>NC_000008.11:130714222-131339222 GCF_000001405.40 Homo sapiens | reverse complement strand
ACTGCTTTCATACATTTGGCTGTAGATAAAATAGGCTCGCTTCCTAACATTTACAAAACATGTTAAAATGTGTGCAGTCTTTTTGACTACATTCTCTCATTTAAAACTCACAATGCCCTTAAGAGGTAGGGATTTTTATTTCTATTCCATGAATAATGAAACAGACATGCAATGACTGACCTTGCATAATTAGTATGAGGCAGAGCATGGGTAAAACCTTCAGTGATGTTACCCATTTTGATTCCCAAACCCAGGCATGGTTTGATACCCTAACCCTAACCAACCATGCCTGGGATTGATTCCACTTTAAGTATTAGGGTGGTGCAAAAGCAATTGCCATTTCAGATTGTGGATTTTAAATCATTAAAATTAGGCTCCAACACATCTTTATTAATAAAAATAGGAACCACTACAATCAACACATTTTTGCCAATGAGAAATAAGTTTGTTTATTCCTGTAGCATAAAAAATCTGTGCTTCGGGATTTGATGAACTCTTGGAAAACATTTTCTGCATCCTGATGGTTGTGGAAGTGTTTTCCCAGCAAAAAGTTGTTGAGATGCTTGAAGAAGTGGTAGTCAGTTGGTGAGAGGTCAGGTGAATATGGTGGGTGAGGCAAAATTTCATAGCCCAATTCATTCAACTTTTGAAGTATTGATTGTGCAATGTGTCGTCAGACATTGTCATGGAGAAGAATTTGGGCCTTTCTGTTGACCAATGCCAGCTGCTGGCATTGCAGTTTTCAGTATATCTCATCGATTTACTGAGCATACTTCTCAGATGTAATGGTTTCACTGGGATTCAGAAAGCTGTAGTGGATAAAACCGGCAGCAGACCACCAAACAGTGACCATGACCTTTTTTTGGTGCAAGTTTTGCTTTGGGAAGTGCTTTGAAACTTCTTCACAGTCCAGCCACAGAGGTGGTCATTGCCAGTTGTCATACATAAAATCCATTTTTTGTCACACATCACAATCTGATTGAAAAGTGGTTCATTGCTGTTATGTAGAATAAGAGAAGATGACACTTCAAATGATGATTTTTTTTAAATTTTTGCTCAGCTCATGAGCCACCCACTTATTGAGTTTTTTCATCTTTCTAATATGCTTCAAATGCCAAATGACTACAGAAAGGTCGACGTTGAGTTCTTCAGCAACTTATCATGTATTCATAAAAGGATCAGTCTAGATGATTGCTCTCAATTGATCATTGTCAACTTCCAATGGCAGGTCACTATGCTCCTCATCTTCAAGGCTCTCATCTTCTTTGCAAAACTTCTTGAACTACCATTGCACTGTAGGTTTGTTAGCAGTTCCTGGGCCAAATGTGTTGTGTTGTTGATATTGTGAGTTGTCTCTGCTGCTTTATGACCCATTTTGAACTTGAATAAAAAAAAATCACTCAAATTTGCTTTTTGTCTAAAATCATTTCTATAGTCTAAAATAAACAGCAAGTAATAAGTCATTAGCAAAAAAAAACCATAAAGTGAGAAATGCCCATTAAAATGCTGTATCACATAACCACATGTATTTAAGAATATATTCCAATATCAAATGGCAAATTTCAACAATGCAAAAACTACAATTACTTTTGCACTCTCCTAATACTTCCTAGATATGTGACTATGAGCAAGTTTCTTAACTTCTCTGAACTTGTAAAACAATGTCTCCCTTGGCAATTGTTGGAAGAGTTTAGGAAGACAATTCATGCTAGAAGGTGGAAGGTGCCTTACAAGTTAGTACGTTCCTTCTTGGTCTTCCCTGATTAACATCTTCTAGGTATTTTAGACATTTGGTTTTTTCTCTTATCAATGACTCTAATTAAGGTTAACCACTGGGTTTACAGAAAGTCATATGTGTGGAAATAAAGAATAATTATTGTGTAAGTTATCAAAAATGCCCATCACTCTAAGTTACATAAAGGTGCCTCTTAGATATTATGCTTTATTTTTCACCTGGGAACTGCAAAAAAAAAAAAAAAAGAAAAGAAAAAGAAAAAGCACAATGAAAGGCCTGTCAGGGAGCAATGTGGGGGTGGACATTAGGCACAGCTGGGCTTGATCACAGACTCATGGTATTTCATTTCTAAGTGGGAAATGACTGCAGAGTTGGCCAGTTGTTCTTCTTATCAGGTTGGACGAGACAAAGATGCAAAGGAATCATGATTTAGAACAATGCTTCCCTAAAATAATGGGTATCTTGTTGATATCATTTTGCTGTGTCCCAACCCAAATCTCATAGTGAATTGTAACTCCCACAATTCCCACATGTCGTGAAAGAGACCTAGTGGGAGGTAACTGAATCATGAGGTTGGGTCTCTCTAGTACTGTTCTCACAACAGTGAATATGTCTCATGAGATCTTATAGTTTCAATAAGAGGAGTTCCTCTGCACAAACTCTCTCTGTTTGCCTGCTGCCATCCATGTAAGATGTGACTTGCTCTTCCTTGCCTTCCACCATGATTGTGAGGCCTCCTTAGCCACATGGAACTGTAAGTCCATTAAATCCTTTTTCCTGTATAAATTACCCAGTCTCAGGTATGTCTTTATCAGTAGCATGAAAACGGACTAATACACTTGTTAAAACTCAAATTCCTTTTCAGTAGGTCTAGGGTGCAACTTGAAAAGTCTGTGTTTTTAACAAGCTCCGAGGTGATGATGGTCTTGCTAATTCATGTACCATATTTTTAATAGCATGAGTTAGAACAAAAGTTAAAATCCCAGCTTTTTATTCACTGATTTTCTGGCCTTGGACAACTTAATTCAGTCACTGCCTCATGCTTCTCACTAATAAAGTGGAAAAATAGTAATACCTATCTCGAATTGTTAATACACATACATTTAATATATGTCTGGCTCATAATAAGTGTTTGGCTAAACTTTAGCTATAATTATTGGTATTATTACACTGTAGTACAAAGAACAGTCTTGTCGGAACCAGTATCAGGGTAAAGTGTTGGTGATATGGTTTGGCTGTGTCCTCACCCAAAATCTCATCTTCAGTTGTAAGCCCCATAACCCTGATAATCCCGAGAGTCAGGGGAGAGACCAGGTGGAAGTAATTGAATCACGGGTGTGGTCTTCCCCATGCTGTTCTCATTATAGTAAGTGAGTTCTCAGGAGATCTGATGGTTTTAAAAGTGTTTGGTAGTTCCTCCTGTTCATTCTCCCTCCAGCCACCTTGTGAAGATGCCTTGCTTCCCCTTCACCTTCTGCCATGATTATAAGTTTCCTGAGGCCTCCCAGCCATGCAGAATTGTGAGTCAATTAAACCTTTCTTTCTTTCTAAATTACCCAGTCTGGGGCAGTTCTTTATGGCAGTGTGAGAACAGGCGAATACAGTTGGTTGTTGGAAAAAAATAACCTGGGTTTGGAAAAACACTTTTTTCTAGTTTTTCATGTTGTGGTAAAATACACATAACATAAAATTTATCATCTTAACCGTTTTTAAATGTACATTTCAGTAATCTTTGCTGAGAAGGTTTGAGTCTTTCACCATTGAGTATGATGTTAGTCATAGGATTTTCCTTATGGCTTCTATTATATTAAGGTAGTTTACTTCCATTTCTAATTTGTTAAAAGGTTTTATCATGGAAGTTTGTTAACTTATATATAATTATAACATTTAATATATAATTATATTAATATAATGTATTAAACTTATATATACTATATTAAATATTATAATTATATCTAAGTTAAAGATATATGTTTAATATATTATATTAATATATAAATATTTTAATGTAAGTTAAATATATTAATATATTTAATATATTATAATTATATAATATATATTACCATTTTATATTATATATATGTTATATACATTATATATTTATATATATATATATATGTATATCACCATTGAGTATGATGTTAGTCATAGGATTCTCCTTATGGCTTCTATTATATTAAGGTGGTTTACTTCCATTTCTTATTTGTTAAAAGTTTTTATCATGGAAGTTTGTTAAATTTTGTCAAGTGTTTTTTCTATATCAACTGTTAGGATCATGTGTTTTCTTTTCCTTTATTCTGCCAATTTGGTGTATTACACTGACCAATTTTTACATATTTAACTATCCTTGCGTTATGGCAATAAATTCCATTTAGTCATGGTGTATAATCCTTTTAGTATGCTGATGAATTTGGTGTGTTAGTATTTTGTTGAAGATATTTGCATCAATTTTGATAAGGGATATTGGTCTATAGTTTTTTTTTTGTAGTGTTTTTATCTGGCTTTGGTATCAGAAAGTAATACTGGCCTCATAGAATAAGTCACATATAATTAAACATATATAACATATATTATATAATATAACATATGTATATATATTAGTATATCCATCCCTGCTCTCTTTTGGTTACTATGCTCATGGAATATACTTTTTCATCTTTTCACTTTTAATGTGTTTGTATTTTTGGATCTGAGGTGAGTCTCTTGTAGAAAGAAGAGAGTTAGGTCATGTGTTTTATTCATTCTCCCAATCTCTATGTTCTTACAGATTTAATTTGTTCTCATTTAAAGTAATCACTGATAAAGAGGATCTTTTATCATTTTACTGTTTGTTTTCTAAATGTTTTATCACTTTTAGTGTCCCTCGTTGCATCACTGTCTTTTGTATTTAGTTGATTTCTTGTAGCAAAATGTTTAAGGTTATTTTTTCATTTCTTTTTGTGTATATGTTGTAGCTATTTTCTTTCTGATTACCATAGAAATTACATGTATCATCCTAAAGTTATAACTCTCTAACTTAAATTTATACTATCTTAACTTCCATAACACTCAAAATCTCTGCTCTTTTACAGCTCCATTTCTTACCCTTTCAGTTGACGTCACAAAATTACATTTTTATATATTGTGTGCCCAGAAACATAAACTAATAATTTAAAAAATGTGTTAGTCTCTTAAGATATGTAGAAACCAAAAAATGAAGTTACAAACCAAAGTTACAATAATACTAGCTTTTAGATGAATGTTGTTTAAATTGTATTAGTCTCCTAAATCATGTAGAAAATGATAACTGGAGTTTACCAATCATTTTAACAGTAATACTAGCTCTTATAATTGCTTGTATAATTACCTTTATTGAGATCTTTATTTCTTTAGGTGGCTTTAAGTTATTTTTTAGTGTCCTTTCATTTCATCTTTCAGGACTCCTTTAAGCATTTCTTGCAAGGTATGTCTAGTGGCAACTCTTGTTTATCTAGGAATGCCTTAATTTCTCCCTCACTTATAAAGGATAATTTTGCCACCACTTTGAGTATATTGGCCAACTGCCTTCTGGCCTCTGGAGTTTCTGATGAGAAATCTACAGATGATTTTATTGAGGATCCCTTGTATGTGACAAACTACTTCTCTCTTGCTGCTTTCAAGATTCTTTGTTTTGTGTTTTGAAAGTTTGGCTATAATGTGTCTTGATGTGGGTTTCTTTAAGGTCATCCACATGGAATTTGTTGAACTTGAACTTCTTAGATGTTTATATTCATGTCTGTTATCAAATGTAGGAAGTTTTTTTTTTTAACCATTATTTTAAAAATATTTTATCTTCCTTTTTCTTATTCTGGGATTCCCAAAACGTGTGTGTTAGTCTACTTGATGGTGTCCCATATGTCCCCTAGGCTCTGTTTACTTATCATCATCTTTTCTTTATCTTTTTATACTTCAGACTCAATAATTTCCATTATCGTTTCATCAAGTGAGCTGATTATTTCATCTGCCTGCTCAAATCTACCTTTAAATTTCTTTAGCAAATTTTTCATTGTATTTACCATAATTTTCATCTTAAAAATTTATTTTTTGTCTCTTTTTAGGTTTTCTATCTCTTTGTTGATATTTCTATTTTGTTCATACATTATTTTGTTGACTTTCTTTTGTATTCCTTTAGTTCTGTGAGAATTTTTAAGACAATTTTTTTAACATTTGTGTCTAGTAGATCTACCGTGAGGATTTTCCAGAGGTATACTTTCCTGGTTACTTTTGTACATTTTGATTTTTTTTTTTTTTTTGAAAACTGATCACCTGAATCTCATAGTGTGAAAACTCTGAAAGTTAGATTCTTCCCCTTTCCTAGGATTTGCTGGATTTTGTAATTCTTCTCATTTTTTTTTTATTATTGTGGGCTTTGCCAATGATCAGTGTGAGGAGTAAACCGAATGACTTTTCAGTACTTTTCTGAGCCTGAACCTTTCCCTGAGCATGCATAATCACTTCCTAATTTCTCCTCTATATGCAGTTGTTTCTTAATGTCCTAATTTTTAATGCCTGGTTCCCAAAAAGAGATAAAGAGAAAAATGAAGATGGGAAAGAGGTGTTGGCTCTTTTAATCCCTTGGAAGTAATTTTAATTGGAGCAGTAAAGGCAACAACAATGGCTGCCTGCCTCTCTGTATCTGCACCCCTGTGATCAGAAGCAGCAGTTAGCAATTTGAGCACAGATCTTGAACATTTGGAGAACAGGGCCCTCTTTGCCCACCCTGGCTCCTGCAATCTGTCTGCAAGCTGCTCCAGAAATCTGTGCACAGCTGCCTGCCACCAGAATGGGGGTGGATGGGGGATGCATAGCTGCCACTATGTTGAGTGGAAACTGAATGAAGCAAATACAACTTACTGTCCAAGGCTCCCCTTGGAAGTTACAAGCTTTCAATACACTACAAATTTCCCAAATAGTTATATCAGACGGATTCTGCCAGTGTGATTGTTGTCTTGGTGGAAAGAGAGATTCCTGTGCTTCCTACTGTGCCATCTTCCTTTTGATCTTAACTTAAAAAAAGAAACCTAGAAGGGTGTGCCCACTTGTTTCAGTATTTCCAGATCCCACTTTTGTCAAGTTTTGCATGGTATATTAGTCATCTAGGGTGACCATATCAAAATATCACAAACTGGGTGTGGCTTAATCAATAAAAATGTATTTTCTCACAGCTTTGGAAGCTGGAAGTCCATGAACAAGGTGTTGATAGATTTGGTTGATGGTGAGGGATTTATTCTAGGCTTGCATATGGCCTCCTTCTCATTATCTTCTCACAATGTATTTCATCAGTGTGTAGGTGAAGAGAGGGAGGTCATTGGTGTCTCTTTCTCTTCTTATAATGACATTGGTCATATTGGATTTCAGCCCCATCCTTATTATCTCATTTAATTTTAATTACCTCTTTAAATGCCTTCCAAACACAGTCACATTAAAGGTTGGCACTTCAACATATGAATTTGGTGGAGTGATGAGAAGGTGCACAGTTCAGTTTATAATAAATGGAAATAAAATTATTCATTTTCCAGTGTTTTTATAGTGATCAAATGCACAATGTGTATTTGTGTGACCGATAATCAGCTATCTTTCTTCTCCCATTAGTCACTGATGATGCCTGAGGCTTAATCTGTAGTCCACCTACATGTTATCTATTAGCAGAGTAAGAGAAGAAAATAGTTACCATGCAACACTTCCCTAAAATCCTTAGCCCTCTGCCTCACAGAAGCTTTTGAAGATGTTCATTCTAGGTCTTCTACAGTTTTGCAAGAAAGCAACTTGATTTACCTTATTTGAAGGTTAAATCTTGAGGTCCATCAAAATTAAAAATGTACAAATCAATTTTCCAAGAATTTTTTCCACAAATTTACTCTACAGAGAAGTTTCACAAGAATAAAAAAGGTGAAGCTACAAGATGATTCAATGTTGCATTTTTAAGTTATATTTTATTTTATTTATATAAAATTGATGTTTTGGAGTGTTTTATAAATTGTGACACATCACAGATTCATATATCAACTAATAAAGGATACTAATACCAAAAAATAAATAAAATAAAATAATAAAATAGCATGCAACCGGAGAAAAAGGATGTTGATCAAAACAGGAACAATAAACTAAATCATGGGGCATACAAGGCACTTAATACCAGGTGGCCATCAAAAAGTGAGATGCAAATATGAATGATTCTATGTATATGTGTGATGTACATAAGTAAGAGTGTGTGTGTTCTGAGAAATACACAAGAAAGTGAATGAGATGACTGCTGAAATGTGGGACTAAAAGGCATTGTTGTAAATCCTTTCCTTCTATTTTATTAATTGTTTCCATTTACAATTATAATAGGAAAATTTAATTTAAAAAGAAGAATAAATTGATTAAAACTTTCAAAAAGTACATTATTTTAAACCTAAGTGTTTGGGAGAGAATAAAACATCCAGTGTATAGTAGTTTTTAATTAAATGTTTAATTCTGAGATTATTATAGATTTACATGCAGTTGCAAGAAATGATACATGTTATAAAACTATAGTACAATATCACAATCAGGATATTGAAATTTATAGTCACTATAACAGAACAGTTCCACCACCACAATACTCTTGTGTTGCCTTTTATAGCTACTGTCACCTCCACCTGCCTCCCCCAATTTCTGAACCCTGGTGAACACCAATATGCTCTCCATTTCTATATTTGTCATTTTGAGACTACCATATAAGTGGATTTACACAGTTTGTGAACTTTTGGGACTGGCTTTTTTAACTTAGCATAAACCCCTGGAATCCATCAAAGTCATTGCATTAATAGTCTGTAATTTTTATTGCTAATTAGTATTCCACGGTATAGGTTTACCATAGTTTGTTCAACCGTTCATTGTCTGAAAGACATCTGGATTGTTTCCAATTTTTGACTATTAAGAAAAAAATCTATGAACATTCATGGACAAGTTTTGTGTGACCACATTTTTAATTTCTCTGGGATAAATGCTCACAAATGCAGTTGTTGGGATGTATGGTAGTTGCACGCTTAGTTATATAAAAAACTACAGAAGTTATATAAGAAACTACAGAAATGTTTTCCAGAGTGGCTGTAACATTTGAGACTCCCACCAGTAGAGTATGAGTGATCCTATTTCTCCACACCCTTATCATCATTTGGTGTTGTCAATATTTTTTATTCTTATAGATGTAGAGTAATAACTCATTTTGGTTTCAGTTTGCGTGTGATTAATGGCTAACAATGTTGAAAATCTTTGCAAGTGCTTTTATTGCTATCTGTGTATTGTCTTCAGTGAAATGCTTTTTCATGTCCTTTGCCCATGATTTAATTTGAATGCTCGTTTTTCTTTATCATTGAGTTTTGAGAATTTTTAATTTATTCTAGCTCTTAGTCCTTTGTTGGTTATTTGATTTGCAAATATATTCCCTTAAATTGTAGTTTGTCTTTCATTTCTTTGATATTGGCTTTTGCTGAAGAAAAATTTTTAATTTTGATGAAAACATTTTATTAATTTTTCTTTTTATCTATCATGCTTTTGGTCAAATCTGAGAACTCTTTGCCTAGTCATACATACAAAAGATTTCTCTCATTTATTTTCTTTGAAGTTTAAAATTTTGTTTTTACATTTAATTCCATGATAAATTTTGAGCTTATTTTTGTATAAATGGGATGTTTAAGAGTAGATTATTATTATTATGTGGATGCCCAATTGCCCCAGCACTATTTGTGAAGTGGCTGTGTTTCTTTCATTGAATTGCCTTTGCATGACTGTCAAAAATTAGTTGTGTATATTTGTGTGGATCTATTTCTAGGTTCTCTGTTCTCTTCCATTGGTCTTTGTGTCTGTTCCTCTGCCAAAACCACACAGTCTAATGCCTATAGCCATATAGTAGGTCTTAATATTCAGTAGAGTGATTCTTTCCACTTCAACCTTTTTTGTCAGGATGGTTTATAAGCGATCCTTAAGCATATGCCCTTCCATATGAATTTTAGAGTAAGCATGCTTTGTATACAATTGCACTAAACCTATGGATCAATTTGTGGAGAATTGACATCTTTACTATGTTTAGGTTTCTCAATTCATGACACAATAGCTCTTCATTTATTTAGGTCTTCTTTAATATATTTAACAACATCTTATAATTTTCAGCATAAACACTGTATATGTTTTAAGCTTATTCCTAAGTGTATCATTTCCTTTGGAGTGCTTGTAAATGGTATGATCTTTATAATTTTGCTTTCCACATTCATTGTTAGTATGCAAAAATGTAATTGATTTTGTTGTGTATCCAGTGTTTTTAATTAAATTAACCAATAAAAATATCTCTTACTTAACAGATTCAGATGTCCTCACTCCTCCAAAACAGGAAAACCTAAATTCTAACTGAATTGTCTTGAATTTGAATTTCATTTCACAGATAATGCAGTTGGAACAAGGAAAGCTTTGCATTGCAGTAAGAAGAAGGTGAACTTTGAAGTCCAAGAGATGTGAGTATGGATTCTAGCTGGCCACATACAAGATTTATGGCCAGGAGGAGGTTAATTAAGTTATCTGAGTCCCATTTCTATAATAATAAAAATAATGACAGTGATAAGAGCTATTACAATGAAGCATTTCATGTAAGACAGAACTTGTTTTAAGAGCTTTCCATTTTGCTTGTTTTGGTGTGTGTTTTGTTTTGTTTTGTATTAGCTTGTTGCTAATCCTTTTGGCAGAAAATCTAAGCCTGAATTTATATGAAACTGTTTATCATTTATCTTTATCTCACCTATTGTGAAAGTTTTTGCTGTAAAAATATCAATGCTTTTGATTACAAGGTGCTTTTTATTACAGGTAAACTTACCCTACTGTGGAACCAGGTAGTCTAACCTCAGCTCATTCTTAGTCACCATGCTCTAGGTATCCTTAGGCTACATGAACTACTGCACATGAAAAGTCTCAGATAGAGTCCTTGGGGGGCATCTTGAAGAAATATTTAACTTCTCCTGAAGCTTTTCAGGGTCTGCATTCTTGGATTTCGAGGTATAATAGAGGTAGAGAAGTCAGTGGCTCATCACTGTTGGCACAGACTTCCACATCTGCCATAAAGGGTATCATCACACATTTCTGGAGACCATTCATGGAAGATGGTGTGATGCCTCATTGTCTGCAGCCTGAGATTTCCCCAAAGGTGTAGCTGAGTGATCCCTGTGACACTCTTTGGTTTAATGATGCTTAGTCATTACCACTTTCATTACAGCTCTAATAGACTAAATATCATATCACCATTTAACATCTTTCCTTCAGTTTTTCATTCTGTATGGCAGCTGAACAGGATATATTTGCCCCAAAGCCTGATTGAAGTAATACAAAGCTTTATCATTTAACTTGGATTAAACTACTTTAGAATGAGTCTGATTATAAAACCACTCTCAGCTCATTAATTTCTGTGGCCAAGATGAATGATATGTCATAATGCCACCAACAAAGCTGGACTGGTCAGCATTCATATGACACCAATGTCACATTCCCCATACACTGCAAGGGTCTAGACTCAATGCCAGCCAAACAAGAAGGTTGAGTCACAGAAGCCACTGAAGGGCAAAATAAGTTTTCAAAATATGTAAGAGGTAAAAATACAAGTAAAGAATAAGGGAGTTGGAAGAAATCTAATTGATCATTCGACTTTCTAATCTTAAAAGTATGGAAACCAAGACACAACAACAAAAAAAAGGGGATACACCCAAGGTCATATAAATGATTTCTGGAAGGATCACAGGCAGTTACATAAGCCATGAACTCTGAAAGCCATCCAAAATTAATAATTTTTAAAGACAGATTGCATACCGTTGCTAATTCCATTTTCTAAAAGATTCATCGGCTAGCTTAGTATTTCATCTGTATTCATCTCAATTTCCTTAAACTATACACACTTGAAATAAATCAGGGCCAATATTGTATGCTTATCTAGAAAATACCTTGTGAAATTGCTCTTATTTAATATTGATGCTCCCTTTCATTTTGTCCTGTCTATATTAATTTTCCTCTATGTATTTCAAGAGAGAAATACATTTCTGTGTCACTAAGGAACCCACTATAATTATTCATGTAATTACACATTTTTGTATAACTGCTTTCATATTCTAGTTAAATGGTTTTAAATGAGCAGAGAATGAAAAAAGTATACATTATTTTCTATTATACCAAGAACATATTTTGCCCTCAATATGTATATGTTAAATTTAACAAACCAATGACATGAATAAATATCTGTAGGGTTAAGGTCATAAAAAAGTAGCATAGTTTAGTAAAAACCAATCTTTCAGGGCAGATTATGCTTTGATAAAAAAGTGAGGCACAGAGCAAGAGAGAAGCTTGTTTACCAAGCTTGAAATTAACCTCTTTTGAACTTTTTCACTCAGACAGTAAGTAGTTACTGAGTGCCATGTGTTAGGCTTTTTATTTACCAAAGATACAGTGTAGAAATAAAAACAGAGATAGTTTCTGCCCTCAAATAGCTTAATGCCAAGTGGGAAAAATTATTAAACAAAAATCTCACAAAGAAATATACATGTGTATAGTTTTGTGTAAGAAAAGTCCTGGGTCTGGGAGAATCTACCAGGCTGTGATGAAATGGGGACCAGATGCTAACTGGTTATGTGGTCTAAAAGCAAAACAGTGTCATTGAAGGTTTTTAGCAGGGTTGTGCCATAATACTTAGTATTTTGTTTTGTTTTATTTTCTGTGTTCTTGTTTTTGTTTTGTTAACACAAATTATAGTAATCAATCCTTTTAGTCTTTAAAGTTATAGCTAGGATGGTTGTGAGGTGGCCAGCCTTCACCATAAAGAAATACTGGAACCTGTGACTTATTAAGTACCCATTGCAAGACAGCATAGCAATAGATAGTTTTTACCCTTGCATATTTAGGCTTATAAGAACAGATCAGTGGTACAATTTCTAGAAATGAAAATATTGTGTAGTGATTCACACTTTCATGCATGAGAAATAAGGATTTGTTGTTGTCTTCATTTATTTGTGCTTCTGTAATAAAATATTTCAGACTGACTGATTGATAAAGAATAGAAATTTATTACTGATGGTTCTGGAGGCTAAGAAGTCCAAGATCAAGGCACCAATAGGCATAGTGTCTGGTGAGGGCTTCTCTCTCTTTCTAAGATAATGCATTGTTGCTGCATCCTCTGGAGGGGATGAAGAATGTGTCCTCATGTGGTGGAAGGAACTGAAAGGCAAGAGCATGCTCCCGCTAACATATAGCCCTTATAAAATGATGCTAACCCCATTCATGAGGCGAAGCCCTCATGACATAATCACTTCCCAAAGGCCACACCTTTGGGTATTACATTTCAATATATATTTTACAGGGGCACACCTTCATGCCAAAGCCCTTGTTATAAGCCACTGAGATTATGGACTGCTTATTACTGTAGCACAGATGACTAATATATATGTGAAATATAAACTGTTTATCAGTGGCCACTAATAATCTGTTTTCAAAGTAAAATGTGTTATCTGAAGAAAATTCCTTCGTCTGAAATACAGTTGTTAAGACTCAGTTCTTATTTATCCCTGATATTTTTATTACACAATTTTTTCCTGTATAATTTTTTGTTAAGCTATTCATTCTGCCAATTCATGGGACATATGATTAATAGTTGACGAATCTTTCAAATGTCTTCAATACTTCTAATATTTAGATATGAGCTTGTCTATTTCTAAAGTATTTAAGTTCATTATAGGGTAATTACAGACTTATTGTGGGAAAATACATTAATGTGTATATTAACCTTAGATGATCTGATATTATATCAATATTTAGTCGTTCTTTTCTACAATAGGAGTTTTTAATGAGATTTTCTCAAGCCGTAATTTCTCTTTGTAATTTTCCCCCATATAATTCCTTTTTTTTTATTATTATACTTTAAGTTTTAGGGTACATGTGTACAACGTGCAGGTTAGTTACATCTGTATACATGTGCCATATTGGTGTGCTGCACCCATTAACTCCTCATTTAACATTAAGTATACCACCTAATGCTATCCCACCCCTCTCCCCCAACCTCACAACAGGCCCTGGTGTGTGATGTTCCCCTTCCTGTGTCCATGTGTTTTCATTGTTCAATTCCCACCTATGAGTGAGAACATGCGGTGTTTGGTTTTTTGTCCTTGTGATAGTATGCTGAGAATGATGCTTTCCAGCTTCATCCATGTCCCTACAAAGGACATGAACTCATCATTTTTTATGTCTGCATAGTACTCCATGGTGTATATGTGCCACATTTTCTTAATCCAGTCTATCATTGTTGGACATTTGGCTTGGTTCCAAGTCTTTGCTATTGTGAATAGTGCCACAATAAACATACGTCTGCATGTGTCTTTGTAGCAGCATGATTTATAATCCTTTGGGTATATACCCAGTAATTGGATGGCTGGGTCAAATGGTATTTCTAGTTCTAGATCCCTGAGGAATCGCCACACTGACTTCCACAGTGGTTGAACTAGTTTACAGTCCCACCAACAATGTAAAAGTGTTCCTATTTCTCCACATCCTCTCCAGCACCTGTTGTTTCCTGACTTTTTAATGATTGCCATTCTAACTGGTGTGAGATGGTATCTCATTGTGGTTTTGATTTGCCTTTCTCTGATGACCAGTGATGATGAGCATTTTTTCATGTGTTATTTTTGGCTGTATAAATGTCTTCTTTTGAGAAGTGTCTGTTCATATCCTTTGCCCACTTTTTGATGGGGTTGTTTGTTTTTTTCTTGTAAATTCATTTGAGTTCATTGTAGATTCTGGTTATTAGCCCTTTGTCAGATGAGTAGATTGCAAAAATTTTCTCCCATTCTGTAGGTTGCCTGTTCACTCTGATGGTAGTTTCTCTTGCTATGCAGAAGCTCGTTAGTTTAATTAGATCCCATTTGTCAATTTTGGCATTTGTTGCCATTGCTTTTGGTGTTTTAGACATGAAGTCCTTGCCCATGCCTATGTCCTGAATGATATTGCCTAGGTTTTCTTCTAGGGTTTTTATGGTTTTAGGTCTAACATTTAAGTCTTTAATCCATCTTGAATTAATTTTTGTATAAGGTGTAAGGAAGGGATCCAGTTTCAGCTTTCTACATGTGGCTAGCCAGTTTTCCCATCACCATTTATTAAATAGGGAATCCTTTCCCCATTGCTTGTTTTTCCCAGGTTTGTCAAAGATCAGATAGTTGTAGATATGTGGCATTATTTCTGAGAGCTCTGTTCTGTTCCATTGGTCTATATCTCTGTTTTGGTACCAGTACCATGTTGTTTTGGTTACTGTAGCCTTGTAGTATAGTTTAAAGTCAGGTAGCATGATGCCTCCAGCTTTGCTCTTTTGGTTTAGGATTGACTTGGCAATGAGGGCTCTTTTTTGGTTCCATATGAACTTTAAAGTAGTTTTTTTCCAATTCTGTGAAGAAAGTCATTGGTAGCTTGATGGGGATGGCATTGAATCTATAAATTACCTTGGGCAGTTTGGCCATTTTCACGATATTGATTCTTCCTATCTATGAGCATGGAATGCTCTTCCATTTCTTTGTATCCTCTTTTATTTCATTGAGCAGTGGTTTGTAGTTCTCCTTGAAGAGGTCCTCCATGTCCCTTCTAAGTTGGATTCCTAGGTATTTCATTCTCTTTGAAGCATTTGTGAATGGGAGTTCACTCATTATTTGGCTCTCTGTTTGTCTGTTATTGGTATATAAGAATGCTTGTGATTTTTGCACATTGATTTTATATCCTGAGACTTTGCTGAAGTTGCATATCAGCTTAAGGAGATTTTTGGCTGAGACCATGGGGTTTTCTAGATATACAATCATGTCATCTACAAACAGGGACAATTTGATGACATTCAAATTCAGGAAATACAGAGAATGCCACAAAGATACTCCTCGAGAAGAGCAACTCCAAGACACATAATTGTCAGATTCACCAAAGTTGAAATGAAGGAAAAATGTTAAGGGCAGCCAGAGAGAAAGGTCGGGTTACCCGCAAAGGGAAGCCCATCAGACTAACAGCTGATCTCTCGGCAGAAACTCTACAAGCCAGAAGAGAGTGGGGGCCAATATTCAACAGTCTTAAAGAAAAGAATTTTCAACCCAGAATTTCATATCCAGCCAAACTAAGCTTCATAAGTGAAGGAGAAATAAAATCCTTTACAGACAAGCAAATGCTGAGAGATTTTGTCACCACCATGCCTGCCCTAGAAGAGCTCCTGAAGGAAGCACTAAACATGGAAAGGAAAAACCAGTACCAGCCACTGCAAAAACATGGCCAAACTGTAAAGACCATTGAGGCTAGGAAGAAACTGCATTAACTAATGAGCAAAATAACCAGCTAACATCATAATAACAAGATCAAATTCACACATAACAATATTAACCTTAAGTGTAAATGGGCTAAATGCTCCAATTAAAAGACACAGACTGGCAAATTGGATAAAGAGTCAAGACCCATCAGTGTGCTGTATTCAGGAAATCCATCTCACGTGCACAGACACACATAGGCTCAAAATAAAAGGATGGAGGAAGATCTACCAAGCAAATGGAAAACAAAAAAAGGCAGGGGTTGCAATCCTAGTCTCTGATAAAACAGACTTTAAACCAACAAAGATCAGAAGAGACAAAGATGGCCACTACATAATGGTAAAGGGATCAATTCAACAAGAAGAGCTAACTATCCTAAATATATATGAACCCAATACAGGAGCACCCAGATTCATAAAGCAAGTCCTTAGAGACCTAGAAAGAGACAGACTCCCACACAATAATAATGGGAGACTTTAACACCCCACTGTCAACATTAGACAGATCAATGAGACAGAAAGTTAACAAGGATATCCAGGAATTGAACTCAGCTCTGCACCAAGCAGACCTAATAAACAACTACAGAACTCTCCACCCCAAATCAACAGAGTATACATTCTTCTCAGCACCACACCACACTTATTCCAAAATTGACCACATGGTTGGAAGTAAAGCACTCCTCAGCAAATGTAAAGGAACAGAAATTATAACAAACTGTCCCTCAGACCACAGTGCAATCAAACTAGAACTCAGAATTAAAAAACTCACTCAAAACCGCTCAACTACATGGAAACTGAACAACCTGCTCCTGAATGACTACTGGGTACATAACAAAGTGAAGGCAGAAATAAAGATGTTCTTTGAAACCAACGAGAACAAAGACACAACATACCAGAATCTCTGGGACACATTCAAAGCAGTGTGTAGAGGGAAATTTATAGCACTAAATGCCCACAAGAGAAAGCAGGAAAGATCTAAAATTGACACCCTAACATCACAATTAAAAGAACTAGAAAAGCAAGAGCAAACACATTCAAAAGCTAGCAGAAGGCAAGAAATAACTAAGATCAGAGCAGAACTGAAGGAAATAGAGACAGAAAAAAACCCCTCAAAAAATTAATGAATCCAGGAGCTGGTTTTTTGAAAAGATCAACAAAATTGATAGACCACTAGCAAGACTAATAAAGAAGAAAATAGAGAAGAATCAAATAGATGCACTAAAAAATGACAAAGGGGATATCACCACCGATCCCACAGAAATACAAACTACCATCAGAGAATACTACAAACACCTCTACAAAAATAAAATAGAAAATCTAGAAGAAATGGATAAATTCCTTGACATATACATCCAAGACTAAACCAGGTAGAAGTTGAATCTCTGAATAGACCAATAACAGGCTCTGAAATTGTGGCAATAATTAATAGCTTACCAACCAAAAAAAGTCCAGGACCAGATGGATTCACAGCCGAATTCTACCAGAGGTACAAGGAGGAGCTGGTACCATTCCTTCTGAAACTATTCCAATCAATAGAAAAAGAGGGAATGCTCCCTAACTCATTTTATGAGGCCAGCATCATCCTGATACCAAAGGCTGGCAGAGACACAACAAACAAAGAGAATTTTAGACCAATATCCCTGATGAACATCAATGCAAAAATCCTCAATAAAATACTGGCAAACTGAATCCAGCAGCACATCAAAAAGCTTATCCACCATGATCAAGTGGGCTTCATCCCTGGGATGCAAGGCTGGTTCAACATATGCAAATCAATAAATGTAATCCAGCATATAAACAGAACCAGCGACAAAAATCATATGATTATCTCAGTAGATGCAGAAGAGGCCTTTGACAAAATTCAACAACTCTTCATGCTAAAAACTCTTAATAAATTAGGTATTGATGGGACGTATCTCAAAATTATAAGAGCTGTCTGTGACAAACCCACAGCCAATATCATACTGAATGGGCAAAAACTGGAAGCATTCCTTTTGAAAACTGGCACAAGACAGGGATGCCCTCTCTCACCACTCCTATTCAAAATAGTGTTGGAAGTTCTGGCCAAGGCAATCAGGCAGGAGAAGGAATTAAAGGGTATTCAATTAGGAAAATTTTCCCCATATAATTCCTAAACAATTTTTTGGTAAATGCATTACTATGTATTCTTTTAAATCAGTTTTATCGTTATGAGAATTAAGTTTTATTAATAAATTTTTTATCTTGTTATAGCTGAAGTGTAGAAAATGAACTGGGTAATTATTCTTTACAAAGCTACTGCCTTGAATATTTTTTGTTGGTTCTAATAGTTTTCAGATGACTCGAGTTTTCCCAACACGTTGCCTATAAAAAATAATAATTTTGTATTATGCCTTCAAATAGGAGTAACTCTAGTATACTTAATGTCATTAGAAGCAAATTCCCAGGGAATTTTATCAAAAGTGGTAAACCAATTATCCTTGTCATTTCCATTTATTTTTTTAAGAGATGGAGTCTCATGATGTTGCTCAGGCTAGAGTGCAGTGGTCCCATCATAGCTTACTGCAGCCTCAAACGCCTTGATCAGCCTCTCAAATAGTTGGGATTACAAGCATGAGCCATGGTGTCTGACATTTTTTTTAAAGTTTGATAAGAATGTTAAAATAAAAATATTTTAAAATAAAATTGTTTTTTAATTTTTTAATGATTATATGCTTATTTGTTTTATTAGAAATAGTTGTTGAATTTTCTCAAATCCTTTTTTAAAAATATTTATTAAGATAACATTTACATTTTGTGTAAGAACTATTTACATCAAATAATCCCAAACTCCATCATGCTGAAATGTTTAACAAGATTAATCTAAAACCTCTTAAAATTAGCTGATTGGAGCAGAACTTCATCTTAAACAGACTCTGGGAAAATTAGTAGCTTTCTTCCTTCTGTTTACCAACACTTTCTCCCTTCTCATTACCCAAATAGACACCCTGCTTGCTGTTTCTACTCTTAGATCCACTTCAAACAGGCATGACTGCCTTCATTGTGAGTCATTTCCCTTGATTATTCCAATTACTGCCTCATGGAAATAATTATATTAACATTTATTTTGGAATATTGTCCTCTTTTCATATACATATATATATATATATATATATATATATATATATATATATATATATATATATTATTTTTTTTTTTTTTTTTTTTTGAGATGGGGTCTCGGTTGGCTGCTCAGGCTGGAATGAGGTGGCGTGATCTCAGCTCACCACAACCTCCGCCTCCTGGGTTCAAGCGATTCTCCTGGCTCAGCCCCTAGAGTAGCTGGGACTATAGGCGTGCACCACCATGCCCGGCTAATTTTTGTATTTTCAGTAGAGACGAGGTTTCACTATGTTGGCCAGGCTGGTCTCAAACTCCTGACCTTGTGATCCACCCGCCTTTGCCTCCCAAAGTGCTGGGATTACAGGCGTGAGTCGCCGCGCCTGGCCAACATTGTTTTTTACTTCATTCAACATCCTCATTGTTTTCTTTCTTCTTCAAGACCAACCTTGTCCCCCAAGGAATGTAACATCTTTCCTTTTTATCTTCCACCATTGCCTTGACCCTAGACCCATAATTTTAAATCTTTTTCCTTTGTTCACAAAGTATTACAATTTTGAAGTGCAATTATTTTGAAGCTGGAGGAAAAAAAAATGGCCTCTTTATAATTAGAGGTCTAGATTTCTGGGGCCAATGCACTTACGTAGAAGGAGACATAAATAAATAAAGTGACATTCCTATTGTCATGGTGCTTATGTCCTTGAGGGGAAAACAATCAAAAAGTATGGATCAGACGGTGAAAGGTGCAAAGAGAAAAATAAAGCAGAGGAAAGGACCATAGAATGAAAAGGTGCTAGTGTTAGCCAAGATCTCTGTGAAGATAAACCATGCGGGTGCATAGCAAAAAAAAGCACACCATGCAGTGTTTTTGCATAGATAATGCAAACACCCTAAGATAGGGTGTGCTTACTGTGTTTGAGGAACAGCAAGGTACTCGATAGCTGCGTCAGAGGGACAGTTGGAGGAGGCATAGGGGATAGGGCATGTGACTTGAGAGGTAGCAGGAATAAAGGAGACAATGGGTCATTTTAGCAATAGTTAGAGCTTTGATAGAGTGCAGTGTGCATTGGAGCATTTTGAGCAGAGGATTGACTTAGGCTGCTCTGAGAAGCATAGACTACAGTGGAGCAAAAAGGAAATGCAGAAAACCCATTAAGAAGACTGTCACAATAATCCAGGTGAGACATGATGGTGCTTAGACCCGAGCGGCAGCGACAGAGTTTAGATAAGTGATTGGATGCTGTGTGTATTATTTCAAAGTTAACAGTTGTAAAATTTGCTCATGGACTGAATATGGGAAATAGAGAAATTAGAGGAACCGGTTACTCAGAGTGTTTTACCCGAGCAAATGAAAGAAGGTTTCCTTTTCTTGAATGGATACGTATATAAAAAATAGATTTTTTTGGTGAGGGGTGGGGTGAAAAGAGTTTGTTTCACATATGTTAAGGTAGTGATTCTAGAGGAACATCACACTGGGGCTGCCAAATAGACAGACAGTCTGATATACATGTAGAATTAAAGAGGGACGTCAGAGCAAAATATATTACTTTGAGAGCCATCAGAAGAATATTGATGTTATTTAAGGCTGTGGCATTGGATGGGTAAATCTAGAGTGTGTGCACTGATTGCAAAGAGAAGCCAAAGGGCTGAGTCCCAGGACATTCAAATTAAAGAGGTCAGGAAGATGGAGAGCACACAGAAAAAGTAAAAAAGAAGGAGCAGTCAGCAGGTGAGAAGTAAATCCAGAGGCAGTGGGACCCAGAGGCCAAGCAAAATAAAGGTTTCAGATAAGCAATGGAGACATGGAGTTCTCAGAAGAAGCACCTTGGTGAGATGCCTTTCACAATTTTAATATTGTAATTGTGTTTCTCTTCCTTTTTGTGCTTAATATAATCAAGAAAGTAAAATTATTCATCAAGTAATTCACAAGCCACATTTTTAAGAGTTAAAGTGGAGCCTAACTGAAAATATTTTTGCTGGGCAGTTAGGAAACTAAGTTATAGCCCTTGGTTTGGACAAGCCAGGTTTCCTCTTGTGCACTTTTGGACTCACCATGTAGATAGCTCTTCGCTCAAAGAATGAAGACATAAAAGTGGGTGATATCCAAGCTCCTAGTAGGTAACATAACGACTAGTCTACCGTAAGTGCCCAATAATGACTGAGTAAATGAATGAATAAACAGGCAAATAAATGTTCTTTCCAGCTCTAAGATTTTATTATTGGCATTGCAACTCCCTTTCCTGTTAAGAAACATGGGCAGGACTGGGGTGAAACCACATCAGCAATTGCAGCTCTTTTTCGTTTATTCCTAGTGGCTTGCCTATAGAGACACTTAATTATTTATACTGCCTTTAGGAAGTGCAACTGGGCTCTGCTGCTGTGGATGCCGTTTCTGTTATTATTAGTCTCAGAGCTATTTCTTATTTCCTCCAGCACAATGAAGGTGGTGAAATAAGTAACCACACTTCCTTTTCCAAAGCCGCTGAAGTGCTCAGCTCAGCAGTAGTCAGACTCCTCCAGCATTTAATGAGAACTATGAAAGACCTAATTTCCTTTGTTGTCCTCAGTTCCCTTGACCTCAGATAATCAGATAAGCAGCAACACAAGAGGACCGGTGAGTTATTTCAATGGTTTCTCTCCAACATTTTTTTGTTCATGTGCAATCTGAGCATGACTATGATTTGTTGTTGTTGTTGTTGGTTAGCCTTTTCTCAAAACTGACTAGGCTGTAGCATTCCATTACTTTTCTGAAAAAAACAAAAAAACAAAAAAACAAAAAAAAAACAAAAAACGAAAAACAACCATTCAGCACCTGCTAGATATTTGTTGCTATAGGGCTAGGAATCTTCATTTTGTTACTTCCTTCTTTCCTCTTTCCCTACCCTTTTTTTCTAAAACTTTTGTTCCACCATTTTCTTATTTTCTTTTGATCAGAACACCAATTTAAACTATGAAATACACTAAGGCCTCAAAATTGATTAATAAATGTTAACTTCATGGTTCAATGCTATGCACAGTGTTTATAAACGTTAGACCACACAGTCCCTGTAATGGAGATAAATGTACTCCAGTTTAAAAGGAAATGTCAACATATCTGCTATTCAGGTGCAGTGATCATTATTTGATAAAATATTTAATTTACCCAGTATCTGTTGAGAACAAAATTCCACATTGACACTAATTGTAAATGGTTGGCACTCTATGGGTTCATGGTTTAGTGAAAGAGGTTTACATATAAGTGTATTCTGTTGCAAAGTTGACAGACACCAGTGTAGATGTGTAAAACAACGTGGATAGTGAGAGTGAAAAATATTTTATCACAGTTAGATCTTCAGTTAGAATGTGAAGCAAGGACATAGTTTCAACAGGCAGGTATGAGTTTGTGAATTTTCAGTGATAGACTAGCTTAAAAAAATACCAGCGTGATAGGCATAGAGGGAAGGTTTTTGAAAAGACATATCATCCATGAACACATTTTTTTGTAGCAAGTCACACATTGGCAAAAGTGAGCAAGGCCCAGAAGATGCAACGTTCAGGCTGAGCAGTATGTACGGGGGTAAAGAGGAGTTGGTATTTCCTGAGCACTCACTGTGTGTTATCTTTATTTAAGACTAAGGAAAGTGATATGGGGAGTTTATGTGATTTAGCCAAGGTCACAAAGTTAGTGGTTGAAGCATAATTCAAACACAGCTTATAGTTTTTCTAAAGACTATAACTAAAAATGTGTGTGCTAGCACTAAATGTATGTAACTAGTTACTTAGCACGACTGACTTTTAGGATCAAAAATAAAGAATTAGGTACAACTATACATCTCTGTCTATGCAGAGCAAATACTGAACTGAATTAACTATCTGGCCAATCAAGGAACAAGCTTGATCATGCTCTGTCTCCCTCAGTATCCTAGATCCAACTACCTGAAATCACCAGTGAATGAGATTTTTGAAATCCTGTACTATTTACATAATTGAGATCTTGCTTTTAGTGAGAAAACACTGATTTTAGTAGATTCAGTGTGTTCCATAAAAGCAGAGGTAGGCTCCAGCGCAGCCCTCAATTCCACGATCTCTTATAAAGGTCAGGGAGAAGGAAGAACATCTAGCATCAGGAGGCAGGCTGACTTGGAACAGAACAGAAGGCTGGGAGCTAAGGAGGATCTTCAGCAACTATCGTAAGTGCTACTAGTGCTTGTGGTTTACCATGATTTGTTCCCTTCCGTATGGGTGTAGGTAGTTTCATGCACATCCGTGTGAAGAGACCACCAAACAGGCTTTGTGTGAGCAACATGGCTGTTTATTTCACCTGGGTGCAGGCGGGCTGAGTCTGAAAAGAGAGTCAGTGAAGGGAGATGGGATGGGGCCGTTTTATAGGATTTGGGTAGGTAAAGGGAAAAGGGGGGTTGTTCTCTGGCGAGCAGGAGTGGGGGTCACAAGGTACGCAGTGGGGGAGCTTTTGAGCCAGGATGAGCCAGGAGAAGGAATTTCACAAGACAATGTCATCAGTTAAGGCAGGAACTGGCCATCTGGATGTGTACCTGGAGGCCACAGGGGATATGATGGCTTAGCTTGGGCTCAGAGGCCTGACATTCCTGTCTTCTTATATTAATAAGAAAAATAAAACGAAATAGTGGTAAAGTGTTGGGGTGGTGAAAATTTTTGGGGGTGGTATGGAGAGATAATGGGCGATGTTTCTCAGGGCTGCTTCAAGCGGGATTAGGGGTGATGTGGGAACCTAGAGTGGGAGAGATAAAGCTGAAGGAAGATCTTGTGGTAAGGGGTGATACTGTGGGGTTGTTAGAAGAAACATTTGTCATTTAGAATTATTGGTGATGGCCTGGATACGGTTCTGTATGAATTGTAAAACTAAACGGAATAAGAGAAGGAGAAAAACAGGTATTAAAGGCCTAAGAATTGGGAGGACCTAGGACATCTAATTAGAGAGTGCCTAAGGAGATTCAGCATAGTCCTGTCAGCAAAGATTACTTATTTACTTCAAGAGATAAGAGTCGCAGTTTGGGGATAGCACCAGGAGATATCAGCTGTGATGGCTTGGAGAAACAGTGTAAACCAGCAGTGTAAACAAGAGCAGGGCATGTATGAGTAGTTGAGAATGGTGAATAGGAGTATGACTAGACAGAAGATAGTAGGGATGACAAGTTTTTTTGGGGCACACTCCAAGTTGGTCTGGTGTCTGGAATGAGACTGGGGCCTAATAAAAAGGAGCATCTATACAGGAGCTCAAATGGGCTGTACCCTGTAGCATTCTGAGGACAGGTCTGACTTCTGAGAAGGGAAAGTGGTAAAAGTATTGTCCAGTCCTTTTTAAGTTGGTGGCTGAGCTTGGTGAGGTGTGTTTTTAAAAGACCTTTAGTCCGTTCTACTTTTCCTGAAGACGGAGGACCATAAGGGATATAAAGGTTTCACTGAATACTAAGAGCCTGAAAAACTGCTTGGCTGATTTGACTAATAAAGGCTCATCTGTTATCAGACTGTATTGAGGTGGGAACGCTTAACTGAGGAATTATGTCTGACAGAATGGAAGAAATGACTGTGGTGGCCTTCTCAGACCCTGTAGGAAAGGCCTGTACCTATCCAGTGAAAGTGTCTACCTAGACTAAGAGGTATTTTAGTTATCTGACTTGGGGCATGTTGAGTAAAGCTAATTTGCCAGTCCTGGGTGAGGGCAAATCCTCGAGCTTGATGTGTAGGGAAGGGAGGGGGCCTGAATAATCCCTGAGGAGTAGTAGAATAGCAGATGGAACACTGAGAAGTTATTTCCTTGAGGATAGGTTTCCACGATGGAAAGAAAATGAGAGGTTCTAAGAGGCGGGCTAGTGGCTTGTACTATAGCATAGCCTGCCTTTGCTGGTGTGTGGCGATTAGGCCTGGTGGAACTGCCATCAATAAATCAAGCATGATCAGGGTCCTCACCCTGATCAGGAAAGAAGGAAATATGGGGAAATGGGGTGAATGTCAGGTGGATCAGAGAGATACAGTCATGAGGGTCAGGTGTAGTATCCAGAATAATGTGGGAGGCCGGATTGAAGTGCAGGCCAGGAACAATGGTAATTGTGGGACTTAACAAAGAGTGAGTACAGCTAAAGGAGCTGGGGAGCAGAAAGTATATGCATCAGGTGTGAGGAAGAAAATAGATGTTGGAAGTTATGAGAAATGTAGAGAGTGAGTTGAGCATAGTTTGTGATTTTTAGGGCCTCTGAAAGTATTAAAGCAGCGGCAACCGCTACATGCAGACGTGAGGGCTAAGCTAAAACAGTAAGGTCAAGTTGTTTGGACAGAAAGGCTACAGGGTGTGGTCCTGGCTCTTGTGTAAGAATTCTGACCACACTAACCATGCCTAGGAAGGAAAGGAGTTGTTGTTTTGTAAGGGGTTGAGGTTTGGGAGATTAATCAGACATGATCAGCAGGGAGAGCACGTGTATTTTTATGAGAATTATGCCGAGATAGGTAACAGATGAGGATGAAATTTGTGCTTGACTGAAGTAATGGGGGCTGTCTGTGAAGCCTTGCAGCAGTACAGCCCAGGTAATTTGCTGAGCCTAATGGGTGTGAGGGTCAGTCTAAGTGAAAGCAAAGAGAGGCTGGGATGAAGGGTGCAAAGGAATAATAAAGAAAGCATGTTTGAGATCCAGAACAGAATAATGGGTTGTAGAGGCAGGTATTGAGGATAGGAGAGTATATGGGTTTGGCACCACGGGGTGGATAGGCAAAACAATTTGGTTGATAAGGCGCAGATTCTGAACTAACCTGTAAGCCTTGTCTGGTTTTAGGACAGGTAAAATGGGGGAATGGTAAGAAGAGTTTATAGGCTTTAAAAGGCCATGCTGTAACAGACGAGTGATAACAGGCTTTAATCCTTTCAAAGCATGCTGTGGGATGGGATATTGTCATTGAGTGGGGTAAGGGTGATTAGTTTTTAATGGGATGGTAAGGGGTGCATAATCGGTCACTAAGGAGGGAGTAGAGGTGTCATACTTGTGGGTTAAGGTGGGGAGATACAAGGGGAGGATGTGAAGGAGGCTTTGAACTGGGGGAAAAGGCAGCAATGAGGTGTGGCTGTAGCCTAGGAACAGTCAGGGAAGCAGATAATTAAGTTAAAGTATCTCGGCCTGATAAGGGAACTGGGCAGGTGGGGATAATTAAAAGGAGTGCTTAAAAGAGTATTGTCTAAGTTGGCACCAGAGTTGGGGAGTTTTAAGAGGTTTAGAAGCCTGGCTGTCAATACGCACGACAGTTATAGAAGCAAGGGAAACAGGCCCTTGAAAATAAGGTAATGTGGAGTGAGTAGCCTCCGTATTAAGAAGGGGATGGACTTACCTTCCACTGTGAGAGTTACCTAGAGCATCTGTGATGGTCCTGTAGGCTTCTGAGGCGATTGGGCAGTGTCAGTCTTCAGCTGCTAAGCTGAGAAGATCTGGGAAGGAGTCAGTCAGAGAGCCTTGGGCCAGAGTTCCAGGGGCTCTGGGAGTGGCTGCCAGGTGAGTTGAACAGTCTGATTTTCAGTAGGGTCCTACACAGATGGGATACGGCTTAAGAGGAATCCTGGGCTGTGGGCATTCCTTGGCCCAGTGGTCAGATTTCTGGCACTTGTAGCAAGCTCTGGGGGAGGAGGTTCTGGAGGAACCCCTTGCAGCTGCGGTTCAGGCATTTGGAGTTCTTGTGTGCTGTAGACGTGGCTGGGGTTTGTCTCAGTGGAGGCAAAGAATTGCAACTCAGAAATATGTTGCTACTTGGCTGCCTCTACTCTATTAATTGCACACCTCGAAGGTGAAGTTAATTAAGTCCTGTTGTGGGGTTTGAGGGCCGGAATTTAATTTTTGGAGCTTTATTTAATGTCGGGAGCAGGATGGGTAATAAAATGTATATTGAGAATAAGATGGCCTTTTAATCTTTTAGGGTCTAAGACTGTAAAGCGTCTCAGGGTTGCTGCTGAATGAGCCATGAACTGGGCTGGGTTTTTCATATTTGATGAAAGAGCCTAAATGCTCACTGATTTGGGAGAGTTCTGATAAAGATAAAGGAGCATTAACCTTGACTATGCCTTTAGTTTCAGCCACCTTTTTAAGAGGAAATTGCTGGGCAGGTCGGGGAGGGCTAGTCACGGAATGAAACTGTAAGCCGGACTGGGTGAGAGGAGGAGAGGTGATAAAAGGATTATAGGGTGGAGGAGCGGAGGCTGAGGAAGAATTGGGACCTAGCTCGGCCTGGCGAGGAGGGGAGAGGTCAGATGGGTCCGTAGAAAAGGAAGATTAGAAAGACTCAGCGATGCTTGGGGTTGGGACTGAGGGGACAGGCGGGAGGGAAAGAAGGAGGATTTGGGATGAGTTGCATTGGGCACAGAGACTAGGAAGGGACCAATGTGTAAAAGAATGCCTGGATGTCATGCACCTCAGACCATTTGCCTATTTTACAACAAGAATTATTTAGATCTTGCAGGATGGAAAAATTGAAAGTGCCATTTTCTGGCTATTTGGAACTACTCTTGAGTTTGTATTGGGGTCAAGGGGCATTGCAGAAGAAAATAAGGCATTTAGGTTTTAGGTCAGGTGTGAGTTGAAGAGGTTTTAAGTTTTTGAGAACACAGGCTAAGGGAGAAGAAGGAGGAATGGAGGGTGCAATGTTGCCCATAGTGAAGGAAGCAAGCCCAGAGAAAAGAGAGAGTAGAGACACAGAGGGAAGGGGTTTGGGGGTTCTTACCTTCCAGAAAAGTGGGAAAGGGGTCAGGGCATGGAAATAAGGGATGGGGTGCAGAGATAAGAGGCCGGGGCATGGAAATAAGGGATCTGGGTGCAGAGATAGGAGGTCGGGGCATGGAAATAAGGGATTGGGGTGCAGAGATAAGAGGTTGGGGTGCAGAAATAAGGGATTGGGGTGCAGAGATATGAGGTTGGGGTACTTGCCCCTCCCCTAGAAAAGCGGGACTTGCCGCTAAGAGTGAAGGAGAAGGGATTGGGGGTTTCTTGCCCCCCAGAAAGGTGGAGAAGGGGTAGAGACATGGAGAGAAGGGTTTGGGGTACTTGCCTCTCCCCCAGAAAAGCAGGACTTGCCACTAAGGGTGAAAGACCAAGGCAAGCATCCCTGCACGGTCTGACACCTCTGAAACCTGGATGAATAATCCGAGAGGCGTCCCTGAAATGATTAAACACCAAGGGAAGGCTGCCTTCCCAGTCCATGACTGGTGCAGGAGTTTTGGGTCCATGGATAAAACATGTCTCCTTTGTCTCTACCAGAAAATGAAAGGAATTGAAATTAAGAGAAGGGAGAGACTGAAGTGTGGCACCAAGATTGAAAGGAGAAAGAGGTTGAGGGATAGTGAGGGAGGTTAGAGAAAAGAGTAAAAAGAGGCTGCTTACCGGATTTGAAATTGGTGAGATGTTTCTTGGGCTGGTCAGTCTGAGGACTTGAGGTTGTAGGTGGATCTTTCTCATGGAGTAAAGATCAGGAGGACAGGGGATTGATCTCCCAAAGGAGGTCCCCCGATCTGAGTCACGGCACCAAATTTCATGCATGTCCCTGTGAAGAGACCACCAAACAGGCTTTGTGTGAGCAATAAAGTTTTTAATCACCTGGGTGCAGGCAGGCTGAGTCTGAAAAGAGAGTCAGCGAAGGGAGATAGGGGTGTGGCCCTTTTATAGGATTTGGGTAGGTAAAGGAAAAAGGGGGGTTGTTCTCTGGTGGGCAGGAGTGGGGGTCACAAGGTACTCAGTGGGGGAGCTTTTGAGCCAGGAGAAGGAATTTCACAAGACAATGTCATCAGTTAAGGCAGGAACAGGCCATTTTCACTTCTTTTGTGGTGGAATGTCATCACTTAAGGCAGGAACCAGCCATCTGGATGTGTATGTGCATGTCACAGGGGATATGATGGCTTAGCTTGGGCTCAGAGGCCTGACAGGTAGAAAATACTGACTTCCAGAGATATAAGGATTAGGCTCAAAAGGCAACACTTAGCTGGAGTTTAGAGGCAGGAATTAAGTCTTAAAAACAGGTGATAGAAAAGGGAATCATCAGATTAGGAAATGAAAAAACAAGTCTCTTGTTTGGTTAAGAATTCCTCAGCTGGAGAAAACAATCCCAAGAATTAGGAATCTGGAAATTAGGCCCAAAACAGACTTAGCTAAAGCAGGATTGATTTCAACAGTATGTAAAAACAAGGCCCCTGAAATCTCCATCTTAACTGATACTGTTTGGTATAGGAACAGAGGACCACATGCCTTTAGCTGCAGGGATGAGAAAGGGCTAAGAACCATACAGAGTCTGATATTAATATAAAGAAAGATTTTTCTTAAGCATATTTTTGGCCAAGCTGGTATCAGTGGTTTTGAAGATGAATGATTACTATTTATCATAACCCCATGCATGGGAATTCCAATTTTGGCTCCAACATGTAAGAGCTTCGAAGTTCTTATTCCCATGCCTACAATAAGAAAAAGCTGAAAATTCTGAAAAATTACTTTTGTTTTATGCTACTTATCAGAAAACTGAGGTCACAGGGCAAATTGCAATCTGAAATCTAGAGACAGGTACAATCAGAAAAATACAGCAACAATGGAGCAGAATGTAATAGAGCCATATACCCTGTAAAGATACTGAAATTGCAATTTTAACAAACTGACGGAGGCTAACTGTATAATAGCTTGAGAGGGAGAGCCTTTTGGGGACCACAGTTTTAGGAAATCCCATATTTGCATGGGCTCTATTTCAAGGAAACCTATCATATCCTCAAAGTAAAGATCCAAGAAAGACCCTTTCCTGGCTGTGGCATAGAATAGGGAAGAATCAAAATTGTGAAACACACCCAGAGTGTTCTCTATAACAAAGAGCTGCCCTCCAGAAGAAGAGAATGTGTAGAGATGTATTTCAGTTTAAGAAAAGGCATTTTTCTCAGTCTAATCCACTCTTCTCTTCCTGTCTCACACATGAAGGGAAAAATATAGCCAACAGGTTTTGGGGACTTCAAGGAAATGCAGTGGAAATGTAGCAGCTAGAAAGCAGGGGAGGAAATGCTATACCATTTGAGAAACACATAGGAAGGCCTCAGCCCTGAGGCATGTGTCCAATAAAAGACTGAGATATTATTAGAAGATTATAGAACTGTGAGAAACTTTGGAATACCAAAAGGAAAAGAAAGACAGAACCAAACAGAAAAAAAAAAATTGAAGTAATAACAGCAAAGAGCTTTCCAAAATTAATGAGACACCAAATCACAGATATAGAAAGTTTAGAGAACCCCAAACATTGAAGTAATAACAGCAAAGAGCTTTCCAAAATTAATGATAGACACCAAATCACAGATACAGAAAGTTTAGAGAACCCCAAGCATAATAAAGACAAAAAGCAACAACAGCAGCAACAAAACAAACACCACCACCAACAGCAAATACATACTCTTCTTACCATATTCATACTGCAGAAAATCAAAGTCAAGAGTGTCTTGTGCATCCATGTAAAGAGACCACCAACAGGCTTTGTGTGAGCAATAAAGCTTTTTAATCACCTGGGTGCAGGTGGGCTGAGTCCTAAAAGAGAGTCAGCAATGGGAGTTAGGGGTGGGGCAGTTTTATAGGATTTGGGTAGGTAGTGGAAAATTACAGTCAAAGGGGGTTGTTCTCTTGCAGGCAGGGGCAGGGGGGTCACAAGGTGCTCGGTGGGGGAGCTCCTGAGATTCATTGTCCAGGAGAAGGAATTTCACAAGGTAATGTCATCAGTTAAGGCAGGAACCGGCCATTTTCACTTCTTTTGTGATTCTTCAGTTGCTTCAGGCCATCTGGATGTATACCTGCAGGCTTGGGCTCAGAGGCTTTACAAAGAGAACACCTTGAAAGAAGTCAGAGAAATAAAATACCTACTTATCAGGAATAAGAATAGGAATAGCAGACTTTTTGTCAAAAACAATGCAAGCGGAAACAAAGTGGAGTGAAATATTTAAAGTGTTGAAAGGAAACAAAACACCAGCCTAGAATTCTATATCCAGTGAAAATTATCCTTCCAAAGTTAAAGAGAAATAACAAATTTATCTGACAAAAGCTGAGTGAACTTGCAACCAGCAGATCTGCTGTGCATGACATTTAAAAGGTCTTTGGAGGGGAACATCACACACCAGGGCCTGTTGGGGGGTGAGGGCCTAGGGGAGGGATAGCATTAGAAGAAATACCTAATGTAAATGACAAGTTGATAGGTGCAGTAAACCAACATGGCACGTGTATACCTATGTAACAAACCTGCACATTACGCACATGTACCCTAGAACTTAAAATATAATAATAATAATAATAAAAGATCTTTGGGCAGGAGGGAAATGATGTCAGAAAATTGGACTTACATAAAGAAAGGTAGGGCATCAGAGAAAGAATAAATGAAGGTAAAATAAAATATTTTATTTTTTAGTTTTAATTGATATGAAAGGTAACTTTGTTTAAAGCAATATTAGTAACAATGCATTAAGCGATCATAACATAAATAAGTTAAAGAAATGAAGAAATTCACAAAGGACAGGAGGGAGGGATTGAGAATATTATTATGAGGCACTTGCATTACATGTGAGGTGATGTGCTATTTGAAGTAAAATTTAGATTAGTTAGAAATGTATATTGGAAACTTGAGGAAAAGTAGTAAGTTTTTTGTTAGTAGCATTACTGATATGCTGAAAGGAGAGATAAAATGGAATTATATAAAATGTTCAATTAAAGTGAGAGCAAAAGAAAAATAAAGGAAAAGATAAAGTGCAACAAATAGGAAACAGCTACAAATATGGTAGATATTAATCCAGCTATATCAATAATTACTTTAAATGTGACTGGTCACATTACACCAATTAAAAGACATATATTGTCAGAGTGGATAAAAAAAAGAACAACAACAACTCAATTATATGTGAGCTACAAGAAACCCACTTTAAATATAAAGATTCATGTTAAAAGTAAATGGTTTGTATCATGAAGGAAGGGATGCTGAGTTTTATCAAATGCTTTCTCTGCATCTGTTGAGATGATCATATAGTTTTTGTCTTTAATTTTTTGTTTATGTGATGAATCACATTTATTGATTTTTGTAGGTTGAACCATCCTTTCATCCCTGGAATAGAACCCACTTCATCATGAGTTTGATCTTGATATTTTTGATATGCTGGTGGACTTGGTTGCTAGTATTTTGTTGAGAATTTTTGCATCTGTGTTCATCAAGGATATTGATTTTCAGTTTTTTTTGTTGTTGTTGTTATATCATTGTCTTGGATGATACTGGCTTCCTAGAATGAGTTAGGGGTAATTCTCTCCTCCTTAATTTTTTGAAATAGTTTCAGGAGGATTGGTACAAGTTCTTCACTGTACATTTAATAGAACTTATGCTGTGAATACATCTGGTCCTGGGCTTTACTTTGTTGGAAGATTTTTATTACTAGTTCAATCTCAATACTATTTATTGGTCTCTTCAGGATTTCTATTTCTTCCTGGTTCAATCTTGGCATTTGTATGTTTCCAAGAATGTATCCATTTCTTTTAGGTTTTCTAGTTTGTAAATGTATAGTTGTTAATAAGAGTCTCTGATAATCTTTTGTATTTCTGTGATATATGTTGTAATGTTTTCTTTTTCATTTCTGATTGTGTTTATTTGGATCTTCTCTTCTTTTTTTGATTAGTCCAGCTACTGAGTTATCAATTTTGTTTATCTTTTTTTTTTTTTTTTTTTTTTTTTTTGAGATAGAGTCTCTCTCTGTTGCCCAGGCTGGAATGCAGTGGCACAATCTCCGCTCACTGCAAGCTCCACCTCCCGGGTTCACAGCATTCTCCTGCCTCAGCCTCCTGAGTAGCTGGGACTACAGGCGCCTGCCACCACACTCAGCTAATTTTTTGTATTTTCAGTACAGACAGGGTTTCACCATGTTAGCCAGGATGGTCTCGATTTCCTGACCTCGTGATCCACCCACATCGGCCTTCCAAAGTGCTGGGATTAGAGGCGTGAGCCACCGTGCCTGGCCAATTTTGTTTATCTTTTTAAAGAAGCAACTATTGGTTTCATAAATCCTTGCATTATTTTCTTGGTCTCATTTTCATTTAATTCTACTCTGATCTTTGTTATTTCTTTTCTACTGCTAGCTTTGGATTTGATTTGTTTTTGTTTTTCTAAAGTTCCTTGAGGTGTGATATAAGGCTGCTAATTTGTAATCTTTCCATATTTTTCATGTAGGCATCAAAAAATGCTATAAACTTTTCACTTGGTACTGCTTTTGCTGTATCCTAAATATTTTGGTATGTTATGTTTTCATTTCATGCAATAATTAAAAATTATTTTAAGTTCCATATTAATTTCATCATTGACTCAATGGTCATTCAGGGCATGTTTTTAAATTTCAGTGTTTTCATATCGTTTCTAGAGTTCCTTTTTGTATTGCCTTCCAGGCATAGAAGGAACATATCTCAACATAATAAAGCCCGTATAAAATAAACCCTCAGCCGACATCACACTGAATGGGTAAAAGTTGAAAGAATTCCCCCTAAAAACTAAAACAAGACAAGGATGTCCTTATCTTGTTTGGTCAATTTCATTACTCCCATTCAACGTAGTCCTGGAAGTCCTAGCCAGAGCAATCAGGTAAGGGAAAGAAATAAAAGGTAGCCAAATTTGAAACAGAGAAAGTCAAATGATCTCTGTTTGCTGACAATGTGATCTTACATTTAAAAACTCTAAAGACTCCACCAAAATATCTTAGATTTGATTTAAAAAATTCAGTAAGTTTTCAGGATACAGAACCAACATATAAATATCAGTAGAATTTTTATACACCAATAACTATCAAGCTAACAATCAAATAAAGAAGATAATTCTGTTTTCAACCACAACAACAACAACAAAAAGTATCTAGAAACCAAGATGGTTAAAGATCTCTACAAGGAAAAATACAAAACATTGATGAAGGAAATTGTAGATGACACAAACAAATGGTAAAACATTCCATGCTTATGAAACAGAAGAATTACTATTGTTAAATGATCATTGTGGCTTTGATTTGTATTTCTCTAGTGATCACTGATATTGAGCTTTTTAAAATATGCTTGTTGGCTGCATGTATGTCCTCTTTTGAGAAATTTCTGTTCATGCTCTTTGTCCGCTTTTTAATGGAGTTGTTTGTTTTACTCTTGTAAATGTGTTAAAGTTCCTTATAGATGCTGGATATTAGATTTTTGTCAGATGCATAGTTTGCATATATTTTGTCTCATTCTATGGGTTGTCTGTTTACTCGGTTGATAGTTTGTTTTGCTGTGCAGATGCTTTTAAGTTTGAATAGATTCCACTTGTCAATTTTTGCTTTTGTTGCTATTGCTTTTGGTGTCTTTGCTGTGAAATCTTTGCTCATTCCTATGTCCAGGATGGTATTGCCTAGGTTGTCTTCCAAGGTTTTTATATTTGGGTTTTACACTTAAGTCCCTTATTGCTTGTTTTTGTCAGCTTTGTTAAAGATCAGATGGTCGTAGATGTCCAACCTTATTTCTGGTCTCTCTATTCTGTTCCATTGGTCTATATACCTGTTTTTGTACCAGTACCATGCTGTTTTGACTACTGTAGCCTTGTAGTGTAGTTTGAAGTCAGGTAGCATGATGCTTTCAGCTTCGTTTTTTAATTTTTCTTAGTTTTGCCTTGACTATTTGGGCTCTTTTCTGGTTCCATATAAATTGTAAAATACCTTTTTCTACATCTGTGAAGAATATCATTAGTAGTTTGGTAGGAATAGCATTGAATCTGTAAATTATTTTGGGCAGTATGCCATTTTAGTAATACTGATCCTTTAAACAGTTGTGGAAATCAGTATGTTGATTCCTCAAAGACTAAAAGAGGAACTGCCATTTGACCCAGCAACCCCAGTCCTGGGTATATACCCAGAGGAATATAAGTCATTCTACCATAAAGACACATGTGTGAAAATGTTCATTGCAGCAGTATTCACATTATCAAAGACATGGAATCAACCTAAATGTCCATCAATGACAAGTTGGATAAAGAAAATGTGGTACATATACTTCATGGAATACTATACAGCCATAAAAAAAGAATGAGATCATGTCTTTTGTGGGAACATGGATGGAGCTACCAGTTATTATCCTTAGCAAACTAATGCAAGAACAGAAAACCAGATACCGCATGTTCTCACTTATGAGTGAGAGTGAAATTATAAGAACTTATCAACACAAAGAAGTAAACAACAGACACTGGCGTCTACTTGAGAGGGGAGGGTGGGAGGTAGAAGAGGTACAGAAAATATAATTAATGGGTACTGGACTTAATACCTGGGTGAAAAAATAATATGTACAACAAACCCCAGAGATACATGTTTACCTATGTAACAAACCTTCACATGTACCCCCAAACCTAAAATAAAAGTTAAAAAAAACACTAAAATGATTATACTCTCCCAAACATCTACAGATTCAATGTCATTTATATAAAATCCAAATATCAGTTTTTACAGAATTAGAAGAATTCTAAAATTTATATAAAACCAAAAAAGAGCCTGAAGAGCCAAAGCAATCATAAGCAAAAAGAACAAAGCTGGAGGCATCACATTACCTGACTTCAAATTATAGTAGAAGGCAATAGTAACAAAACAGCATGGTACTTGTGTAAAAATAGACACACGGATCAGTGGAACAGAATAGAGAACCCAGAAATAAAGCCACATATCTACAGGCAACCGTTTTGTCAAAGCCAACAAAAATATACACTAGGGAAAGGACATCCTTTCCAATAAATGGTGGGAAAATTGGATTGCCATATGCAGAATAATAAAAAGGGACTCATCTTTTACAATACACAAAAACCAACCCAAGATGTATTAAACACTTAAATTTGAGACCTGAGACTAGAAAAGTACTAGAAGAACACCAAGGGAAAACTCTTCTGAATATTGGTCTAAGGAAAGAATTCATGACTAAAACCTCAAAAGCACAAACAACACAAACAAAAATAGACAAATGGAACTTGACTTCATTAAACTAAAAAGCTTCTGTAGAGCAAAAGAAATAATCAACAGATGAACAGATAATCAGCAGAATGGGAGAAAATACTTGCAAATATTTGCAAACTGTGCATCCAGTGTGGGACTAATATCTAGAATTTACAAGGAACTCAAACAACTCCAGCAACAACAGCAACAAAAAGCACCATTTAAAAGTGGGCAAAGGCCATGAATATATATTTTTCAAAAGAAAACAAATGACAACAAGCAAATGAAAAAATTCTCAACATCATTAATCATAATGTAAAGGCAAAGTGAAACCACAATGAGATATCACTTTACACCAGTGAAAATAGCTGTTACTAAGAAGTCAAAAAATAACCTTAGTGAGGTTGCAAAGAAAAGGGTTGGTGGTAATGTAAATTAGTACAACTTCTCAGGAAAACAGTATGGAGAGTTCTCAAAGAACTAAAAATAAAAATGTAGCAATCCCACTACTTGGTAACTACTCAAAGGAAAATAAATAGTTATATAAAATAGATACCTGTTCTTGTGTGTTTATTGCTGTACTGTTCACAATAGCAAAGATACAGAATCAACTTAAGTGTCCACTAATGGATGGCTGGATAAAGAAAATATGGTGTATATATACAAAATGGAATACTATTCAGCCATATAAAAGAATGAAATAATGTATTTTGCAGCAAAATGGATGGAACTGGAAGCCATTGTCTTAAGCCAAACAACTCAGAAACAGAAAGTCAAATTCTGCATGTTCTCACTTGTAAGCAGGAGCTAAATGATGTGTACACATGGACAAAAGAGTGTGGAATGATAGACACTGGAAACTCAGAAGGCTAGGGCTTGAAAGGAGGAAGGGAGATAACAAATTACTTATGAGTACAATGTACATTATTTGGGTGATGGGTACACTAAAAGCCAAGACTTCAACACTATGCAATACATTCATATGACAAAATTGCTCATGTACCCCATAAATTTATAGAAATAAACTTTTATTAAAGGGATGTTTATTATCTCACCGATTGGGAGAAAACATTTGCATATTATATACCTGATAAGGGATTTGTATCTACAATATGTGCAGAGCTCTTACAAAAAAGCAATAAAATAAAATATAATACTTTTACACTTGTAAAACTGACTATATAATGAATACCTGAAAATAGAATTCATAGAAATACAAGTTTGTAGATTTTTCATTTTGATAGGTGATACAGTTTGTATATTCATCCCCACTCAAATCTCGTGTTGAATATTAATCCTCAAATCTGGAACTGGAGCCTAGTGGGAGGTGTTTGGTTCATAGGGGCAGATCCTTTACAAGTGGCTTGGGCCATAGTATGCCAGCTCTTGCTGTGAGTTCTCCTGAGATTTTGTTGTTTATGTGTGTGTGGCACCTCCCCCCCAACTCTCCCTCTTGCTCTTGCTTTTTCTATGTGATGTGTCTGCTCCCCTTTCACCTTGTGCCATGATTGAAAGCTTCTGAGGTCACCCCAAAAGCTGAGCAGATATCACCACCATGCTTCCTGTAAAACCTGTAGAACCATGAGCCAATTAAACCTTTCTTTATAAATTACCCAGTCACAGTTATTTCTTTACAGCAGTGCAAGAACAACCTAATGAAGAAAATTGCTACCAAGAGAAGGGCATTTCCATAAATATATCTGAAAATGTGCAAGTAATTTTGGAACCAGGAAAAAGGCAGAGGTTGGAAGAGTTTGGAGGGTTGAGAAGAAGACAGAAAGATGAGGGAAATTTTGAAACTTCTGAGAGAATAGTTAAATGGTTGTGACCAAGATGCTGATAGTTATATCAACAGTGAGGTCTCAGATAGAAATGAAAAATGTATTGGGAACTGGAGCAAAGGTCATGCCTGTTATGTCTCAGCAAAGAACTTGGCTGTATTCTGTTCATGCCCTGAGGATCTGTGGAAGTTTGAATAAACAGTGATTATTTAGAGTATCTGGCAGAGGAAATGTCTAAGCAGGAAAGAGTTCAAGATGTTGCTTGGCTGCTTGTAATGAGCTATGCTCATATGTGGGAGCAGAAGAATGACTTAAAGTTAGAAGTTGCATCTAGAAGGGAAGCAGAGCATAAAAGTTTGGAAAGTTTGCAGCCTGGCCATGTGGCAGAAAAAAAGAAAGCTTTTTGGGAAAGGAATTCAAACACGCTGTGGAACAATCACTTGCTAGAGAAATTTGCGTAACTAAAAGAAAGCCAAGTGCTAATATCCAAGACAATAATGGAAATGACTTCAAAGGCATTTTAGAAACGTCCACAGCAGCCCCTCCCATCACAGGCCCAGAGATTTTGAAGGGAAGAATGGTTTCCTGGGCATGGCTTAGGGCCCCTGCAGCCCTGCACAGCCTTGGGACACTAATTCCAAGATCCCAGGCACTCCAGCTTCAGTTGGAGCTCAAAGGGCCCAGGTACACCAAGAGCTGTCACTTTGGAAAATTCAAACCATAAGCCTTGGCAGCTTCCATGTGGTATTAAGCCTGGGTGTGCAGAGTGCATGAATTAAGGAGGCTAGACCTCGACCTAGATTTCAGAGGATGTATGAGAAACACTGGGTGCCCAGGCAGAAGCATGCTGAAGCCCCACAGAGAACCTCTAATAGGAAATGCAGAGGGAAAATGTGGGTTTGGAGCCCCCACACAGAGTCCCCACTAGGCACTACCTATTGGAGCATAGGAAAGAATCGCAGAATGATAGATCCACTAGCAGCTTGCACCTTGCACCTGGAAAAGCCTCATGCACTCAATAACCTGTGAGAGCAGCCACAGGGGCTAGGCCTTGCAAAGCCACAGGGATGGAGCTGCCCCTTGTGCCAGTGTGCCCTGGATGTGGGACATGCAGTCAAAGAAAATTATTTTGGCTCTTTAAGTTTAATGACTGCCATGGTAGGTTTTGAACTCATGTGGGGCCTGCAGCCCCTTATTTTGACTGATTTCTCCCTTTTGAATGGCAATGTTTACCCTATACTGCCTATACCACCATTTTATCTTAGAAGTAAATAACTTGTTTTTGGTTTTACAGGCTCATAGATGGAAGGGACTTGCCTTATCTCAGATGAGACTTTGGACTTTGGACTTTTGAGTTAACATTAAAACAAGTTAAGACTTTAAAGGAGTATTGGGAAGGCATGATTGTATTTTTCAATACGAGAAGAACATGAGATCTGGGAGGGGCCAGAGATGAAATTATATCATTTGTATATTTATCTCCACCCAAATTTCATGTTGAAATGCAATCCTTAATGTTGGAGGTGGACCTAGTGAGAGGTATTTGGATCATGAGGATTTGGATCATGAGAGTTCACATGAGACCTGGTCATTTAAACAAATGTGTGTTGCACCTCCCTGCTAAGTCACTGTCTTTTGCTCCTGCTTTTGCCATATAATGTGTCGTCTCCCTACTTTGCCTTCCACCCTGAGTAAAAGCTTCCAGAAGCCAAGCATATACCAGCACCATGTTTTCTGTACAGCCTGAAGAAACATGAATCAAGTAAACCTCCTTTCTTTATAAATTACTCAGTCTCAGGTATTTCTTTGTAGCAAGCAAGAATGGCCTAATTCAATAGACCTAACATATAACCTTCCAAACATAGTACACCAACTTGCTTTCCCAGGAAAAGCGTAGAAGAGGTAGAATAAGTATTTTCAAAATATTGTCCTCCTCTGCCATTGAGGCAGAAGGATAAGAATTTCATTAAAGAATTGTATAGTATGTTCTTGCTTGTGTACCTCTGCTAATGGGTACATTGCAGGTTGACAATAGATTTAAGCTTTAACTCTCATACATTGTCAGTGAATAATAAAAGGGGAAAGAAAGCTGACTGGATCAGCCTATATAAACATGGTACATTTAATCACCACAAAAACATTGAATGTAAAATAACTTTCTTATTTCCATTCAAAATGTGGAGAAAGTGAGATTTAGAAATATTATGACACAATGGAGAATACTTTCTAGTTAAGAAAAAGTTAAAGCCAAATCCATATTCTTTAACTTTTTTCCAATGACAATATTTTATCCCTGATATTGATACCCTAAGGCTATGATTCTGACCATAGTAATAATAGCATCAATAATTACAGCTAACATTTATTGGAGTGCTTAATATGTGCAAGATAAGTACTCAAATAAACTTGAAGTCTATTATGTGAAGTTACACTGGCAAGTAAGTAATACTATTCTTATTTTAAGGTTGAGAAAATTATGGAATAATGGTCAAATGATGAAATGACAAAATTAATTATAGAAATGGAGAACAGAATAGTAATTACCAGGGGTTCAGAAGGGTTGAGAGCTAAAGGGAAGTGGATGTGGCTATTTGAAGACCACATGAGTAATTCTTGTATTATGGAAATGTTCTGCATCTTGACTGTACCAATGCTGATATTCCACTTGTAATTTTGCACTACAATTTTACAACATGCTACCAGAAGTTGAAACTGGATAAATAAATACATGGGATTTCTCTGTATCATTTTTTTCAACTTCATGTGAATCAACAGTTATCTCAAAATGTTTAATTAAAAAATGTGAGAGGAATAATGTCACACAATGGCAGAGTAGAAAATTTTACAATGCAATGGAGAAATTGATTCCTCCCCCAAATAAATCACTGAGCTGAAAAAAGTGATTTGGATCAATTTCATTGGAGTTCTGGAACCTGATCTAACACTTACAGCAACCAGAGCAGTGCTCAATGAAGGGAAAGGCTGCTGATCTCATGTAAGTGACCAGCGTGCTCATGCTCGAACCCAATATCATCTCCTATTTCTTAGCCCCTTCAAGGCTGTGGGGTTAGCATCCCACATTTTGGAGTTGCTGTCTGGTGCCAGAACAGGCAGTGGAGACCTTCTCCTCTAAACATTTGGAGTTGTGTGTTTAGGTTGGTCTGGCAGTGCCCTGAGGAACCTGCCCAAATGCTTGCCTTGGTTTTGGTCCCCTCAGCAGAAGCAAAATTCCTGAGAAGCATCTATCAGATTTAAGGAGACAGCATCTTTTTAATGTTCTTTCTCATTTTGGAGTCAGTCAGACATTTAAAGAATTACTTGTCAGGCTGATCACAAATACAATAGAACAGAAACTTCAATGGCCAAACACACCAGGGAATGCACGCTTTGCAAAAATTATTTGGAAGAGTTACATAACTGAATTTAAAGTTAAAACTATAATTTTTTTTATTATACTTTAAGTTTTAGGGTACATGTGCACAATGTGCAGGTTAGTTACATATGTATACATGTGCCATGCTGGTGTGCTGCGCCCATTAACTCGTCATTTAGCATTAGGTGTATCTCCTAATGCTATCCCTCCCCCTTCCCCCCACCCCACAACAGTCCCCAGAGTGTGATGTTCCCCTTCCTGTGTCCACGTGTTCTCATTGTTCAATTCCCACCTATAAGTGAGAACATGCAGTGTTTGGTTTTTTGTCCTTGTGATAGTTTACTGAGAATAATGATTTCCAGTTTCATCCATGTCCCTACAAAGGACATGAACTCATCATTTTTTATGGCTGCATAGTATTCCATGGTGTATATGTGCCACATTGTCTTAATCCAGTCTATCATTGTTGGACATTTGGGTTGGTTCCAAGTCTTTGCTATTGTGAATAGTGCCGCAATAAACATACGTGTGCATGTGTCCTTATAGCAGCATGATTTGTAATCCTTTGGGTATATACCCAGTAATGGGATTGCTGGGTCAAATGGTATTTCTAGTTCTAGATCCCCGAGGAATCGCCACACTGACTTCCACATTGGTTGAACTAGTTTACAGTCCCACCAACAGTGTAAAAGTGTTCCTATTTCTCCACATCCTCTCCAGCACCTGTTGTTTCCTGACTTTTTAATGATTGCCATTCTAACTGGTGTGAGATGGTATCTCATTGTGGTTTTGATTTGCATTTCTCTGATGGCCAGTGATGATGAGCATTTTTTCATGTGTTTTTTGGCTGCATAAATGTCTTCTTTTGAGAAGTGTCTGTTCATGTCCTTCACCCACTTTTTGATGGGGTTGTTTGTTTCTTTCTTGTAAATTTGTTTGAGTTCATTGTAGATTCTGGATATTAGCCCTTCGTCAGATATTAGCTCTTTGTCAGATATTAGCCCTTTGTCAGATAAAAACTAAAATATTTTTAAAAGAAAGCATAAGAAAAAATTGTCATGACCTTAGATTTGGTAATGGTCTCTAAGTATGGTAATAAAACTACAAGTAATTTAAAAATGAATAAATTAGACTTCATCAAATTTTTTTTTAATTAGCATTGACACTTGGTAATGATAGAACACTATCAAGAAAACCAACAAAATGACAGAAAATATTTTTAAAACATATATCTGAAAAGAAATTCATATCCAGAATATGTAAGGAACTCCTATGACTCAATAACAAAAGAAATGACTCAAAAAGTGAGCAAAAGACTTGAATAGACAGTTTTTCCAAAGAAGATATACAAATGATCAATAACCACATGAAAAAGAAAATGTTCAACATCATTAGTCATTGGGAAAATGCAAATCAAAGCCACAGTGAGATATCACCACTTCACACTCACTAGCATGACTATTATCAAACAAATAGAAAATTACAAGTGTTGGCAAGGATGTGGAGAAAATGTTATCTTTGTGAACTGCTGGTGAGAATATAAAATGATGCAGTCACTCTGGAAAATTTTGGCAATCTTCAAAATGTTCAACATAGAATAACTATTTGACCCAGCAATTCAACGTCTAGGTATATACCCAGAGTAATTGAGCAGACACTCACTCAGGTAGTTCTATACCAGTGTTCATAGCAGTGTTATTCACAGTAGTCAAAAGGTAGAAACAACTCAAGTGTCCATTAACAAATGAAGAGATAAATAATATATATACATATATTTACCATATTTTATATCTATCTATCTACCACAGGATGATATTCGGCCATAAGTAGAAATAAAAGTCTAATACATAATACAACATGATGAACCTTGAAAATATGCCAAGTAAAGTAAGTCAAATACAAAAGAACAAATATTGTATGATTCTACTTATGTGGGGTGTCTAAAATAGGCAAATTCATATAGGCAGAAAGTAGAATCGAGATTACCAAGAGCTGGGGATGGGAAGAATCAAAAGTTATTGCTTAATGGCATAGAGTTTCTGTTTGGAATAATGAAAAAAGTTGGAAGTAGTTGTGAGCATTGCACAACATTGAATGCCACTGAATTGTACAGCTAAAATAGTTAAAATGGTAAATTTTCATTATGTACATTTTACCACAATAAAAAAGTCCTATTCCCATTAAAAAATGAGAGTTAAACAAAATGTAAACCATATAAATAAACGATTATTACAAAACATTGTTTATGGCCCAGCTGACTGTTTCTTCTCTATCTGGCTGGGCTTGTTCATTCATCTGCAGTCAGCAGATGTTAGCTGGGCAGCCCTGCTCCCAGGTGTTTCTCAGCTGTCAAGTGGGGCAATCAGGAATCCGGGCCCCATGTATCTCATCTAATCCCATGTAACCACCACTAAAAGGGTAGCTCACATTTGCTTAAGTAGTGGCTTGTCAGGATTCCAAGGCAGGAAGTAGAAGTCTGCAAGGCTTCTGGGTGTGTCGGCTCAGGGTTGATGCAGTCACTTCCACCACATTCTGTTAATCAAAGACCAGTGGGGAAATAGTTTGCATCTTTTGATAAGAGAAGCTTCAAAGTCGCATTGAAAAATGGTGGGAATACGGATAAGAGTAGAGATTACTGGACAATTCTTGCAGTCTATTAGGATATAAAAGCCCTACAATAAGGGACTGAATAAATGAATAATGCAAATATTGAAATAATAAACAGTAATTGTAATTTTAAAGAATATTTAATAAAATAAGAAAACAGGAGTTTAATACTAAATATATTAGAATAAATATGTTAAAATGTATAAATATTAATGTGGAAAATATTAAACTCTATACACATATATATGTTGATGAATACATACACATTTATTTTCTATATTTTCTAAATGCTAAATTTATTCCTCTTGAAACTTAGGGAAAAGTCAGCTTTCTTAATAACATTTTAAAAAATGTGCTTGTGTTTCTTTTATCCATATATTCTTGAACTTACTTGAACTTTGGAGGCAAGATTTTAAAGATCAAAAATTTTAATATGGCCTTTGTGTTATCTCTCATATGATTGACAATAAATATTAGTAATCCAGGATTAATTTAGATCCTACTATACTGGAACTGTTCAAAAGACAATAACAATTATTTTTGGCATTCTACAATCCATCTTTATCTCAACCTTTATCTTTTAATCTAGATATCCTCTGCTGGAAGCAAAAAGCTTAAATAACTAGGGCAACAAATCAGGACCAATGTACTTTCTTGAATTTGATGGATAGTAAGAGAAGAAAAGCATTACATTCTACCTGAAGTTTATTTTTCATTGTTTACCCTTAGAGTTCACCTCCCAAATCATGCTTTATTTCATCCCTTCCATAAATATTCACTGAGTTTGCACACTCCCTGTTTTTGAAGAGTTGAGAATTCAGTGAAAAAACATCTAAGTGAACAAACATAACATTTATTGTTGTATCTGTTCATCTGCTATAATAGAAGGCAGTAGATAGTGCCATATGAAACCCTCTGACTGTAACATATTTTTCATTTTGTGGAGGAGGGAGGTGTTGGAGGTAGTTTAAGAAAGTTGACTTTTAAGAATACGGATTTGAATTTATTCTTTCACCAAATATTTATAGTCCACCTATTTTGTCCTAAGTATGCCTAAACTGTATTAGATACTTCAAGTAGAGCAGTGGAAAAAAAACTCCTCTTATTCTAGGCACATCCTACGTGAGGAAAAAAAACAGTAATGAAATAAATACATACCATTGAAAGGAGTAATAAGTGCTATGAAGAAAATAAGTGAGAAAAGAGCTGAGAGAAGATGTGGAAAGTGTTACAGGCAGAGGACAGTACCTGGGTTGATTCTGGGATGTCCTTCTGCCTGTCTTCCTTCTACCTCCAACGCTTTGAAGATGCAAGTTCTCCCTTCAGGAATCTCTCATCAGGTGACTGGACTGGAGTACTCATATTACTCTTCTTCTCTTGGAATCAAAGTTGCTTAAGACAACATGATCTTTCTCACACGTGCTTGCCAATTCACCATAAGCCCAGGGCTGCAACTTAAAAATCTACGTAGAACAAGTAGATCACACCAATGAGTGAGTTGGGTCAAGTATAAGATCTTAGAGGGGTTGTGAGGCCTAAAGTGTACTGGATAGTGTCTGTTTCCATTAAACAAATTCAAATAAAAATTTTCAGAAATCACTCATTTTGGGGACAGCAGGTTTTTATTCCTTCTGTAAGAAGTCCCTCACTCTAGGTGACTGAACGAGGCACGTGTCAAATTGTCAAGGGCAAGTGATATTTTAAATCAGCAAATATAAATTACGTTTGCTGGGGTCAGCTGAATCATTCTTCTGTTAATGCAGTTGAGAATTTAAGAGATTAGTAGTGTGTGGATACTAAGAAGTAATCTCCATTCAAATATCTCTGCAGTAAACATTTGCTTTTGTTTCCTCACTTTCCTCTTGATTTTTCTTTGGGGAAACATTTTTTCACCATTTTGGCAGCCTGGATGGGGCCACCCATCAAATTTACTCCCATCCCCAAATCCTAACTCCCACCCTACAAACGCTATTCCCAGGCAAGGAGTGGTCATAGATAGGATCCAAGTCTAAGCTAATGCTAGCACTCTTTATCTTAAGGCATTTTCCCTTTCTTTTTTTACTGTGGTAAAATATGTATAACATATTTATCATGTTAACTATTTATAAGTGTTTGATTTAGTGGTATTAAATACATTTACAGTGTTGGGTAACCATTGCCACTATCTATAATCAAAACATGTTAATCATCCCTAACATAAACCCTTTCTTCATTAAACAATAACTCTGCATTCCTGACTGTCTCCAGATCCTGGTAACCTCTATTCTACTTTGTCTCTATGAAATTTGTCTATTCCACCTTATATAAGTGGAATCATACAACATTCATCCTTTTGCATCTAGCTTATTTCACTTAGCACAATGTTTTCAGGGTTCATGCATGTTGTAACCTATATAAAAATGCTATTTCTTCTTATGGCTGAATAATATTCCATAGTGTGTATATAGCACATTTTGTTTATCTATTTATTTGTTGATGAACACTTGGGTAGTTTCTACCTTTGGGCTATTGTGAATAATGCTGCTATGAATCCTGGTGGAAAAAGCTGCAGGAATTCTGATAGAAATTGTGTCAAAACTACAGATTGCTTTGAATAATATTCACATCTTAACAATGTTAAGTCTTCCTATCCATGAATGTGGGATGTCTTTCCATTTCTTAAGATCTTCCTTAATTTCTTCCAACAATGTTTTACAGTTTTCAGTGTACAAGATTTTTCACTTCTCTGTTTAAATGTATTCCTAAATAAATCTAAATTTAAATAATCTTTAAAATTTTAAAGATTGTATTGTAAAATTAAAAATTACTTTTTAAATTTTCTTTTTGGATTGTTCATTGGTGGTATACAGAAACAAAATTATTTTGTGTGTGGGTCCTGTGCCCTGCAGCTTTGCTTACTTCTTTATTAGCTCTAGTAGCATTCTTGCGGATTATATATATATATATATATATGTGTGTGTGTGTGTGTGTGTATAACACATGTATATACATGTATACACACATACACATATATATCATCTTATCTGTGAATAGAGATAGTTTTACTTTTTACTTTCCAACATGAATACCTTTTTCTCTAAAACTTTTGAATTTTAATCTAGGAAACTGAAATTAACTAGAAATGAATTATCCCAGCAACAATGTCCTCAAAAGATAGCCCATACTGCCCAAGTTCATAAGAGTGACTGCAGGTCATGTGTTTCCAAAGGCTAGATTTTGTACTATTTTCCCTTTATTCTGTTATCATTTTTTAGCAGAATTTGTTTCTGGTGCTTCTAACTCAGGAACTCTAGATGATCTACTATCTCATCCGTTTTCTTTTGAGCAAAGAGAATGCTTTTAAAAACTAACATAAAGGAAGAGAAAATAGGGTCTTAAATTGGACTTTATGATATTAGATCCAGTTCTCTTTGTTAGTACTTCTTAGGTTCAGACTACAAAAGAATTCCCGTTAAATTGTTTAAAATGCAAATTACTAAAATTCATCACTAGAGATTTTAGTTACTACTTTTTAACGAGCAGCCTAGGTGATTTTCATGTGTATGAACCACAGACGACACTTTGAAAACCACCGTATGTTTTGCAGGACTGGCCTCTATAATGTATTTGCCAAATAATGATCTAGTTAATGATTGAGCACCTCTAGAGTTTTGCTAACTCTCTATGCCACAATGTGAATTCATGTCATTTGGGAACAACTCCTTTTAAAAGAGTAAAATAATAATAAAAAGGCTTTTATATTTTGGCTAGCAATATACTCAGTATGAAACTGAATCACTGAGTCACATAATTTTATGTTTGTAGAATTATAGAGATTTTTTCATTCTCCTTGCCTTAAAAGAAACAATTTCAAAGAATCAAATGAGCCAAATAAGACATATGTCTTCACATAAATGCTTTCTGCTGAAATCATATTTCTTTTTATTCTAAATAATTTAATTTCACATAAGCATTTGTATGTGTACTTGTAATGATCTCATTGCCATGGTAAAAAAGGTGGTATCTTGGGTGTTGCTGGGTAGAACCCCAAATCCCAAAATAGCAATCCTCTTTTTCCTAACGGAGGTTTATTTTCCTTTGGTCTTGACAACTTTTCTGTCTTGAAGAGTGAAATAATGCAGACACCTCGATGAGGTGCTAAGCTTTACCAGCTAATGACTTGGATACCAGTGACACCAGAAGCAGGGTGCTGAGAGAGAAAATGAAAGTGCTGTCACTGTGAGAACTGTGTCAGATTGTTTTACATTTCTTAATTCCCCCTTATTCCTGGTTTTCATTCCTCCATCTGTTTCTCCATAGTGATTGGTATTTAAACTCTAAAAAGAACATGTGCTGCTGGAATAAGATGTTTTATTTAAATAAAAGGATAGATATCTGATAATATGCATGTGAGATCTTCCAAGGTTATTAGCATTTTTCATGTTAATCAGAACCTTACACTCATAGGATAAAATCATCATACCATGGTAGAATTGTTGGTGTCAGCTAGATTTAAAATGGGCTTCTTGGTGAGGGGAGGGGAGGTCAACCAGAGCTTTTCTGTCTGTAAAGTGCCTCAAGTTCACTTATTTGGCTGTGCTAAATAATAATCTTACAAGGCAAAACAATTTAGTGGAATGAACACAGGCTAACGTCTGGCACACTTAACTTCAAACACTAGTTGCATAGTCTAGGTATAAAACCTGATTCCACAGACTCTATTTCTCTATTTAATTCAATTGTATTTGATTCAACATATAGTTATTGAGCACATGCACTTGAAACTGCAGAGCACTAGAGATACAATGGTGTTCGAGAGATTCCTTGCCTACCTGTACTCAGCTTAAAGTGGAGCAGGAGAACGAACAGCAAAAAAATCACACACAAAGGTCAATTATGATATATACACCTATTACACATTAGGGTTAGAATTTTGAGAATATACTACAGATTAAATAAGTAACAATGGTTACTTTCTCTCCTTTTGAGAAAGAATGTTGAGCATGACAATGACATGGCAATTTAATAACATTTTCTTTCAAGTTCTGACACATTTGTTCTGAGAAAGTATTGTACTGGAAGCCTGCAGGTACACACATGCATGTGTATTTTCTTTACTCACTATTTTCCTCATCTTTTAAACTGCACAGTTGAATTAACAAATTCTTTCTCTGGAAATGGATTCTTATTTTGAAACATAAAATTGCCTTCATGACTAGAAAATAAAATAAAGTGGAAAAATGAACACGTATATAGATTTGTAGTTAAATAGGAGGTGGGAGCTGGAAGTTTCCAGGTCTACCCACCTAGTTTCACTGACAGATAATCTCCATCAGAGAAGGCGCCTTCCTTCCCAAGATCAAGGAAAAGTAAGATGCTCAGCCATGCAAAGAACTCTGATCTTTCCATTCCCAGTCCACTGTCAATAATGTCAGTCAATGCCATGTTTTCAGAAATGCCGTCTATACCCAGAGTGAACCTCTTGAACGGGAAGCATGATTTTATCTGCGAATGCAAAAAAGAGGAATAGCTTATCTTCAGCCTAATTGCCAGATAAGGTTGATTGACTCTGAACAGACTGTTTGTCTGATAAGACTGTCAGTACTCTAGAAAGAGCACAGGTTGAGGTGTTGTCCAAGTAGAGGTACATGCAGATCCTTGAAAACAAAGCTTGACTAAACAGAAGAACCCCAACCTCTCTTTCTAATGTTAACTTGGATAAAATGCTTGCCAAAAGCAGACTGAAGCTGAAGAAGCAGCATTTTAGCACTTCCTCCCTATTTACCTGAGAACTTTCAGTGCTCAATTTTCCAAACCAGCAAACTCCCTTAATAGCCTCACATCTACTTGACGTTTGGCAGAATGAAGTCCCAGAGTGCCCAGCTGTCAAAGTAGATAAGTCTTGCTAAAGAACTGAACATCAAGATAAGGGCATTAGAAATAAAATAATTGTCTGCAATTGGTTCTAGGCCTTTCTGTTTTATACAGTCACTAACTGCAAGATCAATAAAGATAGATAGATTTGAGTAAATCTAGAGATTTTTGAGTTGTATTAAATATACACAAGTAGCATTTGGAGGCAAACAGGAAACAACAATAATACATTTTAAAAACCTGAGGAAAATAAAAAAAGACCAAATGTGAAATAGCACAGTGATTTGGAGCTCAAGCTCTTGAAACAAGCAATTGTAAGGAGAGTAAAGAATGCTTTTGCTGGCTCAGTGTTACTCACCCACAAAGCCCCATGCCCTTAGCAGAGACTATGAGGTGCCCTCTCGCCAACCCTTGTCCATCACCACTCCATTGTGCATATTGAATACTTCCTCATTGATATGCATTATGATGATCAACACCAAAAGATATGCATTATGATGATCAACACCAAGTCTCTCTTTTCTCCCCACACTTTATATGATGAGAATTTACAATCACATACAGAGTTAAAGGAGTAGTGCATTAGTCACCCTTATCCCCAGTTTCACTTTCCAAGATTTCAGTTACCCTCCGTCAACCTCAGTCTGAAAATAAACAATTTCTAAGTATTAAACTGTAAGCTATTTTGTGATGAAATCCACCCTGCCTGGGTCATGAATCATTTCTTTGTCCAGTGTATCTACTCTACATACACTACCCACCCATTAGTCATCTACATGGTCTGCTCCTGAAATACCACCATCAACTTCATCATGGGTCAGTGATCCAGGATCACCTGAAGCAAATGATCCTCCTTCTGACATATCTTCAGAAGGTCAGTGGTAGCCTAATGCCTCACTCCAATGCCTATGTCATTTATCCCACTTCATCTCATCATTAGGCATTTTATCATCTCACATCATCACAAGAATGGTGAATACAGTACAATTAGAAATTTTGAGAGACCACATTCACATGTTTTACTACAGTATACTGTTCCAATCATTCTCTTTCATTATTAGCTATTGTTGTTCATCTCTTACTGTGCCTAATTTATAATTAAACTTTATCATAGGTATGTATGCTTAGGAAAAAACATACTACATAGAGGTTTTGATACTATCCATAGTTTCAGGCATCTATGGGGGGTGGTCTTAGAATGTATTTCCCATGGATAAAGGGGATTTATTGTACAGGGATTGGTAAACTATGCCTGAGAGCCAAATCCAGCCATGTGCATTCTTAAATGCATTGTCAATGTCTGCTTTAATACTGTAAGGGCAGTGTTGACTAGCTATGGCAGAGACCTTCTGGTACACAAAGCATAAGAAGTTTGTTATTTACTATATTTTTTAGTGTAAATTACTATATATATGTAAAGTGGCTTCTACAGAAAAAGTTTGCCAACCCTTGGACTTACACAAAGAACACCTGTATACCTTCCGAGAATTGTCAAAAGTTGTTAACATTTCATCATAGTTGCTTTATCTCTCTATATTTATAAATAATAAAGGGCTTATATTCATATTTTTCTGATCCATATGAAAGTAAGTTGCTGATATCATGATCTTTTCCTTCTGAACACTTTGGATACCTCTGCTAAGAATAAAGACATTCTTCTATAAAGCTGCAATGCCTTTCGCACACAAATAAATTAACAAGTATTCATAATTTTGACTAATAGCCCACAGTCATAATTTCTCAATTATCTTTAGACTCTTTCTATATTTGTTTAAAATTTAAAATCAATATCCACTCAAAGTTTTATGCATTATCTTTCATCATTACGTTTCTTCGAATTCTTCTATCTAAAACAAATCTGCCATCTTTTATTTTTTCTTTTCTCCCCCAGTTAATATTGACTTCTGGAAGAGTCTAGGCCAATGGTTTTGTAAAAAAAACTCCACATCTCTATTAATTTATATTTATTGAATTTTCTTATGGTATACTTACCCATTTTTTCCCATCTACTTTTTCTAGAAACTGAGCATTGGTTCTAAAGGCTTGCTTAGATCCACGTTAAACATTTTTGGCAAGGTCATTTTACAGCATAAAAGGAGAAAAACAAAATCAAGTTTTCCAACTGTTGATAAGGCAAAGTTTGATCATTTGGTTAAGATGATGGTCAACCTGATGTTTGCATGGAAAGGTACACATTTCTTTTTGCTATTATCTACGAGATTTCCTGGGGTGGCAAAGGAGGTAGGGGTCTTTTGGCATCATGGAATATCTGTTTCCCCTACAACTTTTTATTTAATGATTTTTTATTTCTGTGATATTGCATTCTCCCTTCCCTTCTCCTATGCTTCTGTTTCATTTGGCTGTTTCTTTATAATAAACTAGCAAATAAAAATGAAGTAACTTCCTGAGTTATGTGAGGTGCTCTAGCAAATTATCAAAACCAAGGAGAGAATTGTGGGAACCCTAGATTTACAGCTAGTCAGTCAGAAGCAGGAGAGTCCCCAGGACTCACTCTTGGCGTTTGAAATAGGAGCAGTCTTGAGAGACTGAGGCTTTCACCTATGAGGCTTGACGCTAACTCTAGGTAGTTGGTGTAGGAACTGTATTGAATTATTGAACACCCACTTAGTGCTGAGAGGTTAGAGAAGGGTTGTTGGTGTGGAAAAACCCACACATTTGATATAAAAAGTTTTGTGAGTAGAAACAGGTCATAATTCCATTGATGATCATTGCTTAAATTAATTAAAATGACTTGTTTTTCTAATTCTGTAATCTCTTCTACATATGTAAGCTGACATTCTTCTGTATAGGACAGGTTTTTTTTGTTTTTTTTTTTACCCTTTTGTTTCTCTCTCCCTTACTCCACCTCTCTCATATTATACATTTATAAATTATAAAAAATTAAATGCACTACAATAAATTATAATCTTTTTTTTGTGCTTACATTTCCAAAAATTAGCCAGTGGGAACCCCTTCCCTCTGCTCCTGTGTGTGCTGGATGCAACTCATCAGTCTTTGAGTTCTTTCTTGATTTCTGGCAAAAAAAAAAAAAAAAAAAAAAAAATCTAGTTTACCTTGTACTTTTCCACCTCAAACCTAGAATCAGCCATTCCTGTAAGGATCTCTGGCTTTTTTTTGTTGTTGGGTGATAGTATTGAGAAATCAAGATTTAGGTAATGCAGTGTTTGTTTTGTGGGGGTGCTATTTTTTCTAGACTTTTTCAATGTACACATGCATGTATAGATATGTACATAAAATTATTAGTTTGTATTAGGTGCCAGGACTCTTCTTCTTGCAAATAAAAGGTAAATAACCCAAGAGACTTAAGGCATAATAGAAATGAGAGGTATTGACTAGCCCTATAAGAGGAAGTACGGCTTTAAGAATAGCTATGTCCAGGACCTCAAATGATGCTTTACATCTTAATGGATTTCTCAGCTCTAACTTTTTTCTCTGTATTAGATTAATTCTCAGGCACTGCCACTCATATCCCCAACAAGTGATGCCAAATTCTAAAGCAGTAGTTCCACTGTACTGTAAACTGGAAAACAAAACAGCTGGAGAACTCTGAAGTTCTGTCTCCGTTACTGGGATGAGGGTTCAGCAAAGGCCATGAGGGTTTTCCTAAACTCTCACTTGTTCCTCACAATTGATAAAACTTTGTGAAAGAAGGAGTCTGTGATTTTAATGTTCTCCAATATCACTTCATTGTACTACTGTAGTCTTATTTAATGTTTTCTTTCACATTAATTGCCCTATAGTAATTCTCTATCTCCTAGGCTCTAGGCACGTTTCCCTTATCTACAAATCTTTGAGCAGGTCTCTTAGAGGCTATCAGGCACAGCACTAATGTTTGTTTGTTTGTTTGTTTGTTTGTTTGTTTTGAGACGGAGTTTCACACGTCATCCAGGCTGGAGTGCAGTGGCGCAATCTTGGCTTACTGCAACCTCTGCCTCCTGGATTCAAGTGATTCTGCTGCCTCAGCCTCCCGAGTAGCTGGGATTACAGGTGCCTGCCACCACGCCCATCTAATGTTTGTATTTTTAGTAGAGACAGGGTTTCACCATGTTGGCCAGGTTGGTCTCGAACTCCTGATCTCAGGTGATCCATTGCCTCGGCTTCCCAAAGTGCTGGGATTACAGGCATGAGCCACTGCACCCAGCCACAGCACTAGTTTTTGTTGATGTCTCTTTTAGAACTTTCATCTGCTTCTGCTTAATTACTGTGTCCCTGAAGATCTGCCAGCATTCTTCCATTCACAGCCTACTCAGTGATGCTTGGCTGATTTCTTAATTCTCCCACATCTCATGTCATAAGGCACTTTCCCATCCAAAGCTATAGAGTATGACTCTTTCTCAGAAAACTCTTATTTTCCCAGCTAAACTTAGAAGGTAATATCAACTTTAAAAAGCACCTTTGGGATCATTAGGTCTGTTCCCCAATGCACATCATTTTACCTTCAGAAAATGGAAATCCAGGAAGGGAACAGGCAGGCCTAAGATCAAACCAGAAATGACAAGAAACCATGGCCCCTAATTTGAGACTCCTACATCCTGGCCAGTTTATATTCAAGAAATGCTATCAAGCAGACCAGTAATCCAAGGGTCTGTGACAGGCATCCTCCTGAGAGGACAGTTCATGGGAAAGCAGAAAAGGGCACAAGGATGTGAAGACAGTTCTGAGGTTGGGGCTGGGGTCTCTGACTCTACATAACTGGCTTTATGACTCTGACTATGGGACTTGACTTATTGTCTGTGAGAAGTAATTAATAATATCTGACTCATCTGAGACTATTTCCACATGAGGAGCCCTTGTTACTAGAGGGATGGCATGATTTTCTCTGTCACCATCATCGGCTCCATCATAAATACTATTAAGAGAATCCCTTCTCTGAAACCAGAGTCCTGGGCTAAATCCCATCTCTGTCACTTTTAGCTGTGTGGCTTTGAGGAAACTTACTTTATTTTTTTGTATCTCAGTTTCTTTATTTACAAAACAAGGATTTCTGTTTTATGAATAGCAAAGTATAGTGGTGAAAAATGCAGTCTTAGTCTTTCTGTGTCTCATTTTTCTTATCTCTAAAATGGGAATAATAATGATAGCTCACCCATAGGGAAAGGTTAAATGAGATAATACATGTAAAATGCCTGGAACAACATCTGGTAAATAATAAGCAACCGTTTACTCTTTTTGTTTTTCTTGTTATTATTGCTTAGGTATAGGCTGAGCAGACTGTGATGTTCTGTGATTAACTGCACCTAGACTATGGGATCTAACAGGGCAGAGATTGCTTGTCACCTGTAGAGTTTGACATAAAAACTAGCATGTAAAATACTAATGAACAGATACTAGTCATTATTGTTATTGTAGTGTTGCTATGAGAATTAAATTACATCGTACATGGACACACCTAGCATGGGGCCCAGCACATAATAAACACTGCCATCAGCACTATCATTGTCATCTTCCTCATGTTCCTCAAAGCAGTCAGCTCTTTTGTGGCTACCTCAGCTCCCTGGCAGAGGTCAGGGTGGAAGCATTCATTCCTGTTAAGATAATGTTACCCCAGAGGGTAACATCCACTCAAGCAGGGGAAGAAGTTGGCCTTTATTGAAGAGTGTCTAAGCTCTTCTTTGTTTTGTTTTTGTTTTTCTTTTGAGATGGAGTGTTGTTCTCTCACCCAGGCTGGAGTGCAGTGGTGTGATCTTAGCTCACTACAACCTCTGCCTCCCAGATTTAAGCGAATCTCCTGCCTCAGACTCCCAATTAGCTGGGACTGCAGGCACACAACACCACACCTGGCTAATTTTTGAATTTTTAGTAGAGATGGGGTTCCACCATGTTGGCCAGGCTGGTATCAAACTCCTGACCTCAGGTGATCCACCCACCTCAGCCTCCCACAGTGCTGGGATTACAGGTGTGAGCCACCATGCCTGGCCTGTCTAAGCCCTTCTAATATGGTGGTGTTGAAGAAAAAATACTGGCGAAGGAATTGAGGGTTAAAATCCTCTTTTTGCCCTATTGAAGTCATGGAGTAAGCTAGAACAAGTCACTTCCCCCTAACTCTGCCTTGCCTTCCCAATACTCCTGGTGTGTCAGTTTTCCATGAAAGTGGCATGAGGTTTATGGCATGAGGAGACAAAGACAGCACTGAAGCCCTTGGTCCAGGAACTAACAACAACAAAAAATCCTGATTTGTACCATTTGCCAGTTCCTGCAGTGTAAGTACTTCCACTATGGTCAATTTCAAGTTACCAGTGTGAGTCAAATGGCTCACGGAAGTCTTCAAAATTTTAGTTATCAGCTCTGTGAGGTGATAAGAGCCAGCTCCAGCATACCAGGACAGATGTAGAAATTGCTATAATTTGGAGTTTATGAGGGGGTCCAGAGACCAACTTGCACCCCCTCATCTCCTGGAACTCCATAATATTAATAAAGGGGTCCTTTTCTTTCTTTATTTTTCATAATTACTTTTGTACGATGGGCCTCCAGGATAGAAGCTGTTTATTTATTCAGTAATTGTGTGTTGGGAACTTGCTGTGTGCCGGATTCTGACATAAGCAGTATGAAATTGAAATACTGTCTTCCCTCAAGGAGATGCATGTAAGCAAATGCTATATTAGGGTTGGAGGTATGTGTAATTTTTGTTAGAGGTGGGAGTATCTAGTTCTCCTGGGGGAGCTGGGGAAGATAAAATAAATGGCAAAGACAGTAGTTATGATGATTCATAATATTTATTGTCTGTCTCTCAGCACTGCTCCTCATGCCATAACTCAACTCAGTATAGGACTTAGCAAGTAACAGCCTCTTTGAATTTTACTTCCTTGGCCTAAATACAGCAGAATGGGGACATGGGGAAGGAAAAGAAAACAATGCCTGACCTTCTTGCTTATACAGAGTGTGTTTGTTGAAAAAGAAGATCAGAGACCTTGTAAACTGTAAGAGACTACACAAATGCAACAAGATGTTGAACCAGAGACCAGGGCTCATCAGAAATTACACCTGGACACAGGTGGACACAAACACTGATCTATTAGAGCTGGGGTACTAGGAACCTCACTCAGCTTTTGTTTGTTTCATTTCAACCAGCTTTGTTAGTTTTCCCTAATCCCCAGGCTTTTCTATAGCACTGAAATCCAAATAACAAAGTATCAAATATGTACAAGAGATTTATCTTTCTAAGATGGAAATAACTTTACTGTTTTATATGTTTATAAAAGTAAAACATAGGAGTTGTTCCAAAAAACAAATGATTCAGAAAAAAAAAATAAAAAGAAAGGTAAGTTACCTGTGATTCTGCCATTCACAGGTAAACATTGCTAACATTTTTTATATATAGCCTTCAGGAATTCAAGCACACACACCCACACACACATACACACATACTGTATTTTACAAAAAAGTAGCCATGTTTAACATGCCTGCATACACAATAATTTTTTAACTTAACATGTAATGGAGTTATTCAATGTCAGATATAGTCCGTATCTTAATTGATTATTTTGTTTTTGTATCAGATAGCTAAGAAGTGAACTAACAGGGCCAACTGATTGAAAATAAAAAAGTTGAAAGACCTACTATTTATTTAGCCTAATTCAGGAAGCATATTGAGATAAAGTTTAATTATAGAAAATATATGGACTTTATAAGATCACAGAATTTGAACCAAAATACCAACACTCACCCTGTAGTTGAAGAGCCTGACCTCTCTGAGACTTTGCTCCCTCATTTATACAATGGAAACAGTAGTGAAGAAAATACCCACTTCACAGATTGGAACGTCATTTTTATTCCCTAAACCAGTATCAGTGTCCACACAGAGTTCCAGAGATACAAAATGAATAAAGCCTGTTGGCTATTCTTCAAGAAGAAAACAATCAACAAAACAACTGTGATCCCAAAGACTAAATAAGAGTCTGGAATTCACATAACAAAGTTTAAAAGTATTGTTGGGTTATGTTAAAGAGCTACCCAAGAAAGTATCCCAGACAGCAAATCAGTTCAGACACATACTTAGCTATAGTGTGGCCTGCCTCTTAATGCATAGTGGGAAGCTCACTTCCATGGGAAGCTTTGCAGAGATAGGCTTATTAATATGCGCTTGGCATGTAACCTAATGAACCTGCCCAGCTAGACTCTCTCCGTTGCTGGGTTGCAGAATCAGTTTGGATAAGACACTTGCCCTAATTTCCTCAGTAGGAATGAGCAAATTATGAACTAAACCTTCCCTTTTGCTTAAGGTGCTCTCTGATATCAAGTTCACTTGGTAAGTCTCCCTCTAACCTTCCTTCCCATTTCAAAGCAATTTAGATATGATCAATGCTCTGAATATGGAAAGCATCAGGCAACATACTAGACCTTTCTGTAGCAACCCCACACTCACCACCTGCACATAGTCATATGTGTCTATCCTCTCTGGCCTCACAATCTCCTGTGTTTTCCTCAATATTGCATACACTACAATTATTTATTATTGGTTCCACCTCAAAGAACTGTAAAGTTACTAACAAAGTCATGTTTTCTTTAGGTCTATGTAATACCCAGCACCTAGCACTGTGACTTGTTCATAGAAGCAACTTAGTGGGTGTTTCTGGATCTGAAATGATCTGAAGCAAATAGAACCCCAATAAAACTGAGGTGCTTTGTGGACTTTACACCTCTGAATGATGTAAGAAGAAACAAGTTTGGCATCCAAAGTAATTGGAAATCAATTGAATATTGCTGGTATTTTTCTGTAAAAAAATCAAGAAGACGTTACATGGCTCAGACCACAGTAAAATGACCTAAATTATCTTTCCTATTACTCTTTGACTCTCCTCTTCAAACTTTATAAAATTCTCTAAATACAACTCATATATTGGTAGTTAGTCTCTACGCTCTCCTTCCTATTTCCTTTTCCTTTTAATATGTATGTGACAGTCTGCCCTTTCCAATGCAAACCAATCTAGCCTCTCTTGACTCCCAGCTTCATCTATTACCTTGACCAATTTCATAATAAAGCACAGATACAATAAATGCAAAATAGAACTCTTTCTTTTAAAGGACAGGGAAAGGGACATGCTGATATTTATGCACTAATATTTTAGTTATTGTGACATAAAGATCATCATAGCACAGCACAATGTAGTGGTTGTAGGTATAAGTGTTGGAAACTGAAAGACTTGAGAACTAATTCAAGGTCTGCTACTTAAAAGTTTTAATAACTTCTCTTTCTAGAAACTTGATTCTTCATTTTTTAAATAGTGTAATTTTATCTGCCCCTTTGGGTTTATTGTAAGGGAACAAATGATATATCCTGAATAAAATGTTTAGTATATTGTCTGTCAAACAAATAATGGCTCAAGAAATGGTATTATTGTTTGGCTCATAATCTGATGGGTAATAAGACGTATGTCCAGGTAAATGCAACATGAGATGTCGTAAGTACAAAAAGGTAATGATAAATTAAGTACTGAGGGCCAGTGCTGGTTTCAGAATCAGAATGATTGACTTCCTTCTTAGACTGGACTCATATCCCTGTACTGTGTGCCTGTGTTACCTATGTTTATCTGTTATTGAACACACCATTTAGTATTAACTGTAATTCTTTGGGCCTCTCTTTTCTCCACTAAATGGGGAACTCATTAACCAGTGATTTTGTCATTCTTCACCAACTAGCATACTGTGTGGAATGTAATAGATGCTCAACACATGGCTATTACATTAATAGATGTTACAGAAGATTGCATTTTCAAAAGAAAAAGGGCCACAATATCTCCCATCCTGCATGTTTCTCTTGCATTGTGATTTTAGTACTCCTGCTATCAAGACATTAAGTAGGGATGGACTTGTGAGTACAGTGGAAATGATGCTGTATGATTTCTAAATCCAGAACTCAACCTAGTCAGCATTCATGAGTAAGCCCAAACAACCCATGCAGAGATAAACTTTGGAGGAAGCTAAATTGCTGCTCCACTGCAGTTGCTGTTCCCAGACAATAATCAACATCAACTTGCCAGTCACGTGAGTGAACCACCTTGACAAAGGATCCTCCAGCCCTCAGTCAAGGGGCCCAACTTAATTCCATGTGGAGTAGGGATGAAAGATCTCTGTGTTTTACAACAATTCTTCATGGTCTTTCACATTTCTGCTTATCTTGAAAGTGATGCCCTAATTGCCATTTTGTTCTGAACTTTTAAAGCATGTTTGTATAGTGAATAGCCTTGAAAGATAGAGAGAGTCTCCCTGCAGAGCAGAGGGCATGTTTACGTGCATCCTTTTTTAAAAGATCCAGGTTTTTTAAGTTCAAGGTTCCTCCACTGTGATGCAAACCCTCTGTGTTTATAACATCATCCTGGAGCACTCAACATAAACACCGTGTGATATAGTTTGGCTCTGTGTCCCCACCCAAATCTCACCTCAAATTGTAATCCCCACTTGTCACAGGAGGGACCTGGTGGGAAGTGATTGAGTCGTGAGGGCAGACTTCCCTCTCACTATTCTCTTAATAGAGTTCTCATGAGATCTGGTTGTTTGATAAGTGAGTGGTGCTTCCCCTTTTGCGCTCTCTCCCGTTCTGACATGAGAAGAGTTACCGGCTTCCCCTTAGCTTTCCACCATGATTGTAAGTTTCCTGTGGCCTCCCCGGCCATGTGGAACTATAAGTCAATTAAACCTCTTTTATTTATAAATTACCCAGTCTAAGGTAGTTTTTTATAGGAGTGTGGGCATGGACTAATACACCATGAGACATGAGAGGGAAAGGAACCAATGTAAATATAAAACCTCGTGCTGATTTCTGTGCTATGTATAGTCCTTTGTCTCCATGCTAGGGGGTGCTTATGTCTTCTGACAACATCTGTGAAGCTGTAGCAGGCTATCTTGTTACCTTACAAGTAGGATAAAATGTCAGGCCCATCACAGTACTTGAGTTCCGTGAGTTCTAATTATAGACAGATTCATGAGTGAAATAATTGATTACTGTTGAATTAAGCACTAAGTTTTGGAATAGTTTGTTATGCAGCAATCTATACAAATGCTATATACAAATTATTTGAAATAGGGCAAGTAATTTAATTTCTCTAAGCCTCAATTGACTCCTCTATAGTTGGGAATAATATCTGCTGCAAAATTTGGTTGTGAGACTGAAATAAATGTATAAGCTATGCAGACTCTAAATCAGAGAGCCTGAGCTCAAATATTGGCTCTGTCAAAGATTAACAGTGTGACTTTCATGTAAGTTACTTGACCCCTCATATGGTTTGAATGTGCCCCTTCCAACAGATGTTAAAATGCAATGGCCATTTTGATGGTACTAAAACGTGGGGCCCCTAAGAGGTGATTATATAATGAGGGCTCCTCCTCTTATTCATGAGATTAAGGTCCTTATAAAAGAGGTTTCATACAGCAGTTGACTGGCTTGCCCTTACTCTTTCTGTTGTATGAGGACACAGTGTATGAAATGCAGCAACAAGGCACCATCTTGGAAACAGAGAGTAGCCCTAATTAGACAACAGAAGCTGCTGGTCCCTTGATCTTGAACTTCACAGCCTCCAGAAGGGTGAGAAAAAAAATTATGTGCTTTATGAATTTCCCAATCTCAGGTATTTTGTTATAGCAGCACAAAACAGACTAAGATAACTCTCCTGTGTTTCAGATTCTTCTTCTGGCAAATAGGGAAATTAATAACTTATTTGTGAGATTTTTTATGAAAAATCAGTCAATAAATGTAAAGCACTTAGAACTATTCCTAGAAGACAGTAATTACTCTGAGCCATCACATAATAATTACCATCATCACCATGACCATCAGCAGCAGCAGCAATCATCACCATCATCATCATCATCATCATCATCATCATCATCAGGATATTGAGGCTTTCTCAAGGACTTGGAATGTGAGCTGGATCATGATGAATTGGTCTTTCCCACAACAGTGAGTGTATGTCAGGGGCCATGTCCTTCATTTATTCATGGGGTCATGCACTCATCTGATCACAGAAGCATCCATTTAATTTATTAATCCATTTAATTTATTAGTCAGGATAGTCTAGATTATTCTGCCATAACAAAACACCCACAATCCAAGGAGATTAAAATGGCAAAGGTTTATTTGTCATGGTACCTGTCCATCATGAGTCAGAAGGGGATTCTCTTAGTTATATTTGCTGAGATACCTAAGCTAGTAAAACAGCCATCATTTTGGAGGTTGCCAACCACTGTGTCAAAGATAAGAGAAAATCCTAAAGGATTTCAGGACAGCAGACAAACGCATATACCATCCTTGACGCATGGACTTCTCTCAACTCAATTGCTGTAATTAGTCACATTGTTTCAACCAACATGATAGGGTCAGGAGCAACTATCCTACCATGTCCAAAATGAGGGAAAACTGGAAACAATGAGTGTATTGGTTAGCTGTATGTAAAATAATGTTGTTTAACAAAGCAACACAACAGTCAGTGTAGTATAATATTTTCTTGCTCTTGCACCTGTGGTTTCATCTGGGGTTTGGCTGATTTAAGCTAGACTTAACTAGGCTTGGTTCCAAGCTCATATTAGGTCTTGATCTACCCCATGTGTTTCCGATTTCCCATAGATTAACATCCCAGAGCAAAGATATAAACAAATTTCAATCATTTGCTTATATCACACCCATAAAGATTCATTGGCCAAAGTAAATCACTTGACCAAGTCCAACATCAATAGGGTAAGAATATATACTCCTTCCAAGAAAGTAACAAGGAAGAGGTAATTATTTACTGAATGATGATATAACAATTCTCTAACATCTAATGATGATATAACAAATCTCTAACAATTGCCCTCTTCTTTCCTTGTGAAAAAGTCTGATACATACATTGATATGGATGTGAATAGTTTGTTGGGAGTGCTCTCAGGAATAAAACCTATGAGAGAAGTCAGAAGCAGTATTGGAATGTAAGAGAAAACTGCGATGATGTTACAAAAGAGTCCTCAGCTCATAGTATAAGGAAAACTTAAGTTTGAATTGACCCAGGTGAGGCATAGAGGCTAGACTTTTGTGCCACTGAACTGACTAGCCATTTGGATTAGAGCTGTCCCTGGAAAAAGGCAATGCACACTTACATGGGGCAGCTTCCCTAGGCTGAGGAAGAGTCCTGTGGAGGGACTTAGCTGCGAATTATAAGCTAGGAGTGTTCTGTTTCAAAAAATTGGAGCAGTGGAGAACAGCACCCGTTGAATCAATCACATCCATTTCCTTCCAGTAAGTTTGCTTACCTGGGAACAAATCCTTGAGAATACTAGTTTATCTTTATTCTTGAGAAATTTTACAGAAAAAAAAGTGAATAGTTTGTCTAGTACAGCAACAACTATTTTTTTATCTCTTTCTTCTGCTACCAATTCTAGACTTCCCACATTATCTGCTAGCACTTCTGCTGTTTGAGGTGACTTACCTGCTGTAGTCAACCAGACACTCATTCCTGAGGAGTCTGAGCTCATGGTCATTTTATCTTCCTCAAGCCATGGCTGCTGTGCTTCTCCATTTACAATCAAAGTTGGGTATGTGATGGACCTGTGAATCAATTAGATGACAAATGTATGTGTCCCTACCCCATTGTCTAGCAACATAACTACCTCCTTCTGGTGACTCGGGTCAATTACTTCTGCCAGGATGATGACTCTTTACCTGACTGTCTCTTGTCACAGGGACTTGTACTTATCAAGCCACAGCCACTGCATAAAGTGTCATGGCGGCTCTTATTGTACTCCAGAGAGAGGCATTAACCAATGAGAATGATGATCTCTAGTGTTAACAGAGCATAGAATGACTAGGACTGGAAATACTCATTTCCAAAGTGTCTAATGTGGCCCAAAGTGCTGAGCCACTCCTATTTCACCTCTTGGTTTATGAATATGTATACTTTACCTTTTGGGGATGAAGTACCATATAATGATGGTTGATGCAAGTTTACACTCCTTCCTGGAGGGTGGTATTTCATCATCACAGAGTAGTATCTCCAGGATAGCATCCTAGCTATGCCATCTCTTTATAAGGCTGATAGATTTGGGGTGATGTATAGTATGTGATGTAGCCAGTGAAACATGTACCTATGTTCACCTTCGGTGAGCTAAAGGTGGGGACCCTTGATCCAATGTGGTGTTATGCAGCTTCACATGCTAGTGAACCAAACCATCTATAAGTTCTTGGAAAATTTTGCTGACTGAGGCCCTTAAGGGAGAAAATATGAACTCATACTCAGAATATGTGTAAATTCAAGTCAAAATCATTCACCCAGCTTGGGTAATATGGTGAAACACCATCTCCACAAAAAGTACAAAAATTATCCTAGCATGGTGGCACATGCCTGCAGTCCCTGCTACTTGGGAGTCTGAGGTGGAAGGATCACCTAAGCCCAAGAGATTGAGACTGCAGTAAGCTGAGATCACGCCACAGCACTCCAGCCTGATCAACAGGGGGTTGCTCTGTTTCAAAAACAAACAAACAAACACAAAAACAATTACTCGCCTCCCTTTCCCATTGTAATCAACGTTCCATCAAGTATTTAATTGGTCATCTTGAGAGAAGGTGCCGTCTGGAGTCTCATCATTTGTATTTGTTGCTGGCAGGTTGAATACTGGGTGGCAGTAGTAGCTAAATGAGCCACAGTAAAAGGTAGCTATGCTCAGTTCCCCATGAATGGCTTCTATGCCTGCCACCATGGCTATTCCACTCAGGTGTCCACCGTGTTAGCTGGTCTAGCTGGCCACATTACCTCTTTTCTTGGTTATTTAATACCTCCTGCCTGATAAACACTCTCTATGTTGCATACAAATGTGATACTAAGATTTTCCCAATTTGTGCTTAATGAGCAAGTTGAACAATTCACAAGTACCCATGAAGATGTGTGTTCAACCCACTTCTCTTTCCATTCAAGGTGTTCCACTTTCCACTGAACTTCTCAAGTGCCTGAGATATATTCACTTGCCAGAACATTCCTTCCTACAGTTATTCTATCCCAGTACATCAGCTGTAAAAATGTTTCAAGTTGTACTGCTCCAGCATGCCAAGGGTTATCCACACTCCCCCTGCCACTAGTGACTGGATCTTCATTGTCAGTCAGTAGATGACTGATCCAGATCTAACATCTCATTCTACATTCTGCTTTCTTAGACCACTCCTGGATCCAACTTTCTTTGATTGTGTTTTCTGGCAACTCACCATAATATAGACATTATTCTTAGAGGAAATTTGTTAGCAGTACTCTCAGTTATGACATGTATGTGAATGAAGGAAGTAGGGTTAGAAAAAGACGATGAAGGGTGATGAAATTCAAATGAGACTTCAGCTGATCCAGTAGGGAAGTCTGGGTCTAAAATGACCGTTTTTTTTTTTTTTTTTTTTTTTTTTTTTGAGACAGAGTCTCGCTCTGTCAGCCAGGCTGGAGTGCAGTGGCACGATCTCTGCTCACTGCAAGCTCTGCTTCCCCGGTTCACACCATTCTCCTGAGCGTCCCAAGTAGCTGGGACTACAGGCGCCTGCCACCATGCCTGGCTATTTTTTTGTATTTTTAGTAGAGATGGGGTTTCACCATGTTAGCCAGGATGGTCTTGATCTCCTGACCTTGTATTCAGCCCGCCTCGGCCTCCCAAAGTGCTGGGATTACAGGCATGAGCCACTGTGCCCGACCTAAAATGACTCTTTAGATTTGTCTCTAGTTGAAGCAATGCGGCTATCTTAAGTGGGGAAGGGATGTGTACTTGGTGAGGCAGCTTCCCTACGCTGATGGTAATTTTTTGGAAGAGCCTCAGCTGTGAGCCATCAGGAGGCAACAGTCCTTATGGAAGAAACTGAGTACTGTGGTCCTGCCTGAGGGGGTAGGGCAGCATGGTATCCACTAAAATGATAAATATTCACATTATCTATACCTACAAAATACACTGATACAACCCTAAGATGTCTTCCTAACCTCATTGAATCAGGGCGTACTCAAATCCAGAATCATACATTAAACGCATTTTGCACCATCTCTTGGTAGAGTGACTAATGAATAAAAAGACAAGGTGTTTGCCCTACTTACATTTGACACATAGTATTGGGACATGGACAGGATAACCACAACAAACACAAGGAGAATGGGAGGTACATAGCTGTAAACAGTTCTGGGCAATGCTGAAATCTCACTGGGCAAACCGTGCCTGGTTCTTTGATTAGATCTCCTTGTGATTTCTGGAAGTGACTCCTCAGTCCACTGTTCTCCATGGTTCATGGTTTTACTGTGTGAGAAATCCTCCTCCTTGGTCGCTTCTGAAGACGGAATTAAAGAATATATCCTTTTGGTATGTGAGCATATTTCTCAGCCTGCTTCTTCCTTGTAGAAAGTTACGATACCAGAGCTATTTTTATATCAACAGTGTCAGTCTCTCTCAGTTTCTGTCTCAGTCTCTTTTCTTTTAGTCAGGATAAATGTGGGTTTCTCAAAACCTTTGTGGGTTTTTAAAAGAAAAAATTCTGATTTATTCTTTTTTATTGTGATACGAACACTTCACCTGAGATCTATCCTTTTAAGATTGTTTTAGGTGTACAGTACAGTATTGTTGACTGTAGGCACAATGTTGTACAGCGAGTCTCTAGAACTTAATTTTATCATGTTTAACTAAAACGTTATATCCATGGAATATCAGCTCCCCATCTACCCCTCCTCCCAGCCCCTGGAAACATTTCACTCCGTGATTCTCTCCTCTGAATTTGAATATTTTAAATAACTCATATAAGTGATATCATGCCATATACGCCTTTCTGTGACTGGAATATTTTACTTAGGATAATGTCCTCAAGGTGCTCCCACGTTACCAAATATGACAAGGTTTCCTTCTTTTTAAGGTGGAACAACATTCCAACTTATGCATATAATTGTAGTGCAATGAGCATGAGAGTTCAAATGTCTCTTCAAGATCCTGATTTTAATTCTTTTGAATAAATACTCAAAAGTGATATTGGTGGATTATATGGTATTTCTGTTTTTTTGTTTGTTTTGTTTTGTGTGTGTGTATGTGTGTGTATAACTTCCCTACTGTTTTCCATAATGGCTGCACCATTTTACGTTCCACCAACAGTGTATAAGCGTTCCAATTTCTCTGAATCCTCAACAATAGTTGTCATCTTTTGTTTTTGTTTGTTTGCTTGTTTGTTTTGATAACAGCAATCCAACAAGTGTGACAATCCCACCTCTGAGTAGATATAGAGCTGCTCTTCATGTCTCTCTCTTTCTCCTTAAAACTGATAGCTGCCTAACTCACATTCCTCTCATGGTAGAAGGAAGGAATGCACAAAAAGAGCGGAGCGCAGCTGGGTGCGGTGGCTCACACCTGTAATCCCAGCCCTTTGGGAGGCCGAAGCGGGCAGATCACGAGGTCGAGAAATCGAGACCATCCTGGCTAATACGGTGAAACCCTGTCTCTACTAAAAATACAAAAAAATTAGCCGGGCGTGGGGGTGGGCACCTGTAGTCCCAGCTACTCGGGAGGCTGAGGCAGGAGAACGGCATGACCCGGGAGGCGGAGCTTGCAGTGAGCTGAGATCACACCATTGCACTCCACACTCCAGCCTGGGCAACAGAGTGAGACTCCGCCTCAAAAAATAAAAAACAAAAAAAAAGAGCCAAGCGCACAAGCACATTTCTAGCCTTTGCTTGTGTCGTGTCCACTAACATCTAAATTACATCATGGCCAGGGCTACTGTTGCTGGGGCAAAGAAATACATTTCTCCCATGAAGGTGAAGAGGGTGAGAGTGATTATTTACCAAGCATAATCTAGTATACCATTTGTGTCAAATAACACTAATAAATGTTACATGCATTTATGTAATTATTTTTTATTGAGTTCGTATTAAGTGACAGGCACTGTATTAAATGCTAAGGTTGTAGAGATAAAGAAATAATTCTAACTTTTTTTTTTTGGCATGAAAAATCAAGTACATTCTATTAATTAAAATCCAGAGACAAAAGTGTAGTGACAGACCTGCACAAGCAACTATAGGAGCGAAAAGGGAGACTTGGTTTTTTGCTTGTTTGTGGTTATTTTGACCAAACCTTAGAGGATGGTGGATCAGAGAAAAACTTTGCTAGAGGAGGTAAGACACAATTATTGAGCAAAATCTTGAGGAAACATTAGGGGATAGAATGGTGAAGAAAACAAAGAAAAACATTCCAATGAAAGGAAATTGTGAGTGGAAAAATATAAAATATAGCGATATGAGAGAACTGTAAAATCTAGGAAAATCATAGGAAGAAAATTCTCAAGATGCTAGCAGAATACTAGTCATGCTTATGTTCCAAGCTAGAAAACAGAACTTAATTTTGCAGGATATTAAGTATTCTCTGTATTTAATTTTCCCCAGAGGCTAGCTCATAGAAAGGATTAATAAATGCTCAGTGAATTTTTGGTCATGCATTCATTCTCTTCGGGGCATTAACATACTATTTACTGCTTTTTTGAGCTATGTGTGTCCCCTGCACTCACTATTTATAAAATTTTAATTTTCTTTCAATACTCAAGCATATCTAAACCAGTATAGTTATTTTCATTCTCTACATTATTGTCATTACTATCATCATCATCATCAACATCGATTTGCATTTCATTTAATCTTTACAACAACAATATCATATAGGATCTATTGTTTAAACCATTTTTATAAATGATAAAATTGAGGCTTAGGGAAGTTATCTCTCTTTCTCAAGAACACACAGGTAATAAGTTGAAAAGGAAGTAGAATCAGAGCTGTCTGATTTCAGTGCTATTTATTATAGGTGAGGAGAAAGATTCAAACAAAAAAATCAAGTGTTTGAGAAGTGTCTCTAATATTAATCCACACTGGGGCCAGTAGATCAATCTAATAGGGCCATCAACAAAATACAAATGAAGACCTTTATCCTGCAGAAAAAGGGTTAGTTATTTCTGATCAAGCCTTTAAGGAAGGTCTGAAAGGACAGAGAATGGAGTATTTCAACTGGCCCTTGAAGAATGCGTAGACTCTCAACAAGCAAAGGAGTGATGGATGGAAGAATCTTCCAGGAAGAGAATATAGCTAGATTAATGGCTTTCAGAATAAAAAACAAAGAGCATTCTTGAAGAGACTTGAATGATCCTATCTGGATGCAGGAGAATGAAGTAGTGAGATGCAAGATCCCAGAGAGTTTTTTGAATGTCAGGGCCATTGAATATTCACCGACAGACATTCATATACTCACACAGAGAGTTGCTCCCCTCCTCTATGGAATTTTTACATTTACTAGATGCAGGGCAGATATCCATGGCCATGACATAGATAGAGAGATGGATAAAGAGGTAGAGATATACATTCAGCTACATAGAGGCAAAAAGATATGAATAGATTAATAATAATATAGCTACAACCTTGAATAATTCTTTATGTGGTAAAATGGTGAAAAAAAATTGTCACTGCTATAGAGGTTATATTAGAGACCATAAATCAAGTACTACATTACTGATGCACTATATATTGCGTATATACTATAATAGAAAATAAACCTGTGCCACCTAATGAACCATTATTTTAATATTCCACTTGAGCCTTAAGAGCAATATGTTGCCATAGAAACCTGAGTCTGTCTAGTCATTAGTGCCTTGTTTTCTTTTTTCCCCCACATACAGGAATTTGAGTGTAATGTTGTTCTCCCAGCAAGAATTAAATTAGCAATTATTCACCTGAAAATAGCATCAACAGGATCTAAGCAAACACCCAGCACTAATGATTTGCTACATCCACACATCCACATACATTTTCTTTGAATTATGCTGTGATCATGAGAATCCAGTGTAGCTCATACATGCATTGAATGCTTGAAGAGGAGAGACCATGAAGACAGACTTTGCTATGTTGAGACAGGAGAGTGCATTTGGTGAACAAAATCCAACTTCTCAATGAATTTTTTTAATGATTTTTCCCTAACTGGGTAAGATCTTTCTACCCTATGAAGCTCCCCAAGCACGTTTTTTCTAAATCTCTCTTATCCATGGGTTATCTTATTTTTTGACATGTATATCATGTTATCTGCCCAGGATCTACTCTCCTTTCTCCTGGTAAACAGTGTCTTGATTTTCTTTTAGAGAAATATGTCTGGTTAGTTCACACAGTGTTAATGGAATTCTTTTTATTTTATTTTATTTTATTTTATTTTATTTTATTATTATTATACTTTAAGTTTTAGGGTACATGTGCACAATGTGCAGGTTTGTTACATATGTATACATGTGCCATGTTGGTGTGCTGCACCCATTAACTCATCATTTAGCATTAGGTATATCTCCTAATGCTATCCCTCCCCCCTCCCCCCACCCCACAACAGTCCCTGGAGTGTGATGTTCCCCTTCCTGTTTCCATGTGTTCTTATTGTTCAGTTCCCACCTATGAGTGAGAACATGCGGTGTTTGGTTTTTTGTCCTTGTCATAGTTTGCTGAGAATGATGGTTTCCAGTTTCATCCATGTCCCTACAAAGGACATGAACTCATCATTTTTTATGGCTGCATAGTATTCCATGGTGTATATGTGCCACATTTTCTTAATCCAGTCTATCGTTATTGGACATTTGGGTAGGTTCCAAGTCTTTGCTATTGTGAATAGTGCTGCAATAAACATACGTGTGCATGTGTCTTTATAACAGCATGATTTATAATCCTTTGGGTATATACCCAGTAATGGGATGGCTGGGTCAAATGGTATTTCTAGTTCTAGATCCCTGAGGAATTGCCACACTGACTTCCACAATGGTTGAACTAGTTTACAGTCCCACCAACAGTGTAAAAGTGTTCCTATTTCTCCACATCCTCTCCAGCACCTGTTGTTTCCTGACTTTTTAATGATCGCCACTCTAACGGGTGTGAGATGGGATCTCATTGTGGTTTTGATTTGCATTTCTCTGATGGCCAGTGATGATGAGCATTTTTTCACGTGTTTTTAGGCTGTGTAAATGTCTTCTTTTGAGAAGTGTCTGTTCATATCCTTTGCCCACTTTTTGATGGGGTTGTTTGTTTTTTTCTTGTAAATTCATTTGAGTTCATTGTAGATTCTGGTTATTAGCCCTTTGTCAGATGAGTAGGTTGTGAAAATTTTCTCCCATTTTGTAGGTTGCCTGTTCACTCTGATGGTGGTTTCTTTTGCTGTGCAGAAGCTCTTTAGTTTAATTAGATCCCATTTGTCAATTTTGGCATTTGTTTCCATTGCTTTTGGTGTTTTAGACATGAAGTCTTTCCCCATGCCTATGTCCTGAATGGTAATGTCTAGGTTTTCTTCTAGGGTTTTTATGGTTTTAGGTCTAACATTTAAGTCTTTAGTCCATCTTGAATTAATTTTTGTATAAGGTGTAAGGAAGGGGTCCAGTTTCAGCTTTCTACATATGGCTAGCCAGTTTTCCCAGCACCATTTATTAAATAGGGAATCCTTTCCCCATTTCTTGTTTTTCTCAGGTTTGTCAAAGATCAGATGGTTGTAGATATGCGGCATTATTTCTGAGGGCTCTGTTCTGTTCCATTGATCTATATCTCTGTTTTGGTACCAGTACCATGCTGTTTTGGTTACTGTAGCCTTGTAGTATAGTTTGAAGACAGGTAGCATGATGCCTCCAGCTTTGTTCTTTTGGCTTAGGATTGACTTGGCAGTGCGGGCTCTTTTTTGGTTCCATATGAACTTTAAAGTAGTTTTTTCCAATTCTGTGAAGAAAGTCATTGGTAGCTTGATGGGGATGGCATTGAATCTATAAATTACCTTGGGCAGTATGGCCATTTTCACGGTATTGATTCTTCCTACCCATGAGCATGGAATGTTCTTCCATTTGTTTGTATCCTCTTTTATTTCCTTGAGCAGTGGTTTGTAGTTCTCCTTGAAGAGGTCCTTCACATCCCTTGTAAGTTGGATTCCTAGGTATTTTATTCTCTTTGAAGCAATTGTGAATGGGAGTTCACTCATGATTTGGCTCTCTGTTTGTTATTGGTGTATAAGAATGCTTGTGATTTTTGCACATTGATTTTGTATCCTGAGACTTTGCTGAAGTTGCTTATCAGCTTAAGGAGATTTTGGGCTGAGACAATGGGGTTTTCTAGATATACAATATGTCATCTGCAAACAGGGACAATTTGACTTCCTCTTTTCCTAATTGAATACCCTTTATTTCCTGCTCCTGCCTAATTGCCCTGGGCAGAACTTCCAACACTATGTTGAATAGGAGTGGTGAGAGAGGGCATCCCTGTTTTGTGCCAGTTTTCAAAGGGAATGCTTCCAGTTTTTGCCCATTCAGTATGATATTGGCTGTGGGTTTGTCATAGATAGCTCTTATTATTTTGTGATATGTCCCATCAATACATAATTTATTGAGAGTTTTTAGCATGAAGGGTTGTTGAATTTTGTCAAAGGCCTTTTCTGCATCTATTGAGATAATCATGTGGTTTTTGTCTTTGGCTCTGTTTATATGCTGGATTACATTTATTGATTTGTGTATCTTGAACCAGCCTTGCATCCCAGGGAGGAAGACCACTTGATCATGGTGGACAAGCTTTTTGATGTACTGCTGGATTTGGTTTGCCAGTATTTTATTGAGGATTTTTGCATCAACGTTCATGAAGGATATTGGTCTAAAATTCTCTTTTTTGGTTGTGTCTCTGCCAGGCTTTCGTATCAGGATGATGCTGGCCTCATAAAATGAGTTAGGGAGGATTCCTTCTTCTTCTATTGATTGGAATAGTTTCAGAAGGAATGGTACCAGCTCCTCCTTGTACCTCTGGTAGAATTCGGCTGTGAATCCATCTGGTCCTGGACTTTTTTTGGTTGGTAAGCTATTGATTATTGCCTCAATTTCAGAGCCTGTTATTGGTCTATTCAGAGATTCAAATTCTTCCTGGTTTAGTCTTGGGAGGTTGTATGTGTCGAGGAATTTATCCATTTCTTCTAGATTTTCTATTTTATTTTTGTAGAGGTGTTTGTAGTATTCTCTGATGGTAGTTTGTATTTCTGTGGGATTGGTGGTGATATCCCCTTTATCATTTTTTATTGCATCTATTTGATTCTTCTGTCTTTTTTTTATTATTATTATACTTTAGGTTTTAGGGTATGTGTGCACAATGTACAGGTTAGTTACATATGTATACATGTGCCATGCTGGTGTGCTGCACCCATTAACTCCTCATTTAGCATTAGGTATATCTCCTAATGCTATCCCTCCCCCCACCCCCACCCCACAACAGTCCCCAGAGTGTGATGTTCCCCTTCCTGTGTCCATGTTTTCTCATTCTTCAATTCCCACCTATGAGTGAGAACATGCGGTGTTTGGTTTTTTGTCCTTGCGATTGTTTACTGAGAATGATGATTTCCTATTTCATCCATGTCCCTACAAAGGACATGAACTCATCATTTTTTATGGCTGCATAGTATTCCATGGTGTATATGTGCCACATTTTCTTAATCCAGTCTATCATTGTTGGACATTTGGGTTGGTTCCAAGTCTTTGTTATTGTGAATAGTGCTGCAATAAACATACATGTGCATGTGTCTTTATAGCAGCATGATTTATAGTCCTTTGGATATATATCCAGTAATGGGATGGCTGGGTCAAATGGTATTTCTAGTTCTAAACCCCTGAGGAATCGCCACACTGACTTCCACAATGGTTGAACTAGTTTACAGTCCCACCAACAGTATAACAGTGTTCCTATTTCTCCACATCCTCTCCAGCACCTGTTGTTTCCTGACTTTTTAATGATCACCATTCTAACTGGTGTGAGATGGGATCTCATTGTGGTTTTGATTTGCATTTCTCTGATGGCCAGTGATGATCATTTTTTCATGTGTCTTTTGGCTTCATAAATGTCTTCTTTTGAGAAGTGTCTGTTCATATCCTTTGCCCCCTTTTTCATGGGCTTGTTTTTTTCTTGTAAATTTGTTTGAGTTCATTGTAGATTCTGGATATTAGCCCTTTGTCAGATGAGCAGATTGAGAAAATTTTCTCCCATTTTGTAGGTTGCCTGTTCACTCTGATGGTAGTTTCTTTTGCTGTGCAGAAGCTCTTTAGTTTAATTAGATCCTATTTGCCAATTTTGGCTTTTGTTGCCATTGATTTTGGTGTTTTAGACATGAAGTCCTTGCCCATGCCTATGTCCTGAATGGTAATGATTCTTCTCTCTTTTCTTCTTTATTAGTCTTGCTAGTGGTCTATCAATTTTGTTGATCTTTTCATAAAAACCACCTCCTGGATTCTTTAATTTTTTGAAGGGTCTTTGTGTCTTTATTTCCTTCAGTTCTGCTCTGATTTTAGTTATTTCTTGCCTTCTGCTAGCTTTTGAATGTGTTTGCTTTTGCTTTTCTAGTTCTTTTAATTGTGGTGTTGGGTGTCAATTTTGGATCTTTCCTTCTTTCTCTTGTGGGCATTTAGTGCTATAAATTTCCCTTTACACACTGCTTTGAATGTGTCCCAGAGATTCTGGTATGTTTTGTCTTTATTCTTATTGGTTTCACAGAACATCTTTATTTCTGCCTTCATTTCGTTATGTACCCAGTAGTCATTCAGGAGCAGGTTGTTCAGTTTCCATGTAGTTGAGTGGTTATGAGTTTCTTAATCCTGAGTTCTAGTTTGATTGCACTGTCGTCTGAGAGACAGTTTGTTATAATTTCTGTTCTGTTACATTTGCTGAGGAGTGCTTTACTTCCAATTATGTGGTCAATTTTGGATAGGTGCAGTGTGGTGCTGAAAAAAATGTATATTCTGTTGATTTGGGGTGGAGAGTTCTGTAGATGTCTATGAGGTCTGTTTAGTACAGAGCTGAGTTCAATTCCTGGGTATCCTTGTTAACTTTCTGTCTCATTGATCTGTCTCATGTTGACAGTGGGGTGTTAAAGTCTCCCATTATTATTGTGTGGGATTCTAAGTCTCTTTGTAGGTCACTAAGGACTTACTTTATGAATCTGTGTGCTCCTGTATTGGGTGCATATATATTTAGGATAGTTAGCTTCTCTTGTTGAATTGATCCCTTTACCATTATGTAATGGCCCTCTTTGTCTCTTTTGTTCTTTGTTGGTTTAAAGTCTGTTTTATCAGAGACTAGGATTGCAACCCCTGCCTTTTTTTGTTTTTCATTTGCTTGGTAGATCTTCCTCCATCCCTTTATTTTGAGCCTATGTGTGTCTGTGCACGTGAGATGGATTTCCTGAATACAGCACACTGATGGGTCTTGACTCTTTATCCAGTTTGCCAGTCTGTGTCTTTTAATTGGAGCATGTAGCCCATTTACACTTTAAGTTAATATTGTTATGTATGAATTTGGTCCTGTCGTTATGATGTTAGCTGGTTATTTTGCTCGTTAGTTGATGCAGCTTCTTCCTAGCCTTGATGGTCTTTACATTTTGGCATGTTTTTGCAGTGGCTGGTACCTTTTGTTCCTTTCCATGTTTAGTGCTTCCTTCAGGAGCTCTTTTAGGGCAGGCCTGGTGGTGACAAAATCTCTCAGCATTTGCTTGTCTGTAAAGGATTTTATTTCTCCTTCACTTAGGAAGCTTAGTTTGGCTGGATATGAAATTCTCTTTGAAAATTCTTTTCTTTAAGAATGTTGAATATTGGCCCCCACTCTTCTGGCTTGTAGAGTATCTGCCAAGAGATCAGCTGTTAGTCTGATGGGCTTCCCTTTGTGGGTTACCCAACCTTTCTCTCTGGCTGCCCTTAACATTTTTTCCTTCATTTCAACTTTGGTGAATCTGACAATTATGTGTCTTGGGGTTGCTCTTCTCGAGGAGTATCTTTGTGGCATTCTCTGTATTTCCTGAATCCAAATGTTGGCCTGCCTTGCTAGATTGGGGAAGTTCTCCTGGATAATATCCTGCAGAGTGTTTTCCAACTTGGTTCCATTCTCCCCATCACTTTCAGGTACACCAATCAGACCTAGATTTGGTCTTTTCACATTTTCCCATATTTCTTGGAGGCTTTGTTCGTTTCTTTTTATTTGTTTTTCTCTAAACTTCCCTTCTTGCTTCATTTCATTCATTTCATCTTCCATCACTGATACCCTTTCTTCCACTTGATCGCATCGGCTCCTGAGGCTTCTGCATTCTTCATGTAGTTCTTGAGCCTTGGCTTTCAGCTCCATCAGCTCCTTTATGGACTTCTCTGCATTGGTTATTGTAGGTATCCATTCGTCTAATTTTTTTTTCAGAGTTTTTAACTTCTTTGCCTTTGGTTTGAATTTCTTCCTGTAGCTCAGAGTAGTTTGATCATCTGAAGCCTTCTTCTCTCAACTCATCAAAGTTATTCTCCATCCAGCTTTGTTCCATTGTTGGTGAGGAGCTGTGTTCCTTTGGAGGAGGAGAGGCGCTCTGCTTTTTAGAGTTTCCAGTTTTTCTGCTCTGTTTTTTCCCCATCTTTGTGGTTTTATCTACTTTTGGTCTTTTAGGATGGTGACGTATAGATGGGTTTTTGGTGTAGATGTCCTTTCTGTTTGTTAGTTTTCCTTCTAACAGAGAGGACCCTCAGCTGCAGGTCTGTTGGAGTTTGCTAGAAGTCCACTCCTGACCCTGTTTGCCTGGGTATCAGCAGCGGTGGCTGCAGAACAGCAGTGGCTGTAGAACAGTGGATATTGGTGAACCACAAATGCTGCTGCCTGATTGTTCCTCTGGATGTTTTGTATCAGAGAAGTACCTGGCCGTGTGAGGTGTCAGTCTGCCCCTACTGGGGGGTGCCTCCCAGTTAGGCTGCTCGGGGGTCAGGGACCCACTTGAGGGGGCAGTCTGCCCGTTCTCAGATCTCCAGCTGTGTGCTGGGAGAACCACTACTCTCTTCAAAGCTGTCAGACCGGGACATTTAAGGCTGCAGAGGTTACTGCTGTCTTTTTGTTTGTCTATGCCCTGCCCCCAGAGGTGGAGCCCACAGAGGCAGGAAGGCCTCCTTGAGCTGTGTGGGCTCCACCCAGTTCGAGCTTCCTGGCTGCTTTGTTTACCTAATCAAGCCTGGGTAATGGCAGGCACCCCTCCCCCAGCCTGGCTGCCACCTTGCAGTTTGATCTCAGACTGCTGTGCTAGCAATCAGCAAGACTCCGTGGGTGTAGGATCCTCCGAGCCAGATGTGGGATATAATCTCCTGGTGTGCCGTTTTTTAAGCCCGTTGGAAAAGTGCTGTATTAGGGTGGGAGTGACCCGATTTTCCAGGTGCCGTCTATCACCCCTTTCTTTGACTAGGAAAGGAAACTCCCTGACCCCTTGCACTTCCCGAGTGAGGCAATGCCTCGCCCTGTTTCAGCTCGCACACAGTGGGCTGCACCCACTGACCTGCACCCACTGTCTGGCACTCCCTAGTGAGATGAACCCGGTACCTCAGATGAAAATGCAGAAATCACCCGTATTCTGCGTCGCTCACGCTGGGAGCCATAGACCCGAGCTGTTCCTATTCAGCCATCTTGGCTCCACCCCCCTTAATGGAATTCTTAAAAGAGGTGCATTAACTTCTTATAGCAGATTCTATTAATCTCTGTCCCATATCCCTTTGAACCCTGTAGGTTTTCCACAATAGGAGCTCATTTGCTTGCCAACCAGAGCAATCCAGAAGTGGGGAATCAGAGGTTTTCTACATAGTTTATGATAACGTCTTTTCTTCTTTCCCTGTCTCACTATCCCTGTTTTCTCACTTCCATTTAGTTCCTGTCATCACCCTGCAAATAAACTACAAGCACTCAAGTTTTTGATTCCGGATTTGCTACTGGAGAAATCCCAATTAAGACACCTCTTGTGACTTAGATGTTATATGTGACACAAATTCAGCCAGTTTAGCCCATCCTCCATGCATGACTTTAAATTTGGAGCAGTGATGAAATGATGGAGAATGGTTGGTGTTGGCTGACTAACTTTACTGACCCTCAGACACTGCCCTGCTTCCAATGCCTGCAGAGGGTTCTGGTTAGCTGTCCTTTCCAAGGCCTGATGGTCTAGCTTTTCCTTAAAGTCTGTAAGCTAAAATATATATTTTCCAAAAAAATTTTCTTCTTGGTTTAACCTTGGTGAAACTAGTTTCTTTTCCCTGCAATCAAGAGCCCTAACTTGCACCTTTCCTATTTCTTGATTTAACACATATATTTTGAGGCCCAACTATGAGCCAAGAGACCCTGTATCTGTGTACATGGAGGTGGAGCTATGGAAGAGTAGTACTTTTTTTTTCATGAGACAATGCTCAGGATTTTTATAAAAGAAGACTCTCTGTCTTAGGGTTTGGCTGGGGAATAGTTTGTAATTAGTTAAGTGGTAGGAGGTGAGGATGGAGACATTCTATGTCATGAGAGTCTGGTCAGTAATACTAAGGGGTTTAAACTACCTGAATGCTGAAACTGAGACATACTTGGATGAAAAGATGAGAAATGGGGGGTAGTCATTAGGATACCCTCTATTTTCTCAGGACGGTAAATGGTCAGGCCTTCTGCTGAGGGAGTGGGAGTACAGAGAAGAATTAGATACCTGAAGCATGTCAAAATGGTGTTTAGGACAGTTCCTGAAGAGTTGTGATAGGAATGAACAATGGGTAACTAGATGGCTTCAAATAGATTAACAATCAATCATTTCTACTTTATAGTTCCTTGTGCTGACCATGCAGCAGGAGTGGTACATGGTGGTAGTTCTCAAACTTGAATGTGCATCAGAGCACTTCAGAATCACCTGATTCTAAAGCACAGCCTTCTGAGCCTCATCACAAGAGTTTCTAATTTGGTAGGTTTCAGTGGGGACTGATAATTTGCATTTCTTACAAGTTCTCAAGAGATACCCATGCTGAACCACACTTTGAGGACCATTTACATATGGACACTGTCCTTGAAGACCCTATGTTACGACGAGGGGATAGAAATAAATCACTGTGAATCAAGGAGACCTCATGGCTCTCTTCAGTCACTCAAGGGCTGCAAAAAGGGCAAGGGAACGTTACCCTGACCATGTCTAGCTTATTATGGATGAAGACCTAATTCTTCAGTCATTAACTTAACCATTCATTCAACATGCTTGGAGGTTCTGTTACATAACAGATATTATGATTGGTATAGGGGCACAGATACAAACATGCACACCTTCAGCCTGCAAAACTCTCAGTTTAGGTGAGGAGACAGATGTATAAATGATCAGGTGTGATAAAAAGTTCTAGGCACTGTGATAGGAGTCCATAGAAGCCACAGCAGGGGCATGTAAGTTGGAACAAACCAGTACTATGGCAAGAAGGAAAAAGATTATCAGGAAAAATGTTATAATAAAGTGATCCTGACTGAATTATGAAAAGTGAATGCTTATTTTTAGATGATTTAAGGGATGGGATCAATTTTCCAGAGAGAAAAGCAGGAGCAAAGGCCCAGAAGCCTGAATGTGCAGTTCTATGTAGTAAGATGTAAGTAAGTGACAGTTCACATGCATAGGAGTACACAGAGGGATGAGGCTGAGGCCAGATCAGGGGATGTATGGGGTGGAGGGCCTTGAGCAGTTGAGGTGGTATTGTGGTATGTTGCCAAGTGTACCAAAGACTTTAACAAAGGACTGGGCCAGATTATCTTTGAGGTCTCTCCCAGCTCCAAGCATCTGTGAATTTATTATTCTCAATGTTTAGGGATGGAATATAAATTAGGAGGTTATTGCTGTAAGTCTTCAAGGTAATAGTTGATAATAGTAGATAAGCATTTGTTGATAAACAGACAAAAACTAATGGATTTGTGAGCCATTTTAGAAATGTAAGGCAGAGGGTATGGTAACACTAAATGCAAGTATATGAAAGAGGAAAGAATAAAAACTGATGCCCTTATTCCTTTTATCTAATGTGTTTTTATACCCATTAACCAAACTCTCTTCACCCCCTTTGATATGGTCTGGCTCTGTGTCCCCACCCAAATCTCATCTTGAGGTGTGAATCAGAAGTGTAATCCCCATATGTTGGGGAAGGGACCTCATGGGAGATGATTTAATCATGGGGGTGGTTTCCTCCATGCTGTTCTCATTATAGTGAGTGAGTTCTCATGAGATCCAATGGTTTTATAGGGGACTTTCACTCTCTTTGCTCTGCACTTCTTTTTCCTGCCGCAATTTGAAGAAAGACATGTTTGCTTCCCCTTCTGCCATGATTGTAAGTTTCCTGAGGCCTCCCCAGCAATGCAGAACTGGGAGTAAATTAAACCTCTTTTCTTTATAAATTGCCCAGTCTTGCATATTTCTTCATAGCAGCATGAGAAGGAACAAATTCACCCTCCTCCCCACTACCCTTCCTAGCCTCTAGTAATCACTATTCTACTCTTTACTCCACTATGTATCCATAAAAAAATTAAGAACAACTATAAAAATGTCCAGTTTCTGGCTTGAGGATTTAGACAGCTGTTGGAAACATTCAGTGGGATCGGGAATATAGCAATAGAAAGAAATTATACGGGGGACAAACTCCCCCTTCTCTTTTTGAGATAAAAATGTAGTTGAAGGCAATGGTGGAGAGAAAAGGAGGCTCATGAATAAAGGAATTGTTAATATTTGGGGACAAGAAAAGGAAAAAAAGGCAAAAAACAAAAACTCCAAGTCAAGGGAATGCCAGTCCCATTTAAGAGTAATCAGTCTGAATTAAAACAAGCTGTGGTCTTTGGAGCTCTGAATCACGAGCAACCTAGCCCCAATGGGAGAAGAATGGGAGAGGAAGAGGGTGAGCATGGGTGAGACAGGGCTTACGAAATTCATCTCACCTACAGAGACTGGTTGTTGACTGCTCAGGTAAAATTCAGACTTTCCTGGGGCCGAGGTCCAGAGGAGCACAGTGCAGCAGCTGGAACTCCTTATGTTTATCTGTCAAAAACCTTAAATTTTTCAAATAAAAAAAGGTAATCAATTGATACCTATAACCTGAATGTGTAAGGGCAAGGCAGGCTGAAATACTGTTATCCATTTCATTTTTCTGGATTACCTTTCTCTGTCCTCTTACAAATATCAACTGTTCCTCAGCATGGCACCCGTCAAGGTAGTAATATAGGTGCAGCAACAAGCCTCAGGCACTTACTTCACCAAATCCAGGGGGAAAAAAAACCTTCACTGTCTTGGAAATCCTGGAGAAGTTTCTGTATCTTCTCATCAGCCATGTTATGTGGCCATCCTGTAGCTAATCATTGCAGCCAGAGGAATGCTCTAGGTTGATTGGCTTGGACCAATGCTGGAACTGGGAGTAGAGTCAACACAATTCAAACCTTATTGGTTGTTATTGGGAAAGATGTAGATTCCAAAGGTGAAGATGTTGATGGGAGGTAAAGTAGTGGTAAGTGTTGCTGGAAGAATTGGAAATTAATTTCAGGAAAGGAAAAATAAATTCTCACTACAGAAGGTAAATTGAGGCTTGGTTTAGACAGAAGTTAATTTCAAAAAAGGGTCATGAAGATGAGCATAGACAGACTAAGATAAACAAGAAAATAGATTTTAGAAAGTTAGCATAGCCTAGTAGTTAAGAGCTACACACTGCATTCAGGTTCCCTGAGTTCTAACCATACCCCCAGCATTTCCTGTAGGCATGACTTTGAGCAAATTACTTTTCTCTGTGCTTCTGTTTTTCCATCTATAAAATGGGAATGATAATTATATCATTAAGTAAATTATCATGCAAAATAATAACACAACTCAGAACAGTACCTGGGACCATGTAAGGGTTTATTATTGTTATTTTTTAGAATTATTAATAGACATATTTTTTAGAACAGTTTTAGATTTACAGAGAAATTATGCAGATTAAACAGTTTTCATACAACTTCTCCACATCAGATTCTCATTGTCTCTATTATTACTATTTTACATTAGTATGGTACATATTACAATTAATGAACAAATCTTAATATGTTATAATTAACTAAAGTCCATCGGTTATCTATTTTTTTTTTGTTTTACCTAATGTTATTTTTCTGTTCTAGGATATCACACAGAACCCTTGTTACATTTGCTTGTCACAAGTTGTTAGGTTCCTCTTGGCCGTGACATTTTTTTCACACTTTCCTTGGGTTTGATGACCTTGACAATTTTGAGGAGTACTAGTCAGGCATTTTGTGGAATTTCTCTCTATTGAAATTTGCCTGAAGAAGCTTTTCTCATGATTAGACTGAGGTTGTGGGTTTAGGGAGGAGAATCACAGAGACAAAGCGCCATTTTCATCACATAAAGGAAGAGTATATATTATGAATACGATTTGACCATTAACTACCCAAATGACAAGTGTTTCTAGGTTTCTGCATTGTAAGGTTATCTTTTTTTCTGTACTGTACTCTTTGGAATAAATTCACTATGCACAGCCCTCATTCAAGTAGTAGAGAGTTACACTCCTCTTCCTTTAGGCTAGAGTATCTACAGAATCTGTTATCTTAATCTGCCTTACAATTTAGTATGCAGTATTTGGATTACTCTAACAACGCATTGCCCCTTGATTCTTAATTCTCAGCAGCCTAATTTATATGCTAGCACAATTTAAATATCAGGGTTTAATAGGCTATCAATAGTTAAAGTAGACGCTGATGTTTTTTAATTTATGCTGACCTCTGGAGAACTTGCATTAATTTAGAATCCTTCTGAACTGACCCTTACTGGGGAAGGAAGCAAATAAGATTGGAAACCATTTGAGTAGATCTATTTTGGGTCCCTTGGGTATCCAAGATGCCTTGGCAAACACAAGTACTCAGTGTAACCAAGGAAATTTCTTTGCTCAGCCCTTGAGACTGGTTAGATCTGGGAAGCTTGGGGATGAAGTTATTTGCAGTTAAACAAATTCATTTAACGTAGGCCATTCTTAATGATCAAAATAACCAGCGCACAAGTGGTCAGCCCAATTACTTTATTCATTTAATGTTTCTAGCAATCTCTTAAAACTCTAATTGTGAGTTGACTGTTAAGACAATGTAAAAAACAGATTCAATTCATATGAGCAACGTTGCTACTGATTTGCTGGTAGGAAATGCCTTACCTGCTCATCTGAGGCGAATCACCCATTGCTGTTATTTTTATAAGCCACTGCTATTTTTTTTGGTCTTCAAAACCTGGGATCCCAACCTTAGGATACTTTTTTTTTATTATACTTTAAGCTTTAGGGTACATGTGCACAATGTGCAGGTTAGTTACATATGTGTACATGTGCCATGCTGGTGTGCTTCACCCATTAACTCGTCATTTAGCGTTAGGTATATCTCCTAATGCTATCCCTCTCCCCACCCCACAACAATCCTCAGAGTGTGATGTTCCCCTTCCTGTGTCCATGTGTTCTCATTGTTCAAATCCCACCTATGAGTGAGAACATACGGTGTTTGGTTTTTTGTCCTTGTGGTAGTTTACTGAGAATGATGATTTCCTATTTCATCCATGTCCCTACAAAGGACATGAACTCATCATTTTTTATGGCTGCATAGTATTCCATGGTGTATATGTGCCACATTTTCTTAATCCAGTCTATCATTGTTGGACATTTGGGTTGGTTCCAAGTCTTTGCTATTGTGAATAGAGCCACAATAAACATAAGTGTGCATGTGTCTTTATAGCAGCATGATTTATAGTCCTTTGGGTATATACCCAGTAATGGGATGGCTGGGTCAAATGGTATTTCTAGTTCTAGACACCTGAGGAATCGACACACTGTCTTCCACAATGGTTAAACTAGTTTACAGTCCCACCAACAGTGTAAAAGTGTTCCTATTTCTCCACATCCTCTCCAGCACCTGAAGGTTCCTGACTTTTTAATGATTACCATTCTAACTGGTGTGAGATGGTATCTCATTGTGGTTTTGATTTGCATTTCTCTGATGGCCAGTGATGGTGAGCATTTTTTCATGTGTTTTTTGGCTGCATAAATGTCTTCTTTTGAGAAGTGTCTGTTCATATCCTTTGCCCACTTTTTGATGGGGTTGTTTTTTTCTTGTAAATTTGTTTGAGTTCACTGTAGATTCTGGATATTAGCCCTTTGTCTGATGAGTAGGTTGCGAAAATTTTCTCCCATTTTGTAGGTTGCCTGTTCACTCTGATGGTAGTTTCTTTTGCTGTGCAGAAGCTCTTTAGTTTAATTAGATCCCATTTGTCAATTTTGGCTTTTGTTGCCATTGCTTTTGGTGTTTGTTTTAGACATGAAGTCCTTGCCCATGCCCATGTCCTGAATGGTATTGCCTAGGTTTTCATCTAGGGTTTTTATGGTTTTAGGTCTAATGTTTAAGTCTTTAATCCATCTTGAATTAATTTTTGTATAAGGTGTAAGGAAAGGATCCAGTTTCAGCTTTCTACATATGGCTAGCCAGTTTTCCCAGCACCATTTATTAAATAGGAAATCCTTTTCCCATTGCTTGTTTTTTTCAGGTTTGTCAAAGATCAGATAGTTGTAGATATGTGGCGCTATTTCTGAGGGCTCTGTTCTGTTCCATTGATCTATATCTCTGTTTTGATACCAGTACCATGCTGTTTTGGTTACTGTAGCCTTGTAGTATAGTTTGAAGTCGGGTAGCCTGATGCCTCCAGCTTTGTTCTTTTGGCTTAGGATTGACTTGGTGATGCGGGCTCTTTTTTGGTTCCATATGAACTTTAAAGTAGTTTTTTCCAATTCTGTGAAGAAAGTCATTGGTAGCTTGATGGGGATGGCATTGAATCTATAAATTACCTTGGGCAGTATGGCCATTTTCATGATATTTATTCTTCCTACCCATGAGCATGGGATGTTCTTTCATTTGTTTGTATCCTCTTTTAATTCATTGAGCAGTGGTTTGTAGTTCTCCTTGAAGAGGTTCTTCACATCCCTTGTAAGTTGGATTCCTAGGTATTTTATTCTCTTTGAAGCAATTGTGAATGGGAGTTCATTCATGATTTGGCTCTCTGTTTGTCTGTTATTGGTGTATAAGAATGCTTGTGATTTTTGTACATTGATTTTGTATCCTGAGACTTTGCTGAAGTTGCTTATCAGCTTAAGGAGATTTTGGGCTGAGACAATGGGGTTTTCTAGATATACAATCATGTCATCTGCAAACAGGGACAATTTGACTTCCTCTTTTCCTAATTGAATACCCTTTATTTCCTGCTCCTGCCTAATTGCCCTGGCCAGCACTTCTAACACTATGTTGAATAGGAGTGGTGAGAGAGGGCATCCCTGTCTTGTGCCAGTTTTCAAAGGGAATACTTCCAGTTTTTGCCCATTCAGTATGATATTGGCTGTGGATTTGTCATAGATAGCTCTTATTATTTTGAGATACATCCCATCAATACCTAATTTATTGAGAGTTTTTAGCATGAAGTGTTGTTGAATTTTGTCAAAGGCCTTTTCTGCATCTATTGAGATAATCATTTGGTTTTTGTCTTTGGTTCTGTTTATATGCTGGATTACATTCATTGATTTGCGTATCTTGAACCAGCTTTGCATCCCAGGGATGAAGCCCACTTGATCATGGTGGATAAGCTTTTTGATGTGCTGCTGGTTTCGGTTTGCCAGTATTTTATTGAGGATTTTTGCATCAATGTTCAGCAAGGATATTGGTCTAAAATTCTCTTTTTTGGTTGTGTCTCTGCCTGGCTTTGGTATCAGGATGATGCTGGCCTCATAAAATGAGTTAGGGAGGATTCCCTCTTTTTCTATTGATTGGAATAGTTTCAGAAGGAATGGTACCAGTTCCTCCTTGTACCTCTGGTAGAATTCGGCTGTGAATCCATCTGGTCCTGGACTCTTTTTGGTTGGTAAGCTATTGATTATTGCCACAATTTCTGACCCTGTTATTGGTCTATTCAGAGATTCAACTTCTTCCTGGTTTAGTCTTGGGAGGGTGTATGTGTCAAGGAATTTATCCATTTCTTCTAGATTTTCTAGTTTATTTGCATAGAGGTGTTTGTAGTATTCTCTGATGGTAGTTTGTATTTCTGTGGGATCAGTGGTGATATCCCCTTTATCATTTTTTATTGCATCTATTTGATTCTTCTCTCTTTTCTTCTTTATTAGTCTTGGTAGCTGTCTATCAATTTTGTTGATCTTATCAAAAAACCAGCTCCTGGATTCATTAATTTTTTGAAGGGTTTTTTTGTGTCTCTATTTCCGTCAGTTCTGCTCTGATTTTAGTTATTTCTTGCCTTCTGCTAGCTTTTGAATGTGTTTGCTCTTGCTTCTCTAGTTCTTTTAATTGTGATGTTAGGGTGTCAATTTTGGATCTTTCCTGCTTTCTGTTGTGGGCATTATTGCTATCAATTTCCCTCTACACACTGCTTTGAATGTGTCCCAGAGATTTTGGTATGTTGTGTCTTTGTTCTTGTTGGTTTCAAATAACATCTTTATTTCTGCCTTCATTTCGTTATGTACTCAGTAGTCACTCAGGAGCAGGTTGTTCAGTTTCCATGTAGTTGAGTGGTTTTGAGTGAGTTTCTTAATCCTGAGTTCTAGTTTGAATGCACTGTCGTCTGAGAGACAGTTTGTTATAATTTCTGTTCTTTGACATTTGCTGAGGAGAGCTTTACTTCCAACTATGTGGTCAATTTTGGGATAGGTGTGGTATGGTGCTGAAAAAAATGTGTATTCTGTTGATTTGGGGTGGAGAGTTCTGTAGATGTCTATTAGGTGTGCTTGGTGCAGAGCGGAGTTCAATTCCTGGGTATCCTTGTTGACTTTCTGTCTCATTGATCTGTCTAATGTTGACAGTGGGGTGTTAAAGTCTCCCATTATTAATGTGTGGGAGTCCAAGGCTCTCTGTAGGTCACTCAGGACTTGCTTTATGAATCTGGGTGCTCCTGTATTGGGTGCATATATATTTAGGATAGTTAGCTCTTCTTGTTGAATTGATCCCTTTACCATTATGTAATGGCCTTCTTTGTCTCTTTTGATCTTTGTTGGTTTAAAGTCTGTTTTATCAGAGACTAGGACTGCAACCCCTGCCTTTTTTTGTTTTCCATTTGCTTGGTAGATCTTCCTTCATCCTTTTATTTTGAGCCTATGTGTGTCTCTGAATGTGAGATGGGTTTCCTGAATACAGCACACTGATGGGTCTTGACTTTTTATCCAGTTTGCCAGTCTGTGTCTTTTAACTGGAGCATTTAGTCCATTTACATTTAAAGTTAATCTTGTTATATGTGAATTTGATCCTGTCATTATGATGTTAGCTGGTTATTTTGCTCACTTGTTGATGCAGTTTCTTCCTAGCCTTGATGGTTTTTACAATTTGGCATGATGTTGCAGTGGCTGGTACCTGTTGTTCCTTTCCGTGTTTAACGCTTCCTTCAGGAGCTCTTTTAGGGCAGGCCTGGTGGTGACAAAATCTCTCAGCATTTGCTTGTCTGTAAAGGATTTTATTTCCCCTTCACTTAGGAAGCTTAGTTTGGCTGGATATGAAATTCTGGGTTGAAAATTCTTTTCTTTAAGGATGTTGAATATTGGCCCCCACTGTCTTCTGGCTTGTAGAGTTTCTGCTGAGAGATCAGCTGTTAGTCTGATGGGCTTCCCTTTGAGGGTATCCCGAGCTTTCTCTCTGGCTGCCCTTAACATTTTTTCCTGCATTTCAACTTTGGTGAATCTGAAAATTATGTGTCTTGGAGTTGCTCTTCTCAAGGAGTATCTTTGTGGCATTCTCTGTATGTCCTGAATCCAAGTGTTGGCCTGCCTTGCTAGATTGGGGAAGTTCTCCTGGATAATATCCTGCAGAGTGTTTTCCAACTTGGTTCCATTCTCCCCGTCACTTTCAGGTACACCAATCTCATGTAGATTTGGTCGTTTCACATAGTCCGATATTTCTTGGAGGCTTTGTTCATTTCCTTTTATTCTTTTTTCTCTATACTTCCCTTCTCACTTCATTTCATCTTCCGTCACTGCTACCCTTTCTTCCACTTGATCGCATCGGCTCCTGAGGCTTCTGCATTCTTCATGTAGTTCTCGAGCCTTGGCTTTCAGCTCCATCAGCTCCTTTAAGCACTTCTCTATATTGGTTATTCCAGTTTTACATTTGTCTAAATTTTTTTTCAAAGTTTTTAACTTACTTGTTTGCCTTTGGTTTGAATTTCCTCCTGTAGCTCAGAGTAGTTTGATCATCTGAAGCCTTCTTCTCTCAACTTGTTAAAGTCATTCTCTGTCCAGCTTTGTTCCATTGCTGGTGAGGAACTGCATTCCTTTGGAGGAGGAGAGGTACTCTGCTTTTTAGAGTTTCCAGTTTTTCTGCTCTGTTTTTTCCCCATCTTTGTGGTTTTATCTACTTTTGGTCTTTGATGACAGTGATGTACAGAAGGGTTTTTGGTGTGGATGTCCTTTCTGTTTGTTAGCTTTCCTTCTAACAGGACCCTCAGCTGCAGGTCTGTTGGAGTTTGCTAGAGGTCCACTCCAGACCCTGTTTGCCTGGGTATCAGCAGTGGTGGCTGCAGAACAGCGGATTTTTGTGTACCGCAAATGCTGCTGTCTGATCGTTCCTCTGGAAGTTTTGTCTCAGAGGAGTACTCGGCCTCGTGAGGTGTCAGTCTGCCCCTACTGGGGGGTGCCTCTCCGTTAGGCTGCCTGGGGGTCAGGTGTCAGGGACCCACTTGAGGAGGCAGTCTGCCTGTTCTCAGATCTCCAGCTGTGTGCTGGGAGAACCACTGCTCTCTTCAAAGCTGTCAGACAGGGACATTTAAGTCTGCAGGGGTTACTGCTGTCTTTTTGTTTGACTGTGCCCTGCCCCCAGAGGTGGAGCCTACAGAGGCAGGCAGGCATCTTTGAGCTATGGTGGGCTCCACCCAGTTCGAGCTTCCTGGCTGCTTTGTTTAACTAAGCAAGCCTGCGCTATGGCGGGCACCCCTCCCTCACCCTCACTGCCGTCTTGCAGTTTGATCTCAGACTGCTGTGCTAGCAATCAGCAAGACTCCATGGGCGTAGGACCCTCTGAGCCATGTGTGGGATAGAATCTCCTGGCCGTTTTTTAAGCCCGTCAGAAAAGCACAGTATTAGGGTGGGAGCGACCCGATTTTCCAGGTGCCATCTGTCACCCCTTTCTTTGACTAGAAAAGGGAACTCCCTGACCCCTTGCACTTCCTGAGTGAGGCAATGCCTCGCCCTGCTTTGGCTCGTGCATGGTGCGCTGCACCCACTGTCTGGCACTCCCTAGTGAGATGAACCCTGTACCTCAGATGGAAATGCAGAAATCACCCACCTTCTGCTTCACTCACGCTGGGAGCTGTAGACTGGAGCTGTTCCTATTTGGCCATCTTGGCTGCCAGACCCTTAGGAGACTTTTGATACAACTAAAAAGGCACAGGACTTGGTATGAGAAAACCTGAAGTGGAGTCCCTTACTCTTCCCCTTATTAGTCACAGTACCTGTCTGAGTCATAGTCTCCTCATTGTAAAAGGGAACAAAAATCTTGCTTGTGAAATACTTTATTAATTTTATAAATGAGGACCTAACATTATATTATTTTTAATAAAAATTGAGACCTATTATTTTCAGAAATACTGCTCTTTGAAAAACATGTTTGATGATGATGATAATGACAATGGTAATCAAGGGGTAGCCAAAAACTGGAAGTAATTAACTAATTACGATATACTTTTTAATATATACTTTTCCAGAATCCAGATGATATTCAGAGGAACAGGGTGAGAGTAGCAAGGCTAGAAAGCAAGGGACTATACTGGCTCACAACTCTGCTTCGCATTGGATCACCTAGAGGCTTAGAACCACAGATCTCAGGCAATGACTATGGTGCCCTTTGAGAATAAGAAGATGAATTAAAGACCAAATAGCTGTATCAGAGTCAACACTACTTTGTTTTGTAATATGTGACTGAAAAATAAAAATAAATGACTTTATTTTATATTCTTTTTAATTTCATGTTATGTGTTTAATTATGTGCAATGGGAATGTCCCTGTTGAATTCTCTATCAAGAGTGTAGCACTGGTGATGATACATGCTGAATATCTATTTTGTGCCATACCCTACTTTAAGTGCTTTCAAATGTTACTTCATCCAAGTTTTGTGAAGTAGGCATTATTGTCCTTATTTTTTTCAGAAATCAGGAAACTGAGCTCATGAAGGGATTGCTGCTGCTGCTGCTGGTAATGATGATGGTGGAACCCTTGGGAATATGTCTGCTTGTAAAGAGGGGTGGGGACAATGGTGCAGAGACAATAATGACCAAATATCATATGTGCTCTTGTTCATTTCCCAGACCACTAAATATTGAAGTGGAACAATGTTGCCAGCTCTGGTCAATGGACTATGATGCATGTAATTTTCTGTGCAAGGAGGTGAACCATCAGATACCTCATACATTCCCCACTGGCCACCATGGTGCCACTGGAGGCTGAGAGTAAAAGATGGTAGAGTTAGAAGATAGCAGAGGGCCACATGTCTTGCATCAGATTTGATGCAAATGAGAAAAACTAAAGTTTATTCTGGTATGCTCCCAAATATGGAGGGTTCTTTCTTTGATATTAGTCAAGTCATTCTGCTAATACAGGGTAAAGAATAATTCTATATGTTGACGTATGGCTTCTCTGCCAAAGTAGAGACATAACTGCTTAACTGCCCAAATATAACCAGGCATTCAGAGTCTCTTCTTGCCTCACTCCCTGCCAAATTATCTGCATTATCAGGGAATAAAAGGGAGTCTTGGTCACCTATCTCCTCTTCATGCACCAAATTCTCATTTACGTCAGTAACAGTACCTCAGTCCTGACAGTAATGGGGACACCTGTTAAGGCCTTCAGAAGCAATTAGCCTCAAATAAATGTGGCAGGCATTTGCCCATCACAGTGGATTTACTGAAGGCTAAGTGTTCTGTAATTCAGTCTTAAACCTTGAGGTGTTATTTTTCAGCCCTAAAAGGTGTAATATATTTGTGCTCATCCCCACCCTCTATCACAGCCAACACACAACCTGCCAAACTTCCATTCCTGGGAAAAAAGACAATGCTGGTCCCTCCGGCCAATGTCAAACCACATTTCTTCAGTATACTTTTAAAAATATAAACTGATGAGACAGAACTTGAGTAATAAAAACAATGAGTAACAATTTGATACCCCCTGAGGAATCCAGCTAGTTAAAAGAGTATCCTAAACAGGTTTAAAAATGGAGAGGGAATCAGTTCTGTGTTTCAAAAACAAAGCCTTCAAAAATAATTAATAATGGCTTAACTTTATACCCATTAAACTTTATTATTTTTAAAGGTTTTCCCTTTTGAAACATAGATTGACTTCTTCTCCATTTTTAATCTTGTTTAGGATGCTTTTATCTATCTCACGAGACTCCTCTGGATAAGTTAAGTTCTGGGCATTCTATCACACAGAAAGGCGACAGTGATTGTACTTAGTAATAATGTATTGTATCCATCAGAATATCTACAAGAGAGGATTTTAAATATTTACAACACAAGGAAATGATGAACAGTTGAGGTAAGTAATGGATAGGCTAATTACCCTGATTTGATCATTTCACAATGTATATGTTGAAATATCACTTTGAACTCTATAAATATGCAGTTATTATTTGCCAATTAAAAATAAAACTGAGAAAAAATAATAATGGTTTAAATGCATGCATTGATTTGTTGCAAATTTATAGTTTGCTATTACATTCATTTGCATCACAATGCATGGCTAAAAATACAATGGAAGTAGAGACTGTATTGGTTCGTTTTCACGCTGCTGATAAAGACATACCTGAAACTAGGAACAAAAAGAAAGAGGTTTAATTAGACTTACGGTTCCACTTGGCTAGGGAGGCTCAGAATCATGGCGGGAGGCAAAAAGCACTTCTTACATGGTGACAGCAAGAGAAAATGAGGAAGAAGCAAAAGTGGAAAGCCCTGATAAACCCATCAGATCTCATGAGACATATTCACTATCATGAGAATAGCACAGGAAAGACTGGACCCCATGATTCAATTACCTCCCCGTAGGTCCCTCCCACAACACATGGGAATTCTGGGAGATAAAATTCAAGTTGAGATTTTGGTAAGGACACAGCCAAACCATATCACTGTACTTACTTTGAAGTTTCCAAACTGCACTGCTTAAATCAGAGGTGAAAAGTTTCAGCAGAGGAAACACACACAAAAAGTCTGTTAGTTTCTAAGTTGAAGGCTATGAATTGGCAGCAGACAACACCACACTGTCTGTTGAATCTTCATTGACCTGAGAAGCAGGGACTGCTGGGATATGGGTTGACCAGAAACAAAATGGAACCCGAAGAATGGTTTTGTTTCCCTTGTTTCTGCTTGTTTACTCTTCACCCACTCCCTACTCTTCTTGACTCCAGCCAGAAACATAAGGTGCTTATCTGTTTCTGACTATGGTTCCCATCCTGGGCAAAAATGGCCAACAGATTGTCTGTGGGTCACTGATACATCATGTCAGTATTGCTATTAAAGATAACAAATGCCAATAGTAAAGCTTAGAGCATTCACTTTTAGAACATGAGCTCACTTAGCTTTTTCCTCAAAATCAGTTGGTAGCTATATCTACCAATTTTTCAAAATCCTAAAATTTAGTCATGATCCTGTCCAGGGTCACACTGGGTCTAGAATACAGGATTCAAATCCAGAGCTCATACTCTTTCTTTCTCCATAGTTGCACTGCTTGCCACAACTGAAGACTAAGTGTAAGATTTATCCTGGTTAAAGCGTTAGTAACTAACAGGTGTGTAATGTCATGCTCACCCATAACCCCTCCCCCACTGTTCAGCAATAGCATATGGAAAGGTTGACAAGTCAATACAGGGTTGTTGTTTCAGACACTTCCTATGCTGTCTCCTAGCATCTTGCACTTGCCTCTAATTCCAGCCATATCTACACCAAATCATTCTATGCCAACTTTGACTCACTTTCTGCTCACGGGATCATGCCTTAGCATGAGCCACACGCTTCTCGCTTTCAGTCAAGGACATTACCACTGTGTATGAACAGTGTATGAACACCAGTGAGAGTCTTATTTGAATCTGTGCAAGCCAGAGTGGATTCAAATTCAATTGCTTTTTTTACTTTTTCTTAATGGCAAATCTCTTAACCTTTTTCAGCCCCATTTTTTCTGTCTAATAAAATAAGGGTGAGAATATTTAACTCAAATAAATACTATGGCAGCTGTAGATAAAATATGCAAAATGATACATAGAAGCTGTTCTTTAAGTGTTAATGTCTCTGCTTTCCTAGCTATCATCCTATTTCATCCACATGGATGAGAGCCTTAGGAAAATCCCAGTGGAGACTATGAATCATGCCCATTTTGGAATAAACGTAAAACTCACCAATAGAAGAAAAAAGAGCTCCCCTTTCTCTTTCTCCTAGCAAAGATTATAATTGATTGTCAATATATGTTCTAGAGTTCACACGAATTTGCAGGGCTTTCCAATAGTAAGAGAATCTTATTAACAAATTATATTCTTTTCATGATTTATAATAAACATTTTATGTTTTCCACTTTTGTAAATTTTTGATAGTTGCAAACATAGTGGATATACTCTGAGGAATGTTTTACAGTTAGTAAAAATCAACATTGATGAACCCCTCTTTTTATGTAAAAAAAAAATTGTAAAACAGTTCTGAGAAAAATTTGGTGCTCAATAGCCCCATCTACTGGAAGAAGATAACACTAAACATGCATTTCTCCCATTGTACCCTTAGAAAAAGAAAATTGAGGAAATAATACAATCTAATTTATTTCTTAAATATTTCACATTGGCTGCTTGTGAATAAGAAAACCACAGGAGATATGGGCAAAAGTAGAAGCAGCGAACATTTGGATTCCACAGCAATGATTCTGGAGAGAAATTACAGTGGTATGGATTAAGGCAATGTACACAGAGATGAAGAGAAGAATATTGATTCAGGTTAAAGCTGAGAGATATGCTGATGGAGTGAAAGAATACTTCTATGTCTTTAACATGAACAACTAAGTCAATAGGGATGTTATTTTCTGAGGTGGGAAGATCAAGATTGATACAAATGGGAACAAGGGAAAGTGAGAATCAATGTTTCAACTGGGTTATGTTGTGTTTGAAATGCATGCTAAATATGCAAGTGAAGATGGTAAATAAGTAGTTGGATATCTAAGTCCAGAACTCAATGAGTGGTCAGCATTGAAAAGATAAATTTAGGAATCATGGTCATCAAAATGTTACCGAAAGCTATTATACTGGATGAATTCATTTTAGGAGAAAGGGCAGAACCAAGAAGACCATAGCTTCCAGAAACCGGTTCCTGGAGCCCTCCAATATTCAAAGGTCAAGGAACAAAGCAAAGGTAGCAAGGAGCTTGAGTATGATCAGGAGGGTAAGAGGAATATCAAAGAATGTGGTATCTGGGGAACCCAAAGAAGTGAGTTCAAAAAGAAAAGAAATGTTGCAAATAAGGCATTATAGAGCCTTGACAAGAACATGGGAATGGTGGCAATGGGGTGCAGAAGGACTGCTGGAAAGAGGAGCAAAAAAAAAATGGGCCGGTAGCTGTTCATGAAAGAAGGAAAAAGGGAGACTCTTCAGGTGGAAGATTCCACAACATCAATAAAAATGATATTTTAATAAATTTACTTCTCATTTTTAAAATATATTCAAAATTTACAAATTATTTTGTATCTTTTTTCTGTTAACATTATGATGGTGTTAGCTTATCAAGTTATTATAGATTCTGCATAAAGAAAATTTTAAATGAATGTATAATGTTTCATTGAATTAATTTCCCATAGTTTATTCTTTGAGCATTTGTGTTGCCTCTAACTTTTTGCTATTAAAAATGAATCCTTTTGTGCATACATATTTTTCTCTATTTTGGACTATTTCTGTAGGTCAGTGTCTCAGAAGTGGCTTTTGAGATACATGACCAAATGGCTTTCCAAACTACTATAGCAATTTAAAATGCCACCCACAATGTATGAGGTTGTTACATTCACCTCACTGCCATTAGCATTGAGTCTAATTATTTGGGGAAGGTGATAATTAATGGGTAAAACAAGCACGATCGTGTTTTATTTAATATACCTCATGATTATTTGTAACAGTAATTTTTCCTGTGTTTGTTTTCTAGTTGGGATACATCTGTTGATGTTCTTTGCCTGTGGATTTTTTAGAATTTCATTTTGTTTATTTAAATTGTCAGTTGAAGAGTTCCAATGTTTTACTGAATATAGTTTCCCAAGCTTATCACTTATCTTATAACTTTAGTTACATGTTTTGCTTTTTTTGGTTACTTATGGAAGTTTTTTATTTATGTAATTAAATATGCCTATCTAACGAATGTGTGTTCTTGTCTTAACATTCCTTTCTCATTCACAGATTGTCTGTGACAAAATTTTAGCCCCAGACTTCTTCTTTCCCCTACATCCCTTGGCATATGTTTGAGGAAGGCAAGATCATTTAATAATACTGTCAATTTAGACTGCTGGTATGTATCAGTCAAGAACCAACTGTGTTGCCAAAATAACCATCTAATAACTTTTTTCCTAAAAGGTAAATGTAGTAAAGTCGTTTTTATCTATACTCAAAGCAATGTCAGAGATTTCCTGGTTTATTGTCATCAGAAACCCCCACAGTAGGAAGGGTTATGTATCAAGAATAAACAGACTGTCTGAAGGAGGAGAGGGATGCTCAGCATATTTCTTTCTGGGTTCTATTAGTACAATCCCACCAAGCTCCTGCTGTGGATTCTGTTAATCATATAAGCCTCAGTTGGCTGAGTATTTACCATATGCTAAATACGTTGCACACGTTATCTCATTTAATGCTTTCAACGGCCCTCTTATATAATAATTATTATCTTCATTTTATACTTCTAAAGTAATGGCACAGACAGGATTCCAGGCCAGGTTTGCTTGACTCTCAAAAACTCACAATCTTAACTCATATACTCTATGCCTCTCTTGTGCTGTCCCTGCTGGGGGTTCTTGATCTTTGCTCCATGACCTTCCCTCACTGGCAATGGCCAGTAAGGGGCTCAGCTCTGATCTCTCTTCCCCAGAACTGATGACAACCTTCTTGGGCTTCTGGTTTCCGTTCCCACTCTTGTCTCACTCCCTGGCTCTGCCTCTCAATAGGGTACAACAAACAACCAGAAAACTTAAGAGCACAGGATTGCTTTGGAGGAGATGTTTAATACAGTTAAAGATGCATGAATATTAGTCTGTGAATTAAAGTATTACTTTCAGTGTTGTTTTTAGGGCAAATATGTGTGTGGTTAATGATGTCCTAATTCTGAAAATTGCCAAACCCTATAAGGAACACAGTAGTCTTAGGATTTTATATTTTTAGAGTTGTCAACAACCTTAGGAATTAACTTCTTTATTTCCAACTCTCTATTTTAGAGACAAATGTCATACAATAACTTTTCTTGTAATTACCAGCAGAGCTGGGACTAGAACACGAATTATCTTCCTGCTCATTAATCTGGCTCTTATCACTTGCTGGTTTCCTAAAAAACCCATTTAGAGAAGGAGAACAAAAAGGGAACTAAAATTTATTGGGCCACTCTTATATATCTGGCACATCATTTAGCATTTTATATGAATCATCCCATTTACTACTAAATGCTACTAGTATTCTTATCTCCAAAGCATAGATTTTTTAAATGGGTGAAGAATAGAGTCACTTGCCCATGATCAATAGATAATAGAGCAAAGATTTGAATTCATGCCTATGAAACTTTATATTGTGTCCCGTACACATGGTCATCCCACTAACAGCAGTTAAGAAAACCGTACATGAACTTTTGGCCATACAGCTCACCCACATCAGAATATGTCTCTTCCTACACTCCTGACTCCCCTCCCTGAAAATATTCCAGGGATAAACTGTCTTTGACCAAGCAGTGAAATGCCAACTTGACCCTGGACTTCATCAGGGCCAAAAGCTAAGTTAGAGCTGAAAAAGAGAAACTAGAATAGTCAATAGGGTAGCAATTAATTACAATGCTGCAGCAGCTTAGAGGTAGAGCTGAAGTGACTGGGATTATTTAGTCTGAAGTGAGGTAAAGGGATTGACATAATCGCAGTTTTCAGACCTATTAAACATTACTATACTTAAGATGGTGGCCAGCTGTTCTTTATCATCTCTAAGAACGACATCAGAGGACCCTACATTAAATGGAACAAAATGGAGAAAAAGCAGGGCTTCCTGTCTTCGAAGGAGAGAATGTGATCAGATGTTGGGAGGTGATGGTCTTCTTTGGAGAAGCACATTCAAAGCACACCTCTTGGAAGAACTAGCAAAAGTTCTCTGTCAGGTTGTTTAGAATTAATGATGTAATAACCTAGAACTGTATAAATAGTAGAAAATTTGTCCTAAGTGCAATAATAATGATAAACAAAAATACATATAATGATTACAGTAGGAAACTATTATTTTATAAACAGCAATCCTGCCTTCTTCTGAGGACATTCTTGTTCCTGCTGGTTCTTTTGAGATTCCTTTGCTCCCATGTTATTCACCCCATTGAAGCAGCTACTATACATGGGCAGCTTACGGTATATGAATCTGCCCTCTTTATACATGATTGGTGCAGGGCTTGGATCAATAAGCCCCTTCCCTGGAATTTTTGAACTTGGAAAAGAGAGATTCATGTCAAAAATACTAAACTTGTAAATATGAGAAATCTTTGGGAGCTCCCCTTTGCCACTTATTGCATAGGTTAAATCTGAGGAATGGAATGAGGATGGCAGTAGAGGGCATATAGCTTAAAACACAGAAAAAAAAGTAGACCAGTAAATAATATTCAGAAAGATGAACAAAGATAATTGACCAAGGATTCTACTGCTACTCAAGTTTCTTTTTCTGATGTATCCTAAGGTTCAGGCCTGTTCCTATCTCATGCAATCCTAAGAAAATTTGTAATACATTGTTGTTTTTGTTTAAGCTAATTTGAGTTAGATTTCTGTCATGGAAAACCTAAGGGTCTTAACTAATACCATGATAACAATGACAGTGAGACTCACATCAACTATAAATGGAGCCACCACCAGTTATGCAAACACTTGACCCAATTACCTTATTTAATTCTCACAAGATCCCTTCAAGGTAAGCATAAATATTCCCATATTAAAGATGAAAAAACTAATAGAGACTGACAGAGGTTGACTAACGTGTCCTATATCATGCAGTCAGCAAAGGGCAGAATTGAGATAAACATCCAGGTTAGCCATCAGTTCCATGGATCAGAGGATAACATTAACATCACTAATCTAAGCATTCATTAAATTAGAATTCAAGTACTTTTTTCTGGGTCCAAAATTTGAAAAAAACAAAAGAAATAAAAACTTATGTTTAGTACATTTGATTAATGTTTATATTATTATTTCATACTTTTGGTCTCTACATTTCCATAAATGTCACCTTGTTATTCCTCTTTAGAAAATACAGGTGTTGGCTGGCTGCAGTGGCTCATGCCTGTAATCCCAGCACTTTGGGAGGCTGAGGCGGGCGGATCACAAGGTCAGGAGATAGAGACCATCCTGGCTAACACGGTGAAACCCTGTCTCTACTAAAAATACAAAAAATTAGCCAGGCGTGGTAGCGGGTGGCGGGTGCCTGCGGTCCCAGCTACTCAGGAGGCTGAGGCAGAGAATGGCATGAACCCGGGAGGCAGAGTTTGCAGTGAGAAGAGATCGCGCCACTGCACTCCAGCCTGGGCAACAGAGCGAGACTCTGTCTCAAAAAAAAAAAAAAAATACAGATGTTACATTGGGATAGAGAAGATTAAATTCATTGAAAATACCACTATTAAGACGTATTGACAGTCTAGAAAAGAATAAAATGACTCTGACTCTACCTTAAGGAAGATTTAATAATTTTTGAGGAGGACTAAAAAATGTGACTTGGCATTGCTTTTTTATGAAACCCAACACTGTCTGGCCTTATATCCTGCAATCCTCCCTCTTGTTCATGCCACTGACTTCTCCAATGCTATTAGGTCCACTTGATCCCAGGGCCTTTGCAATGCCTTCTCCCTATGTGTGGTACTCTCTTCTAAATATCTGCATGGCTCGTTTCTTCATCACCAACTAGCCTTTGCTCAAATGTCAATTTCTAACCCCTTGATGATAAATGAGTTAATACAACCGAAATATTTAGGAGAGTGCTTGAAACTTCATAAGCACTGGGTATTCTCCAGGCTATGGTGACTTGCTGGCACTGGGATTGGAGAGAGTGAGGGAGGTGTATAATGAAGTTGCAAGAATTTAATACTAAAACAGTGAATTAATTTTCAGCCCCCAACAGTTAACTTGTTGAGCCCCTGCCACTTTTCAAATATCACATGAAGAAGTTTGAAAGCTCACCTGGAGTATCTCACTTGTACTCCCAAATGTCAGTCCTTCTGGCTGCCGTATGCATATTCTGTCTTTCCTCTATGTTGCTTCCAGCTCCAGATTAGTAATTGACAAGTTTTTGCAGAGATAGTCTATGAATTATTGATACAGGCCTTAGAACTAGGTCTTCAGAAACCTCTGCACTAGGCTACAGTGGGAGAAAGTCCTCATCTGCTTGAGTATCCTCTGTTATAAACCCACATGCCTGACTTCTGTCCTCTGAAACTTGGTTTCATTTATTTTCATTTCCCTACTCTGTAAAAGTAATCTCAAATGCACTTCCTTTAGGAAGTTTTCCCATCCTCTTTAGAGACCAAGACTTTAGCACTAGAGCTTTTTTTTTTTTTTTGGTCCTACCTCTACTGGGGCTGCCTTTTCATAGGTCTGGTGAAGGAGTGTGAAGGATGTGAGCTGCTTGAGATGGAGGAAACTCTGAGTGATGTTAACTGGGCTATGATTAAAAAAAAAATTTGCTTCTCCTTTTCAATGATTACCCTAAACAATCTGGATACCTAGATGGTTTCCCTGTCCAAATGAGTTATTACCCCTGAGGTCCACTGCTGGAGATGTTGAGGGGAATATTGTTTCCTAGTGTCTTAAGGAGGAGGAAAAAGGGGGCATACAAACACATGTCTTGCATCTAGTCAAATACCTGGCTAGAAGTTGTATTTATCATTTATTCCTCACCATAACACAGTAATGTAGATAACACTATTCTTGTTTTTTGGAATGAACCAGATTTTCAGAAAACTTGCCCACAGTAATACAACTAGTAATAACAAAGCTAGAAGCTTTGCTACTAAATTCACTGCTCATGCTACCTTCCACACTTGCTACTGTTCTTCCCACATGTCAGAAAACAGATTCCTAGACCATTGTCTCAGCCACTTATGTCTCAGACAGCATAGGACACAAAAAGTATTAGTAAGAACTCAATTTAAGAACAACTGGCATGTGACAAATGGTAAACCTGAGGCTTGGTAGGGGAAGTGACTTAGCCTCAGTCACCTGGTAAGCTAATATCTAAGATGGGGGTATCCCGACCTCTCCACCAGTGTTTCATTTTTTCCAAAATTACTACAAGTGGTAGATTGGGGCTAACATGTGGATGGTCTTAGTTTATACCTGAAACAATCCCTAACACTAACTTTGCAAGCTGCGTTGCATCAAAGGCAACAAATCACAACCCCATGAGCACCTGGCATTCTCTTCTAAGCTGCTGACTGCTTTGTGCAGCTTCTAGGGGCTGGGAGAGTGACCCAGCTTGGCAAATGTCTAGGGAGACTACTGAGCAAGTGACTGAACTAAGCTAGTGTCTATTTGCTCTTGAAATGACCTTAACTACATCTGTCAAGAGATTTCCACTTGAACAGTTTAACATGAAAACTAGAGGGTGAGTGGATGCTTCGAGCTCTAAATCTGAAAGATTGACCAATTACGTTTCTCTAGGGCTCCTTTCTTTGGGCTCTTCCCAGGCTCAAGTGCTGCAGGCAGCAGACAAAAGGCAGAATAGCGGTGGAGTCTGAGACAGGCCTCTCTGGGAAAAGTGGTTTCTTCATCACTGACACTTTCGTTCCTCCCACCTCCTGAATGTAGGAATCCTTGAGACTCAATTCTGTGAGGCACTGGATACTCAAGGTATTTTGAAGAGTATCTAATGTAAAAAGACCAATTCACTGCCTCCAGAGCTCTGCAGTATCCCTAAGAAGATTCTCTGCTTGAACTTCTCTGGTGAAAATGAACTCACTGTACAGTCCTATCCCATTAGACTGTGTTGGATATGAAAATGTAGGCTAGACTCTGACATGTAAAGATCTGAGCTTAAATATGGGTAAACTGTGCGATTTTTGGCCCAGTTTCTTACCTCTCTGGACCTCAGCTCCTATAGTTATGAAATGGGAATATTAACACAATCAGGGCTGGTGGGACAATTCAGTGATTTAAGGCCTAGACTGTGCCTAACAAACACAGTGCCTTTTTGTTTTCTTCTCTTCTAATACAGTCTTTCTACATCTTAAACAACATCATGCAGTTTCAATGTTTAAAATAGCCCTTCTTTGGAGTTTACTTCTAAGTAGAAAAGTAACTATGGTCTTGGTTTTCTCCGAATCTCTTTCCTAAGAGCTCAATGTGTTTAATGAATATCTCCACCTCAGTGTCCTACTGACACCTCCAGTGGCTTGATTTGTTATTGAGCAGGCTAAATACATGTCAGCACACACTCACTGTATCACATGCTCATTTTCATGTCTTTAATCCTGTTCCCCAGTGTTTAACACTGCTGCTGAGCTCAGATGCTGGTCTATACATGTTCATCCATGGAGCAAATTAATGATGTACATATTCAGTGTTAGAATTTGACAGCTCTATCCTAAGCACCAGTTCTACAATGGGCCTTTTTTAAGCACTAGGGAATCAGTGGTCTCCAGAGTCACAAAGCTTACAACCTGTGAAAGTGAAAATGTAATCATTTCAATCATTCATATAAGAATACAATTGGTGGGAGCCAAGATGGCCGAATAGGAACAGCTCCGGTCTACAGCTCCCAGCGTGAGCGACGCAGAAGACGGGTGATTTCTGCATTTCCATCTGAGGTACCGGGTTCATCTCACTAGGGAGTGCCAGACAGTGGGTGCAGGACAGTGGGTGCAGCGCACCATGCGCAAGCCAAAGCAGGGTGAGGCATTGCCTCCCTCGGGAAGCACAAGGGGTCAGGGAGTTCCCTTTCCTAGTCAAAGAAAGGGGTGATAGACAGCACCTGGAAAATCGGGTCACTCCCACCCTAATACTGCGCTTTTCCAATGGGCTTAAAAAAAAGGCACACCAGGAGATTATATCCTGCACATGGCTCAGAGAGTACTAGGCCCACGGAGTCTCGCTGATTGCTAACACAGCAGTCTGAGATCAAACTGCAAAGTGGCAGTGAGGCTGGGGGAGGGGTGCCTGCCATTACCCAGGCTTGATTAGGTAAACAAAGCAGCCAGGAAGCTCGAACTGGGTGGAGCCCACCACAGCTCATGGAGGCCTGCCTGCCTCTGTGGGCTCCACCTCTGGGGGCAGGGCACAGACAAACAGAAAGACAGCAGCAGTAACCTCTGCAGCCTTAAATGTCCCTGTGTGACAGCTTTGAAGAGGGCAGTGGTTCTCCCAGCACACAGCTGGAGGTATGAGAACAGGCAGACTGCCTCCTCAAGTGGGTACCTGACCCCCAAGCAGCCTAACTGGGAGGCACCCCCCAGTAGGGGCAGACTGACACCTCACACAGCCAGGTACTCCTCTGAGACAAAACTTCCAGAGGAAGGATCAGGCAGCAGCATTTGCGGTTCACCAAGATCTGCTGTTCTACAGTGGTCTACAAGCACACCGCTGTTGTGCAGCCACCGCTGCTGATACCCAGGCAAACAGGGTCTGGAGTGGACCTCTAGCAAACTCCAACAGACCTGCAGCTGAGGGTCCTATCTGTTAGAAGGAAAACTAACAAACAGAAAGGACATCCACACCAAAAACCCTTCTGTACGTCACCATCATCAAAGACCAAAAGTAGATAAAACCACAAAGATGGGGAAAAAACAGAGCAGAAAAACTGGAAACTCTAAAAAGCAGAGCGCCTCTCCTCCTCCAAAGGAACGCAGCTCCTCACCAGCAATGGAACAAAGCTGGACAGAGAATGACTTTGATGAGTTGAGAGAAGAAGGCTTCAGATGATCAAACTACTCTGAGCTACAGGAGGAAATTCAAGCCAATGGCAAAGAAGTTAAAAACTTTGAAAAAAAATTGGACGAATGGATAACTACAATAAACAATGCGGAGAAGTCCGTAAAGGAGCTGATGGAGCTGAAAGCCAAGGCTTGAGAACTACGTGAAGAATGCAGAAGCCTCAGGAGCCGACGCGATCAACTGGAAGAAAGGGCATAAGTGATGGAAGATGAAACGAACGAAATGAAGTGAGAAGAGAAGTTTACAGAAAAAAGAATAACAAGAAACGAACAAAGCCTCCAAGAAATATGGGACTATGTGAAAAGACCAAATCTACATCTGACTGGTGTACCTGAAAGTGACGGGGAGAATGGAACCAAGTTGGAAAACACTCTGCAGGATATTATCCAGGAGAACTTCCCCAATCTAGCAAGGCAGGCCAACATTCAGATTCAGGAAATACAGAGAACATCACAAAGATACTCCTCGAGAAGAGAAACTCCAAGACACAAAATTGTCAGACTCACCAAAGTTGAAATGCAGGAACAAATGTTAAGGGCAGCCAGAGAGAAAGGTCGGGTTACCCACAAAGGGAAGCCCATCAGACTAACAGCGGATCTCTCGGCAGAAACTCTACAAGCCAGAAGAGAGTGGGGGTCAATATTCAACATTCTTAAAGAAAAGAATTTTCAACCCAGAATTTCATATCCAGCCAAACTAAGCTTCATAAGTGAAGGAGAAATAAAATACTTTACAGACAAGCAAATGCTGAGAGATTTTGTCACCACCAGGCCTGCCCTAAAAGAGCTCCTGAAGGAAGCACTAAACATGGAAAGGAAAAACTGGTACCAGCCACTGCAAAAACATGCCAAAATGTAAAGACCACCAAGGCTAGGAAGAAACTGCATCAACAAATGAGCAAAATAACCAGCTAACATCATAATGACAGGACCAATTTCACACATAACAAAATTAACTTTAAATGTAAATGGGCTAAATGCTCCAATTAAAAGACACAGACTGGCAAATTGGATAAAGGGTCAAGACCCATCAGTGTGCTGTATTCAGGAAACCCATCTCACATGCAGAGGCACACATAGGCTCAAAATAAAGGGATGGAGGAAGATCTACCAAGCAAATGGAAAACAAAAAAAGGCAGGGGTTGCAGTCCTAGTCTCTGATAAAACAGACTTTAAACCAACAAAGATCAAAAGAGACAAAGAAGGCCATTACATAATGGTAAAGGGATCAATTCAACAGGAAGAGCTAACTATCCTAAATATATATGCACCCAATACAGGAGCACCCAGATTCATAAAGCAAGTCCTGAGTGACCTACAAAGAGACTTAGACTCCCACCCAATAATAATGGGAGATTTTAACACCCCACTGTCAACATTAGATAGATCAATGAGACAGAAAGTTAACAAGCATACCCAGGAATTGAACTCAGCTCTGCACCAAGCGGACCTAATAGACATCTACAGAACTCTCCACCCCAAATCAACAGAATATACATTTTTTTCAGCACCACACCATACCTATTCCAAAATTGACCACATAGTTGGAAGTAAAGCACTCCTCAGCAAATGTAAAAGAACAGAAATTATAACAAACTGTCTCTCAGACCACAGTGCAATCAAACTAGAACTCAGGATTAAGAAACTCACTCAAAACCACTCAACTACATGGAACTGAACAACCTGCTCCTGAATGACTACACGGTACATAACGAAATGAAGGCAGAAAAAAAGATGTTCTTTGAAATGAACAAGAACAAAGACACAACAAACCAGAATCTCTGGGACACATTCAAAGCATTGGGTAGAGGGAAATTTATAGCAATAATGCCCACAAGAGAAAGAAGGAAAGATTCAAAATTGACACCCTAAAATCACAATTGAAAGAACTAGAAAAGCAAGAGCAAACACATTCAAAAGCTAGCAGAAGGCAAGAAATAACTAAAATCAGAGCAGAACTGAAGGAAATAGAGACATAAAAAACCCTTCAAAAAATTAATGAATCCAGGAGCTGGTGGTTTGAAAGGATCAACAAAATTGATAGACCACTAGAAAGACTAATAAAGAAGAAAAGAGAGAAGAATCAAATAGACGCACTAAAAAATGACAAAGGGGATATCACCACTGATCCCACAGAAATACAAAGTACCATCAGAGAATACTACAAACACCTCTATGCAAATAAACTAGAAAATCTAGAAGAAATGGATAATTTCCTCGACACATACATCCTCACAAGACTAAACCAGGAAGAAGTTGAATCTCTGAACAGACCAATAACAGGGTCTGAAATTGTGGCAATAATCAATAGCTTACCAACCAAAAAAAGTCCAGGACCAGATGGATTCACAACCGAATTCTACCAGAGGTACAAGGAGAAACTGGTACCATTCCTTCTGAAACTATTCCAATCAATAGAAAAAGAGGGAATCTCCCTAACTCATTTTATGAGGCCAGCATCATCCTGATACCAAAGACTGGCAGAGACACAACCAAAAAAGAGAATTTTAGACCAATATTCTTGCTGAACATTGATGCAAAAATCCTCAATAAAATACTGGCAAACCGAATCCAGCAGCACATCAAAAAGCTTATCCACCATGATCAAGAGGGCTTCATCCCTGGGATGCAAGCCTGGTTCAAGATACGCAAATCAATAAATGTAATCCAGCATATAAACAGAACCAAAGACAAAAACCAAATGATTATCTCAATAGATGCAGAAAAGGCCTTTGACAAAATTCAACAACACTTCATGCTAAAAACTCCCAATAAATTAGGTATTGATGGGATGTATCTCAAAATAATAAGAGCTATATATGACAAACCCACAGCCAATATCATACTGAATGGGCAAATACTGGAAGCATTCCCTTTGAAAACTGGCACAAGACAGGGATGCCCTCTCTCACCACTCCTATTCAACATAGTGTTGGAAGTTCTGGCCAGGGCAATCAGGCAGGAGAATGGAAGTAAAGGGTATTCAATTAGGAAAAGAGGAAGTCAAATTGTCCCTGTTTGCAGATGACATGATTGTATATCTAGAAAACCCCATTGTCTCAGCCCAAAATCTCAAGCTGATAAGCAACTTCAGCAAAGTCTCAGGATACAAAATCAATGTGCAAAAATCACAAACATTTTTATACACCAATAATAGACAAACAGAGAGCCAAATCATGAGTGAACTCCCATTCACAATTGCTTCAAAGAGAATAAAATACCTAGGAATCCAACTTACAAGGGATGTGAAGGACCTCTTCAAGGAGAACTACAAACCACTGCTCAATGAAATAAAAGAAGATACAAACAAATGGAAGAACATTCCATGCTCATGGGTAGGAAGAATCAATATTGTGAAAATGGCCATACTGCCCAAGGTTGTTTATAGATTCAATGCCATCCCCATCAAGCTACCAATGACTTTCTTCACAGAATTGGAAAAAACTACTTTAAAGTTCATATGGAACCAAAAAAGAGCCTGTATCGCCAAGTCAATCCTAAGCCAAAAGAACAAAGCTGGAGGCATCACGCTACCTGACTTCAAACTATAGTACAAGGCTACAGTAACCAAAACAGCATGCTACTGGTACTAAAACAGAGATATAGATCAATGGAACAGAACAGAGCCCTCAGAAATAATGCCGCATATCTACAACCATCTGATCTTTGACAAACCTGAGAAAAACAAGCAATGGGGAAATGATTCCCTATTTAATAAATGGTGCTGGGAAAACTGGCTAGCCATATGTAGAAAGCTGAAACTGGATCCCTTCCTTACACCATATACAAAAATTAATTCAAGATGGATTAAACACTTACATGTTAGACCTAAAACCATAAAAACCCTAGAAGAAAACCTAGGCAATACCATTCAGGACATAGGCATGGGCAAGGACTTCATGTCTAAAACACCAAAAGCAATGGCAACAAAAGCCAAATTTGACAAATGGGATCTAATTAAACTAAAGAGCTTCTGCACAGCAAAAGAAACTACCATCAGAGTGAACAGGCAACCTACAAAATGGGAGAAAATTTTCGCAACCTACTCATCAGACAAAGGGCTAATATCCAGAATCTACAATGAACTCAAACAAATTTACAAGAAAAAAACAACCCCATCAAAAAGTGGGCAAAGGATATGAACAGACACTTCTCAAAAGAAGACATTTATGCAGCCAAAAAACACATGAAAAAATGCTCACCATCACTGGCCATCAGAGAAATGCAAATCAAAACCACAATGAGATCCCATCTCACACCAGTTAGAATGGCGATCATTAAAAAGTCAGGAAACAACAGGTGCTGGAGAGGATGTGGAGAAATAGGAACACTTTTACACTGTTGGTGGGACTGTAAACTAGTTCAACCATTGTGGAAGTCAGTGTGTCGATTCCTCAGGGATCTAGAACTAGAAATACCATTTGACCCAGCCATCCCATTACTGGGTATATACCCAAAGGATTATAAATCATGTTGCTATAAAGACACATGCACACGTATGTTTATTGCGGCACTATTCACAATAGCAAAGACTTGGAACCAACCCAAATGTCCAACAATGATAGACTGGATTAAGAAAATGTGGCACATATACACCATGGAATACTATGCAGCCATAAAAAAGGATGAGTTCATGTCCTTTGTGGGGACATGGATGAAACTGGAAACTATCATTCTCAGCAAACTATGGCAAGGACAAAAAACCAAACACCGCATGTTCTCACTCATAGGTGGGAACTGAAAAATAAGAACACATGGAAACAGGAAGGGGAACATCACACTCCAGGGACTGTTGTGGGGTGGGGGGAGTGGGGAGGGATAGCATTAGGAGATATACCTAATGCTAAATGATGAGTTAATGGGTGCAGCACACCAACATGGCACATGTATACATATGTAACAAACCTGCACATTGTGCACATGTACCCTAAAACTTAAAGTATAATAATAATAAAATTAAAATTAAAAAGTAATGCAATTGTTAATTGGCACATGGACTATGCTACGTGCTCACCAAGTCTTGTTGTATATCCCTCCTTCCTTGACGAATGGAATATGAGTCCTCCCAGCCTTTTGTAGCTAAGTGGGGCTATGCAGCTATTTTTTGACCATGAAATGTGAGAAATGATGTGTATTTCTTCCTGGTTGAGCCATTGTAAAACACCACACAATTCTTCCATCTTTTTCTTTCTTGTGACAGTGAATTGACAAGTCATATGTCGAGATAGCGGAGCCTCCATGATGCTGGGTCCTTGAGTGACTCTGTGGAGTGAAGCCTCCCCCCATAAATATGCACTGGATATGGGTATATGCAGGAAATAAACATATGTTCACTTATACCACTGACATTTCAAGGTTTATTTGATAACTTCAGTACAACCTACCTTATCCTGATTAATGTGGCACTCATTAAGTAACTATAAAAATTAGAGGTACAAAAAATTAAAGGTAAGAAAATTTACCTTTAAACGTAAGAAAAATGAAATATACATTATTGTATTAATGTATAATATACATTATAATGTATATATTATATACATTATATTACATAATGTATATATTATATACATTATATTACATAATGTATATAATATATACATTATATTACATAATGTATATAATATATACATTATATAATATATACATTATATTATATAATGTACATAATATATACATTATATAATATAATGTACATAATATATACATTATATAATATAATGTACGTAATATGTACATTATATTATATAATGTACGTAATATATACATTATGTAATATAATGTACGTAATATATACATTATGTAATATAATGTACGTAATATATACATTATATAATATAATGTACGTAATATATACATTATATAATATAATGTACGTAATATATACATTATATTATATAATGTACGTAATATATACATTATATAATGTACGTAATATATACATTATATTATATAATGTACGTAATATATACATTATATAATGTACGTAATATATACATTATATTATATAATGTATATATTATACATTAATACAATTAAAGGTAAGAAAAATGAAATATACATTACTGGAGGAAAATATATGCTTTTAATAAAACTTTTCTTCTAAAAGGTCACTATTAATCTCAATTTTCCTAACTAATTCATGTTATTTTATAACTCAGATTGGTGGTTTTAAGTTCAGCCTCCATGGTAAGGGTCCAGAGATCACAGCCACTAAAAAATAGGCAATTAAAACTATGTAACATTTATTTCCTGGGAAATCCAGCATGAAATATTTTCTTATTAGCATAGGCTTATTGTCCCTTTTTACTTCTTAGGCTAAAAAATCTATCCCCTTTGACTTCAGCTACATGTCAGGAAACATTTTCATCTCCCTTCTCCTGGTTTCTCCCATGACTGTTTGTTCTAATTTGGATTCATTTCTAATCACACCTCTGGAACCCATTTACATGGTGCAATAGAGCACAGAAAAAAGTAAACCCACTTATCAAGCCTTTGTTTCAGGCACTTTTACCCCATTGTTTTACTTAATCCTCCTACCAGAGAGGGAAGCATCATAGTCTTCATAGTCCCCATTATGCTGATGAGGAAGTTGAAGCTCAGTGCATTTATGTGACTTACCCATAGCGACACAGGCAGCAAATGGCTGAGCCAATATTCTAATTAATAAGTGTTTGATTCTAGAGCCTGCAGAACAGGGGTCAGTGCTCGTTCCTGACTTTCCCTCTACCCAGTTGCCTTCAGTAATAAGAATCCACTAAACATTGAAATGGACTACTAAACATTCATGAAGTGCCTAAAATTTTACAAAATATTTTAGAGTTTGTAGCTACTTTCATCATTATTATTATTATTATTATTATTATTATTATTATTATTATTACTATTTAGATCTTCACAATCTTCCTGCAATTGGTTTGGTATATAGGTTACAATTTCAGGAAGCAAAACTTCCTGACTCTGTAACTCACCAAATGTGAGGCTCAGGCACATTTCAGCATCCCTTTGAACCGTGATTTTCCTGTCTATAAAATGGGGAGGCATTGCTTGCATCAACATAATAGAGTTGTTGGCAGAATTAAATGAGATAATCGATGCCAAATATATCTGATGTTGCTTGGAACATGGCACATGCCTCGAGGGTGTCAGAGTTGTTATTAATGCTGCTGAGTCTTATTTAGTGGAGGAAATGAAGACTCAAGGCTAAGAGATCTGTGAATGGAGAGAAAATAAAGCTTCATCTTCGGTGACTTCTCCGTCATCTCCAGTGGCTTCACAGAGCTGTTACTAGCAAAGTTGTGACAAAGAAAGGTCTTTTCCCTGCTTGTCCACTGTTCAGCTTGCCTCACCTCAACTTTATGGGCCAAGTTATTTCCATAAACTGGCTGGGAATTCCATTGCCTGGCTTATCGATCTTGCAAAACACAGAAAGGATAAGAAATAAAATTAGATAAAATAAGATAGTCCAGGTTTGAAAAATGCTAGCAGTGTTTTTAGCCATAAATTACTCTTACTAAGGTGGAAAGCAGTAAAACTTGTTAGCTATCTGGTGGAGTCAGACAAAGAGGAGTTTGAATTTCAGCTCTGCCAGTTATAGTCTTTGTGATTTGGAACAAACTATTTAAATTCTCCAATGATTAGCTTATTTATCTAGAATATGAGGATAATAATTATATTTACTTCATTTAATGTTTGCAATAATTAAATGTGAGAACCTAGGCAAGTGCTGCTGAAGTAGGAAAAAGATATAACAAGGTTGGCAATTCTTATTCTTGTTTTAATGATTTATGCAAAGTGCTTAGCTCAGTACATATCCTGACACTCAATACAAGGTATCAGCGGTGATTTTTTTGTACAAAATGAAGGGATACAAAAATACAGTCAGAAATAATAAATTCTAGTATTCAATAGTACCATAAAAATTATAGTTAAGAATAATTTATTGTGTATTTCAAAATAACTAAAACAGAGAATCATAATGTTCCGAGCACAAAACAAAGATAAATGTTTGAGGTGATGGATATCCCAGTTACCTTGATTTGATCAATACAGATTGTATACATGTATCAAAACATCACACAGGCCGGGAGCGGGGGCTCACGCCTGTAATCCCTGCACTTTGGGGGGCCGAGGCGGGTGGATCACAAGGTCAGAAGATCGAGACCATCCTGGCTAACACGGTGAAACCCCGTCTCTACTTAAAAATACAAAAAAATTAGCCGGCGTGTTGGCGGGTGCCTGTAGTCCCAGCTACTCAGGAGGCTGAGGCAGGAGAATGGTGTGACCCAGGAGGCGGAGCTTGCAGTGAGCCAAGATTGCGCCACTGCACTCCAGCCTGGGTGACAGAGCAAGACTCTGTCTCAGAAAAAAAAAAAAAAAAATCGCACATACCCCCAAAATACATACAACTTTGATATATCAATTTAAAAATAAATTTAAAAAGTGAGTAAACTTTCTTACAAGATTTCAAAAAAGTTCTCGACCTTGAGAGGGAGAGAAAATGTGATTTTAAAAAATGGCTAGTTGACAGCTTTTGGAAAGCTTGTGTTCAATAAATACATACACAGTTAGGCATTTGTGTATGTGTATGTGTGCGTGTGTGTTTGTATGTTTACAGTCATGTGTTACATAACGTTTCAGTCAATAATGAACGATATATACAATGGTGCTTCCATAAGATTATAATACTGTATTTTTACTATGCCTTTTCTGTGTTTAGATATGTTTGGATACACAAATACTATTGTGTTACAATTGCCTACAGTATTCAGTACAGTAACATGCTGTACAGGTTTGTAGCCTAGGAGCAACAGGCTATCCCATATACCTAGGTGTAGAGTCAGCTATATCACCTAGATTTGTGTAAGTACACTCTATGATATTTGCACAATGATGAAATTGCCTCCCAACACATTCCTTAGATTGTATCCCCGTGATTAAGCAATGAATGACATATATATATATATATTCCCAATAATTCTGCAAGGTATTCTGTGAATGAAAAGTTGAATTGCAATGTAATAGTCTCTTGAAGAATACTTAGAATTGATATTGGCCACATAATGTAACTAATGAATGCAAATGACAAATAATCTGAGCTCAATTGTAACCCCAGAAAAATGTGAATGTAGCTCAGAAATGAGAGAGAATTGTAGCATGTGTGTGTGTGTGGTAAAGAGAAGTTCAAGATAGGCTTCTTTGAAGAGATTACCCTGGAGCTGGATTTTAATTAATATGTAAGATATGTATCTTACATATTTATGTGTGCGTGTGTGTGTGTGTGTCAATGTGAAGTATAAGGGGATTCCTGGAATAAGGGATGCAATGAGCAAAGAAATATGGGAGAATAAGAATGGGGAGAAAAAGGAGAAGGAGATGCATGGTACAGTGGGGCAAAAGTGCATGTGTATGTGTTTATGTTTACATTTGCATGTATTTATGTATGTATATGTGTGTAGATATGGGTGTATACATATGTGTGGGTGCATGCACCTCTCTGTGCATATTGGGGAAAACAAAGTTGGAAAGGGAAACTAGGGCCTGAATGTGAGGGACTATTTATGCCTGATATGTTTTGGCTCTGTGTCCACACCCAAATCGCACCTTGAATTGTAGTAATCCCCACATGTCGTGGGAGGGACCCAGTGGGAGGTAATTGAATCATGCGGGCAGGGTTTTCTCATGCTGATAGTGAATAAATCTCACGAGATCTGATGGTTTTATAAAGAGGAGTCCCCTGCACATGCCCTCTTGCCTGCTTACATGTAAAACGTGGCTTGTCTCCTCCTTGCCTTCTGCCATAATGGTGAGGCCTCCCCAGCCATGTGGAACTGTGAGTCAATTAATCTTCCTTCCTTTATAAATTACTCAGTTTTGGGTATGTCTTTATTAGCAGCATGAGAACAGACTAATACAATGCCTGATAGTTTTTATAATTTATTTATAGACTGTAGGAGTTAACATTTTTAAAGATGGAGTTGACAAGATAAGAGCTAGAGCTTTTGGACTATAAATCTGGGAGCTGAATAAAGGATGATTTGAATAAGGAAAGGATTAGACAAGATGCTAATTAAATGACATTTAGTTTAAAATACATAAAATATGAATGCTTTAAATCATAAAACTATAGTCAGTAGCAAGAGCTATTTGCCAGGTATTTGGGGCATCCATTCCTTTAAACAGAGTCTCAGAACTTTCATAAGTCAAATGGAAGAAATTAGAAACATACAGATTTTATTCTAAAAAAAACCTGATATTTTAGAAATGAAGTAAAAATTCCTTTGAGAAGTTACTTCTAAAGTATTAATGCATTCCAATTATTTGCTGAGATGTTGAAATGCAGATTAGGAGTGGGGTGATCTTTCTCCTTCTGGCAAAAGCTTTAGCTTCTGAAAAACATTGTTGAAATCAAGTTTCACTTCTTTATTGAAAATTCATTGAATCTAGAAAATGTATCAAAATGGAAATCAACTTTTTAATGGAACTGTTAATTGACATTTAGATGGATTGTCTGAGGATTATATGAGGTAACTGGAGTAAAACAATTTCCATATATGCAATAAGCACCAGATAATTATTAACTGCTATTGTGTTGTTATTATTGCCTTTAATCCGGTACTCGATTCTAAATATGTGGCCTGTCCGCGGTTTCTTCTCTCTAAATCTGCGGTTGTGGAGATTGGTGTATAGATATTTCCTTTTGATGGGAAAAGTTGCTCCCCATGTGAGATCCTTCAATTGTTCAATGAAAGGCTACTTCCTGCGTCCCAAAATCAAACATCTTACAGCTTATTAGGGGTATTACTATTGAAACATGTCGTACTCTTTCTCTTGGGTTACAGCTTCACACAATATATTCTCATTTAATCATCCCGACATTATTTTTACAATACCTAAAAATGTTAACACTTAGGAACATTATATATTTTTCTGTTAATATTACTGCTACATAGGGAAAATACCAGAATCCAAATCGAGTTTTCTCTCTCTTTTTAAGTTTGGAGGTACAAGTGCAGGTTTGTTACACAGGTAAACCTGTGTCATGGGGGTTTGTTGTACATATTATTTTGTCACCCAGGTATTAAGCCTAGGACACATTAGTTATTTTTCCTGATCCTCTCCTTCCTCCCAGCCTCCACCCTCTTACAAGCCCTAGTGTGTGTTGTTCCCCTCTATGTGTTCATGTGTTCTCATAATTTAGCTCCCAGTTATAAGTGAGAACATGTGGTATTTGGTTTTCTGTTCCCACATTAGTTTGCTGAGGATAATGGCCTCCAGCTCCATCCATGTACCTGCAAAGGACATGATCTCATTCTTTTTATGGCTGCATAGTATTCCATGGTGTATATGTACCACATTTTATTTATCTAGTCTGCCATTGATAGTCATTTAGGTTGATTCCATGTCTTTGCTATCGTGAACATATGCATGCAAGTGATTTTATAACAGAATGATTTGTATCCCAGTAATGGGATTGCTAGGTCAAATGGTATTTCTGTCTTTAGGTCTTTGAAGAATTGCCACACTGTTTTCCACAATGGCTGAACTAGTTTACATTCCCACCATCAGTGTATAAATGTTGCTTTTTCTCCACAACCTCATAAGCATCTGTTATTTTTGACTTTTTAATAATCCATTTCAAGTTCAGTGCTTTTTGCATTCTTTAGGACAGCTCAGTAAACTTTTTTTTTTTTTTTGAGACGGAGTCTCGCTCTGTCGCCCAGGCCGGACTGCGGACTGCAGTGGCGCAATCTCGGCTCACTGCAAGCTCCGCTTCCCGGGTTCACGCCATTCTCCTGCCTCAGCCTCCCGAGTAGCTGGGACTACAGGCGCCCGCCACCGCGCCCGGCTAATTTTTTGTATTTTTAGTAGAGACGGGGTTTCACCTTGTTAGCCAGGATGGTCTCGATCTCCTGACCTCATGATCCACCCGCCTCGGCCTCCCAAAGTGCTGGGATTACAGGTGTGAGCCACCGCGCCCGACCAACTTTTTAACATTTTGAATGAATGTAGTGCTTACTCTATATCTATTGCCCAATACTTATCAGAGGACTTCATATAAAGCCAACACTGTGCTGGAAGCAGTTCGGGAGTTTTACAAATCAGTTGTTACAAACAATTAGCTTGGAATTAGGCATGGTGGGAGTATTTTCACCCCACAGAAATTGATAAACGCTACAAATCTACCTCTCCAAGGTAAAATAAAAGCGCTGATTATTAAATATTTACCCAAAAAGCACTGGAAGTCACTCAATAATTCAGTGGTGAATGAATATTATGTCTTCTAACCAATTATCTTCCTTTGAACATATCATCCAATTTTAAAACTAAAATTATCAGTTTTCAATTATGGAAAATTCCACAGAACTGATGGAGTCTAAGTCATATTATTTTTAGAATAAATGGAAACTATCAGTTTATGTTAATGGTGAAAAATAAAGTCTATCCATTTAATTAATGTTAAAATTATAAATTTTTAAATAGCAATACTTTGAAGATTGTGATAGAATTCTTATGCCTTTTTGCTTATTTTTTGAAGAAAATTAGTACTGTAAACTTACTCAGATGTGAGTAATGGTTCCCTTATCATAAAAATCACTGTAATATTTTCCTGCTGGAAGTTTTGGAGAGCTCAGTTTACCTCCTGGGAGCCACTGCCCTCAGCATGTGCCCAAAGAACGTGGAGGCATTCTACTGATACAACTATTTCAAATGGTATTGTCAACTAGTAAAGGGATCATTTATGCAGCATTTGGGCCTGGGAAGAAGATAGTTCACCTTTAGTTTGGAAGAAAATTGTATAGAAAGCTTTTGATACTCTGTCTAAAATAATCTGAGTGCTTTTTTATACTATTGGAGGGTCTCTGTTGTTTCATTTACCATAAAGGTTGCAGCAGGCATTTCTTAGGCTGAAAGAATGAGAAAGGAAGGCAATTAGCATTTATTAAGCTTCTGATATTAGGCAGATACTTTACATATATTAGTTACTTAATCCTTACTATAGCCCTGTGAAGTATTATCATCATTTTATATGTGGATAACTAAAGCTCAGAAGAGTTAAGCAACTCATGTAAAGTTATGCAATTAGTAAGTGTAAAAAGGAGCAAAGAAACGTGAGGGAATAGGAATGGGGAGTACATGGAGAATGTGTTAGTACTATGGTGGGGCAAAAATGCATATATGTGTGTTTGTTTATATATATACATGTTATTAAAATGTGTGTGTGCATGTGTGTGTAAAACCCTGGTACTCAACATTAGGTTTGTTTGATTCCTAAAATATTAAAAGAATATATCAGGCACATATAGGCACCTGCATGTTGCATTTTGTTTAAACCTTACAGCAATCTTTGTTGCAGAGACAAGGTCACTGAGGTTTAGGGAGGTTATGTAATGTCTGAGTAAATGTATGAGCCATAAGAATATAGTCAAATTACACCATCATTTAGCAGCATTTATTTGTGATTTAATTGGGCTACAGTGTTAGAGTAGATGGGTGGTTGGTAAGTTCTATTCAGAGCCAGGAGAGATGATGTCTTTGTCTATTGTGCATGCACATAAGAATGGTGTCAGCATGGCTCACGCCTGTAATTCCAGCACTTTGGGAGGCCGAGGCGGGTGGATCACAAGATCAGGAGATTGAGGCCATCCTGGCTAACACGGTGAAACCCCGTCTCTACTGAAAATACAAAAAAAATTAGCCGGGCGCGGTGGCGGGTGCCTGTGGTCCCAGCTACTCTGGAGGCTGAGGCAGGAGAATGGCGTGAACCCGGGAGGTGGAGCTTGCAGTGAGCTGAGATCGCGCCACTGCACTCAAGCCTGGGTGAGACAGCGAGACTCCGTCTTAAAAAAAATAAAAATAAAAAAATGGTGTCAGCCAGCCTGAAACCCCATGAAAATACATTGGTGACAGTGGAAGCCTGAACCTAAACCTCAAGGTTTCTTCACAGAGAGAAGAACAGGACATGGAGACAACTGGTGGCTTGTCGTCAGCTTTCTTTACTGGTTGCATAACCTTTGCTCATGGAAAGGGGGGAGAAAAGACAGGCTTCTGGGCAGCCTGGTTCTGGAAACTAAGGAATAGGAGAGAGCTGCATTATTGCAACTAGGCATCCCTATATAAGAGGACAATATCCTGGCACGTTAATAGCTATCCCTGGGTAAAGAGGGAAGGACAAGGGGTAGAGAAAGGAGAATTTAAAAAGTAAAAGAAAACGGAGGAAAGGGAGAGAAAGACATTTATTGAATCACTCCATCCCAGACACTATTTATAAGTTAATTAATTTGATATTCATGGGAGATCCATAATGTAGACATATTAAACTGAATATTAATTTTTATTTACATGCAAGATACTCAGGTACAAAGTGGTTAATTAGCTTGATCACAGAGCTACCAAGTAACGGGTTTGGGTCCAAATACAAAGCACTATAACTCCAAGTAAAAAGAGTTATTATTTATGAACAGTCTCAACCTGAGAGACACAGGGTATTTAACTGACATTTAAGAATCATGACAATATTGCAAAGCAGGGATTGAAATCCTTCTTTTATGACTAAAAAATCTGAGATGAGAGGACATACCAGTCTTTTTCAAAGTCATGTTTACAAATTATGGTCTCAGGATTTGAAAACTGGTATTCCTGACTACAAAGCTTATGAGCTTTTTTTCTTACTTTATTCTCACTATTGCAGGAAATCTATTTCCACAAGCATACTCTCCTTTAAGACCATAGCTCTCCTTCCTGAAATTGCAAGTACTGCTAGCAACTTAGAGCTCTTAAAGTCAATGTCTCAGCCATGTGTGTGACCTCAAAGCATTTTTGTTATTAATGATGTCATGATTTTCTCCACAGCAACACTCCCTTATGTTCCAGATTTCATGAGTGAAAAACATTAAAGCCACATGGAAGGAAGTTGGTGGCATATAAAAACAGAAAAAAATTCTTTTTCCAAAGCACAATTTTGAAAAGACTGGCATTTTGGAAATACTGAGAAATTAAGAATTATAAAGCCTAACACACTCAGGGTACTAGAAAGGGACACGGAGACTTATTATGGCTGTATCACATTTATACAGTGGGAGGTAAGGGACAGGGAGTAAGATCTGTTCTCCATGGTATTTACTATCAATGACACTTTACAAACTTCTGCACTTGACAAGCTTAATTATAAAGATAACAACACTCTTAGATGACGTACATACCAAGCCCTAGACAAGCATTTTACATACCTCACCTGAATTAATCCTTATAATAACCTTAGTAGAAAACTATACTTATTGAGGTTAGCTTCTTCCTCCCAAAGCTAACAAGTGGCTGGACTCAAATTTGAACTTGACCCTGCCTGACACCAAAGTTCTGCATTCAAAATAAGCACATTTCATTGGACCATTTATCTAAGGGTTGCCCACATATATTTGTTTTCTATAGTTCTCTGATCTACTGGTTTAGCTATTAAAAGCATAATCAGTCTATTCCTGAGTAAGGTGAGGAAAGGGCTATGAAAACGCAAAGGGCACGTTAAAAATAACTACATTAAGCAAATCACTTCCCTTCACTGGACCTGAACTGTACAGTAGGGAGATTTTAAAAGAGAACTGCAAAGATCTTCTTCAAGGAAATGTGTTTGAGAGGCACCTGGGTGATGGAAAGTGGGTACCAGTTTCAAGTCACTGTTGCACGAGCTCTATCTCAGCTCTGACACTTGCTAGCTCTGTGACTCTGGGCAAAAGATTGCATCTGTCTGCACCTTCATTTCCTCAACTTTAAAATAGGAATAAAAACACCAACCTGTGAGTTAACATAGACTTAATGGGATAAAATGTGCTGGAAATATCCCACACAATTTCTGGAAAACATGATCAACACATTTTGTTTTCTTGCATTTCCCTCTTAACAAGAACCTTGTGAGAGGTTCTTGAAAGAATGAAGAAGGGAGAAGATCAATTCTTCAGATGAATTATATGATGCAGATCATTGACACATGAAAATATAACATCTGCTTCTCACTGTTTTTGTTTCTGTTTTCTCTAATAAGCAGAATGAAAGTGAATAAATCTTGGAATGAGAAAGTAACATTAGTTAGGAAAAATCAAAACCCAAGGAAGATTACGAGGAAAAATTTTATCTTATTCCTTCCTTTGGCACTCAGCTGAGCCTCTATTCTTAAGTCTAACTATTCATTAAAGAAATATTAACTTGGAAAGTGCCAGGTCCTATGTTTGGCTCCAAGAGTAAATGGGAACCTAGATAAAGTCCCTGTCCTCAAGGTACTAAAGGTAAGACCTTAGGGATACAAGCAAATAATTTTTTATTTTAATGCAGTGCAAAAAAAAAAAAAGTGCTCTGATAGGGACAGGACAACTTGCACACAACCTGTATCTGAGAGGCCAGCAGGGGCAATGACATATAAAACTAGAGAAGAAGGCACATTTTAATTGAAGAAAAATGGAAGGACCATGAAGCACTGATGCTTTGGCTTGAGAACGGATGGATAGGAGAGCCTTAGATGCCTAGGCAGAGATCTAGGTCTTTATTTCAAGGATATGGAGCATTCAAGAAGTAATGTGACATGGCCAGAAGCAATGACTACAGCACCACATGCAAACAGACAATGTGTGTGTGTGTGTGTGTGTGTGTGTGTGTGTGTGCGCGTGCACACATATGAAGATGAGAGAGAGGTCTGGGTCTATATAGCATGTCTGGTAATAATTTTATCTTGGAACAGTGCTGCAGCTCTGGGCTCTCCCTTAACCTGTTCTGGCCATTTGTTTTATCAGATAATCTATTTCCATTCTCTTTTGTGTAGCTACTTTTTGCTCCTTAAGATATTTTTTTTTCCCACTGTCAATTCTCCTAAAAACCCCCTTATTTATCTCTCAGGGGACCAGCTCATTCACTTCAGTACACATTGTCGAGGCCCACGCACTCTCCCCTAGTGCCAGTTTTAGTACAGGTTTATCATCCTTCCTTTGAAAGCCACTTCAGGTGTTTTCTCTTCTTCCCCAAACAGCACAGAGGCTGAAACAGGTGAGGATTCATCGAGAAGAAAGGTCACTGGTTAATAGGCACGGCCGGAAAGTTTCCATCAAACAGGTTCTTTTACATAGTTCATAAAGCCCCAAGCAGCTCTGGGAAATGGAAAATGGCCCAAGGAGAAATGGCTAGGTGTCTCATGCAGAGGCTGCCTCATGTACAAAACACCTCAAATCCATCCTCTTCTTTGCAGGTTAGAAAAAGAACACAGTTTTTAATTATACATACACACACACCATGGGTAGTAGTGAGCAAGAACTCACTGCCCCACACTTTCCACCCCCATCCAGCTCCACATAGTTAAGCACTTTTAATTTCTTGAACTTTCTTTGCATTTTTTCTAATAGTTACTTATTTTTAAATATGCCTATACTATTATTTCATAATTTCTCACTTTGAGACATTTTTGGTTGATTTTAGAACTCCAGAACACTTCCACCCAACCTTCTCTCCATCCTTCATCCACTAGGTGTGACACTCTCTCTGCTTTCCATGGTTCCCTCCCCATTTTTATCTCATAGGCATTCTTCCTAATTAGATGATGGCATGTGTAATTGAATTTTGACATCTCTTTCTTGGAAGGTCTGGATTAAGAGAGTATCTTTCTTAAATTCTGGGACTGCCACAAGATAAAGTCTAGATTCCTCAGCAAAGCACACACAGCCCTTTACAGTTATTACTAGCCAACACCCATTTCAAGCTGTGTCTCATCATACATGAATCCAGACTCCCCAGGGATCACCACCCACTCCTTCCTCTTGTTCTTTGTACATGCCATTCCCTTTCTTATTTCTGGAATTCCTTCTTTTCTCTTGCCTACCTGGGAAACTTCTCATTATTCAGGAATGTGTTCAATCACCCTCTCTCACCCCCAACCTGTAGGTGGGGCACGATGTCCCCTGATGTTCCTGTCACCCTCACAGTACTCTGCTGAGGTCTATTGCAGTTTTGACCACAAAGTGGGATGGCTTTTTTTTATGTGTTTGGCTCCCACCTGGACTAATGATCTTAGAAGGCAAGCTGCATCCCCCATATCGCTTCCTCTTCTGTCAATTGGGAGTAAAGGAATGAGGCTGTTGTGAAGAGAGAGACCTATATTTAAATCCTGGCATTTAATAGGTGAAATCACTTCAAAAAGTGACATTCAATAAGGGACATCATTTATTGGTTGCTTGACTTAGATCATGTGACTTAGTTTTTTGAAGCCAAATGAGGCTTCTCTGGCAAATGAGGACAACAACACTAAGGGTGGCTTTAGACCTGCTACAGAGAATATCATGCTTACTCCTTCATGGAGAGACTCCTGCACAGCCCTAAACTCTGAAGTTTGATTTGATGTGCAACTAAATGGGATTCTGGGGTTGCATCCTTGGAGGGAAGGAAGGGTGAGTATATTTTGTATGCTAGATGGAAAGTGAGCCAAATATTTGGCAATGAAAAGAGGAACTATGTAGCTTATTAATTGTGTCTCCCAAATATTTCTGGGTCCCTCTTTTTCCAGACAGATGGTAGGATTGTACATCCTTGGCTTCTTGGATGTAATTCTGGCCATGTAACTTTCTTTGGTGAATGGAATGTGATCAGGCTATATAGATTCCTTCTGGGCAGAGTGTTAAAGGCTGGCATGCGATCCATCTTCTCACTCTGTGTCCCACTGCTGTGCATCTGGTGATGTTCTAGACAGTGGCTGTTCCATCAGTCTGCTTCTTAGAGGGAGGGCATTGAAGAACAGGGTTAGAGCCAAACCATTATGAACTTTGTTCATAAGCGAAAAATTAGCCTCTATTTCTTCAACCACTGAAATTGCAGGGCTGTTTGTCACACATGGTAGGAAAAATTCAAGGTGGTCTCATTACCTTTTCTCCCTGGTGTTACTCCCAGTCCTTTACACTGCAAAAGGGATTTTGCAGATGTAATTAAGACTATAAATAACTGATAAGGAGATTACCTGGGTGGGCCTAATCTAACTGCATGAGTCCTTTAAGAGAGTTGTCTCTGGCTGGTGGCAGAAGAAATTAGTTTTCAAGTGTGAGGGGCATTCAGTGCAAGGGAGATTTTTGCTGCTGAGATGGGAGGGATCATACGGAAAGACCTGAGAATGGCTTCTAGGAGCAGAGAGTGCCCCCAAACAAACAGTCAGCAAGTTGTCATCAGCCAACAACTCAAATGAGCTTGGAAGCGAATTCTTTCCCAAAAACTCCAGACAGGTGCCCCACCTGCCAGACACTTCTATTTAAGCCTTGTGAGACCATACAGAGAGAACTAATGCTCATGAATATTTCTGGTCTATGAGCTAATAAGCTATGAACTAATAGGTGACTTTTAAGCTGCTCATTTTGTGCATTTGTGATGAAGGTATGGGAAACCAATACATTAAAACACCACATCCTAGCCCACCTAGACTGATACACAATTCAGATTTGCAGTGAGGATGATTCCACTGTAAGCGCTTTTAAGGCAGAGACTGTGTCTTAAAGCATTTCTTTATTGAGAACCAAGAAAAGTGCCTGAAAATTATGTGCGCTTATTACTCATGACTTTAATCAAACAGAAAATAAGATTAATGCAATGTGTTTAGCAAAGTGTCAGATGTATACTCAATAAAATTTCTTGTAAGCATGTTATAAAAATCACTGGTGTAAATTGGAAAATGTATCACAGCTTTGAGAAATGTATCACAGCTTTGAGAAATGGTTAACTCTTTCCTCCATTCTTTTCAAACCACATAGTAGCAGTATATAATTGGAATTATATATGTGTGTGTATGTGTGTATGTGTGTATATATACACATATATATGTGTATATATATACATGTGTGTGTATATGTGTGTATGTGTGTATGTGTGTATATATATACACATATGTGTATATATAAATATGTATATATTTATGTGTATATATATAAATATGTATATATTTATGTGTGTATATATAAATATGTATATATTTATGTGTGTATATATAAATATGTATATATTTATGTGTGTATATATAAATATGTATATATTTATGTGTATATATAAATATGTATATATTTATGTGTATATATAAATATGTATATATTTATGTGTATATATAAATATGTATATATTTATGTGTATATATAAATATGTATATATTTATATGTGTGTATATATATAAATATGTATATATTTATGTGTGTATATATATAAATATGTATATATTTGTGTGTATATATAAATATGTATATATTTATGTGTGTATATATAAATATGTATATATTTATGTGTGTATATATAAATATGTATATATTTATGTGTGTATATATAAATATGTATATATTTATGTGTGTATATATAAATATGTATATATTTATGTGTGTATATATAAATATGTATATATTTATGTGTGTATATATAAATATGTATATATTTATGTGTGTATATATAAATATGTATATATTTATGTGTGTATATATAAATATGTATATATTTATGTGTGTATATATAAATATGTATATATTTATGTGTGTATATATAAATATGTATATATTTATGTGTGTATATATAAATATGTATATATTTATGTGTGTATATATAAATATGTATATATTTATGTGTGTATATATAAATATGTATATATTTATGTGTGTATATATAAATATGTATATATTTATGTGTGTATATATAAATATGTATATATACACACATATATACATATGTATACACACATACACATACACATACTATACCTGAATACATAATAAGCAAAACTACATCCTTCAGAGTCATGGATCACTACTGTTTTCAATTCCTCAAGAATCCTTCTCTGAACCCTCAGAGTAGATGGAGTAGATGGAGTCTTCTGGTTATATTTTTTCAAAGCATCCTCTATCTTTCCTCTAATCAATTTTCTCAACTATAATCAAATAATTATTTGTGTAATTGACTACTTAAAGTCTGGCTACTCCCTCTAAGGACATCAACCATGTTTGGGTGATTGAAGTTGTTTTTCTGTGACATCTTCTACTTCCTGACATATAGTAAATGTTTGATGTAAAATCCCAACAGAGAAGAGGAGCAAGCCAGGAAAGAACAGGGTCAATCTTCAGTAATGCTGCACAGGGCAGGACTTATTCTTCCAAGGATACGTAAAGGAAGAGGAACACTGGCCAGCATGCTAGGGACAGGACATTAGGACATCATTCTGTGTAAGGGATGCTAGTTGAGCTCTAATCCAATGAGCTAGGGTTCGGGGGACTGGAGGACAAGCAAAAAAAAAAATCCCAGTGGTAAATTCTGGCCTTCAGATTGGGCTGATACAATGAGAGTTGTAGGAAAACCTGATTAGAAACCAAGTGGGCTCCCAGTTGATTCATTCTGAGATTCTAGTGTCAAGTCTGTTTGACAACTGTGACCTAGCACAAGAGAAACAAATTGTTTCTGCGTCAGGAGATCAGATGTGGGTCTGGGGAAGGGAATTAATTATAAGACTCATAAGATACTTGATAACTATAGACGACACTTACCTAGTGTGTTGGGAATAGGAACTGGTTAGGCACTTTATGTGTTGTCATATTTTTATCATCTATAGAGAAACTCTTAGAGGGAAGTGCTAATAGAATCTTCATTTTAAATATGAGAACTTGAAGCAGCTTCTCAAAATTATAAAGCCAGTATCAAGGTCATAAGGCTGATCAGTGGTAAAACATGGCAGTCTGCAGGCTGAGGCCACAATCTAACATCATCTCAGTGTGAGGTGACGAAAGGGAGTGTGTGTTGGAAGCCACACATAGAGATGAAATCTGGTCCTACTATTTTGCAGCTGGGCTAACGTAAACAAATTTATTAACCTTTCTGAGCTTTGTTTGTCCTTTTCTACAAAGTAGGCACAATTATAGTTAAGTCCAGGAGTGGTGATGGGATTAGATAATCATAATCATGGAAAGTGTTCAACAGAGCAGATTTTCAACCCATTACATAGCCCCTCACCTTCTTTCTGCCTCTTTAGGGATTGATTTGTGCATCTGAGGGGGCCTTTATCTACTTGCAGAAATCCTCAGACCTTACCCAGCTGGGAAGGTTAAGGAAAAAGAGAGGTGAGATAATCAAGAATTGCCTGCCTTGCTATTTCTGGCCTATTTGCTTGCTGCTGAATGAAGATAATAGTGCTTAGCTTACACGGTTTTTATGAAGATCATATGAGATCATTTTTGTAAGAGTGCTCTACAAATGTAATATAAGGGCATGTCAGGTATTATTATTCCTTCAATTTTGTCTCATTCAACAGAAAAGAAGACAGAAAGAATCCCAAAGCCAGAGCATTGTTAGGAGACAGATTTGTGTTTTCAATTGTTCTTCTTGGAAATTCTAAAAGTAGTTTCAGCCTGAATGAGTATTGAAGCGATTTCAATTTCCTTTTAAATTGAGAGATTCCAAAACTCTGTGATTTAGGCCCTCTGGAAAAACCACTGAAGCTGTCTTCCTGCTCTCGGTTTTAATCAAGTACTTGATACTTAGCTGAAAGTAAAAAAAAATAATGTCTTCAATAATGGTTAACCATTATAGAAAGACAAGCAAGTTCACCCATTGAGGAACTGCTCTGGTTTGAAGAACCAAATTCATTATGTTGGTTTCCAAGGTCCTTTATAGTCTGAAACCTATTTTATTTTTCACTCTGACTTTCCCCTCCAGCTTCCAGTCCCAACTCTGTTTGCACTGATCTACTCACCACTCAGTTGATATATCATTCAACCCCATGCCTCTGTGCTTTAATTCATGCTTTTTGTCTGCCTAGAATGAATGCATTTCCCACCACCAGCCTTCCCACACCATGTATAGACTTCCCTATCCTGAAATCAGAATTTATGTTTTCTTCCTCTGTGTTTCCCCTGGAGTCATTTATCCAGCCAACCATCCCCTCCCTTCCTTCCCCCATCCAACTCTCCGTCCATCCTTCTCTCTCTTCCTCTGTCATCCAGCATCTGACAGTCTCCTGTATTCCTGGCACTGTCCAAAATCTTAAAGCCCTACAAAAGGGTAAAAAAACAAATGAGCAAACAAAACACTACTGCTCAGTCTTCAAATGGCCCTTTATTTAATATGAGTAATTACAAAATATTGTGGTCACAGTGAGAAGCTAAGAAAATGGTTACAGCTGAAAACAGAAAAATATTTTCTCATGGGAAAATCAAATAAGACTTCAGATAGGAGGTGATATTCCCATTTACCCCTTTTGAAGAATGAATATGAAATTGTCATATGGAGCACCTAAATTGCAGCAAATTTCATACTGTTATATGCTACTTGAATATGTGCCTTCCTACCTCTGTTATTCTGGGAGTCACTGGAGAGTATAAGTCATATTTTTTGTAGATACTGGATATTCATATTCATACCTTGTCAGATGCATAGTCTGCAAATATTTTCTACTATTCTATAGGTTTTCTGTTTACTCTATTGTAATTTCTTTTGCTTTTCAGAAGCTTTGTAGTTTATGTCCCATTTATCTAATCTATTTTTGTTGTCGTTGTTGCATTTGTCTTTCGGGTCTCAGTTTAAAAATGTTTTGCCTAGATTAACATTCAGAAGACTTTTCCCTAGGTTTTCTTTTACTATTTTTATAGTTTTAGGCTAAGTCTTTAATTTATCTAGAGTTGATTATTGTATACGGTGAGAGATAGGGGTTCAGTTTCATTCTTCTGCACATGACAATTCAATTTTCTCAGCACAATTTATTGGAAAGAGTGTCCTTTCCTTGGTGTATGTTTTTGCCATCTTTGTCAAGCATCAGTTAGCTGTATTCACAAGTACCATGCTGTTTTGGTTACTGTAGCCTTGTACTATAATTTGAAGTCAGGAAATGTGACGCCTCTAGCTTTGTTCTTTTTGCTTAAGGTTTCTTTGGCAACATCATCCACAACAACAACTAAAATCTCTAGTACAAAGTGGGCAGAGGACATGAATAGACATTTTTCAGAAGAAGACATACAGATGGCCAAGAAGCATATGAAAAAATGCTCAACATACTTAATCATCAGAGAAATGTAAATCAAAACCACAATGAGATACTCTCTCACATCAGTCAAAATGGCTATTATGAAAAAGATGAAAAATAACAGATGTTGGCAGGATGCATAGAAAAGGGAATGCTGATACACTGTTGGTACTAATGTAGATTAGTACAAGCTCTATGAAAAACAGTATGGCGATTTTTCAAAGAACTAAAAATAGGACTAGCATTTGATCTAGCAATCCCACTACTAGGTATCTACCCAAAAGAAAATAAACCATTATATAAAACAGATACCAGCACTTATATGTTTATTATAACACTATTCACAATAGCAAGGATATAAAGATATGGAATCAACCTGAGTGTCCATCAGTGGATGATTGGATATATATTTTTATATATGGAATACTACTCAGCCATAAAAAAGAATGAGATCATGTCTTTTGCAGCAACATAGATAGAACTGGAGGCCATTATCCTAGGCAAAATAACTCAGAAACACTAAGTCAAATACCACATGTTCTCACTTATAAATGGGAGCTGAATTATGTGTACACATGGACATAGAGTATGGAATAAAAGACACTGGAGACTCAGAAGGGTGGAAAGTTATAAGGGGGATGAAAGATGAGAAATTGCCTAGTGGGTACAATTTACATTATTTGAATGATGTTTACACTAAAAGCTCAGACTTCACCACTATGCAACATATCCATATAAGAAAACTGCACTTTTGTCTTTTTTTACATACAACAAAAAATGACTTATTCATTCATAGTCTTTTAAGGAATTCCTGGCACATTGAAATGAATAGATAGACAGATATATGGTGAGGTTTTAGGGAGAGGAAAATATTTTCTTTTTCTTGACATACAGGAGCTCATGATGACAATATAAGACAAAAACCAGGCTTAGAGATGAGCACTAAGAAGAATCTCATGCTACATTATGAAACAATAATAATAACTAATGCTTATTAAGCACTTAGTAGGTTACAGACACTTGCTGAATATTTTCCCTGTATTACCATAATCTATAAAACAATCTTGGATATGGGGATTATTCTTATCTCTATTTTAAGCTGAAAAGACTGAAGCACAAAGAGGTGAAGCAGCTTTCTTATGTCACAGACTTATGATTCAGCTAAGATTTAACTCTGGCATCAGTAGCATTCCTGTACATTAATAGTATCCAAGCCAAGAGCGAAATCAGAAATGAAATCCCATTCACAGTTGCCACAAAAAGAATAAAATATCAAGGAATACAGCTAATCAGGGAGCCGAAAGGTCTCTACAAGGAAAACTACAAAACACTGATCCACGAAATCAAAGCTGACACAAACAAATGAAAAAAAATATTCCATGCTCATGAATCGGAAGAATCAATATAATTAAAGTGCCCATACTGCACAAAGAAATATATAAATTCAATGCTATTCCTATTAAGCTACTGAAATTCTCTACAGAACTAGAAAAAACCATTATAAAATTCATATAGAACCAAAAGAGAGCCCAAATAACTAAGGAGATCCTAAGCAAAAATAATGAAGCTGAAGGCATCATGCTACCCAACTTCAAACTATACTATAGGGCTACAGTAACCAAAACAGCATGGTAGTAATACAAAAACAGACACATAGACCAATGGAACAGAAGAGAGAGCACAGAAATAAGGCCACACATCTATAACTATCTGATCTTTGATAAAGCTAACAAAAACAAGCAATGGGGAAAGAACTCCCTATTCAATAAATGGTGCAGGGATAAATGGCTATCCATATGCAGAAGATTAAAACTAGATCCCTGCCTTATACCATATACAAAAATCAACTCAACATGGAGTAAAGACTTAAATGTAAAACCCAAAAGTATAAAAACCCTGGAAGACAACTTAGGCAATACCATTCTGGACATAGGAACAGGCAAAAGCAATCACAACAAAATTGAGAAATGTGATCTAATTAAACTAAAGGATTTCTTCACAGCAAAAGAAACTATCAACAAAATAAACAGACAACCTACAGAATGTGAGAAAATATTCACAAACTATGCATATGAAAAAAGGTCTAATATCCAGCATCTATTAGGAACCTAAACAAATTTAGAAGAAGAAAAAAACCCATTAAAAAGTAGGCAAGAGACATGAGCAGACACTTTAAAAAAGAAGACATACATGCAGCCAGCAAGCATATGAAAAAATCTCAACATCACTGATCATTAGAGAAATGCAAATCAAAACCACAATGAGACACCATCTCACACCAGTCACAATGGCTATGATAAAAAAAAAAAAAAGTCAAAAAATTACAGATGCTGGCTAGGTTGTGGAGAAAAAGAACACTTAAACACTGTTGGTGGGAGTGTAAATTAGTTCAAACATTGTGGAAAACATTGTGGTGATTCCTGAAAGAACTAAAAACAGAACTACCTTTCAACTCAGCCATCCCATTACTGGCTAGCTATTGAAAAGAATACAAATTATTCTATCATAAAGGCACATGCATATGTATGTCGACTGCAGCACTGTTCATAATAGCAAAGACACAGAATCAACCTAAATGCCCATCAATGGGAGACCGGATAAAGAAAATGCGGGATATATGCACCATGGAATACCATGCAGCCATAAAAGAGAATGAGATCATGTCCTTTGTAGGAACTTGGATGGAGCTGAAGGCCGTTATCCTTACCAAACTAATGCAGAAACAGAAAACCAAAATACTGCATGTTCTCACTTAAAAGTGGGAGCTAAATGATGAGAACACATGGACACAAAGAGGGGGACCTCACACACTAGGGCCTATTGGACGGTGGAGGTTAGGATGAGAGAGAGGATCAGGAAAAATAACTAATGGGTGCTAGGCTTAGTACCTGGGTGACAAAATAATCTATACAACAAACCCCTGTAACACGTTTATCTATATAACAAACCTGCACATGTACTCCTGAACTTAAAATAATTTTTTTTTAAGAATTCCGCGTCACGCTTAGTAACTAGTTTTTTATCTTGCAGGTTGTAAGCAGAGCAAGAACATTTTCAGGTTAGTTTTCTCTACTGACCACTCTGATGGCATTACAGATAATAGAATAGAGAGAATGAGATTGGCTGAAGGGAGCCCAAGAGAGTTACTGCAGTAATCCAGGCACGAGGAGAGATGATGGGTGCCATGGTTTGAATGTTCCCTCCAAAACTTCATTTTGAAATCTAATTGTTATTGTGACGGTACTAAGGGGTAAGACCTTTAAGAGGTGATTAGGTGATGAGGGCTCTGCCTCATGAATTGATTAGTATTGTTATCATGAGAGTGAGTTAGTCTTCATAGTAGCGAGTTTTTAACAAAAGCATTAAGTTCAGACCTCCATTCTCTCTGTCTCACATGCTTGCTTGCCTTTCTGCGATGTTGATGCAGTACAAAAGCCTCTGTCAGATGCCAGCAGGATGTTCTTAGACTTCCCAGTCTCAAGAACCATAAGCCAAATAAATTCCTCTTTATTAAAACTTACCCAGTCTCAGGCATTCTATTATTGCTGCAAAAAGTAGACTAAGACAATGGGCCTTAAGCTAAGGTAGTGACAGTGGAGATATCTAGACAGGGGGCATTTGAGAGACATTAGGAGTCACTGCAGGTTGATAACTGTCTGCGGATGGTGAGGACAGGGATGGAAGAAGTTGAGGTTCCTCTTCCAGATCCTGCTTCAGACATTGTGAAGTTGGCCACACCAGGATGAGCAACACTCAGAAGAGAAAGCAGACGAGGCACTGGTGGAACCCTAATTGGTGATATCCTGCTGATGGTTGGATGTATGAGTCTGAAGTTAAGAAAGTTCTGGTCTTGAAGACACAGGCACACATATGTTTATTGCGGCACTGTTCACAATAGCAAAGACTTGGAACCAACCCAAATTCCTATCAGTGATAGACTAGATAAAGAAAATGTGGCACATATACACCATGGGATACTATTCAGCCATAAAAAAGGATGAGTTCATGTCCTTTGCAGAGACATGGGTGAAACTGGAAACCATCATTCTCAGCAAACTAACACAAGAACAGAAAACCAAACACCGCATGTCCTCGCTCAAAAGTGGAAGTTGAACATGAGAACACATGGACACAGGGAGGCGAACATCACACACTGGAGCCTGTGAGGGGTTGGGGGCTAGGGGAGGGATAGCATTAGGAGAAATATCTAATGTAGATGACGGGTTGATGGGTGCAGCAAACCACCATGGCATGTGTATACCTATGTAACAAACCTGCACGTTCTGCACATGTACTCCAGAACTTAAAGTATAATAAATAAATAAATAAATAAATGAAATAGAAACTTACCATAGTTTGTAAAGACATGATAATTAAAGCCATGTGGCTGGTGGAGTAACCCAGAAAGATAACAGAGTTTGCAGAGGGAAGAGAGACTTTGGCATGTATAAATGATGGAAACAACCTGGAAGAGAGGAAAGAATTGAAGGTATATAAGGATAGTGGGGTCTAATCAGTGCAGCAAGATTCCTGAGAGTGGAATTCAATCCACAATGCAAGAAGGTTAGCTTTATTTAAAGAAGGACCCATTGTCTGTGGTGTAAGAAGGGAATGAGGAAAATACAGATGCAGATGCAGGTAAGATGTGGGAGTTGTGCCTTGTATTTTCTCCGTGAAGTAGGAGGCAAGTTGATGTAATTAGATTGAGAAAGGAAGGTTTGAATGATCAGATATTTGGAAAAAAATTAACGGAGGTTTGAAATGAAGGTGTTCCAAAGCAGTGTGCAGGACCTGGTTAGAGTGAGAGGCTGAAAGCACATTGCAATTTCAGGGGAAACAGCATATGAAGTAGAGCATGACAGGAGAGAATTAAGGATATTAAGCCACCCGTGCCTTCGGTATTCCCTGATTTTAACATCTGCCTCATCCAGTCCCCAGCAGTACCAGCAACTGTCATAAAGACTGATGTTGAGGGATGGCACCAACTTCCAGAGCACCCAACATCTGTTTTTATTCATTTGCTACTAGATTTCAGATCCCTTTTGAACCAGCATTGTGAAACATTTTAGAGAAACTGATAAACAATAGAGCTTTCATGTTGGGTGAATGTGCTTAGTTACATTTCTCTTAAGTAACAGGAAGAGACTTAAAATAAAACTCTTTGGATTAGATTAATATACCACTAGGTTAAGGCTAACACATCTCTATTTAGTCAGAGAAAAATTTAAATCACCTTAAGTACTTATCTCCATACAGACAGGCAAGTCTATGTTACTATGGCTTTTATTTCCATGGTAAATTTACATAAGGAATAGTAACAGTTCTCTGAGCTTTGTAATTAGCCCTGAGTTGGAATCCTGGCATTGCCACAAACCAGCTGTGAGACTTTGGGCAAATTAGTCAAATGCAAATGCACTGCATGTCAATTTTCTCATCTGTAAAATGGGAGCTTTGAGGCATACCTTGGAGTATTGCATAAAATACTAGAAATAATATATTTTAAATGTCTAGAATAGTGCTCAGTAACAAATACGTCACAATACTTTATTGTTATAAAAAAGAATAAATGTTTATAAAAGGGATTCATACACTCAGGAGAAAAGAATGTATTTTATTCTTAAGCAAAACCAAACACTGTCTTTATCCTGAAGAGATGAGAATAATGGCAGCTGACTTGTCATAAAGTATAAAAAAATGAATTTTCCCTCCGTTCTTCTGGAAACCAGACAAAGAACTGGGTCGCTGCTGTTCTGGGGAGACAATTTAGGCTTAATGCAGTGATTAGACAAAAAAGAATAGACATCAGGCTGAGACTGTTCAACTGGCAACACAATCTAACATCATCTTCTATTTGTTGTTTTGTGTTTGCTTTATTCATTACATTATTTTCAAGTTTGCATTTCACTTATGGCAAGTGATTCTTATTTTCCATTTAAGATAGTAATTGATGTTCATTTTTTAAATTTTATTATTATTATACTTTAAGTTTTAGGGTACATGTGCACAATGTGCAGGTTTGTTACATATGTATACATGTGCCATGTTGGTGTGCTGCACCCATTAACTCATCGTTTAGCATTAGGTATATCTCCTAATTGCTATCCCTCCCCCCTCCCCCCAGATGTTCATTTTTAAAGTGAAAATTTTATAGTAAAAAGTGAATCAGTTAAAAGAGAAATACTAAATATCAGTGTTTTGCATATAAGGCAAATATCCTAAATATGACAAAGAAATGATTGATATTTAAGAAATACTGGCTCAGTTAAGGAGAAGTCTGCCTACTCTTCAATCTCTTCAAGTCTCACCTGTTATGGTTTTGCATTCATGAGGGAGTCAGATAGATTCAGTATTTGATAACTTGATGACAGTGATTCTCAAAAGGGGACAACTCTCCAAAATGAATTTTAGAAAGGTATAGTGAACATTTTCATTTATCTCCCAAATTGGGCATAGTGATCAATATTTTATATGTGAAAATCAGGATGCTGGTGTTCTGCATTGCCAGAGACAGCCCCTCACATAAAAAAACTGTTTCTCACTCCATATCATTTTCAAAGTTTCTACTCTGTACTTTTTAACAAATGCTTTTAATTATTACACACACACATGCACACACACGATTGTAATTTTCATGGTACTAAAATAAACATAATTGTCCAGGAATGCAGCTACCATGCAAAATGAGAAAATATTTTGTTATTTTTAGAATGTTACTACGGTCTGTTCCCCACTGAGAAAATCACCAACAGTAATGAATTTGTGATATTTGAGTTGCCAAGATAATACACTCAGATACAATGTGTTTGTAGCTGTCATATTCTGGTGAGCCTGTGATCCTGGAAACATCTGACAATGTGTTAAGCCTTCTAGAATATTCATACGTCAGTAATCACAGATAAAATAATTACAATAATAAAAAATTTCTGTGTACATTGTAAAATATTTATAATCCAGTAGCATATATTATGTATTGGATTAAAGATTTTGTTTTATTAAAACTTTATTTTATATACTACATTCAAGTCTTTCTGTTGGCTTTTCTTGAAATTATATGTGTAACTGGTTATATTATCTATGAATTTCACCTGATGATTTTACAAAAGGGCCTCTAAAAAGTGGAGATGTTGGGACAAATAGAGTACCCTGACTGATATTGTTGAGTCCACCAGTGCTAGGTTCAAATTCTGACAATTTACACCTGAAGTCCTCTAAGCTAGTTTCTATATTTGAATCTTACTTTTCCCATTGCAGATACAAAAAAAAGAAGCATATAAGGTTTTACAAATGCAACTTTTATATAAAAGCCAACTTCTTAGTTGCATACCCCCTAATGTTATCCCTGTGATATCTTGAGCAGTTTTTTATCTGGGTTCCTATTTGCAGCCTGGCTTCCTATTTGCAAGGAGAGGATTATATCAGTGTACTGAGGATTGTATCAGACCCCGCAATGCACTTAGCAGGGCACCTAGCACATGTAAAGTATTAAAAATATGCTAGCCTTTCTGTATAAATTGTAATTTTGCAAAGATTGCTTACCCCTCTGAGCCTCATCTGTGAGATGAAGATAAAAACTGTTATTTCAGAAGATTGTTACGAGAATCTACTGATACAATGTTTGCAAACTAAGCTTTGTGCTTGACAGGTCATAAGTCTTTAAATGTTAACTCTTTTCTCTTCATATGTGCTCATCTTAACTCTACCTCCTATAAATCCTATTCCTGAAACCACAGCACTCAATATGTTATATTTAGGAACTATAGCCTCTCTAAATTAATCACAGTAGAGAAACATGGCAATTAACAGGTATGCCACTCCAAAGTTGGCTTTTATATGACAGTTGAATCTGTAAAACCTTGTATGATTCTTTTGTTTTTTTTTTTTGTTTTTTTTGTTTTTTTGTATCTGCAATGGGAAAAGTAAGCTTCAAATATAAAACCACAGTCAAAGACTTCAGGTGTAAACTGTATGTATTTCAGATTGCATATGAATTTAAATGGCTTTCCTGATAATATTAGTAAGATAAAATGGAAGGGATGCACATTTCTCCATTCTGAGCTCTTCAGAGCCTTCACATTATTTAGATTTGGACATTTCATTGGAGCTCTGGGCACCCTGTAAATTGCAAACGTGCTTGTACTATGAATAGTCTTAAATGTTCAGTGAGTAATACAGTCGTTCATATCCCCCTCTCACCGGGCATGCAATTCACCTGTCTTTTTTTTTTTTTTTTTTTTTTTTTTTTTGAGACAGTGTCTCACTCTGTCACCCAGGCTGGAGTGCAATGGCGTGATCTCGGCTCACTGAAACCTCTGCCTCCCAGGTTCAAGCGATTCTCCTGCCTCAGCCTCCCAAGTAGCTGGGACTACAGGCACCGGCCACCACACTCAGCTAATTTTTTTTTATATTTTTAATAGAGACGGGGTTTCACCATGTCGGCCAGGATAGTCTTGATCTCTTGACCTCGTGATCCACCCGCCTCGGCCCCCCAAAGTGCTGGGATTACAGGCGTGAGCCACCGTGCCCGGCCAATTCACCTGTCTTACATCAAGACTGGTTATAGGTGGTGTAGAGGCTACCCAGACTACACCAGTGCTAATTAAGACCTGGAGCTTAGGAAAGATCCACAGGTCATTTCTTCCAGACTTCCCTTTACACCTCCTCTGAATTCCCACATCTTCCTTATCCTTCAAGGCAAAAGTTATAAAAAGCATAGATTCTAGGCTTAGACAAAAGGTTTGAACTCTTACGCAATCACATATGAGCTATATAACATTATTCAAACCCTCATCATGTTAATTTCCTTATCTATAAAGTAGAGATCACATACACTTGTTATACATTTGACAATAAATAAATGAGATAATATGTAATGAGTGCATGACGTGAAATCTCTTTTTTTCAAAAAGGCAACTTTTATCTTCCAATGAACATTTTTTTAGTGCTTAATTTATCTTCCAGCTAGCAATTGCTTTTTTTACATATACCTCCAAATGTTAATCTTCACTTAAAGCTGTTGAAGGTGACAACATTCATTTTTTATATGTCCCCAGCCAGCCCTAAAAGTTTCTAACATAGAGTTGAATACAGATAAATGATAGCATGTGGATGTGTATTTCAGGCATATGAGAACAGCAAACAGTGCATCAAGAGAATGAAATACAGTCATCCCTCCATATCTCCATGTCTGCAGGGCCACCTGTGGGACTTGAGCATCTGTGAATTTTGATATGTGAGGGGGTCCCAGAACCAGTCCTTCATGGATACTGAGGGACAACTATGTACAAGAAATGTTTGGTGGCCAGAAAAATCAGGCATCAGTTTTAATGTATATGTAAATTAATAGTCTATTCAAATACTTTTCTACAGCCTGTACTACTTTTGGACAGAAATTATTATTTTCATTTAGTGGAAATATGGGCAGATAATCTGATGGGTCCACAGTCATGAAACTGGTTAGTGTCTGCATCAGTTAAAATGCTGTCAGTTGCTAGGGGAAGAAAACCTGATTCAAACCAGCTAAGAAAAAGGGGAGTGGGTGCTCACGTAAGGTAAAATGTCCAGGATTAGACCTGGCTTTACCTAAATCATGATTCAGGGTCCAAGCGGTGTCACAAGTTCCACTTTTCTCTCTAGTTCCTCTCGGTGGGACACATTATGGGTTCTTCCTGGTGACTCCTGAAATAGCTTCAGGTTATCAATGCCCCAGCATCTGTTCCAGCACTTCCCAGAGAGTGCTGACAGGAGTCAGAGAACTGAGTCATGGTGACAGTGAATGGCCTGAACTGGATCACTTCTCAACTCCTGAACGGGTTTCCATGGCTGGGGGTGCTGTATGCATTGACAGCATAGCTCAGTCAAGGCCTACGCATCTGGAATCTGGGTGGAGGGGATTGTATGGGCAGGGGAGGGGGATAAAGTCAGCCTTGTTTACCTTATGCATGTGGACCAGAAAAGGAAGGACTATCCTCCCAAAGCAAAATCAGAACATTGTTCTCAAAAGATTGATAAGGCATGTGGTAGGCAAAATAATAAAAGTCTACTCCTGTGGCAGAATCAAGAGAACACACTCCTCACGAAGGTCTTATAATTGTCCTTTTCCTTAAGTATCCTGGGATTATCTGTTGGAATTCATATATATGTGTGTGTGTGTATATATATATATATATATATATATATGTGTGTGTGTGTGTGTATATACATATGTCTGTGCATATATGTGTGTGTATGTATATATACACACACACACAAATACACACACATGCATATATCATCCATATCTATGTATTATATACATGCACATATATATTTTTCATTTCACTTCAATACTATATATATATACATGCATATATATGTGTGTGTGTGTGTGTGTGTGTGTGTATATATATATATATATAGTGTTAGTCCATTCTCATACTGCTATAAAGAAATATCTGAGACTGGGTAATTTATAAAGAAAAGAACTTTAATTAGCTCATGGTTTTGCAGACTACAGAGAAAGCGTAGCTGCTTCTGCTTCTGGGGAGGCCTCAAGGAGCTTCCAATTATGGCAAAGGCAAAAGAGGGGAGTCAGCACTTTACATGGCAGGAGCAGGAGAAAGATAGAGAAAGGGGAGGTGCCACACACTTTTAAATTACCAGATCTCACAAGAATTTACTTGTGAGATCTGTGTGGGGAGTCTGTGTGGGGCTTGTAGCTTCACATTTTTTCTCTACACTGTCCTAGCAGAGGTTTTGCCTGAGGGCCCTGTCCCTGCAGTAGGCTTCTGCCTGGACATCCAACCTTTTTCATACATCCTCTGAAATTTAGGAAGAGGCTCCCAATCTTCAACTCTTGCATTCTGTGTACTTGCAGGGTTAACAACACATGGAAACCATGAAGGCCCCTGGCTTGAACCCTCTGAAACAGTGGTCCAGGACCCATTTTATACCTGGACCCATTTTAGCCATGGCCAGAGCTGGAATGGCTGGGGTGCAGGAAGAAGCATCCCAAGGCTGTGCAGGGCAGAAGGGCTCTGTGCCTGGACCATGAAAGCATTTTTCCCTCCTAGGCCTCTGGGCCTGTGATGGGAGGGGCTGCTTCAAAAGTCTCTGAAATGACTTCAAGGCCCCTTGCCCTTTTTTCTTGGCTATTAGCACTTGGTTCCTCTTTACTTATGCCAATTTCTGCAACCTGCTTGAATTCCTCACCTGAAAATTGGCTTTTCATTTTTACCACAGGGCCAGGCCACAAAGTTTTTAAACGTTTATGCTCTGCTTCTCCTTTAAGTGTAAATTCCAGTTTTAAGTAATTTCTTTGCTCATGCATATTAGCATAGGCTGTTAGAAGCAGCCAGACTGCTTCTTGAATGCTTTGCTTCTTAGAAATTTGTTCCACTCTCAAGTTCAAAGTTCCACAGATCCCTAGGGCAGAGGCACAATGTCTCCAAGTTCTTTGCTAAAACATAACATGCACAATCTTTGCTCCAGTTCCCAATAAGTTCCTCATTTCCATGAGACCTCTTCAACTTTGACTTCACTGTCTATATCATTATCAGCATTTTGATCACGACAATTCAACTAGTCTCTAGGAAATTCCAAACTTTCCCTCATCTCCCTGTCTTCTTCTCATCTTTCCACATTCTTCCAACCTCTGCCTGTTACCCTATTCCGAAGTCACTTCCACATTTTCAGGTATCTTTATAGCAATGCCCTGTTCCTCAGTACCAATTTTCTGCATTAGTCTATTCTTGTACTGCTATAAAAAATATCTGAGACTGGGTAATTTATATTTTTAAAAAAGATTTAATTGGATCATGGTTACATAGGCTATACAGGAATCATAGCAGCTTCTGCTTCTGGGGAGGCCTTTGGGAACTTCCAATTATGGAAGAAGGCAAAAGTGGGGAGTCAGCACTTCACATGGCTGGAGCAGGAGGAAAACAGAGAGAGAGGAGGTTCCATACACCTTTAAAGAACCAGATCTCATGAGAACTCACTTATTATCACAAGAACAGCACTAAAAGGCATAGCCACCCTCATGATCCAATCACCTCCCACCGGGCCCCACCTCCAACATTAAGGATTACAATTTGACATGAGATTTGGATGGGGACACAGATCCAAACCGTATCAAGTATGAAGCATGATAAAGTGACTCTCACAGAATTTCCATTGTGCTGCAGCAGTGCCAAGGCTGTGGTAAAAGTACAAATAAACTCAGCACACAGGGCCAGAAAATTAACTGTTAGCTGGGAAACTGGTTCCAATCTATAGTCTAAAAATAATAATAAAAGATTGATGAATGAGGAAAAGACACTAGTAAACTGTGAGGTCAATATTTATCCTTTCAGAGAAATAAAACTACAGACTCAAGGTCTTGCCCATTATCACATGGCTCTAGAGTCTATTTTTCCCCAAGTTATATTAACCAGAAACTTACTTATGAGTTATTTTTTTTAGTTTTCTTAGAGTTAAAAGTTAACATTATTTGGAATTAAAAGTTAATATTATTAGTTATATGATTATAATTAATATAAGTAATTAATATAATGTGAATGGTAGCCATTGTATTGGCTTTTAATTTGGATCACTGTAAACAGTAATAACCTGAAGAACACTTTTGAAATTTTTATATACCTGTTCTTAAATACATTGATCATTATCTTTACCAATAATCCCTAGGTAAGACTCTGTAAGATTGAGATAACTCCTCTAAGAATTAACTCAAGCCAAAGAGTTAATTTTTCTTGAAAACTTTATTACAGCTCCTTTTACCAGCAAAAAATAATAATAATTCTTCATGATAAAGAAAAAGCTCATATCTAAATTTAAAGTTCACTTAAAGTGATTATTTGTTCATTTAACAAATATTTACCAAGCACCTAGATATTTTAAGAAATGCAAGCATGGCAGTGCAAAAGGCAAAGTCTCTGCTCTAATGGAGATTTCATCCTGGTAGAGAGCAAAATGTAAATAAATGTACACTGTAATATCAAGTAATAATAAGCATATTGAATAAAAGGCATTCTTGGCCTATGTTTTTGCAATACCCATTACTTTCCTAGTACCTTACCTACCTCTCAATAAAGTTTTTCAGTTTATCACCATGACAAATCCTTTGAAATAAAGGTTTTTGCTTTAAACTGCCTTCTTTTTTTCTGAAATTAGTTTTAGCCTAAATGTAAACATTCCTTAACTTGAATCAGATGATTAGATTTGTTCCTATTGTATTCATTGCAATGGACTCACATAGAGCTTGTAGTCAGTATTGTTGTTAAGGATTCAAGGAGAGACATAGGAATATGACCAGTTGTAATAAAATGTGATAAGTGTTATGCTAACCAGAAGAAATAGGAATTCCAGAGACAAATAAAAGCATTCTAGGTAGGTAGAAACAGCAACATCAAAATGTATTATTTGCCTGCCCAGCACATTTAATATATTTGAGACGTGGGGTGGTGAGATAGGGATGATAAGAGCGCATTGGTAGTTAAGAAACAAGTGATGAGGCTGAAAAGTGGTTGTAGGTGTCCTATCAAGATGAGCCTTGAATGTCATGCTAACAATCTGGGACTTGACCCTGTAGATCTAATATCGGCAGTAACATCTGTGTGAACAGAAGACTAAAAGAATGGCATTTAACTGATGCCAACTCATCACTCAACGTCCTAATCGTTTTCCTAAAAACACACAGATCTTGTAATCAGCTTTTTGAATCAATATTAGATCTCGTTATTTCTCTATCCAATTGCTCCCTATCTTATATATAGTAAAAACCAGACTCTCTGAGTTAACCTTCAGAGTGCTGCATAACCTGATCTATTGGTCCTCTGACCTCATCTCCTCTACTCTTCTCCTTGCTCAATCTACTGTCACTCTTACCTTGTTTTTTTAACATGACAAGTAATCTTCTTCCTTTTTACTTGTCTTTCCTTTTGCCTGGCATGTTCTTTGCCTAGATGCTCACATGGCTTGCTTCCTCCACTCTTCAAATTATTGCTTGGTGGGGTCTACCATGTCTATACTACTCAAAATTGCAGAACTTCACACTGTTTCTTGTCCCCACATCCTATTTAATGTTTGGCCATAAAACTGATACCCTCTGGTATATTATATAATTTACAAACTTACCATGATTATAACCTGTCTCCCCCAACTAGAATGTCATATTGAGAAACACAGGGGAGTTTGTCTCTACTGTCCTCTGCTGTATCCCCAGCAATGCATGGCCCTTGGTAACAGCTCAGTAAGTATTTGTTGAATGAATGAAATAATAAGTGAATCTCTCCAACTCCAAATCTTTTCCCTGTAGTCATTATTCAAGACTATAGAACCACGGTTTTCTTAATGTGCTCTCATAAATTACTATTTTACAACCAATTTATTCTGAGGACAATTTTTCATTGTTCACAATTTCCTGTTACGTTTCCACCATTTATGACTAAAAAGCTAAAGGGAAATGAACATGAAGAAAATGGACAGAAGTAGTATACATAATTTTTACACGTGCAGTTTTCACTTGCATCATTTATCCCTTTTTAATCAGGAACTGGTGATGCACAAAAGCAATCGACAGATCTGAAAGAGCTCAAGGGGATCACAAGAATAAAGATACAAATAGCCAGTGATGCATTTCCCTGATGTTAATTGCTTTCATTGCTTAGACCATAAAAATCATGCACACAATACTAGATTTGATGGGCCTTCTCCTTCCTTTAGGTTGAATAATGACATTCTTCCAGGCACCCATTTTCCCTATGTTCCAGTTTTTAAATCGCCAATTTTTCTCTTTCCAAAACAATTCAATATAGTAGTATGTTAATACTGTTTTTAGTACCTTCTCTTCATTTTTGTTAGCAAGTATGGGTATCTTTATTGTAACTTCCTTCCCAACAGGTTCCTTTTCTTTTGACTGTTAAATGTTGGTGTTACTTCTGGATTGGCTGAGTAAGGGGCTTAACAAATCCTTTTTCCAAAAACCAATGCTAAAACTGGACAAATTTGACAAAAACAATTCTTTCAGGACTTTGGAAATAGATGTGTCTATTTCTCAAGGCATGTGTCTCCACTTGAGAAAAGTTTCTTCAAGAATGAACTACCAAAAAAAAAAAAAACCTTGGTAAAAACAGTGATTTACTTTTTCTGTCTTCTCTTTTTAATATTTTTTGCCTCACCTTCTGACCTACAAGGTCTCTTTTCCCTGTCTTTCCTAGCCAGAAAGAAAGTCTATGGGGTGAGGTTTACACCTGTGTTTTAGCTACCATAGCCATGCAACTTATAGCAGAAGCTTGCTTTTTGGCAAAGCCAAAAATTGACAAAAGCACACTCAAAAACTACTTGAATGTGGATTATCTCTGTAAGTTTTGACTGGACTCCATAGATTGTCCATTTTTGCATACTTTTAAAAGTCACCAAGGACATCAGCAAGATAGCAGAATATGAGATTCCCACTCATATTCCACCATAGCAACATTTTCAGCCATTCACAAACAAAACTGCCTTGTTGGAACTTTGGGATTCAGGTAGGAGGTTATAAAACCCCAGTGGAGCCCAAAACCTAAGCAGGTCATCTTGAGAAGGCAGAGGCACACCCTTTGGCAGGCCTAAAGCATAGTCCTGGCTCCAGATCCAGAAATGGTCTCTTATATACTCAGCTACATCCCCATTTGACCTTTGTCTTGCCATCAGAACTATCCACCAAGGGAACTAGAAGGAGCCATGCCCTCACATGCCTCAGGTGACAGGCCCACTGACCTTGGTCCCAGCTGTGACAATACAACAGCCCTGAAACTCAACTCCAGATCCTCTCAGCTCTGCTCTGGGAGTAGTACTACTCTTTTCAAACCAGCAGGAAGCATGATTGTCTGTGCCTTTGCAGGCCTACCAACCTTGGCAGATCTTGAAACAGCCATGTAACTCTATTGCATCCCCTCCCAACCACTGTCCAGGAGCAGTCTTGCCTGCCAGAGCCTGATTCCCTAACTCAGGTACTAGTCTGCCCTTTAAGTTCCCACTGACTGTCTAACATACTTTATCTTAGAGCTCAGAATAGGTCTGAACACCCTTGATATGCTCAAGTGTCCTCTAGCTAAGGAACTGAATGTAGCCAAGAGGGAACTTAGCAGGTTATAATTCAGTTGATTTACTCAGAAAATGTGCAAAGAATACACTGAAAAGCTAGGTGCCATTATGTTTTCATAAACCTTTTGCTTTATTCCCAACTTTGATTAAATTAACATTTGTCTGCTCTTTGGGAGGCCAAAGTGGGTCTATCACTTAAGCCCAGGAGTTCAAGACCAAACTGAGCAAAATGGGTTGAATAATGTACAAAAACCTCATCTGTACAAAAAATACAAAAATCAGTCGGGTGTGGTAGTGTGCACCTGTAGTCCCAGCTACTTGAGAGGCTGAGGTGGGAGAATCACCTGAACCTGGGGAGGTCAAGGCTGCAGTGGGCTGTGATCAGGCTGCTGCACTCTGGCCTGGGTGTCAGAGTAAGACCTGTCTCAACTATAAAATTACACTCAATGGAAATATATTATTGAATATTTAGAAAATATAAGTAAAATCAAAAGAAATTATCCAAAAATTTTTAAAATATGTCTTGAGGGAAAAGAGGGAAGATGAGAAAAACCATTATTCTACAGATGATTGTTGCTAAGACTACCTATAAGAAGGGCTGCTCACAGTCAATCTAGCATGCAGTTATCACAGGAAGAATTAAAACCATATAAGCAGGATATTATTGAAGAATACACAAAGTTAAACATCTGGAAACATGGAGGAGACAACCTGTGATCCTAAAAAAATTTAAGTAACCAAATAAATGCAGGGAAAAAGAAGAAAATGTGGGGAAAGATCAGACAGGACAAATATAAAACAAAAAGAAAGATGCTCAATTTTAACCAAAACATCAATCATTATATTAAGTATAAATAACATAAATACCCTAATTAAAATCAGAGATTGATAAACTAGATTAAAATGTCATAAGGACCAACTACGTGCTGCCCACAACAAACACAGGCAAAAATGAACACACTCATAGGTCAAAAATGAATGAAAAAAGATTTATCATGCAAACACTAATCAAAAGTCCGAAGTAGCTATATCAATAAAAGACAATGTAGATTTCAAAGCACAGAATATTATCATTTCATAATAATAAAGAAGCTCATTTTATAATGATAAAGGGATAACTTCATCAAGAGAACCTAACAATCTTAAGCTTTTAGCCACTTAGCAAAATATGGGTTTCAAAAACATGAAGAATTGAAAGAAGAGATGGGCAAATCCACACTTACAGATGAATATTACAGTACTCCATTCTCAGTAATTAATAAAGCAAGTAGATAGAAAATCACTAAGATTTTAGAAGACTTGCAAAACACTATCAACCAACATGACTTGATTGACAATTTAGAAAACTCTGCCCAACAATAGCAGAATTCACAATCTTTTCATGTGCACATGGAACTTACCAACATTACTATGCCCTGTCCTATAAAATGAATCTCAATAAATAACACTTTGATATCATACAAAGTATGTTAATTGGCACCATGGTACTAACTCAGTTACAGAATGGTATCTGGAAAATCCTCAAATTCAACATATTTGGAAAGTAAATAACATGTTTCTAAGGATGACTCAATGAAATAATCAAAATAGAAGTCAGATATCATTGTGAACTGCATAAAAGTAATGGCAAACATATCAGAATTTGTCGGGTGCTGACAATGCATAGAGAAAAATTTATACCACTAAATGCTTTCATATGATAAAAAGAATGGTCTCAAATCAATGACCTCAGATTACATCTTGAAAATCTAGACAAATAAGGCCAAATTCAAAGCAAAGTAAGCAGAATAAAGAAATAATAAAGATCAGAGTGAAAATCAATGAAATAGAATACAAAAATAGATAAAATTAATAAAACCAGAAGTCAATTTTTTGATCAAAATCATGAAACCTGATAAACATCTAGCCATATTTATCCAGCTGAAAAAGTGGAAACAAATTCCCAACATCAGGAGTAAAAGGTTTAAAATGGATACAGATTACAGATATTTTTAAAAGTTAATAAGAGAATATTAAAACATTATGTCAAAAATCCCATAACGTAGGTGAAATTGACAGCTATTTTAAATACACAAACTACCAAAGCTCACATTGTAGCCCAAATGGTCATTAATAAATTTAACTTTATATTTAAAACCTATTCAATATAAATTTTTCCAAAATAATTGAAGAGGAGGAAATACTTCACAACTAATTCTATTTGGTTTCCCCATAACCAAAATCAGACAAGGACACTATAAATAAATAAAAGCCCAGATTAATAACTCTTATGAATGTCAATGGAGTTATTAATAACAAAATTTTAGCAAAGACATACAAAAGTTATATGACCCAGTAGCTTATTCTAAGAATGCAAGGTTGGTTTAACAGTAAAAGACTAACAAGTATATGTCAGTATCTCAACAGAATAAAGAAAGAGCTGTATGATCATCTCCATAGTTACATAAAAACTATTTGAGAAAATACAACATCTATTCCTCATTTAAAAAAAAAAAAACATTCAGCAAATAAAGGGAAAACAAACTTCCTAAAACATCATAGATAAAGATGTAAAAATTGAACATTTTTTCCAGCGATGAGGAGAAAGGCAAAGATGCTCATGCTAACCCCTTCTGTTCAACATTTTACTGGATGTTCTAGTCATTGTAAAAATACATGAAAAGAAATTACAGGTATACAGATTCCAAAGAAAGAAGTAAAGCTGTCTTTATTCCCAGAGAACATGATAACATATGTAAAACATTTACTGGTGTCTATAAAATCATCTTCTAAAATTAATAAGTGAGTTTAACAAGGCCGAAGAATAAAAGCAATATATAAATAATCGTAACTTTGTATATTATGAATAAGCAATCAGAAATTTAAATTTAGAAAGCAATTGCTTTGCACTGCACTCCAGTTTGTGAATTTGTTTCCCACAGGGTCATGGGCTAAAAATTCTGGTGCTTTATACATTTATACCAGAATTGAACAATTAAGTAAATGAATGGCAAAAACTGGTTTCTCAGTGTTACAGTATAAGTTTACAGATAAGCAAGGAGAGGAGGCCAGAATGGCCCATATGGTAATGCATTAGAATTGGAGACATCAGTATTAGCTCATATTTAATTTAATAAATATAGATTATTACATATAGGAATATAGATATGCATATATGTGCAAATTAGAATATAACCATATATGGTTATTTTCTTTCTCTGTCACCTGAGAGGACCTAGAAATAATAATACCCAGCAGCAGTAACCATACCTAGCATGCACAATTCAGATTCTAATACCATTCTCAAATGAAAGGAATTCAGTCTTCTTGGAGAAATGGCTGATTCTAGAACTGGGGCAGGAAATATATGAGATTTGAAATATCTTGTGGTACTAGAAAGAAAGAAGTCACTTGAAAATAAAACAACACACAGTACACTGATGGGATATGACAAAGAGACACTAACTGAAAGTGCTCTTAGTGGCCAAAAATGTAATAATCAGAGCAATAAATAAATACATGGTATATATAATATGATATAGTATATGTAATACAAAGTAGTATCAGATTATAAACAAAAGAATAAAATAAATATCCATGAGTCCATAGTGATATAACTAAATAATAAATAAATAAATAAATTACAAGAGATACATCTCACATGCAGAAGACTTATAAATAATTTACATAGATATTTCACCTTAAGGAAGTGGAGCATTCCCATTCATTAATGTGGGCTAACCGTAGGGAATCCCTTTCAAAAAGTACAGTATTCATAAAGTAAAAAAAAGAATAACTTTACCACGGATTGCAATAGAATGATGCTTTACAAAATACCAGACCACTATGCCTCAAAACTGCCAGTTTTATCAAAAATTAAAAAAAGTCTTAGAAACTGTCACAGCCAAGAGGGGCCTAAAAAGATATAATATGTACATATAATGAGATATACTGGCTGAGAACCTAGAACAGAAACAATACATTAGATGAAAATGAAGTGTATTAGTCTGTTTTCACCCTGCTATAAAGATACCACCTGAGACTGGGTGATTCACAAACAGTAGAGATTTAGTTGACTCACAGTTCTACATGACTGGGAGGCCTCAGAAAACTTATAATCATGGTGGAAAACGAAGGAGAACTTTACAATTCTGTAACAATTTGACATACTTTGAAATAAGTCTAAAAAAGAAGTGTAAAACTTGTGCACTGGAAACTATAAAACATCACCGAGAGAAATTAAAGAAGTCTTAAATGAAGAGATAGATACGCTGTGTTCATGTGTCGGCAGACTCGGTAGCTAAGACATCAAATGTTCATAATTAACCCACAAATCTAATAGAATTTCAATCAAAATTCCAGAAAGCTTTTTTTTTAATTGACAAACTGATTCTAAACACCATATAATAATGCAAAGGACTTAGTAAAGCTTAGGCATCCTTGAAAAGAACAAAACTTGGAGGACAAATACTACCTGATTTCAATAATTCAGAGCTACAGTAATTGCGAGAGAATAGTGATAACATCAAGACGGACACACTTATCAATAGAAAAAAATAGAAAATACAAAAATAAACGCATACATATATGCACAACTGATTTTCAACAAAGATGTGGACGCAATTCAGTAGAGGAAAGATAGCTTTCTTAGTAAATGGTACCCAAAGAACTAGTAAATGGTACCCATATGCAAAAAAAATTCACTTCGAACCAAATTTTGCACCATCCATGAAAAATAACTCAAGATGGATCATAAACCTCAATGTAAAACCTAAATCTATAAAATTGCTGGGGGAAAACATAAGAGAAAAATATCTTACCTTGAAAACTATGGCTGATAAATTTTATAAATTATAAATTGAACTTTATAAATTTGAAAACTTCTGTTCTTATGTCTCATTGCCCAGAGCTTAGTTATATGGTCTCACAAAGCTGCAGGAGAGTTTAGATAACACAGTTGCAATTCTGGGATGCCATGTACCCAGATAATAATTCTCTTACAATGGAAGAAGAAATGAATGGAGAAAGGGCACAACTCTTGGTCCCTGTCACAAATACTAAACACAAGTTAAACCTACAGAAGTCAACAAAATTATGTTTTTTCCATATTAGTGCTCCAGTGCTTTGGTTGAAATATTTATATATTCTTTCTATTATTTAAAAGTTAATTTTATATCATACTTTAAAAATAAAACTGAAAGAAGGCAAAACAAAAAGCAAAAACCCTCCTATAACACTGTCCCATCCTAAGATAATTTGCCTCTTTTATGTAACTTGAATAGTATTGTTGATGTCATCTGTCCTCCCAGACTTTCAGTCCCATTCCATAGTTAGCCCTGCATAGGACCTGGCACAGAGTATTTGCCTCACAGTTTTCTAATAAAAGCATTAACAAATGAATGAAAACAATCTGAATGTCCACAATAGCAAATGACTGCTAAGAGTAAAGTAATGGTTCAACTTTTTTAGGCATCTAATCCATGACAAGCGTTGCACGATATATAGCAGCTCATGATAACCGCACACAACAAATCTTTAGTCACTATTGTCTTATTTTAAAGATGAGAAAAACAGAGGTTTAGAAACTTTTAGTTAATTGTCCAAGTTTGGTATGCTATTAGAAAGCAGTGGTCAGATGTTACTTTAACAACACTGGATGAACTTGCCTAAGTACTAAGTAAGTGAACTTGGACAACTCGTTCTTTATTTTCCTGATAGGAAAGAAAAGAGGGCTGCATTGTGTGCAGGAAAATAGAGTGAGAAAAGAGGTCTGCACTGTGTGTGTTATCTCTATGACCATTTGTTATGTCTGTTACATATGACTTAGCCTATAGGTGGCATAACTTCTCTGGATAATAAGAAGCCCGCTTTCATCCGCCTCAAAAATGCCCAACCCTGTGTTCCCCATCATCTAGACTGTTTATTGCATCAAGTTTTGATAGGTGTCACCTACCTTCTCTTTCACAAACTTTGGGACCTTGTGCAGATGGTACCCCTAACATCTGAAAAAGCAGAAGCATGTCTCCAATTTTGCATAGAACATATTTTCCCATTATGAAAGAGAGAGAGACACAGTAAGAAACAACTTGGAAACAGTGTAATGACAACAACTAATCTGATTATATGTAAAGAAACAAACACTTTCACTCTTATTCCATCTGAGGATAAGACAACAGAACTCTTTACCTCAGGTCAGAGAAAGGAAACAATAAATAATGTAATGTATTATACATCTGTTGCCCTTGATAAAAAAGCACCATTGTGACACTTATAAAGGATTCTTTTATTTTTTGCATTACCTTGGGAGGAGAGAAGGAAATGTCCCTAGTCTCTTTTCTGAAATGCATTTATGCAATGTACCACTGAGGTGTGGAGGACAAGGATTTGGTAAACCCCAGGACTCTACCTTTCACTAAGTCGGTTGTGATTCTTGGGATTGTTACATCAGATTTTCTTAAAGAGTCTCTGTGTTGGTACATACAGCATTTGATTAATTGAATAGGAATCATATTTTCAGTAAGAAGACTAGGGAAATGTTTGATTCTGAGGAGCACTAGGACACAGAAAGAGCCCTTCCACACAGTCAGAAGAGGAGGGATAGATCCCAGGCTCTGGATATATCAGTGACCACAAACATCTCAACTTCTGTCAGCCTCAATTGACCCACAGTTTAGTTAGCAGAACAGTTGCAAGTCAGTTTCAGTTTTTAGAATTCCCTGAAAATTTTGGATTATTAAGCTTGAAATAACGTCATATGTATTTTATCCCTTAAAGATACTTTTACCACCTATTAAGCCCTTTCTTCAGGCCAGGTACTAGGCTAAATACATATATAGTCTCATTTAAGCCTTATAAGTACCCTGAGAGGTAGGTGTTATTCTAAGTTCTTCATATAATTGATGAAGGGACCTAGACTCCAAGCAGTAAGTAATTGTTCCTGAGTCACACAGCAAGAAAATTGGTAGACTCTAGATTTGGATACAGACAATGTGAGCAAACACGAAATAAGTAAATAGGAGAGCCACACAAACAGCTATGGGGAACAACAGTAGGGGGACTGACAATGTCCTATGGAGTGTGTCTTGATATCGTTTAATCTAGGTCAGCATTTCTCAAAGTGCACTCATTCATAAGCCTACTTCACTATGCTTTCTAGATCCTTCAGCTAACTGGCTATCTTGATGGTTCTGACAATCTACTTTGGTGTCTTGAGATGGCATTTACCTGGTCATAAGCACTGATAGTTGTAAAATCACAATTATCAGTGCTTATGGAGATACCAGTTATATTTTAAAGTAGAAAGCTAGAGAGAATTATTTTAAAACACATTAAACACATACTCATCAAAAAAATTCTGTCCTTCTTCTAAAATTGTTTTGAATATAAGCTCTGCACTTTGGGAAGTTTCAGACTTGCTAATACTGAGCCTTCAATAAAGTTGTCAAATTGTATTAAATATGTTCTTTCTTCACAGTGAAAGACTTTACACCCAAATAGTGAGTTATTCTACCTGCTCCAAATTACAGTCCCTCTCCTCAAACACTCTATAACAGAAAAAGCAGTAGATAGAATGCAGGTAGGTGCTAAGGTTACAGAGGGACAGGTCCCGCAAGAATTTTACCTAGAGAACAGGAAGCTGTTTCCCTGTTAACCTGCAATTGATGAGTCAGACACTTGCTGAGTTACTGGAAAGAGTGACATTCCCATGACAAAGCCAACTAAAGATGAGCCTTGCCCAAGTGCACAAGTGAAGATGAAGGTTAAGTATATCCTTGAGGAAGTGTCATTCAAGAATAGACCAGCAAGAGCAGAGAGAGAATGAAAGACATAGAGCTGATTCAGCTGCACCTGGAGGAAGTTAAGGTGGCTTTCCTGAGAGACCAATGCTCTGCCTTGGGGTTTCAGCTAGTTCTTTAAGGAGGAGTAACTCTAAGCTTACATCAGATCCTCCCATAGAACTTTAGCAAATTTGGAATATGTATTTGCATACATGAACAAAATAGAAAGATATATTGAGCCTTCATCTCAGAATGTGGATGACAAATCCTTATTTTAGTCTTTATAAAATCTGAGGTTGAAGAAACCCTCCAGGCATTGTAGACAGATATGTGCAATGGATATAATGTACACTTGTTGTAAATTTTGTTGCAGTGTCCAGAATGACAAATCTGTTAAGAAGTTCCCTCATATTGAAGAATAAGACTCGTTTCTCACTAAACTTGCCACACATTGCCCTGATATAGACAAAGGGTAGAAAGTATCAAATATATGAGAACATTTTAAATGAAAGAAAAAGAAAAATTTGTAAATGAAATTTTACTAAGATTTATTTGTGTGAATTGAGAAAAACGAAATCAGAAAGTACTAGTTACAAAGTCGGGCTTGGGAGTCTGCCCTGTTTGTTTCTGACTCAATGACAAGTTTACTAACTAACTGATCTTTGGCTAATTGCTTAACATTTCAAAACCTCAATTTACAGGAAAATTTAGTACAATAATACCATCAAACCTCATAGAGTTACAGTGAATTTTAAATGAGATGACAAATTTTTAGTAGAATGCCTGAAAATAGCAATCATGCATTAAAATAAGGCAGGGTTTCTCCTATGTTTACACCACAACACTTAGGTCCACATTCTTTATGAGAGTTCCAAAGAAACCTAGTATGCAAATCTCAATGGTTCTGACAGTAATTGAGTTCTATAATTTAATAAATAGCAGTGTATCCTCAGGTACCTTTTAGAACGTTTGTGAAAATCACATGGAAAAATCAATAATAGCAGAAATGATAAGAAAGTTTCCTCAACATAGCTTTGTGCTTGTTTTCCATTTCAAAGCATTTTCATACCTCTTATCTAGTGGAACATCAAATAATTAGGAGGCTTAAAATAGATATGATCCTTTTATTTTACAGATGACATGAGCCGAGTCAAAACACAGATAAAGGGCTAAAATCAAGAAATTCTAAAATGCAAAATGACTTACCCAAAGTCAATATAAGTAAATGGTAGAGCTGGAGGTATAAGAGAAATGGAGAAGGTATTAACACATCCTACGACCTCACAAAAGAACACTGAGTTTCATTTTACAGATGGTGAGTTCCACTTTACAGATTTTATGTGTCAACTTGACTGGGTTAAGAGATGCTTAGAGAGCTGGCAAACCATTATTTCTGGGTGAATCCATGAGGGTGTTCTGGAAGAAATCAACATTCGAATCAAAAGACTGAGTACAGAAGATCCACCCTCACAGATGTGGGTAGATGTCATATATCCACGAGGGCCCTGATAAAGCAAAAATGAAAAGCAAGAGTGAATTTACTCTCTCTCTTCTTGATCTAGTAAATCCATCTTCTCCTGCTCTTGGGAATCAGAGCCCTGGTTTTTGGGACTTTCAACTCCAGGACTTACATCAGTTGTCCCTCCTCCCCCAACCTCACCACCCAAGGCCTCACTAAGACTGGGAGTTACATCAAACTGAATTACAGTGCTGGCTTCCCTAGTTATAAAGCTTGCAGACAACAGATCATGGGACTTTTTGGCCTCCATAATTCTGTGAGCCAATTCTCACAGTAAGTCTCTTCATATCTATGAGCCTGTAAAAGTCTCTAGGAAGAGCCTATCAAGTCTCTTCCACCTATGAGCCTGTAAAACCAAAACCAGGTTAGTTACTTCTAAGACATAATGAGGACATAGGCATTGGGTAAATATTTCTGTTCTAAAAGGGAGAAATTGGCCAAAAGAAAAGGGCTACAGGCCCCACGCATGTTCAAAATTCAGCAGGGAAGTTGTTAAATCTTAAAGTTCCAAAATAAACTTTAATTCCATGTCCTACATCCAGGGCACACTGGTGCAAGGGGTGGGCTTCCAAGGCTTTGGGCAGCTCTGCCTCTGTGTCTTTGCAGGATTCAGAGGGCTGCTGTTACAAATTGGGAGTGAATGCTTGTAGCTTTTGAGATGCAGGGTGCAAGCTGCCAGTAAATCTACCAATCTTGAGTCTGGAGGATAGCAGCCTTCTCCTCACAGGTCCACAAAGCAGTGCCCCAGTGCGAATTCTGTGTGAAGGCTCCAACCCCATATTTCCCCTAGGTACTGCACTAATACAGGTTCTCTGTGGTGCCTCTGCATCTGCAGCAGGTTTCTGCCTAGGCACCCACGCTTTTTCATATAACTTCTGAAATCTAGGTGAGGCTACCAAGCGTTCACTCTTGCACTCTGCGGGTTGCAGACTTAACACCACATGGAAGTTGTCAAGGCTTAGGGCAGCTTAATCTCTCCAGAGGAGTGGCATGAGCAGTATCTGGGGATACTTTGAGCTGAGGATGGAGAAGGAACAGCCAAGATAAGGGGAGCAGTATCCCAAAGCTGCACAGGGCAATGGGTCTGAAACTATTTCTCTTCTGAAACCATCCTCTCCTCCTAGGCCTGAGAGTTTGTGATGAGAGGGGCTGCTGCAAAGGTCTCTGAAATGCCTTCAAGGCCTTTTTTGCATTGTCTTGGCTATCAGCACTCGGATCCCTTTTAGTTATGCAAACATCTCTAGCAAGTGGTTGCTCCATGTCTTGCTTGAATTCTTCTCCTGAAAATTGGCATTTCTTTTCTACCAAATGGCCGGGTTGCATATTTTCCAAAATTTTATGTTATGCTTCCCTAAGTTTCAGCTTTAAGTCATTCCTTTGCTCCTGAATCTGAGCAGAGGCCCTTAGAAGCAGCCAGGCCACATCTTAAACATTTTGCTTCTTAGAAATTTCTTCCAGCAGATAGTGAATTATCACTGTCAAATTCAAACTTCCAGAGATCCCTACAGTATGAATAGTATGCAGTCAAGTTCTCTGCCAAGGCATAACATTCATGACTTTTGCTTCAGTTCCTAGTCATTTCCTCATTTCCTTCGGAGACCTCAGCAGCCTGGACTGTCTACATCACTATCAGCACTTTGGTCAAAACTATTTTTCCAATCTCTAAGAAACTGCAAACTTTCCCTCAACTTCCTATCTTCTTATGAGCCCTCCAATTCTTCCAATCTCTGCTCAGGTATCTTTATTGCAATGCCCCATCCTTAGTACCAATTTTCTTTATTAGGCTATTCTTTTAATTATATAAAAATATCTGAGATGGGTAACATATAAGAAAAGAGGTTTTATTGGCTCATGGTTCTGCAGGCTTTACAGAAAGCATAGTGGTATCTGCTTCTGGAGGGGCCTCAGGAAGCTTCCAATTATGGCAGAATGTGAAGGGAGAGCAGGCACATCACTTGGCAAAAGCAGAAGCAAAAGAGAAGTAGGGGAGGGAGAGAGAGAGAGAGGAAGTGCCACACATTTTTAAATGATCACATCTTGTGAGAACTCACTATCATGAAGACAGAACCAAGTCATGAGGGATCTACTCCCATGTTCCAAACACCTCACACCAGGCCCCACATCCAGCTTTGGGGATTACAATTCAACATGAGATTTGGGTGGAGAAAAATATCCAAAGTGTATCATGAGGTATTTTACATAAAGCTCTAGACCTGTGCCTAACACATGGCAAATGCTTCATAAGCAACAGTTTTTGTTTTGCTATTGTTGTTATTATTTTATTTCTAGTGCCATGGTAGTCTTCTTTCTAGAGCAGCAGTTCTCAAAAAGTGGTCCTTGGGCCAGCAGCATCCACTTTACCTGGGAACTTGTCAGAAGTTAGGTAAATTCTTAGTCTTATCTAAGATCTATTGAATGAAAAACTCTGGGATGGGACCCAGAAATCTGAATATCAAAAGCTCTGCAGGCAATCAAGTGTACCCTAAAGTTTGAGAACCACTTTGGTAGAAAAAATCCTGAGTATCTTCCTACCTTCCTTCCACCTGTGACTAAAAGGGTGAGCAAATATATTTCCTCATCCATGTCCCTAGTTTAATGGATTTACAGAGTTCTATAGGCCTACTTCTGTTTCTCTCTCTCTCTCTCTCTGTCTCAATCCCCAACTCTCTGTCTGTGTACAAGGTGTGGATTTATATTAGGAGAAATTTACCAATCTAATTGAATTTTACAAAAATGGAATAACGAATACATCCTCAAATTCATCAAAATTGATATTTTCTTTCTCATTTATCTATCATATTAGACACTTTGCTCCACCTGTAAAACCCTTAGAGGTAAGTAAATTCCTAACACAAATTTGTTAATATTTTCTATTATTTTATTCTCCTAAGCAACATTCCCACTGAAACAGGTTTTTACTGCTCTCTCTGGCTGCTCTTCTTGCAGGAAGGTAGAGAAGCATGCATATTATTTCATTGAAAAATGCCCATTGGGTTTATGAGAAAAAATTGATTTAATGTTAAATGAAGAGACAAGATATATATAATAAAATTAGAAATTATAAACAATGCTGTTTTTTCCAAATAAAATAATGAAGAAATTTTCCTTTGATGCCCAAATTATTGACAGTTTTTAACATGAAATGATGTTAAATTTTATCAAAAGCCTTTTCTGCATCTATTAAGATGATCATGTGATTTCTGTTTTTAGTTCTGTTTATGTGAAGAAGCATATTTATTGATTTGGGTTATGTTGAACCAACCTTGCATCCCAGGAAAAAAAAAAACCTACTTCATCATGGCCAATTAGCTTTGTATGTGCTGTTGGATTTTATTTGCTAGTGTTTTATTGAGGATTTTTGCATCTATTTCATCAGGAATACTGCCCTTAAGTTTTCATTTTTGTGTGTGTCTCCGCAAGATTTTGGTGTCAGAATGATGTTAGCCTCATAGAATTAGATAGGGAGGAGTTCTTCCTTCTCAATTTTTGAAATAATTTCAGTAGCATTAGTACAAACTGTTCTTTACACATCTGGTAGAACATGGATGTAAATCTTTCTGGTCCAGGGATTTTCCTGGTTGATAGGGGTTTTTTTTAATGCTGAATCAACTTTTGAACTCATTGTTGGTCTACTCAGTATTTAAATATCTTTCTGGATCAATCTTGTGAGGTCATAAGTTTCCAGGAATTAACAAATTTATTCTAGTTTTTCTAGTTTGTGTGCATAGAGGTGTTTTTAAAAGTCTCTGAGAGTTTTTTTTGTATTATGGTGGCATAGTGGTAAAGTCATCTTTGTCATTTATTATTGTATTTATTTGGACCTTCTGTCTTTATTCTCTGTTAATTTATCTAGCAGTCTGTCAAACTTATTCACTCTCCCAAAGAACAAACTTTAGGTTTCATTAATATTTTGTGTAGATTTTCCCCTCTCAATTTTGTTCAGTTTGGATCTGATTTTGGTTATCTCTTTTCTTTTGCTAGCTTTTGGGTTGGTTTGCTTTTGTTTATCTAGTAGCTTTAGGTATGATGTTAAGTTGTTAATTTGAGATCTTTCTAACTTCTTGATGAAGGTGTTTAGCCCTATAAGCTTTACTCTAAACTCTGCTTTAGCTGTCTCTGAGAGATTCTGATATGGTGTATCTTTGCTTTAATTAGTTTCAAAGAAATTTTGTATTTCTTCCTTAACTTCATTCTTTACTCAAAAGTCATTCAGCAGCAGGTTGTTTAATTTCCATGTAATTGTATGGTTCTGAGGTAAATTCTTGGTATTGGTATCTATTTTTATTACACTGTGGTCCAAGAGTGAGGTTGATATAATTTCAGCTTTTTTGAAATTTTTGAGAATTGCTTTATGGCCAAGCATGTAGCCAATCATAGAGTATGTGCCATGTGCAGATGAAAAGGATGTTTTTTCTATACTTCAATGGAATATACATCAAAATAATAAGAGCCATCCATGACAAATCCATAGCCAACATTATAGTGAATGGGAAAAAGCTGGAAGAATTCCCTTTTGGAACCAGAAGAAGATAATGATGCCCACCATCACCACTCCTATACAACATAGTACTGGAAGTTTTAGCCAGAGCAATTGGGCAAGAGAAAGAAAGAAAAGGCATGCAAAAGAAAGGAAGTCAAACTATCTGTCTTCACAGACAATATAATTCTATAACTAGAAAACCCCATAGTCTCTGCCCAAAGGCTCATAGAACTGAAAAACAACTTCAGTTAACTTTCAGGACTCAAAACCAATGTACAAAAAGCAGTAGCATTTTTGTAAACCAATAACATTCAAGCTGAGAGCCAAATCAAGAACACAATCCCACTCCCCACCAAAAAATAATAATAATAATAATAAAGAGAACACAGCCCCATTCACAATAGCCACAAAAAGAATAAAATACCTAGGAGTATAGTTAGCCAGGAAGGTGAAAGAGCTCTACAATGAGAAGTACAAAATGCTGCTTAAAGAAACCAGAAATGACACAAACAAATGGAAAAACATTTCATACTCATGGATAGAAAGAATCATATTGTTAAAATGGTCAGACTTCCCAAAGCAATTTACAAATTCGATGCTATCCTTTTCAAACTACCAATGTCAGTTCTTACAGAATTAGAAAAAAATATTCTAAAATTCATATAGAACCAAAAAAGAGTCTGAATAGCTAAAGCAATCCTAAGCAAAAAGAGCAAAACTAGAAGCATTACATTACCTGACTTTAAGCAAGCCTACAGTAACTAAAACAGCATGGTATTTGTACAAAAACAGACCTATAGACCAATGAAACAGGTTAGGGAAAGCAGAAATAAAGTCATACACCTATAACCAACTGATGTTTGACAATATCAGTAGTTACAAGCATTGTGGAAAGGACTCCCTATTCAATAAATGGTGCTGGGACAACTGGCTGGGCATATGCAAAATATTGAAACTGTACTGCTACCGATCATCATATACAAAAACCAACTCAATGTGGATTAAAGATTAAATGTAAAACCTAAAAATAGAAAAACCCTAGAATAAAATCTAGGAAATACCATTCCAGACATAGGCCTTGGGAAAGATTTTATGACAAAGCTTCCAAAAGCCATTGCAAAAAAACAAAAATAGACAAATAGGATCTAATTAAACTAAAGAGCTTCAGTAGCATTTTCTGATTTTAAAAGCTCAGAAATCAATAGAGTAAAGAGACAATCTACAGGGTAGGGGAAAATATTTGCAAACAATGGATTTAACAAAGGCCTAATATCCAAAATCTATAAGGAATTTAAACAAATCAACAAGGTAAAAACATACAACCCCATTAAAATGGGCAAAAAAACATGAACAGACACTTATCAAAAGAAGACATGTACATGGCCAACAAGTATATAAAAAATGCTCAGCATCACTAATCTTTAGAGAAACACATCAAAATCATAGAGTGATTTAAAAGAATATGATTTGGAAAGAAACACAGCATTTTCTGCCACATATAAGTTACATATTGTTTGGCAAGGTGTTTAACCTCTCCAATATTTTGATTTCTCTTTTGTCACATGAGGATAGTATTTCTACTTCAGAGAAATGCAGTAAAAATTAAATGTGACAATGTAGATAAATTTATTAGCAAAGAGCCTAGAATATAGGTATTCAATATCTGAGAGCTAATATTAGTATCAATGTTAATATTATTTCTAGTATTAATATTAGTAGATCAATCATCTTTCACAAATTTAAAATCAACACTATTCATAATTCCAATGCCCCCCAATCCTGGTTTTTCCATTTTTCTAAAAGGCAATTCAAGACTGTCTTAAGATCAAGTTCATCTGAGAGCTGAGGAATTTAGTTGATAAATGGTGTACATGTGAAGGCGGCAAGCTCCCACAGAAATACCACACTGCATGTAAGCAAAACAGCTAAGTGCTCCTTTTCCCCAAGGTTACTCAGAGTCCTATCTGAGTCACAAAACAATACTGGTGCAATGTCTTGTCCTGGCCTTCCAAGAATAAAAAATGTGCAATACAAGAGACATAGCCACATTAAGTTCCATCAATCAAATTAAGCACAGTCATTTGTGTGGCAGGTTTCCAGCTTGGCAGCCCATAGAATATTAACCTTAAAATCCAGACATGCTTGCAGACAGCTCAAGAATTTCAGGGGAGAATTGATAGGGAAACATTTGCATGAAGGACCAAGAGGCGTCTTGGTATGTATTTTGTCTGAAGGGAAAAGAGATCTGGAGCACTCACATCTGCTCCAAGGCAGGCACTGACAATGAAGTAGCGACAAGCATTGTAGTAATTGTGACTACAGCTCAGGAAATGTTCAAACATGTCCAATAGGCTTGCTCTCATAAACTCACTCTAACTTTGAGAGAGAAAGGCCCGGCATGGTGGCTCACACCTGTAATCCCAGCACTTTGAGAAGTTGAAGCAGGAGGATCATATGAGTCCAGGAGTTTGAGACCAACCTGGGCAACAGAGTGAGACACTGTCTCTACAAAAATAAATAAATAAATTTTTTAAAATACAAAGAGTTGCAATTAAAAAGAGAAAGAAACTAGTATGGGCCATTGGGAGAACAAGTAACAGAGGCAGATTCAACAGTTTCCAGAGCAAGGGAAGGTGATGACCTCAGTAGAGGTGGGATATCCCAAGGCTCGCCTCCATGCCCATGGTCATGTCCCTGCGCAGTAAACCTCACCACAAGGAGGTGGGGCAGAGAAGAAGAACAGCAAATTCAGCAAGTAGCAAACCCAATTCTTAGATTCAGAGCATTAGGTATTCCTTGGAAACTTTCCAAAGTACTTGAGATGAGTATGATAGCAGAGACAGTAAAGTGACCATAGAGTATAAAAGGCCAGAAATGAATAAAGAGTTTTTGTTCCCTTTCTGTGCCTCAAGTTTTACTCATGTTGCATACTTTGGAACAAGGGATACCATATGATGTATTATAAGTGGAGTAGCATGCCATGTAGTTCTAAGTCAGACATCTTGCAGTATTGTTAAAACATTTACCTTTCCATCATATGTGTATTATATTCAGCACAACAAATCTGGAAAAATCCACGAGTCATAAATACAGAAGAAGAAAAAAATGTCCAATACATTAGCCCAAATACAATCATGGTTAACATTTTCATTAATGTCCTCACACTCGTCAGAAAATACAAATTTTCATTAATGGAATCACAGTCCCTCCATGGACACTAAAACAAGACAACCAGTAGATAAAAATGAAAGTCAAATTCAAGTCATGCCCAGGTCAGGAACAGAAATTCATCCAGGTCAGGAAGAAGCCAGGTGTCATGGATGGGCTGATAACAGAGTCAGAAAGAAGTTCAAGGTAGGCAGAGTCTGTCAAGCAGATACCAGGATAAAGGCTCAAAGAAGGACTCTAGAGGAGACAGTCTAGTACCCCTGAGAGGCCCACCAGGAGGGACCTGGTGATGACAGGTTCATAGACTGAGGCTGAAGCCTTGGATCCTTCTAGTCTAAAAATATTGGCTTAAACTTCATGTTACTATAAAGTCACCTTCTTTACAGGGCTCTTAATCCAGACTCTCATTATTCCTTTATGCATTCATTTAGAACTTTGTAAGCACCTACTGTGTGCCAAGTACTGGTATAGGTTCTGCAATACAATGATAAAGACAGGCACAATCCTTACCCTATGAAGCGCACATTCCAATGGTTGATATAAAAACTAAACTAAGAGATAGACAGATAATACAAATACAGTCCTGTGCTGCTCCTCAATGACAGATCAATGATGGACCCAGAAGATTATACTACATACTATGGTGGTCCCATGAGATCATAAAGAAACTGAAAAATTCTTATCACCTGATGACATCATAGCCATATTGACATCATAGCCATATTAATATCACAGCACAATGCATTATTCACGTGTTCTTGATAATGCTGGTGTAAATAAACCTACTGCACTGCCAGTCTTATAAAAGTATAACACATACAGTTATATACAGAACATACTTGTTAATGACAATAAACGCCTATGTTACTGGTTTCTGTATTCATTATACTTTTTACCTTAGAATGTACTCCTTCTACTTAATTTTTTTGTTGTTGTTTGTTTTGTTTGTTTTTTTTTTTTTTTGAGACAGAGTCTCTCTGTCACCCAGGCTGGAGTGCAGTGGCACGATTTCGGCTCACTGCAAGCTCCGCCTCCTGGGTTCACGCCATTCTCCTGCCTCAGCCTCCCAAGTAGCTGGGACTACAGGTGCCCACCACCATGCCAGGCTAATTTTTTTTTTTTTTTGTATTTTTAGTAGAGACGGGGCTTCACCGTGTTAGCCAGGATGGTCTCGATCTCCTGACCTTGTGATCTGCCCACCTTGGCCTCCCAAAGTGCTGGGATTACAGGCGTGAGACACCGTGCCCAGCCTCCTTCTACTTTTTTTAAAAAAGTGAACTGTAAGTCAAGCTCAGGCAAGTCCTTCAGGAAGTATTCCAGAAAAAGGCATTGTGGTCATAGATGACAGATCCATGCAAGTTATTGCCCCCACAGATCTTCCAGTGGGACAAGATGTGGAGGTGAAGACAGTGACATGGATAATCCTGACCCTATGTACATCTAGGCTAAGGTGTGTGCTTGTGTCTTAGTTTTTAACAAAAAAGTTTAAAAAATAAAAAAATTAAAAATAGTAAAAAGCTTTTAAATTTTATTTTAAATTTAGTGTATTTTTATAGAATAAAAATACAAAGATATAAAATATTTTTGTACAGTCATACAATGTGTCTGTGGTTTAAGCTAAGTATTATCACAAAAGAGTCAAAAAGTTAAAAATAATCAATTTTTATACTTTAAAAAATATTATAAACTAAGGTTAGTAAGCTAAGAAATTTTTGTATAAATGTAGTGCAGTTTAAATGTCCTGTGTTGATAAAGTCTACAGTAGTGGACAGTAATGTCGTAGGCCTTCACATTCACTCACTGCTCACTCATTGACTCACTCAGAGCAACTTCCAGTCCTGCACACTCCATTCATGGTAAGTGCCCTATGCAGATGTGCCATTTTTAATTTCTTATACTGTATTTTTACTGTACCTTTTCTACGTTTAGATACACAAATACTCACCATTGTGTTATAATTGCCTACAGTATTTAGTACCATAATAGGATGTATGGGTTTGTAGCCTCAGAGCAGTAAGCTATACCATGTATCCTAAGTGTCTAGTAGACTATACCACCTAGGTTTGTGTAAATACACTTTATGATGTTTGCACAATGACAAAATCACCTAACTATGTTTTTCTCAGAACATGTTGATTACATGAGGCACAACTGTATATTTGTATTAGTATAATCTGCTCTTTGCCTACCTGAGGTGGTCATCTGAGGACAGATTCCCTATCAGTAATATGAGTGAATATCATAACTTTTTCCCTGATTATATGAACAACATATGTTATTTCTAAAACTCTGAGAATAAAGAAAATTATAAATTAATTGTATAGTATTTCTTTATTCAGCTATTTTATTAATTTGAATATAAAATTAATGTGTAACTTTTCTATGTAAATGAAATACAGGAGCCACCTGCCAGAACTGAAATAAAACGACCAATAAGACTATTAATTTTACTAGAAAAAAATGCTATTTTTACTAGAAATTCAAGAAGAGTGATAGCCACATGCTGAAAACACTGGGTGATTGCTATACAATAATGTAAAAACTGGATCAAAGAAAATACCAATATGCCAATAATTTGCCACATCTGAAGAAAAAAGGTGCTAGAAATGGCAAACAGGAACACTTGCAATCTCTGAGAGAAGGTCACCATGCACCCCTCACAGAAAATACAGAGCCCTCTTGCAAGCATGATGCAAGACAAAGAGAAGTCAGGAACACAAGGATAGATACTACAGTTCAAAAGATTCAAAAAAGAGTAAGTAAGAGAAAGAGAAGGAATCTTTCACATTCTGAAATTAATTTTCTTATCAAGATAGGGGTCGGGTGTGGTAACTCACGCCTGTAACCCAGCACTTTGGGAGGCCAAGGTGGGTGGATCACCTGAGGTCAGGAGTTTGAGAACAGCCTGACCAATATGGTGAAACCACAACTCTACTAAAAGTACAAAAAAATTAGTCAGGCATGGTGGCTTATGCCTCTAGTCCCAGCTACTCAGGAGGCTAAGGCAGGAGAATCGCTTGAACCTGGAAGACGGAGGTTGTAGTGAGACAAGATCCCACCTCTGCAGTCGAGCCTGGACAACAGAGCAAGACTCCATCTCAAAAAAAAAAAAAAAAGGACTTAGAATCTTTAAAACAAAAGCATTCCAGTCACAAAAAGAAAATTATTTCATATCAGTTAAAGCTAAAGAGATGCAAAAAGCTAATTGGCCATTATTAAGAAACCCAATAGAAATCATAACATTAGTTTGGGTTACATGAAAGAACAGGTTGGTAAATGTCCCCAGATTCAAATTCATAAATGAAACCAAGATAAAATTTATAATAGAACATAAACGACATGAAAGACTAAATTAAATAACTACAATAATAAGATTGTAATGGTAAAGACTTTTCCTAGGCTAAAGAAAAAATCTGTAGCTTGCATATGAAAAGTACCCACCAGGCAATATTAATGAAATGACATTAATCCTTTAACACAACAAGTTGTGATTCTTTTTACTTTCCATGTATAAAGAAAAAAAGTCCTTTAACATTTAGGGAGGAAAAAGAACCAATAAAACAGTTTCTCTACACAAAAGCATAAGTTAACCTGGACTGAGATGTCACTTTTATCACAAATAAACTTGTAAGTTTTAAGTATAATATTGTCTTCAAACTCACTTTTTCTTTATTTTTTAGACAAAATGCTCATCTATTTATTATTATATTTAATTGACAAATCATAATTATATACATTTATGGGATACATTGTGATATCTTAACATATGTATACAATGTGGAATGATTAAATCAAGCTAATTAATATAACCATAATCTCATTTACTTATCATTTTTTGTGGTGAGACATTTGAAATGTACCTTCTACTTATTTTGAGATATACAACACATTATTGTTGATGATAGTCATCCTGCTATGCAAGAAATCTCAAAACATCTTCCTTCTGACATTTTGTACCCTCTCCTTCCCCTGTTCCCCAGCCTCAGGTAACCATCATTCTACTATCTACTTTTATGAATTTTGCTTTTATAGATTCTATATATGAGTGAGATCACATGGTATTTGTCTTTCTGTGCACAGCTTATTTCATTTAGCATAATGTCTTCCAGTTGTATCCATGTTGTCACAAGTAGCAAGATTTCCTTCTTTCTTATGGCTGAATAGTATTCGGTCTTGTATAATACCACATCTTCAGTCCTACTTTAATTTTTAGTTATTCCCAATCACTCAGCTCAGCTCTCAGTAAGTTGTGCATCTTGGAAAACTCAGTGTCTCAAGTACTGTAAAAAGTAGTTAGGGCCCCAAATGGAATAGTGCACATTTTCTCCTCAATGAGTTCATGGAAGATTGGGAGTTGTAGAATCACAGATAAAGATAAAATCAAATGTGGAGTGGGAGGATGAAGATACACATACACTGTAATGGAACCCAGAATAGCAGTACCTAATCACATGGGGGCTGGGAGTGGAAGGGATCGAGGAATAGTTTCTGAAGCAGATGATGCCTGAGCTGCAGTTTAAAGTACAGTATGTGTAAAAGTTAATCAAACTCAGGTGATGAGCCGGGGAGGGCAGCCCACGCAGAAGAACAAGCATGTATGTCACTAAATATTGAAACTGAAGAACACAAGCACAATTTGACTGAGTGTCCTGAATTATGCCCAGATTCACTAAACCTGTCAAATTAAGTTTAGTCTGAAGCTGCCTCCTTACATATTTTAAGTTCAGCCTAACGGTTTCTCCATATATGAACTGTAACCTTACTGAATATGTGTAAACAGACTGTAACCTACTCTTGTGCCAATCACTGAGGTTTGGCCAATCAAAGGTTGGCAACTGTTTACATTGTGTTCAAATAAAGAAAATACCAAATTGTAAACAGTCTGGTTGTTTTTGTACCTCACTTATGTTTTCTGTACACCATTGATCTTTTCCTGTTCAGAAATCTTCTTCAACCAAGCAGCAATGCCAGAGTCTCTCTGAACCTATTCTGGCTTGGGAGGCTGCCCAATTCATGAATTGTTCTTTGGCTAATTAAACTCTGTTACATTTAATTTGTCTAAAGTTTTTCTTTTAATGTATCTTTAAGCCTCAGTTTCCTCATCTATAAAACAAAAACACTCCTGGTACTTTTGTGCAAATGAATTGATGTAACATGCTAAAACTAGTGTCTGGTACTTAGTAAGTATTAGTTACTATTGTAACAATGATGATGGTGATGCTCTTCATCATCTTCCTCATCCTCTTCTCATGATCGCCCAGTCCAGGAGATAGAGAAAGTTATATTGGAATTCCCACTGTACCACTTCCTATTTAAACTTTCACAGGTTAATATATTTATCTTTGCCTCATAGTTTTCACTTTATTAAGGTAATCATGACTATCTCATGAAATTTCTGAAGAAATGAAATAAAATAATATATGTAAAGTACCTGGCAAATAGAAAGGGTTTAGAAAGGTACATTGCTTTTAACAAACCCAATGTGCTACTGTGAGTTGCAAAATGTAAGAACAAAGAAATTCACAAGTTTGTCTTGAATCTTACATTTGAGAAAGTCCAAGATAAACTTGGAAACCTATCCAGCAACTTAAAGTGGTCTATCTCTTCAAGCTGGTTTCTCTCAGTGTCTTTTCCTGTTCTCCTTTTATTCTAAGGGCTACACACAAAGAAGTCCTAGCTCCTCTGGCTTTCAGATAAAGATCTTCTGAGTGTTCAAGATGATGTGTTTTTGTTTCTGTTTCATTTGTTCTGTAGTAGATTTCATGCTTATTTTCCATTTTATTCCCTTTCAAATGTGCTGAGATTTATCTAATCTGTGTCCCTATACTGTATCCACTAAGTGTTCACCAACCTTAGTTTCTAGACACTATTAATTTGGGTGATGGTTAGTTACCTTTCTCAAAGAAGAAATTGAGATTTACAGCTTCAAAGTCATCTGTAGGTCTGATCAAAAATGGGAGTTTTTCCTATACCCATACCAGTGATGACCATAGCCTGGAATAATCCCCTCACTCCCTGAGACCAGAGGATTTGATGAAGTACCTCTCCTCTGGGGCCCAACAGGTCCCTCTACCTCTACCACATTTAACAGACTGTTTCGTGATTGTCTGATTTGTTAATGGTATGCTACATTAGACTCCAGTCTCAAAGACGGCAGAATAAAGAGCTCTTTTTGATCATTTTTAAGGTGCCCAGAACACAGTATAATACCTAGTAAACAATGGGTTCTTGATAAATATTTGTGTAAGAACTGATTAAACAAAGTAATTCTGATCAATGTGTGTATGTTTGTAAATTCATCATAAATAGATATTTAAGGCACTCATGGCAAGACTACATAATTATTTTCATAGCCATATTCAGACTCTCCACGAAATTTGTGATTTCTTGGGTTTTCTTCCAGTTATTCTACAACAGTGAACTTCACTGCCTGATTTCACTTTTATTTTTAGTAATAGTTACTAGCTACTAAGTTAGATTTATTAAATTTTTATGTTTTCATAAATTTTTATGCTATTGATATTCCTATTAAAATGTTTCTTTAAATGGTTTAACATCTTTTAAGACATACCCTTATGATAAGCATGTTAATTTTCCTGAGAAATCATTTAGGATATTTTTCATACAGATCATATTTATAAAATCAGTTTTTTTTTTTTCAGACAGAGCCTCACTCTGTCACCCAGGCTGGAGTGCAGTGGCACGATCTTGGCTCACTGCAACCTCCACCTTCTGTGTTCAAGCCATTCTCCTTCCTCAGCGTCCTGAGTAGCTGGGACTACAGGTGCCTGCCACCATGCACAGCTAATTTTTGTATTTTTGGTAGACACAAGGTTTCACCATATTGGCCAGGCTGGTCTCGAACTCCTGACCTTGTGATCCACCCACCTTGGCCTCCCAGAGTGCTGGGATTACAGGCATGAGCCACCATGCCTGGCCTATAAAATCATTTTTTATGGTACTATGAGGAGAAAATTTCAAATACTTAAAAGTAACATCACTGTGGCATATTTTTTTCCTCCTCTATAGATGTCATTTTGTCCTCTCATGATGATTACCTTTCCCTTGCATTTCAGTAGAGTTGCTCAAGGTTGTCCTCCACTAATTCTGGTCCCATATCAAGTTGCCAGGTTACTGGATTTTCCTTTACTACCTGTATTAGTAATTTTAATTCTATCGAATTTTTTATTTCTTTATAGTCCTTTCTATTTCTCCTAACCCTCTTGCCTTCCAAGCCTGCTGTCTTTGCATTTCAATTTGTTCTTGCTTAACACTTTCTGCTTTTATTTTATAGTAATCCTAATTTCTTGGGTTCTACTAAAACATTCTTTAGTTTTCTAACATTTACTTCTGATTTCTATAAAAATAATATCTATAGTATGAAAATCTCCTGTATTCAAAATAATCTTTTCGCTTTGTTTTGTTTTTCATTTGTTCTGCAGTAGGCTTCATCCTCACTTTCCAATTTATTCACTTTCAAATATGATGAGAAACCTGGGGCCCTATAACATATATCTGTACACTTAGTGTTCACCAGCCTTAGTTTCCAGGCATTGTTCATTTAGGTGATGGTTAAATATCATTCTCAAAGAAATTGAGATTTACAGCTCCAAAGTCATCTGTCAATCTGCTCAACAATTGGAGATTTTTCTATCCCCACCACAGGATTTATTGTTCTCTGAATCAATGGACTACAGTGGGGAAAAAAAGTCACAAAACAGCCTGCTAACAAGTTTCCTTTTTTTTTTAATCCCAAATGAAGTGCTCTATTTTCCAAATATAGTACATCACTGCCAATTATCTTTTTTTAATATACCACAGTTGTTTTACAGAAGAAATGGTTGTAGTCCAAAAACAAAGCAATATTGAGTACCTCCTATGTCCTAGGTTCTCTTCTAGACGTTAAAAACATCATGATGAACACAATAGATGTAACCCTGTCCTTCTGAAGACCATACTCTACTTAAGAATTGGTCAAAAAGTGACAGTTTGGTAGGAGGAATAAGTTCAAGAGATCTATTGAACAGCATGTTGACTATAATTAATGAAGACATATCAAATTCTTGAAAAATGCAAACAGAGTAGATGTTTAAATGTTCTCAGCACAAAAATAGCTATATGAAGAAATGCATATGTTACTTAGCTAGATTTAACCATTCCACAAGGTATTTGTACTTCAAAACAGCATGTTGTACATGGTAAATACATGCAATTTTATCTGCCACTTTAGAAAAAAATCAGATATTAAATAATTCCAAGTATGATATGATCTGTATATACGAAGGAGAACTAGCTGTGGACAAAGACATGGTGACTGCTTTCAATAGAATAACTTAGGGTTAAGAGAGATATTGGCTCCATTTTCTTTTAGTTCAGACCTTGTATTTCAGATCTATAAACCAAAAATTGGGTAGGATTTCCTACTATATTTTCAGAAAAGTAAATTTGATATGTTTCCACTGGCTACATTGAAATTTGTTGAAAATTATTTGTTTCTATTTTTCAAATTTATGGTAATTTGTTAAAAGTGCATTGGATTCCGGTAATTTTAAGTTTTAATATTTGATGCTGTTGACAATTTTTGTCTTTTTTAAATATATATTTTTAGTAATAAGTTGGAGAGAAACTACATCAAAGACTGTTAGCCAGATTCATTTTTAAATTAATATGAAGTCATATTTAAGATATTTTCAGGAGGTAAAACCTATAGGGGCTGCTGATGGATTAAATTGAGAAACAGGGAGAAATTTAGTAAGACTGTTAGGTTTTAGCAAATGAACATGTGAGTGTAAGCTTTGAGAGGAAGTCTGGGCTAGATATAAGAATTTGAAAGTCATGTTGTAGGCCATTGGTATCTAAAACCTGAAAGTTAGATTTAAGACACCTCAAGGCACTTATTTTCCTTGAATGTTGTCATCTTGAAATATGCCAAAAGCTAACCCAAATGAATCAAAGTTTGCTCTCTGTAGTACAACTTACACTTTTTAAAAGTAATAACAGCCAAGAGCAGTGGCTCGCACCTATAATCCCAACAATTTGGGATGCCAAAGCAAGAGGATCACTTGAGCCCGAAGAGAAACGTTCAGGTGCAATTAAATTGGACTAGTCACTGAAGTCCAAGTGACTATATATATTCAGTAGATCTATACTCAAGCCAAAGATGGAGGCAGAATTGATTTTGCCCAAGGGTTTGAAGGGAGAATGTATGATTAAAGAAACATTTAAAATGTGTCCTGTCTGGGCATGGTGGCTCATGCCTAAAATCCCAATGCTTTGGGAGGCCTAGGCAGGAAGATCACTTGAGGCCAGGAGTTTGAGACTAGCTTGAGCAATGTAGTGAGAGCCCATCTCAACAAAAATTTAAAAATTAGCCAGGTGTGATGGCACATGCCTGTAATAATGGCAACTCAAGAGACTGAGGCAGAAAGGTGGCTTGAACCCAGGAGTTTGAGTCTATAGTGAGCTATGATTGTACCACTGCACTCCAGCCTGGACAAAAAGAGTAAGCCTCTGTCTCTAAAAATAAAGTAAAATAAAATAAAATGGGTCCTGAAGGAGAAATACAATGCACTTCTCACAAAGACGACAGTGAAAAAAATTTTAAAGTAAGAACATATTACTTTCCTGCTTGAAGACTGCTAATGGCTTCCATAACACTTAGAATAAAATCCAAACTTCTTGCTTTGACTTCCAGAGCCCTGTGTAATCTGGTTTGTGACAATCTCTATGACCTCATCTTGTACCACTTCCCTCTCTGTTATCTCCATTCTAGCCCCTGACCTATTGTCTTTTCCTCAGTTGTGCCAAAATTATCCCTGCTGTAGGGCCTTTGAAATGGCTACTTCCTCTGCTTGGAATGCTCTTGCTCTTGCCCTTCATATATCTCAGAGGGGTTTTACCTGACACCCCGTTTTTGTCTATTATCTTACCCTATTGTAATTCTCTTTTCAACATTTATTATTAACTGATATTTATCTCTTTCTCCTCCTTTTCCTCCAACTTTCCTTCTGTCTTTCTCTCTTTTCTTTTTTCTTTTTTCTCCTCCCTTCCTTCCCTCCTTCCCTCCCTCTTTCCTTCCTTCCTTCCTTCCTCCCTCCCTTCCTCTCTTCCTTCCCTTCTTCCCCCTCTTCTATTAGAATACAAACCCCTTGAAATCACGGACATTTTCTATGTTGTTTACCACCGCAATCACCAAGTGTAAGTTCATACATTACTTATTGCATAAATGAGTCTTATTTTGACAGGCTGGAGAAGTAGGAAGAGTAAAGACATTAGAAACTCCATACAGCTTCAAGAGTGAAAGCAAATTATCTATCAGTGTAAGAGGTTGTGTACTTTCATACCTAGCATTTTTCTCTTAAATCCGGATACATCACAGTCTCCCACTTTGCAAGACCCAGGATGTCTGTTGGCAGAATATTGTGTGCAGCTCTGGTACTTGTTCTTTCAGAAAGACTTAATGATATTTTAGATGTTCCCAAAAGGGCAAGGGCCAGCAGAGGCTGCTGCACAATTCCAGACTAAAAACATAAGGATTGTTTTGCCTTGCAATATTAGGTTTAGAAAATGTAGAAACAAAATTTGAAGGGATTTAAGGAGAGGAAACATCGTTTTCTTCAGGAAAACTCAGACTCCTATTTTCAGGCCTTTCTTAAAGCTTAAAAGAGGCCTTCTTTAGGGCAAATAAAATATAATTACCCTTCATTGTCATGAAATTTTATGTTTACAAAATTTTTATTTTATTTTTTCTAAATATCCACACATCATCTGTACGGGGAGTAACATTATTCCTATTTTTTAAATTTAGAGTATTTTTAAAATTTAGGTTGTTCCCCTAAATTCCTTGAGAGAGAGAATCATGTCTGTTCTATCCTTTTAGTGTCATTAGTAAAGGTTTTTCAAAAAAAATGGGAAATCAATAAATGTCTATAAAATTGAATTGGCTGAAACCTGAATAAGTCAGGAACAGGAGTCCTAAAAATGCCTGTGCCATTGGTGCTCATTCTTTGTCATAAGAGGTGAACACAGATAATTTATTTTATTGTCCCAAAGTTCAAAGCTCCCTCAACCCTGACTAATAATAAGCAGAATAAACTCAGAAGTTTAAATTGCAATTAAAAGATATTAACATCTGTAAACTGAGCCTGGAGGAAATTAGTTTCAAAAGCAAAGGTGATCATGAGATTCCTTTTTCCATTCCTTGATGAAATTATGAAATATTATAAGATCCTTTTTCAAATCATTCTTGTAAAATCTAAGGAGGGGAGAGGGTCATAACAAACTAAAAAACTCTCAGTTTGGGTTGGTCAAGACTCAGTAAGTTCACTTCACCTTGTCTTTCTCACTAAATGTAACTGCAAACCCTGTACAGAATGCCTACAGCAGCTATCCGAGGAGTATAAAAAGCAGGTGGTAGCCGGCAGATTGAGAAAGAAAACCAGAACTCAGAATAACACTAAACTGGTAATTATGTTCTTCCCTGCCATCACCCGCCCCCACCCCCAAGCCTAAAACTCATAAGTTTACACCAAGTGTGGGCAAAAAGAATGGTAGTTTGCTAGTGCTGTCATGACAAAATACCACATAATATCCAAACAACAGAATGGCAGGCTTAAACAACATAAATGTATTATCTCATAGTTCTGGAAGCTAGAAGTTCAGAATCAAGGTGTCAGCAGAGTTGATTCCTTCTGAGGGCCGTGACTGAGGGATTTGTTTCAGGCCTCTCTCCTGAGCAGGTCGATGGCTGTCTTCTCCCTGTATCTTTTCACATCATGTTCCCTGTACATGTGTCTGTGTCCAAGCTTCCGTTTTTTATAAAGACACCAGTCATATTTGATTAGGAGGCCATCCTACTTCAGCATGACCTCATCTTAACTAGTTACACATGCAATGATCCCACATCTAAATAAGGTCACATTCTGAGATACTAAGGGTTGGGACACCAACATATAAATCTTAGGAGCACACAATTCAACCCATAGCAAAGTAGAAGAAAACCTCCCTTGTGGGTCCAAGCAGCAGGAAATGGGTTAGAGACAACAGTATAAATTTTCTGGTTTTTTGTTTCTTTTGTTTATTTTTTCTCCCACCATGGTCCTCAGACAATCCCATATTAGTATGGTAAAAATGACAGCAGTGGCTGGGGAGGCACCTAAAACTCCAAGAGAGGAAATAGACTACTGACCAGAAGAACTGTGGTACCAGGAGAATAGAAGAAATAGCTGTTGCTGCTTTTTATCATTTTGTATCCCCTCATTGCTTGGCCCCTAATGCAGACTCAATTGCAGAAAGTACATGGCAGAGATGGGCACCTAAAACCCCAGTTTCCCAGAGAGAAAACCAAGGCAGAAGTGGGGGTGAAACGAGATGTGGAGGCTGGGAGCCAGAATGTGCCAGGAAAATCATAACTAGGAAATAAAGTGGTACCATAAAGTTATGTATACATTTTTGGGCTTGCCTTCAAGCTGTGCATTCATGGGACTCAGCCCTAAATTGCATACAAGAGGCTTTTAGAACCAAACTATGTGGTAAATCCCCATCTAGATCTTAGATTTGTCACTGAGTGGTACGTAAAAGAGACAGATCTAAATAGCACTTCAAAGGCTTTGAAAATTAAACCTACATTGGAACTATATCCTAGAGGGAAGGCAGACAGGAACTTATAGCCTGATACTGAGTCAATTACTTGCTAAAACAAGCTAACAAAAAATATTCTGTGTGAGATTTTTTAAAAGACTCAGACCCTTAGAGCATAATATTTAAAATGCCCAAGATATACTATAAAACTATTAAACATGAAGAACCAGGACATATCAATATCTTTCAAGAAGATAATTAACATATGCTGAACCCAAGATAATACAGGTATTAGAATTATTAGATAAAGGTTTTAAAGCAGTAATTTTAATCATGCTCTGCAAAGTAAGTGTGAACACTCTTGAAATGAAAAAAATATATATCTTCAGATAAATTGAAGCTATAACAAAAAAATGCACATTTTAGAAGTGAAAAATACATTAAGCAAAATAAAAATAGTCACTGGATAGGCCCAACAGTAGACTGGAAATGACAGAGGAAAAAGCTAATGAACTTTATAAAATATTGATAGAAATTATCCAGTTTTAACAATAGAGAGAAAAAAAGATTGAAAAAGCAATAAATAGAGGACTCTTGAGTCAATATCAAAATGGCTAACAGTTGTGTCATCAACATTCCAAAGGAAAGCAGAAAGAGTGGTGAAGAAAAATATTTTGAAAATATGATGGCTAATATTTTCCCAAATTTGGCCCAAGGCTTAAATAATGATCCTAACATCTAATTATTATTATTATCATTGCTGGCATTGATTTAGCACTTAGTCTGCATCAGGATATGTTCTAATGTCTTTACACGCTCCTCTAATATTCAAGGAATAACACATATAAATCTTTGCCCAAGGTCACAGAGGTATTAAGTGGTGGAGACAGGAAACAAATCCAGAAATTCTGCCTCCAGTGAGCAAGCTCTTAAACTCAAGCTCTTAGACAATCTGGTACTTCTAGGGTCAATCTTTCCTCTGTGATTATATTCCTAATAACAGCTACATTATTCTACTGCAATTTTTTTAAAGTATGTATAGTTCTTGGTGGAGTATCTAAAATATGGAGACTTAAATGCATTTGAGAAAGAAAAGAATAAACAACTGCAATACTGGGTGAAAGTGATCAGGGTGGACCTCAATTATCTAATAAGACTGTAAATTTCTCAATGAAAGAGGCTTCACTGACGCAGTTATGTTGCATGGCATCTAGCATGTTCTGACCCGTTCAGTTGCATAATTTCAAAAATTTGTAGCTTAATGAAAGAGGAATAAAACTATACAATTTATATGAAAAACAGTGTAATGGTATGAAGATATGCCTCTGGCATTAACTCATTTCTTGATCTTGAAGAAGTCATTTAACCTCCTGGAGCCTCAATAACTTTTATTAAAATAAAAATAGTTCTAATCCCAACTAAGGTATATTGTGAAGATCAATGAGTTAGTGTGTGTAAAAATGCTTTGGAGAGCATTACACAAATGACATTTTATTGGATTTAACTCATTGCAAGGCAGGCAGAAATAAGTGAAATGCACTTGATAAAGAGTGTGGCAGCCTAGAAGAGGGGGAGACTAATTCCAGCTGGGAGCATTGACAAGGTTTTATGGATAAAGAAGACTAACAAGCTGGGGAGGAATTCTTTAATAGAAAGCAGTTCAAGACTAGAGTTGGAGAGCTGGTAAACCCCCACCACTGGAACTTACTTCTGACCTTCTCTTCTCCCTGGGGCTTGGTAGAGATATAATCTCAGGGAATATGCTCAAAATCATCACAACTATTTAGAACACTTTGTAATCCCAAGGAAAACAGAACAGCACATGGATGAAAAGCAGGAGGCAAAAGAGAGTGGTTTTAAGATGAACAAGTTTTTTACAAAACATTTCTTTATATTTTATTTTTGTAAATTTTGGGGGCTTGTCTTTTCAGAGTTAAGCCAAATTAGTGATTTTCTAGTCCAACTACTGGGGAAACCCTCATTTGTGTCTATCTGTGCTTTTGTATAAATTTAATGGCAGTGTTTTTCAAACTTCAGAGTGAATGAGGATACTTTGAGGAGCTTATTTAAAAAATAAATATAAAAAACAAATTCTCAGACTTCATTCCCAGTGCTACTGATGCAGTCTGTCTGGATGAAGTTGGACCAGGGTTCTTCATTTTAACACCTAACCAGCTGCTCCAGATGTAGGTAGTTCATTTTTCTCACCATAGGAAAGCCCAATGTATACCAAAGCTGAGAGCATAGTTATTGGCACTCGAAGCAACTTCAAAGATGCTTGGACTCCTTTTCTCCTTGAACACCAGCTTGGGGATATGGACAGAGAAGGAGATTTGAATCCATATTGGACTTTTCCAGATTGCTTTATTTTATTCTCTGCATCCCCTCCTGCTCAAAAGTAAAGAAAAAAGAAAAGAAAAGCAAAAAAAGGCCCCACGGGACGCCATGAGTCAACTTTTACGTAAAACATACTTTTTTGGTAGGACCTGGCCACCATACCACCCAGTTCAGGAAACAATGCAACCATATTATTTTCAAAATAATTTGAAGACATAGTTCTGTTTTAATCCCAAGACAAACGTGGTATGCAATACTTTCTTTATTCGCCGTAAAAAGAGAGGAAGAAACAATCAGCGCTAAACAAATAAAATGAAAATTACCTCTTTTTCAAATTTTGATGATGAAAAATGTTTCAAAGCACCCCATATACTCACAGAAATACTAATTACTTTCTGCCTTCTTGGGGTGAGCACAGGGAAACTTGCATTGTAATAGTCTCATCAGAGTTGTATAAACTGCAACAAAAGCAATAAAATTTCCCAAAACATCTGGGCCTGTCTACTCTTTAAAATGTTTGTAAGCATCAGACAAAATTGACATTAGGATGTTTGATATCAAGCCTTAGGGTGGTGACTGTGGTTCCAGTATAAAATCACATTTGAATTCCTGGAAGTCACCTGTGAAAATCACTTCCAAAGAAGATTATGCCCAGAAATCTAAGATATGTTGAGCCAAATCATGTATCTCAAGGAAAAGCATATTTCTCAATCCCTAAAACCTTCTTATTCTAGTGCTTAGATCCAGACAGTGAAAAAGGAAAACACCAATACTTAAGAATACTTACTCTGGAGCCAGGAGTGTGTTGGGAACTTTACAAATGTTACGTGGTTTGATTTAATCTACCCCACAAAAAATCTCTATTGCAATAATCTCTATTTTACAAATGAGGGAGCTAGACTCAGAGAGGTTAAATAACTTGCTTAATGTCAAAGAGATACTAAATGGTAAGATAATAATTTAGGGTTATCTGATTCATACTTAAGTGGTAACATTTAACTCAATTATCAACGTGCTAAGCCTTTTATAACCCATCTTCCTCAATCTGGGTAGACAGTCTTTTTTTCCCATTTTAGTTTGCACCTAGCTGACAAGAGACACAATGTGGAAGATCTGTTCACACTAGTAGATTGTGAGTTAGAAAGCAGAACCACATCTAATAACATGACGCTGGGATCAGACATCACAAAATATATGTTCTGACTCCTACATTTACTACCTGTACGCACCGTGAATAAGTCTTGTTTTTTGTTTTACGTTTTTGAGCTGCAGTTCTCTCTTCTGTAAAATGGGAATAATAATCTCCTGCCTTCAAAGTCACTATGTTGTTTCAGTGAGAATACCTGTAATGGATCCAGAGCATACTTCCTGCATAGGACACACTCCACAACTAGTTCCCTACCCCCTTTCCCTACTGCCACAGTGCAGGGCATATTGTGGGCTTTCAGTAAGAGTTGGTGACTGACTGATACACAGATGATGTGCGAGTCAGTAAATAGGACTCCTCTTTCCCACCCAAGTTCTAAACCAAAGTGAAATGTAAGCCTAAGAAATGAGACTCAGGGAGGCCAAAAATTTACCTTGATTATTGACAAGAAGCTGATATTAGACAATACAGCTTATATCTCTGGGCAAGTAGACTCCCAAGATTAGGCAGATTTACCCACTTTTTCAGGGGTAAAAGTGGAAAACCACAAGTTTCTCCAGGTTGAAGTTACAGCATGATCCCTGCCAGAAAGCAAGAGGAAGAGGCTGAGCCATTTGTGTCCAGTTCCTCTCACAAACTCACCTATTAAGTAATGCTTCCTTCCTCCCCAGTGGATGAACAAGGGGTAGGCAGTCATCTAAAAATGTTTAGGAAAATGCTTCCACCCAGGGACCAAAAGTGAAGAGCGGCTACACTCCCGCCCCCAGCTCAACAGCTTGCATGATGGCATAAAACCCGTTCCCTGCCAAGCTCCACTCCACCATGCAGTAACTCAGGCCTCTCAGTACTTCTGCCCTATCCCAGGCTCCTCCTGGGCTCCCACATGGGAGGATTTAAGGAGCTAACAAGAGAATGAAAACTATTCTTGGTCTTAGTCTGACCTTGCAATTCAGTCACTGGGCCTCACCTTCTGTTCTCTTCACCAAGTCTTCACTGTATGTCTGCCTCTGAGTAACTGGGTCCCTAGTGTATTTCCCATGCCTGAGATCCTCTTTACTTCTCTTTTTAGAGCTCCACTGACCCCAGGAGGGTCATGATCTCTGATGTGGAGCCCTCTTAATACTAATGTAGCTCCAATCACAAAGCTGGAAGGCACAGTTAGCAGTTTATCTGATTACTGGAATCGGCCCGAAGAGTGCAGGGGTTTACAGGATCAAGGAGCTGGATGGTGATGAAACTCAGGATTCCTGATGTTCAGCTCAATGTTATTTTGAGTCAAGCAGAGAAAAGTAAATGGAGAGAAGGAAAGGCATCATTTCCACCACTGGTACAGCCTGATAATAGAATTCATAAAATCTGGAGTGATAGCAGAAGACATGAATAACTGACCAAACAGGTCAACCTTCTTAATAGAGAAGGATCCCTGGGACTAGGGCCATTGAGAACACTGAAAGACACCACAGTTGATGGAAGGAATATGGCATTTATTTATCTACTCACTCATTTCCCATGTTTAATAAATATTGAATGTCATATGTGCACGCACTTTTGTAGGCACTACTGATGTAACAGAATAGGACATACAAAAATTCCTGCCCTCGTGGGGTCTACATCCTTTTAGACAAACACAGATAATATACCAAAAGGTGAATATAATATGCTGTAATAACTGTCAATATAATAAGCAGCAGGAAATTCTAAATAGGTGTGTTGGAGGCAGGGATGGCTATCTTAAATAGACTAATCAGGGAAAAATTGACAGTCTGACATTTGGGTATAAACCTGAACGAGTTGAGGGAATAAACCTTGCAGATTCCAGGGAGAAGAGAGTTCCAGGAAGAGGCCAGGACAAGTGCAAAGGCTTTGCAGCTGGAGTGTGCTTGCTGTGGTTTAAGGAACAGTGTGGCAATTGCTCAAAGACCTAAAAACAGAACTACCATTTGACCCAGCAATCCCATTATGGAGTATATACCCACAGAAATAGAAATCATTCTATCATAAAGACACATGCACATCTATGTTCAGTGCAGCACTATTCACAACAACAAAGGCATGGGATCACCCTAAATGCCCATCAGTGGTAGACTGGATAAAGAAAATGTGGTACCTATACCATGGAATACTATGCAGGCATAAAAGAAGAATGATATTATGTCCTTTGCAAGAACAGGGATAGAGCTAAAGACCATTATCCTTAGCAAACTTACAAAGGAACAGAAAACCAAATACTGTACACTCTCTCTTGTATGTGGGAGCTAAATGATGAGAACACATGGACACATGGAGGGGAACAGAGAGGCTTGTCAGAGTGTGGAGAGTTGGTGGGAGGAGGGGAAGAATCAGGAAAAATAGCTAAGGGGTACTAGGCTTCATAGCTTGGTGACAAAATAATCTGTACAACAAACCTCTATGACACAAGATTACCTATATAATGAACCTGCACATATACCACTGAACTTAGAATAATTTTTTTTAAAAAGAAAGCTTGTGTTATGGTTAATACTGAGTGTCAACTTGATTGGATTGAAGGATGCAAAGTATTGCTCCTGGGTGTGTCTGTGAGGGTGTTGCCAAAGGAGATTACATTTGAGTCAGTGGGATGGGAAAGGCAGACCCATCCTTAACCTGGGTGGGCACAATCTAATCAGCTGCCAGCATGGCCAGAATAAAAAGCAGGCAGAAAAACATGAAAAGGCTAGACTCGCATAGCCTCCCAGCCTACATCTTTCTTCCATGCTGTATGTTTCCTGCCCTTGAACATCAGACTTCAAGTTCTTCAGCTTTGGGAGTCAGACTGGCTTCCTTGCTCCTCAGTTTGTAGATGGCCTATTGTGGGACCATTGTGTGAGATAATACTCCTTAATAAACTATAATAAAAATATATATATGGAGGAGTTTATTAAGGAGTATTAACATAATAGGATATATATATATATCCAATTAAGGAGTATTAATAGGATATATATATCCAATTAAGGAGTATTAATATAATAGGATATATATATATATCCAATTAAGGAGTATTAATAGGATATATATATCCAATTAAGGAGTATTAATTCTGTCCCTCTAGAGAACCCTAATACAGATTTTGGTACCAAGAGTGGTTCTAGGGGAACAGAATATTAAGGATGGAGTGCTTTTATTGGTTTGGGGGTTTCTAGAGTTGGCTGCGTAATATGACTTGATCCCAAAGTGCTAAGGATTCTACTTCTAATAGTATGGAGAACACTTACAGTCCTTGGTGTGAACTGTTCAGAGAGTTATGCAAAATAAATGCATTTGACACTCCCGATTCACTGCTAGCGAGAGGCAAGGAGTTTACTGACACTATACCTAATACCTTTGGCCATATGTGGAGAACCAAGGAACATAATGAAATTCGTTGGTTGCTCCTAAGTTCACTGGACAAAGTGATTAAAGAAAATGATGAACTCAGGGATTTTAACTCCCAGCTTCAGAAGCAGGTACTGAGCCTCAAATTTGCTAAGATTGCCCTGAGTGAGAGTCTTATCTCCTGTAAGGAAAGAGCTGAAATTGTGGAAAATTAGACACAAACTCTTATCATGAAAGTGGCTGACCTGCAATGAAAGGTTGCCACAGAGCCTTGCCAAGTGTCTACCATTAAAGCGAGGGCATTGATTGGAAAAGTAGGGGACCCTGCAACTTGAAATGGGGATGTGTGGGAGGACCCTGATGAAGCTGGGTACATTGAGCTTGTAAACTCTGAAGAACCTTTTTTTCCAGAAGAAACAGCTTCCCCATCCCCAGTAGTGGCGACATTCCCTTTCCGATCCACACTGCCATCAGCCTTTCCACCTGTGTTTGAGGAGATAAACCCTGCACTGCCTGAGGCAACAGTGATGGCCTCCCCTGAGGCAGTTGCCAGGCAAGATAATGTTGATTCTCCTCAGGAGCCACCCTCAACACCCCTGTTTGCTTCTAGACCTCTAACTAGACTAAAGTCCTGGCAGGCCCCCAGAGGTGAGGTTCAGAGTGGGAACCATGAGGAGGTGCAGTACACTCAAAAAGAACTGCTTGAGTTTTCTAATTTACATAAGCAGAAATCTGGAGAACAGGCATGAGAAAGGATATTAAGGTTGTGGTATGACGGTGGAAGGAACATAGAGTTGGATCAGGCTGGAGGTATTGATTTGGACCCACTGAGTAGGGATTCTATATTTAATGTTGTAGCTCAGGAATTAAAAAAGGTTCTAGTACTTTATTTGCTTGGTTAGCTGAAATATGGATTAAAAGATGGCCCACTGTGAGTGAGCTAGAAATGCCTAATCTCTGTTGGTTTAGTGTAGAGAAAGGGATCCAAAGGCTTAGGGAGATTGGGATGGTGGAGTAGATTAGTCACTTTAGGCATACCCATCCCAGCTGGGAGGGTCCAGAAGATATACCCTTGACCAATGCTTTGTGAAATAGATTTGTTGAGGGCAGCACTTGCATCTTTGAAGAGTCTTGTAATTGCTCTTCTCTTTATGTCAGATCTAACAGTGGGAACCACAGTCACTCAACCACAAAATTTAAATGCAAGGTGCCATGGCTCATACCTGTAATCCAGCACTTTGGGAGGCCAAGGCAGGCAGATCACCTGAGGTCAGCAGTTCAAGAGCAGCCTGCCCAACATGGTGAAACCCTGTCTCTACTAAAAATACAAAAATTAGTCAGGCGTGGTGGTGTACACCTGTAGTCCCAGCTACTGGGGCAGCTGAGGCAGGAGAATCACTTAAACCTGGGATGCAGTGGCTGCAGTGAGCCAAGATTATGCCATTGCACTCCAGCCTAAATGATAGAGTTAGACTCCATCTCAACAAATTAATAAATAAATGCAATGGGAATAATTGGATCCTGAGGTAGCAGGGGCCAAGTGGTGGCACTCAACCATCAAAGGCAAGATGGGCAAAGCTACCATAATGGACAGCAGAGGCAAAGCAGCAATCAGAATAGTTGGACTCATGTAGAGCTCTGGCATTGGCTGATTAATCACAGTGTTCCTAGAAGTGAAATTGATAGGAAGCCTACAGCATTCCTATTTTATTTATACAAGCAGAAAACTTCAGGTCAAGTGGACAAAAGACTAATTTGAATTATAAAAACAGACAATCACAGCCCCTCAATCAACTTTCAGACTTTAGCCAGTTTAAATACCCAGAACCCCCTGAATGAAAGGGAGGCTGGGTCACCCTGAGGAAGAAGCTCACTACACTACCGACAAATTATGCTGTTAATCTTTCTCCCAACCTTCCCTAAGGAGACCTCTGGCCTTTTACCAGGGCAACTGTGCATTAGGAGAAGGGAAATGATCAGACATTTCAGGGACTACTGGACACTGACTCTGAGCTAATGCTGATTCCAGGGGATCCAAAATGTCATTGTGGTTCTCCAGTTAAAGCAGGGCCTTATGAAGGTAATGTAAGTAATGGATTTTAGCTCAGATCCAACATACAGTGGGTCCAATGGGTCCCCCAACTTATCCTGTGGTCGTTTCCCATGTGCCAGAATGCATAATTGGCATAGACATACTTAGCAGCCGGCAGAACGCTTACATTGGCTCCCTGACTAGTAGGGTGAGGACTATTATGGTGGGAAAGGCCAAATGGAAACCATTAGAGCTGCCTCTACCTAGAAAAATAGTAAATCCAAAACAATATTGCATCCCTGGAGAGATTGCAGAGGTTAATGCCACCATCAAGGACTTGAAAGACGCAGGGGCAGTGATTCCCACCACATCCCCATTCAACTATCCTATTTGACCTGTGCAAAAGACAGACGGATCTAGGAGAATGACAGTGGATTATCGTAAGCTTAACCAAATGGTGACTCCAATTGCAGCTGCTGTACCAGATATGGTTACATTGCTTCAGCAAATTAACACATCTCCTGGTAACTGGTATGCAGCCAATGTTTGGCAAATGCCTTTTTCTCCATTCCTGTCCCTAAAGCCCACCAGAAGCAATCTGCCTTCAGCTGGCAAGGCCAGCAATATACCTTTACTGTCCTACCTTAGGGATATATCAGCTCTCCAGCTTTGCGTCATTATCTTCTTCAAAGAGACCTTGATCACTTTTCCCATCCACAAGATATCACACTGGTCCATTACACTGATGACATTATGCTGACTGGATCCAGTGAGCAAGAAGTAGCAAACACACTGGACTTATTGGTCAGACATTTGTGTGCCAGAGGATGGGAAATGAATCTGACTAAAATTCAGGGACCTTCTACCTCAGTAAAATTCCTAGGGGTCCAGTGGTGTGGGGCCTGTTGAGATCTTCTTTCTAAGGTGAAGGATTAGTTGCTGCATTTGGCCCCTCCTACACCCAAGAAAGAGGCACAATGCCTAGTGGGCCTATTTGGATTTTGGAAGCAACACATTCCTCATTTGAGTGTGTTACTATGGCCCATTTATCGCATGACCCGAAAGGCTGACAGTTTTGAGTGGGGTCCAGAACAGGATAAGTCTCTGCAACAGGTCCAGGCTGCTGTGCAAGCTGCTATGCCACTTGGGCCATATGACCTAGCATATCCAATGGTGCTTGAGGTATCAGTGGCAGATAGGAATGCTGTTTGGAGCCTCTGGCATGCCCCCATAGGTGAATCACAGCAAAATTTACTGTATTCGTTTGTTCTCACACTGCTGATAAAGACAATTTGCCCAAGACTGGGCAATTTACAAAAGAAAAAGGTTTAATGGACTTACAGTTCCATGTGGCTGGGGAAGCCTCACAATCATGGAGGAAGGCAAGGAGAAGCAAGTCACGTCTTGCATGGATGGCAGCAGGCAAGAAAAGAGCTTGTGCAGGGAAACTCCCGTTTTTAAAACCACCAGATCTCATGAGACTCATTCACTATCATGAAGACAGCACAGGAAAGACCTGCCCCCATGACTCAATCACCTCCCACTAGGTTCCTCCCATGACACATGGGAATTGTGGGAGTCACAATCCAAGATGAAAATTGGGTGGGGACACAGCCAAAACATATTAGCTAGTGTGTCTTGGAAAAGTGGTAAAAGACTAGGTCTGCATGACTTTGAATTATGGATGTCCTTGTTGTCAGGTATTTATATTCATTAACAAGCAGGTTAGAACCATTTACACAATAAAAGGCTTCCTTCCAGAAAGCTCCCTTCCATGAAGCTCTGTCCACATTTTGTCTCTAAAAGAAAAGAAGGGAAGGCCGGGCGCGGTGGCTCACGCCTGTAGTCCCAGCACTTTGGGAGGCCGAGGCGGGCGGATCACGAGGTCAGGAGATCGAGACCATCCCGGCTAAAACGGTGAAACCCCGTCTCTACTAAAAATACAAAAAATTAGCCGGGCGTCGTGGCGGGTGCCTGTAGTCCCAGCTACTCGGGAGGCTGAGGCAGGAGAATGGCGTGAACCCGGGAGGCGGAGCTTGCAGTGAGCCGAGATCATGCCACTGCGCTCCAGCCTGGGCGACAGAGCAAGACTCCGTCTCAAAAAAAAAAAAAAAAAAAGAAAAGAAGGGAAGAAAACACGACTGTTTTTTGGTCAAAAGAAGTTAAAGCCAAAAGACGGTCATTGATTTGGTTGGGTATGATCAGTGAAGTCTGGGATTTCAGGGGTCCTTGCGTGGCTGGAACTGGTTAAAGAACTTCTATAATCCCTGAGAGGAGGTGGACAGGAGTCTAGGTATGAGGATGGTGGGTTTCACAGCAGACAAGCGAGCAGGCTAAGCAAAGACATTAGTTGTACTCCATAAAAAAAATCCTGAGCAGGAGTTAAGAGACCTGGATCATTTCAGGCTCTACCACTTTGTAGTTACAGAGTCTTGGGAAGATCATTTTCCCTCTCCGGACTTCATCTTTTTCTTCTTTCAAAGAAGCAATTATACAAAAAGATCTCCAAGTTCCACTTAAATTCTAGAATTCTATATCTTTGTCATCCAGGTGAAACAGAGAAAGAAGAAAGCTGGGAGAGACCAAAAGTTAAGGGGAGCAACCCTAAGTGTTTTGTAGTTCTCAGAAGTAGATAAGTGAAATTCAAGCTTTGAAAAACAATTTAAAATCTGTTTCTCCCCAGCTACAACTACTGCCTTGGGGACTTCAGAAAATTAAAAATGATGTGTGTTCCTATTGGATATATTTTTTAATTATTAAATGCAAATATCTGAAGAGACAGGCTTAAGGCAAATACTGGTAAAATTAAAAACTGCAGCAATTACCTGTAAATCAAAGGCCCTCCCTCAGCAGGAAGTAGAAGAAGAAATCTTGATATACTCTAATGGCTGTTGTGAGACAAGTAGATGTTAGGTATATTGACAGATGGGTACATGTCTATACATACAGTACATGCCTGTATGCATGTCTGTGTGAGCGTGTGTGTATTTATAATTTTGCTTGTCTCTAACCCAAGTTTTCTCATATTTGTGCTTATTTAATTAGCATCCAACTCAGCAGTTAAGGAGACTAATTATCCCTGAAGACACATCTATTATTACACATACTATAGCCTAATGGATGGACATTATCCATCTGTTCCATGGATGGAATCTGACCATTCAATAGATTCCATCCATGCATGCATATCTCTTACAGTTGGACTTACATATCTCACCAGAAAAGGTGAAGTGCAGCCCACATGCCTGTCTGTCATAAGAATACATACATACATTTACCACCTTTCTACTGCTCCTGCACTTTTCCATAGGAGGCTTGAGTTCATCTGCTAAGATAACTCTGTTGAAGTACAAGGCCTATGAGTAACTCTAAAATTAAAACTCCTGCTTGTTGAAAGAGCTGTTAGTGTAGAAGGTGGTGAACTAGTGTTTTTTTTAAGATCATATTGACTGTTATCTACTTAGCCCTATGTTGCCTTTAAACCTTAAGAAAATTTTAGAAGGGCATTCCACAGTCATTTAGCAGATGTGAAAAACATGAATCTTCAGAGACTAAATGAAATAAGGAAGTACAATAGCCTGGCACACAGTAGGGGCTTAATAAATACTTGTTCCCCTAAAAGTAGCCATTTAGTTTCTAATTTCAAGCTGATTTGCTCCTCTATGTATTAGAAAACTGCATCTGAGTCCAGGGAAATAGCAGTAGCATCAATGTCACATTAGGAGGCTTAGAACAATGATATGTGACACATGAAGGCGATCAGGCTCTGCCAGAATGATGAGGGGGAAGCTGCTTCTTAGCACTGAGGGCACTTGGTCGGGCAGTCTCTCAGGGCTGGTTTCAAGGGCACCATGAAGACAGGACAGAGGCAAATAGACAAATGGCTTTGGACAGAGAAGGCAGTCCTTCCCTGGCACAGGAGAAAGCACAGCATGTAGAGTCAGAAGCCCTGGGTGGATAGAAGAAAGAAATGAAAAAAGTTCTACATCTCCTCCTGAAGATTAGGGATTTGTGGTGATCCATGGGCTATTTTTAATAGGAAAGTGATGGATATAACCCCTGTTGAACCAAAACCTTGGAGGCATGGGAAGTGTGGATTGGGTGATAGCATCGAGCAAGCTTGTCCAACCCACAGCTCACAGGCCGCAGGTAGCCCAAGATGGTTTTGAATGTGGACCAAAACAAATAGATAAATTTCCTTAAAACATGATGAGATGTTTTTTGTGATTTTTCTTTTTAGCTCATCAGCTATCGTTAGTGTTAATGTATTTTATGTGTGGCCCAAGACAATTCTTCTTTTTCCATTGTGGCTCAGGGAAGTCAAAAGATTGGACACCCCTGATAGAGGCTGATAGACAGCATAATCCTGGTGTGAGGTGACACATGACTGAGTTTGGTAGAGGGAGTGGGGATGAGAAAACAGGGTTGGACAGGAGAGGAAGGACAAAGAATGAAGCAATATGGCCTGAAAATTGATTAGAGTTTTGTTTAGAGCTATGAAGCCTCCTGGATGGGCAGAATAATGGAACCAGTAAGAGGAAGGTCAAAGTCAGAAGACACATCTGTACCTGGCACTGTGCTAGGAAGATACTGTGAGGTTGACAACAGAAGGACAGGAGGTACTTATATCCCCTCTGGGTTACCACAGAGTCACATGGGACTTGTGCCCACACAACACCACAGTATCTCGTCAGTTCTCTGAAATCTGGCCCAACTCCTGGTTTCTGCCCTTGTAGAAGCAGGCAACTGATGAGTTCTGCATTTTCTCACGCTGTGTCCTTGCCCAGGCTCACTCGCTCTGGCTATCTGAAGACAAGGAACTGGACCAGGAAGATGCTAGTCCATGACAGCAGATGGTACAGAGCATGTCTGTTTCCCAGAATCTTGACTGTATTTGTCTATGTTGAAGGCTCACAGTGTGGGGCAGAAAGGGAATTGGAAAAAGAAAAGCAAAATCTGAGAAACAAGAAGGTGACTTGCATTGCAGTCCCTGCAGCAATGGGTCTATTTTTACAACTGCCACATGGGGCAGAGGGTGTAAGTTGTCAACTCAAACGGCTTCATCTTGACCAAGTCAGGATTATACATGACAGCACTGAAATCAGAACATGTCTCCAGGCAGCTGAGGAGGAGGACTTCTAATTGCTCTGGGTATCCAAAGTTACAACAACTATCCCAGCTTGTTCTGCTGTCTGGGAAAGGGAGATCATTAATTCCCCGAACAGAAAAAAAAAAGGAGATTTCAAAAATATGAATACAATGCCATACAAAACAATGACCTCATTGTGATATGGTCTGCCCCTGATATAAAAGGGCTCAATTTCCCCATCACAGACTCTTGAATAATCTATATTTATTTTAAAGAAATATCAATAGAAACAGGGCAAGAAAGACAAAAAGAAATATCTAAGACCAATATCTTGGGGGTGTAGAAAATGGATTCTAAAAATAATATTCATTGCTTTGTGTACATTTCATTTATTTCTGTATCCCCAGTGCCTAGCACTATGTCTAGGTATTTAATGTGTTGGTAGAATGAATTAATTAATAAAGTAATACTTTCCAAATATGCCCTACTTGAGATGTCCTTCCTGTATGTTTCTTTGACTGGAAAATTCCTATGCATATTTTATGTCATATCAGAAATAACATATGAAATATCACTTCCTGGGATAAATCTTTTCCATCAACCAAGACTGAAAGTATCACTCCATTATTACCTTTAGCACAGCATCAGATTTACCATACGACCACCAAACAAGTCCTGTTTACTGTTGTCTTGTTTATCTCTGAGGAACCTGGAGATAGAAAGCATTTCTTATTCTCTCTCTCCTAAATTCCTGGTGTAGTTTGGTACCTAGTAAGTTCACCACAAATAGGACTTAGCAAACTGCTTCAACAGACATTGGAAAGTATTGATGGGCATTAATTACCAATGGAATACAGTATAAAAGAGAGGGAAAAGTTAATGATGAATAATCACTGAAATCTGCTGTCTCTTCTGTCTCTTTACAATAATGTTTCTTTATTTGCCAACAGTAAATGATCCACACATTCTTTACAAACCGATATAATCTGTCGGCCCTGATTTCTTGCAGTAAGGCTTTGTGCCACAAAGTTGCAAATAAAAGACAAAAATGTGAATGATGTTTTCTGTATGGTAGTTGCCTTTTAAAATTATTTTTTCCAATTATTTCCAAGGTTTAAGTTTGCATGTGGTCTTTCGGAGGAGAGAGCAGCTTTCCTGTGAAAATGGGCTGGAGCAGAGCTCTGAATATCTTCCCAAAAGGGAATTTCCCATGCAGACAATTAGATCCTATTCTATGCACCTCTGTTTCCCCCTAAATCACTGTATATTTTTTTGAAGTTTATGTGTTATCTGTTAGATGAATTACCAGTCTCCTTCCACAATGCAGGAGAACGGATCAAGTGGAAAATTTTATCGACATCATTTTCCCTCAGGAAACTTAGTGACACATATAACTTCGCCTTGTCTTTCCATGGGAATGACCCCTAACTCTAATCATCAGCTCCACTCTGTCTTTGGATCTTCGAGTCAGTGTGTTCCACACTATCTTCACCCTCTGGCATGTGAAATCCCACGTGTCTGAAATCTAACTTAACACCTCCTCCCTTTGCCCTGCAAAACCAGCTTCCCTCATGGACCACCTTGCCCTCAGGGGTGATGCTAGCTCTCTCCCAGGCACCCAGACTCAAGCCAGACACATCAGAACAGGAGCTTTTTAGTGGATTTTCTTGTCACCAGCCCCCTGCACATTGCCTCTAGGATTATAGTCATAAAGTTTCATTTCTTTTATAAACTCTAAACTCTTCAGCCTGGCTCTCAAAACCCTCTACAAATTGGCTGTTCGTTACCACTCCAGGAGCTCTCTTGAAATATCCTCCAGGAATACTCTATTGAGTCATTCTATTTTCTGTTCACTAAACAGACCTCAACCCTCAGGCTCCATCCTCAGACTCACTACCCTGGATTAATGGAGCTTATTGCTTTGTTTTTTTTGTTTTGTTTTCCCTGCGCCTGTGCTATACAAAGGCTTTGGGTCTGATGCTTCTGCAGGCTTGCCAGTTCAGTATGATCCCCCAAAGCCCAGATGCTGACTGTCAGCAGTACCTTGGATCTATATCTGGTAGCTCACAGGGTAACTCAACCCCACAGGCAGCCCTCTCCCTGGTTCCCAGGACCCAGGGTCAGGGTTTGTTTTAAAAGGAAGTTGAGAAAGTAGTCAAGCAAAAGCAACCTAGAGTCATATCTAAAGAAAAAAGTGGGATCATTAAATGAAGAAAGAGTAGAAAATTATGAGATGAAAAGGCATGAAAGATGTCTTTCAGATGTGGTGCACCATCTGGGTGAATTAATCAGGACTGTTTTAGTTACTACCATTGGTAGAGACCTAACTTAAACCAGCTTGAGCCATAAAAGGAAGGCATTAGCTCATGTAACTTAAAAAGTCCATGGGTATATTGGCTTCATGTTTGGTTGCATACAAATGTACTGATGACGTCCTTGGACATCTTTCTCTCTCCATAGGTTGATTCTGCTTTCTGCTGTGTTTCCTTAAGTTGGTCTTCTGCTTGTGCAAGCAAACTCAAAGCTTCTATCCTACCAGCTTAGCAACCCCAGAGAAGATAGTGCCTGTTTTACAATGATTGCACCAAGATGCTGGATGGTTTCTCAATGGAATGACTTACACCTTATCCCCATCCCTGAGTTAATCACTGTGAACAGGAAGAAGAAATACACCATCATAAAAATTGGGCACTGCTAAAAGGAAAAAAGACAAGCTGTTGGTTGGGTGAAAAACAACCAATGTCCACTCTGATGGATAAGTTAAGCCAGGTGATTCAGGACAAAATGTGTGCTAGAGCCCTGAATCTTGTTATCACTTATAGGTCCCATGCTTGGCCTGTCTTTTATACCCTGGTACATGTGAGAGGAGTCATGGGTGATGGTGAGCCAAAAAAAATAGGTGAAGTGGGAAGGAAAGGAATGTGTTGTGGTTATGTAAGAAACAACTTCAAATAATTTTCAAAGGCAGGAAACTCTTCAACCCAGGTTATTTCAACTTGCCCATGAATTTACCTCATTATAAACTGCTTATCTTTTAAAAGATAGAGTCTCTTTAGGGAATAGTTCCTTACTCTAGCACCCTTAACCTGTAAATGATCCTTTACTGACCACATTCCAAAGCCTTTTCTTGTTCTGTACCTGAGATTAGAGTCCAAGGGTCCCTCTGAACCCCCTGCCACCACTGCTTCCTTCATCTAGGCCCTAGCGGAAACAGATTCTTCAAAGCCCAGGTCAAATTTCTCCTCTCCTATAAGCTCTCTTAAGATCCTCAATTTCAGTTAGTTTCTCCCTCCCCTAAACTCCATAGGATGTTGTTTACTCTCCCACAATAGCATTTATCACAGTCTGCCTTTGAGTTAGAGTTATTTATGTATGTGTCTGTCTTTGCTGATAGACTGTGAGCTCTCAGCAGGCCTGAAATAGCTCCTATTCATCTTTGTATTCCTCTCCCTACTAGTGTCAAGTGCAGCCCTTTGTACTGAGCAGATAATCAACAAATGTTTGCTAGATTGCTGAATCCAATCATGTTAGTTCCTTGCACAATAGTTTTCAAAAGTCCCATGTTAACTATAGCACTGCTTCTAACATTTTAAAATATACACACTATCTTTAATAAATAAGAAGCTCATACCTTCTGTTGAGATTGGACGGGGTCTAACAAATCATCTCTACTCCTCTCTACTTGTGTTTTTAACCAGTTAAAGCATTAAAAAAAGAGTAAGACAGAGATTGAAGGCAGCTTTATTACTGATAAAATTTGAATTGAGAAAGTGGCTAAGGTAGATGGCAATGATATGGAGGAGGGGCAGGGAAGTGCTGGGTAGAGGAGAATGTGGTCCCCGGCTAGGGCTGCACCCCCAGACCTGTGCCCACAGACCTAGGTGAGGATAGGCATTTCTATTTTCCTGCCCAAATCTTGCATTTCCCAAGACCGCCCTGGACTGCCAAGCCCCGATCCTGTGCCTATAAAAACCCCAGAGACACGAGTGGCTGGACATCAAGAGGAACACATCTGCAGAAGAAGACAAAAGCAGCTGGATGTGGAGAGGAATGCCAAGGCATAAGAGCACACCAATAGACACTGGCAGGTTGGCAGGCCATCCACCTGTGGAATGAGGTGGAGTTTGACCAGGGTGGCCAGAGGAGAGCCTGGGCCACTGAGTGGCCCAACTCCAGGGGAAAGACATCTCCCTTCTGGCTCCCCCATCTGCTAAGAGCTACTTCCACTCAGTAAAACCTTGCACTCCTTCTCTAAGCCTGCATGTGATCTGATTCTTCCAGTACACCAAGGCGAGAAACCCTGGGATACCGAAAGCCCCCTGTCCTGGAGATAAGGCAGGGGTATAATTGAGCTAACACAAGCCACCTACAGATGGCTTAACTAAAAGAGCACCCTGTAACACACACCCACAGGGCTTCAGGAGCTGTAAACATTCACCCCTAGACACTGCCATGGGGTCGGAGTCCCACAGCCTGCCCATCTGTATGCTCCCTGCAGAGGTTTGAGCAGCAGGACACCAAAGAAGCGAGCCATACCCCCATCACATGCCCTGTGAGGGGGATAAGGAACTTTTCCCATTTCAGCAAGACAAGGTTTCCTAATTCTGAACACCAACCCAAGGTCTCCCATAGTGGGCACACTCATTTAAAATGCAGAGCAGAGGAAAAACAGAGCAATAATTTGTGTGCTTTGTGAGCAGGACAGCTCTTAAGAAGAAGGCTGAGCTATGCATATGTGCCCTTTCTTACCGCACATTCAAGTTACTCTTTCTTCCATGGGGAAGACTAAGAAGAGGGTAAAGAGATGCCTGAGTGCGGCTAGAATGAAATGTCCCTTTACCTAGGTTTATGTTTTTAACAAACACCTACGTTCATTAGAAATTATTCAGTAAATAGCTTATCGTCATCTACTTCATTCTGGGGCACAGTGATAGAACTTCAGATGTAGTGGTGAACAGCGTAGGCCCAATTGCAGCTTCCTGGGGCCTTAAAATCCAGAGTGGTGAGCGGAAACAAAACGTTCTCGCAAGCATGAGGAGTATCCCTAGGGAGCTGTGGCAGAGATCCAACCAAAAGATCCAGAAACGCCTTACAAAGAAGTAAGATTTTTGTCTGTGACTTGAATGATAATAGGTATTGGATTAAAAAAAAAAGATAGGAAATGTGTTTAGTGGAGAGATGTGAAGGAGGAAAGAGAGAATTAGAGAAGGAAGCTCCAAGCAGAGGGAATAGAATATGCAAAGACCCTGTGGTGAGAAATGACCTGGAGGGTTCCTGAAACTGAAAAGAAGTGAACCCACTCTAGGGAGCAGGGAGTGAGGAGGAGAACGATGGGAAAGGAGACCACAACGGGGAGCGGGAGCCCAATTCTGGCTGTCCTGGTGAACCAGGTTAATGGACTTATATTCTTTACTAAGAGCACTGTTTGGAGCCCAGGAAAGACTGCCAGTCAGATGTTGCCATGCTGGTCCAAAGGAGCCAGTTCAGTTTGCCATTCAAGTTAGTCCATAATTTTGTTTTAAGCTATTGTCTTCTTCATGTCCCTGGAAAGAGATCTCCACTTTACAGAGACTGCTGTACATACATCACCAAACTCTCTCCCTCTACCTCTATGCTTTCCATCTGTTGCTTGGAATGCCCTCTGCCCCCATGTCCACCTCTTCAAAATCTGCTCCTCTGCTAAGTCCATCAGTATCCAACCTCTCACCTGAAATCTTATCAGCTCAAGAGAGTAGCATATGATGCAAAGAACGTGGGCTTCAAACTCTTTAATTCCAGTTCAGTGTCTATTGACTCTCAATGGATTTCTTAATCTCTCTGAGTCCCAGTTGACATCAGTCCAAAAGTGGGATAAGATGATCTGCCACTCAAGGTCATTAGGAGGATTAAATGAAATGACATTTGTAAAAGCACCCAGTACATACGAGGTGCTCAATAATCACCAGGTTCTTATCTCTCTCTTCCTCTGAGCTAAATCCTGTATAACACAGAGTGGAAAATTATGTGCTGCTTTAAAGTATATTTTTTATTATTATTTAAATTTTCAAGTGGCCCTATCACAGCCACTAGTGTAAGCAACCAGAAATAAGAATGGATAAAAAGCTGTTATTGATAGTAGTGGAAGAATATTTATGCTTAGAATCTAGAAGCACCAAATGACCACTCAGGATGAAGCCAATCAAGATTGATGGGGGCAAAACTGGGAAATAAACTAACAGTCATCAGATTATTTTCTGTGGAGTGGACACTCACAGCAATAGATACATTTATAAAATTGAGGTAAAATTTATGTAACGTAAAATTAACGATTTTAAAATGTTCAATTTCAATTGCGGCACTATTCACAATAGCAAAGACTTGGAACCAACCCAAATGTCCAACAATGATAGACTGGATTAAGAAAATGTGGCACATATACACCATGGAATACTATGCAGCCATAAAAAATGATGAGTTCACGTCCTTTGTAGGGACATGGATGAAGCTGGAAACCACCATTCTCAGCAAACTATCGCAAGGACAAAAAACGAAACACCGCATGTTCTCACTCATAGGTGGGAATTGAACAATGAGAACACATGGACACAGGAAGGGGAACATCACACACCGGGGCCTGTTGTGGGGTTGTGGTGGTGGGAGGGATAGCATTAGGAGATACACCTAATGTTAAATGACGAGTTGATGGGTGCAGTACACAAACATGGCACATGTATACATATGTAACTAACCTGCACATTGTGCACATGTACCCTAAAACTGAAAGTATAATAAAATAAAATAAAAAATAAAATAAAATGTTCAATTTCATGATATTTTACGCATTCACAATGTTATGCAGTCATCATCTCTAACTAGTTCCAGAATATTTTTATCACCTCAAAAGGAAACCCTATAACAGCTTCACAGAACTGTTAAGAGGGCTATCATGCCATCCTCTCCCCACCCCTCATCTGTTATGTATAGCAATAAAGCCCATAGAAGTCAGGAAACATAAACGAGATCATACAGCTATTGATATGAAAATTCAAACCCAGGTCTTTGGGCCCATGAGCCATGTTCTGTGCTAATCACAGCAACAGATTATCCAGGATAGTAAAATGTGCTTTCCCCTCCAGTATGATTTTACTTGTCTCAAAATGTAGCCTAATTTGAGATTTAATAATATGGTTTACCCTACTGATGTGGAAGAGAGAAATATGTACCTTGCCGCCTCTTCCTCTGTGCCCAAATCCACAAGGAAGGGTCCGGAAACTCTGGAAATGTCATTTCCAACCCTCTGTCTATCAGTTTACTTTCTCTTCCTCTGTCTCACACTCAATTCTAACTCAATCCTGTTCATCAGGAGAACAACCAGAAAAGTGGTTCTTAAAGTGTCTTAAAGTGGTCCCTGGGCCAGCAGAGTCAACCTCAAAGCTTGCTAGAAATGCATATTCTTAGATTTTACCCCAAACCTAGATCATAAATTGTGTAGTTTGGGCCAGCAAGAGTGTTGTATCAAGCCCTTCAGGGGATGATTGTGATTTACCCTAAAGTTTGACAATCGCTGGTCTACTGTAGAAGAAAGAGGAGTACCCCCCGCACACACCTCTGCAGCTCATTCAGAATCAGAATCAAGGCATGCAGCACACAGTCCCAATAGGGGAGACATGAGATCAGGGTATTCCTCTCACTTCTCACTACAACTATGTGAGCTTTTCCATAACTTCTGTCAAACTTCATTTATGCATCCGTGAAATAAAAGGAATGACATTTATTGAGCTCTTTCAAAAGAGCTTCTCAGCTTATCTTTGCGTTTCTCACATTATATGCCAGTGTTACAAAAATTGTTTAGTCCAGCAGCCAACATCTGAAAACAGATTGTGAGCTTTTGAAAGCTGGTATTATACACACCTAGGAGGTACAATACTAAATCTACAAACTCATGTATACAATATTTCTTTAAAATTTTATATGATTCAATTTAGTCAAAGGAAGAGAGAGGCCAACAAGATCTGAAACAAAAAAGCTGCATTTATTGCTTGCTAAACAAGAAAAAATTGTACTTGCAAGACAGTCACCCCAAACAACACAGGAAAGGAAATTATGTAAGCATTTGGGAAGTGTGCAGTTCCATCATCAAAGTTCTGAAGAGTGTGCATTGTGACATAATGTGTGTTGAAGATCACCTTGTCCTCGCCATTAACTCTCCAGTATCATCTACTGTGCTGTCGTTCTCTCACATGGCCTTTGGTCATTGGTTCAGACAGGTCAGCATCACTGACCATAAGCCTCTTCTATATACTCCTGGGTCAATCTTGAACACCCAAGAATTCTGTTAACCCCCTGCCAGTCCGGGACATGAGAATCTGCAAAACTGACTGACACTGTATCGGCTAAAACTTGTCATCCTACCATCCTGGTGGAGACCTGCAACCTCCTTCAGCCTCTACCCGGGAATCCATCTGGGGCTTGTGTGCCTCACCTGGCTTAGTCCAGGAAGCGTAAGATAAAGTTTCCTTTTACAGGAACTCATCAAGGTCTAACTAAACTCTATTGCTTCCTCTTAAAATTTATTCCCCTCATCAGAGAAATCATTCTTAGAGTAAGAGTGGGAGCAGAAAAGACAGAGTATCCTTACCTAATCATTCAGTTTTCTCTCAAATTTAGTATATGTCTACAGTACTTTCTGCTTCCCAAAGATCCTAATGTTTATGACTCCAAAGCCAAGAAAAGCCCATCTTATTTTTGTTATCTACATTCTCCCTGTCATGTTCCTTCTCTGAGGCAATGAACAGAGAAAGGTAAGGATATCTAGATACAGCTCTACTCCAATAGGGAGAGGAGAAAGGACATAAGGAGAAATGGTAAAATAGACAAAGATCGCTTAATAATTCATTTTTAATTTTTTTATTATAATTTATATGTGTACACAGAAGATGTGTATATTTATGGGGTTCATGAGATGTTTTGATACAGACATGTGATGCGTGATAATCACAGCATGTAAAGTGGGGTATCCATCCCCTCAAGCATTTATCCTTTGTGTAACAAACAATACATTTATACTCTTTGGTTGTTTTTAAATGTACTATAGTCTATAGTGACTATAATCACCCTGTTTTGCTATCAAATACTAAGATCACTTAGTATTTCAAAATTTTTATTCTGCCAAATTTATTCAGTTATATTATTTATTGTTCACTATTCTATGTATATTATTTACTTTTATACTAAAGTAGTTTTCAACATTTTCTGTCCAAGGCCCTTAAAACAGATCTTGATTTTGGCAGTCAAGGCCAGAATTTGTAGTGATTATATTAAAAATCAGCAATTATTTTTCTTGATCTAATAAAGATTGTATTAATAAAATCAGCTCATATGTTATTACAGAAGGCATACTGTACAATATATTTCTATGTGTTATACATGAGTTCATTTATTTATTCATTTGATAAATATTTTGTACACAGAATTCTTTATTACAAGGAAAGTTCTATGACTGGCCCTGAGGCAATAAAGAGAACAAAAAACAGGAAATGCAAAGTCATAGACATCAGAGATTAGAAATGGAGGTAAAACAAGGATTAAAACAACAAATAATATGTAACTGTTGACCTAGCCTCCTTGGGGTTTAGTAATAATAATATGTAACTGTTGACCTACAGTCATTCAGGCTCCAGAATAATAATATGTAACTATTGATCTAGTGTATAGGGAATGTTCAGTTGGAGCACTATTGTCATTCAGAGGAGGAAGATATTACATCAGTCTTAAGGCAAGATCTATTTAAAGAGGTAAACTTTGGATCCTGAAAAACAATGGAAAAAATATGGATATATTAGAGGGTAGGAGAATTTTAGGGGAATATCCTCATGATAGTCCCTTAATATAGTAGATATAGTAGATATTCCTAAACTATATACATAGTACAGTCCTCATGTATATTTCTATTTTGTAACTCTTTTTATAGTCATAACATGCACAAATACATATATTTTTCTTTTAACTTAAAGTATGCCTCTTTCTCATTAGCTTGTAGATGCAGAGAAGGGAAGGATTGGATCAACTTCATTTACCACTGCATCCCCAACAGACAGTGCATAGTAGGCGCTCAGTAAATATGTGTGAACAAAAGAGTGAGGGCATGCATGAATGCCAAACAGACAAAATTTCAGATCAAACAAACATAAATGATAGAGAGAAAGTAGTGATGCTGAAGCTATGTGCATAAAGGTGTTAGTAGTAGGAAGAATAAAGAATTTTGGAGCCACATCATGGCATACAATGAAAAGTTGCAGCCTCTGTATTTTATTCCATAGGCCTTAAGAAGCCACTGATGCTTTGAGAAATGGCATGAGTAGAGGTGTTTGAGAGCTGTGTATGTTAGAAAGATCACCTTGGTTAGAAAGATCACCTTGGCTGCACATAAGACCTTAATGGAATGAGGGCAAGCTGAATGGTGGATGTAGGAGAGCGTTATATTTCCAGGCTTGGGGAGTGGAGTGGTGAGGCAGGTGGGAGGAGGACCCAAAAGACTTCAGAGGGAGAAATTACAGGAACTAGTAACTTATAGAAATTACAGGAACTAGTAACTTATAGAATGGAGGAAGAGTTAGAGATTATTCCAAGGGTTTAGTTTGGCTAACGAGATGGTGGTAGGACCATGCAAATAAATAGGAAACACAGAATCAGAAAATCATCCCTATCATCCTCCTTTCCCAACAAGCCCAATGCCCTTGGTCTGTTGAATAAAATCCAGACAAGTATCATCTTGCATAGAAACTCAGGATACCTTAAACCAGATCTATGTATCCTGATCCCAACCCAGGGATAAGACTCTTTACTACTGCACTTCCATCCATCTTAAGCCTTACCATTCCAAGTATGACTTTTCCTAAAGTAATAGAAAGTATCTTTGTGTATAGGAAAAGCATAATTTTTCCTCTTGGCTTTTTTCTTATTTTGACATACTTTCAAATGTACATGAGTGTCAAGAATAAAAAAAGTCTCATATACCATTCACCTAGATTCTCCCAATGTTAATATTTGCTTTCTCCTTGTCTCTTCTCCTTCTCTTCCCTCCTCCCACATAATTAAATCTATTTTTTTCTGAAATGTTTGAGAATAACTCACAGACATGGTGCTCCCTTACCCTGAAGGAATTCAGCTTGTAGTAGTTAAAGACAATGATAAATGGTACTTACTAATATAATTATATGGCCTTTCCTAAGCTAGTGTCTTTGTTTTCCTTACTCTCCCAGACAATTGTGTCTTTGGAACAAAGACACAAGAAGACTATGCTAAGACAATACTAGAAGTAAGGATTATAAATAGACAGGAAAGCCTTTCTTTCCACCTTTTGGGTTAGATGTCCCATTCGGCATCTCTGCACAGCTTGGTTGAATACTCTTTGGTAGCCCTTATAACATTAGCAACTTTTGTTAATGGAATAATTCTGCATTTACCACAGAGCCTGACACACAGTTTGCAATCAACCAACAATACACACCTATTGAAAGAATGAAGCCAAGTCCTACTCTGCTCTTAACCTTTGAGACACTAAGGGAACTACATGATTGCTTAAGACCAGATAATACTAGCTAAAGCTTGAACCATAAATCCTAACCCAGCATTCTCCCTTTAGCAAAATGACTTAGTCACAACATGGGGCTTTTCCGACTAAAATAAATCCTCCAAAGTCTTTGAGTGAAAATAGACAAAGAAGCAAACTTATTTCTACTTTTCCTCTAGATAAGTAGTTCACCACTATCACGGTACATCAGAATTTCCTGGGATGCTTTTTAAAACACAGATACCTGATATCTGAACCCTGTCACCAGAGATTCTAGAGTTTCTAATTGAATTGTCTTGTTGCGGAGTCTATATCATCCTTTTTTCTGTTGTCATTGCATTGTGCTTTGTTTCGTATTATCAGTTCGTCTTTTAGAATGGTTCTGTGGTGCTGCCACCACTATCTCTCAGCTTTGCTAAATTATTCCATGGTAACAAACAACCTCCAAAACTCTCAGGCTTGCAACAATAGAGGTTTATTTCTCTCCCATAGTATCTGTCCACATGGGTCATATGTGGCTCCTTTCACATTCTCTTCACTGCAGGACTCAGACTCAGACCGACAGAACGTCCCTCTCTGGGACGTCGCTGGTCTCAGGGAAGAGCTACTACATGTTGCCTTATGTGAACGTCCTTTGCACACAATGAAACCTCAATATTAACATTTTTAAAATATCATCATTGCTAGGTATTCAGTCAACTATCAGAAATACTATTACCAGAGGTAGTCATACAAAAGAACTACAGAAGTGGATCTCAAAACACAGATTTTCCTTCCACTGTGCCATCTCAAGGTGATCCATTTTTCTCTTTTCACATCACCATGTCTGTGTGGATATGACAGACTGCATCCCATAGAAAAACTACACACACAAAACAAATCTTCAAAATCCTGGCTCTTTTTTCAACTTCTAATGTTTCAAAACATTTCAAAATTACAAACAGAAGCCCAATATTTATTTAGCAATGATATTTCATCTGCTTCTCTCACTCTGCTTCATACTAAAATTAAAAGCTGATTGCCAAGGTGTCCAGGTATTATGGAGATTGGAAACATAAATAAGGTTAAAGCCTAAGAAAGACAGCATGGCTGAAAGAGAAGGCCAGAGAGAAAAACACAAAATCATGAGGGTGGGAGGCAGGAATATCAGCCCTAAAAAAATTCTTCAGGAAAAGAGATAATTCAAACTTGTAGACATACTTCTTAAATACAGCCAAATTCAAACACGACCCACTTGGAGGTTTTGGCAGTGTTTTTTCTTTCTCTGAGAAAAATGTCTAGATTATCAGAATCTTAATTATCAGAACTATCTAAACATAAGAAGGCAGGGAGACCACAAAAGGCTCTGTTTGATTTTTAATGTCACCAATGACAGCTGGGCGGACCCTAATAGCAATGAATTGTTGACCCCATATATGACACCACTGTCTGGGAACCCATTTCCCCAAATCTGGCCATAATAAACAATTAACAATTATGATGTTAAAAGGCAGTTAATCAATATGCAATACAGACTACAAACATGAACTCCCTTCTGAAGGTCTCCCATTCATGCCACAGTACGGCAAAGCTAAAAGAAAGTTTAAAGATTACCTTGTCCAATCCTTTCATTATATATCTGAGATGTCTCAGATGCGGGGAATAGATGTAATCTTCCCAGCAGGCAGCAGCATACCAGTGGCGGGGGTAGATTTAGAACCCAGACCCCCACTTCTTTTATACTCATTAGGTTTCAGTTAATGCATTGAAACAAACTGAGAAGGGTCAGGAGGTGAGACATGAAGACAATTATGTTAGCTGTATCATGGACTAAAACTTTGTGTGATGAGCACTCAAACTGGCTTAGTAACACTTCTTTGAAATGAACTTAGCCCCTAAAACTGCAGACTTTCCTTGTAGTGGGTGAAAGATGCTCCACTGAAGTAGAGAGAGCAGGTCAGAAAGCTTCCTTTTGCAGATAGACAGATCCCAAAGGAAACCCGGAGTAAGGTAAGCCATTCCTGCTGGGTTCCTTCTTCCAAACCCACCAATAAAATATGGTCAGTCCTCTTCTGGTTGAAGTGGAGATGCAGAGGTATAAAAAAGTTGGGGCAAGAGGCCAGGGACATCATTCTAAAGAAGATCCTTTCATAGAAAACATGAGACCAGGAGAAAGAACTCTCCCTAACATTTCAATTCCCTAACATTTTCATAATTTATAGAAAATTAACATTTTTTAATTATAGAGCTCAGTCATCAACCCAGGATCTTCCAAGGGGTTATATCATAAGGGGTTATAAGCCAACCCCTTATAACAGAAGATCAGCAATCTACCAAATTATTCCTTTCTCCCTTTTCATGAAGTCACTCCTTCAGTATTAACCATTATACCTCGTGGTATCCTTCTGGTAAACTGAATATTTTTCCCCCAGAATGGGTCAGACAGCCCTACAGTATGCCAGATAGATATAAGTTAAATTAACTCCAAGGCCATGCTGTACCTAATACTAGAAATTTATATTTTATTCTACCAAATTATGCCCTGCCACTTTGTCCAAAAAAGCTCATCAGAGGTTCTGTAATGAGATCAAATGACAACCTAAATGGTGCTCCAGCTCTCAAATATTGGAAATGTAGAGATGTTGCAGATGTAAGCCAACATGTCCAGCCTAGAAGGATTCTTGATCCCTTCACTTCTATAACCTGGGCTGTCATACTATAATAAATATCTTTCTGATAGGGTCTCAGATTTGTATAAGTCCAATTCCAAATCTCTCATGAGCTCCCTTTTTTAAAGAATCCAAAGAATTAATAGGGCTAAAAATATTATTTTGGCACTTACTTCATGACCAGAAAATTAGAAAGCATAAAGTCTCAGTCTCCAAATCACTTAACCCAAGTAAAATGTTATTCTGGTACTTAATTGCCCCAGGGAATAGCAGAAACTCAGAAGTATCTGAGAGCATTGCGGATACTCATGACTAGAATGCTGGTCAGTCTATTTAAGCTATGAAGAGTCTATAGACTTGAGCTGAAACTTATTTAGGAGAAATCTACCATCAAGTATTAATGGTGTATTTGCCATACCTGATGGGGGAAAATGTCTCACTAATCTACTTTCCTTTTTTTTTTTTTTTTTGAGGCGGAGTCTCACTCTGTCACCCAGGCTGGAGTGCAGTGGCTTTATGTCGGCTCACTGCAAGCTCCGCATCTTGGGTTCAAGCAATTCTCCCGCCTCAGCCTCCCTCCCGAGTAGCTGGGACTACAGGCACATGCCACCACGCCCAGCTAATTTTTTTGTATTTTTAGTGGAGATGGGGTTTCACTGTGTTAGCCAGGATGATCTCGATCTCCTGACCTCATGATCTGCCCACTTTGGCCTAATCTACTTTCTTAAAGGGCTGCATTTATGAAACTCCTGCCTTTCACAAAAGCAAGGACATACCCATATGTGGAAGCCCCTGTTAATTCAAAACCTCTTAACACTCTTGATCATGTTGAGCTCAACATTCCTGGCACCCAGGACAATGTCAGTACCTCAGCCTTCACATTATCTTTGTGAGCAAGCATGTTCATTTCTGAGATGGTGCTGTTCCTTCTTGCAATGAAATTCCTCGGGTCATAAAAAAAAAATCTGCCTTCTAGACTTCTCCTTATCCAAACATTTGTTTCTGTTAAAGTCACTCAGTATATTCTGGAAGTAAGGCTGCTATTGATGCTTTGGAAATGTTTGTTCCAGGGTCCTGGTGAGGATCACTTCTTCTTCCATGAGCTCCTCAAGACATTGTCTTTATTCCTTTTAAATGATCCTGGTCTTGAATAGAAGTTCTTTCTGCTACATGCTATTTTGCTGCAGTTAACTATGCCTTCAATGTTTCTTTTTCCTCTGTTCTGCTAAGTCTCACAGGAACACTTAACTGAGTTTCTAACTATTCAATCTGCTTCTTTGGCATCTTTCCTTCTCTAACAAATAAGAGTTCTACTATTCGCTGTAATTAAATGCCTTTCTTCTTTTCCTTCCCTGCTTTTTTGGTCAAGATATTTATTTGTCCAGTATTATACTCTTAATTTTATCTTATAGGCTGTTTCCCACAATGCGACATGTAAAATAAATAATTTCTTGGTGTGCCAAAAGCCTCTCCCATTTCAATAAGTCTTGTCCATTATTATTTATTGAGTTGAAGCATGCATCCAGGAGATAATTTTCCATCAGACTACATCTAATGTAGGCTGGACTTAATCATCACTATTTTGCTTAGATTCCCTATGTGTTGTGGTAGACAGAATCCTAAAATAGTCCCTAAGATATCCTACTCTAATCCCTGGGACTGTGAATAGGATAAGCTATCACACTGGGGATTATGCTACATTATATGGCAAAAGGAATTCTGAAGATCTAATTAAAATTATTCATCGGTTGACAGTGAGTTAATCAAAAGGAAGATTGTGCTATCATGTAATTAATCTAATCATTTAACTGTGAAGAGTTATCTCTGGATGGTAGCCTTAGAATCATAAATCCAAAATTAGATTACATGTAAAAGCTGCTAGTTCACCTATAACATCTATGTCACTGTGAAGTCGATCCAGAAGTTCTTTTGCATATGTTCTGATGATTTCTCTTGTCTGTCCAGACTTTCTGGATCACTCACATGTCTCTCCCAGTCTTCAGGGGATTCTTTATATGGTCACCGCTTAGTGAGTGCCAGCACCCTGGCACGTGAATTCCAGTCTAATTTCCAAGATCTTTCCTCTTTATTATATTTCATTGTACAACTGTCATGTTTTCTGATCTAAGAACAACCAAAATATTCTAAGGCCCTCTTTTAGGGCAATTATACCAAGATGCATTACTTTTAATTTTATATCTGCTTATCATAGTCCTTAATATCAATTTTTCCTTTTATATCTGCCTTATTATTTTTCTAAGATGTCAACATTTCTTCTATGGTAATCTGTTTTTTGTTTCTGCTTTAACACTCTCTTCCTATAGTTAATTTCCATTTTTCTATTGCTATTGTCCAGACAATAAGACTAACGCATACTAGTCAATATATTCTAGTTCTTCCTTGATTTTCTACATAATCCCTTTGTGGTAAATATTCGAGGCACAGGCAGCCTTTTGAGTTACCTGATTAACCTCTGGATTTTCAATAATTATCTCTAAGAAAATAATTTATTCTTTTTTACGGTGAAGATCTCTCTTTATTTTGTTTGCTGAAAAAATATACCACCATTCTGTAGACAAAATCATTTCATCTTGGGAAATTAAAGTCATAGTCAGATGCTTCAAAATGAACAAACTCTATGCCAACTTGACACCATGCAGTGGTATGTAACTATCAGGAACCAGCAGACAAGCTCATATTTGTAAGAAATTGGGACCTTCAGGTTCTTCCTTTGGTCTTTAGTGTAGCAAATGGAATTTAGAGCCACAAGTTTAAGGCCGCCTGCCTAGGCCTGACAATAACAGTTTAAAGCAAGAACTTAACACATTAGGGCTCTGCAGTACAAGTGGAACATAGCTAGCTTTATTGTTTTGAAGTCCCAGTTGCAGATCTGACTCTTGGCTGAGGATCTTGGGAAAAGCAGACATTCTGTACCACCCATCAAGACCAAAAGGTTCTAATCTCTGTCTCAACCTTGCCTGAAATACTAAGGCAAGCCACATCTGAATGCTTTAAGGTCCACTTACAACAGCCCAAAATGAAGATCTAAATGGCCATCATATTCCTACGGTGTATGATTATTAAAATTCCACCTTGCTTATATAATAAAACCTACTCATTTGTAGACAAAGCCTCCACAAGGACCAAGTACACAACTGTAAAACCAAAACCAGTCCCATGGTACAACACAGATCACTACAAACTGGTTAAGATCCCCCATGGATACCACAAGCCAAAGCTTTGGGTCCAACGCCATGCTCCTGTGTTGCCAGAAGTCAGGGACCCCGAACAGAGGGACTGGCTGGAGCCATGGCACAGGAAACATAAATTAGGAAGATTTCATGGACATTTATCACTTCCCTAATAATACTCTTATAATTTCTTATACCTGTCTTACTTTAATCTCTTAATCCTATTATCTTCATAAGCTGAGGATGTACGTCACCTCAGGACCCTGTGATGATTGTGTTAACTGTACAAATTGATTGTAAAACATGTGTGTTTGAACAATATGAAATCAGTGCACCTTGAAAATGAACAGAATAACAGCAATTTTAGGGAACAAGGGAAGACAATCATAAGGTCTGACTGCCTAAGGGGTCGGGCAAAAAGAGCCATATTTTTCTGTTTGCAGAGGGCCTATAAACAGCCATGCAAGTAGGAGAGAGATCGCTAAATTCTTTTCCTAGCAAGGAATATAATACGAAAAGAATTGCATTCCTGGGAGGAGGTCTATAAATGGCTACTCTGGGAGTGTCTGTCCTATGCGGTTGAGATAAGGACTGAGATATGCCCTCGTCTCCTGAAGTACCCTCAGACTTACTAGGATTGGGAAACCCCAGTCCTGGTAAATTTGATGTCAGACCGGTTCTCTGCTCTCGAACCCTGTTTTCTGTTAAGATGTTTATCAAGACAATAAGTGCACTGCTAAACATAGACCCTTCTCAGGAGTTTTTGATTTTGCCCTTTGCCTTGTGATCTTTGCTTTGTCCTTTGCCTTGTGGTCTTTACTGGCCTCAGAAGCATGTGATCTTTGTTCTCCTTTTTGCCCTTTGAAGCATGTGATCTTTGTGACCTACTCCCTGTTCGTACACTCCCTCTCCTTTTGAAATCCCTAATAAAAACTTACTAGTTTTGCGGCTCAGGTGGACATCACGGACCTACTGATATGTGATATCACCCCCGGTGGCCCAGCTATAAAATTCCTCTCTTTGTACTCTTTATTTCTCAGATCAGCCGACACTTAGGGAAAATAGAAAGAACCTATGTTGAAATATTGGGGGCAGGTTCCCCCGATACTCCTGACCAACAAATCCTCTATCCTCTACCTTTTATTTTACCCTTAAATATTATTTCTTATCTGTGTTTAAGATTATTTGCTTTCACCAAATGACAGATATTGGTAGTCAATAACTAATACCTCACTCTTTTCTAATTATGGAGCCAACTGATAACTGGATTCAAGATTGGAGAAATGAAAATCAAATATCAGCTTCACTATGATAAAAGCTGTTAATAGTTATTAATATGATTTCCATATAGAGCCAATGGGCTTACTAACACTCTGAATTAAACTTAACTCCAAATCACTGTTTCCCTCTTTGGGCATACAAAGTCAGCCTCCACTAAATTGGTGCATAATGGAGAAAATAGACTAGATGGTTCCTCTTTACAAACAGGAACATCCCAAAAAGAAGAATCAGAATGAACTGAGCAATTCACTAGTCAATTAAATTACTCTTTCTTCTCTGAAGATGGTGGTAAACAAAGAGGCCAAGATGTTGCTGTAATGGGGGACCTTCCGCATAAAAACATAAAGCCAAGGAGGAAAGAGGCTTACCACTGAACAGTTAGAAACCTGGCTCAATTTTGGGTGTTGCTAAAGAAATTAAGTCAATCATATAGATGGAACCATGCTAATTAATTATTAAATGCTACTCTTAATATAAAATCAAAGATATAAAGAATTAAGAAGTTATCCAGTTTAATCACTAATTTATTGATTCATCCATTCATTCCTTTATTCTAGCAAAATTTATTGAAGGCCTACAATATATATGACATTGTTCAATCTCTTCTTTTGAAAATGAAGAAACCAAGGACTAGAGTGGTAAAGCAGTTTGACCAATATCACGCAACAAATTGGAAACAGAGCCTAGAGTGAAACCCATTCTTCCAGGCATCCTGGAATGAGCGGACATTAAAATATGTGGTGTGGGGTGGGTCACATTTGAAATGCTGAACTCAGTTCTACCAGCCTCCAAGAAGTTATTGACAATGACCATGACCTAAAAGGAAAAAACCAGAGTAGCAACAGAAAGTGTGGAAAACATATCATGTGAGAAGTTAAAGAAAGTATGCTGTGGTGGAAAAAATTTGTTCCCCAATGTCAGATGACCTGTTTTCAAGACACAGATTCACTCACGTGGACTTGCCATAACTTTGGTCAGGTCCCCCCATCTTCCCAAGCTTCCATTTCCTCCTCTGTAAAATGAGGGTGATAATAAAGTCACTGCTGTTCTCACAGGATTGTAGTGAGAATTATAGATGATGATGGGCCAGGATGATTTATGTAAAGCTGATGTGAAGTTAGACATTTATTATTATTGTTGTTATTAATATTTTAAAAACAATAGAATTGAGAACATTGAGTCAAGAGACAATAAGATCAAGTTGAGCCATGGATATTTGAGGTACTATCTCTCAAAACAAAGGGAAAAAAAGATGAATAAAACATCTGTTTCTTTGGTACTTTTCTAAATTATTATTACAAACTCACAACTAAATAGTGCTGTGGTTATTGTGATCCTAACTATGCAGATGAGGAAAACGAGGTTTCAGAGAAGCTGTGAAATTTGCCCAAAGCAGCATGGTGAGGAAGTAGAGGAGACAAGGCTTAGATGGACTGGAACTCCATCCTCTCTCCCTGCACCACAGTGCCAATCAATATACCCTAAAACACAGCACAGCTGGGAGAGCAGATCAGAGAGGTGGAGAATGAACTGGGATCAAACTTGAGTTTTCCTGGCTGGCTCAAAGCATAGCTACTTTCCATCATCAAGGCAAAGAGCAGTGTGAGAAGGGTGTAAGCTCTAGAATAAAACTCCTTGGGTTTGCATCTGGGTTCTAGCAATTACTTGCTATATGGTTTTCGGCAAAATAATCTGTCTATGTCTCCCTTTTCTAATCTGAAAAATGGCAATGATAATAGATGATCTTTTCAGGCCATTATTATATGAGAACATGTGAGATAATGCAAGTAGGATGCTTGCAATTGCATGGTATAAATACAAGCATTATGCTGAACTCTTTGCCAGAGGAAATAGAATGCAGTCTTTTGTTCTCAGGTCCAAGATTGGGAGAGAGATTGGGTCAGGTAACATTCAGGTTCCCTTCAAACTTTTAGACCCTAACTACACTTTTCTTTCCCTCTACCCTATTTATTGCCAGCCAAAGGCCTCATGGAAGAGTCCTGTAGCCCAGCAAAGTACTTCACTCAACATTGATTTTGATCATAGCAAAAGGAATTTGGAAAATAACATCAAAGTGCTAGGTACAAAAATTGATTTTTAAAAATAGGTACACTAAAGCCACTTCAGAGAATTTGCTGGCATAGTTCAGATATTTAGGGATTTTTCTGCCTCTTCTTTTAAACTGATCAAACATTTATCACAGTGTCCTAAAAGGCCTAGATTCCAGGAAGTCCATACTGAGGCAATAAAAAAGGTTACAGCCAGACAGCATGCTGTCACATCTTGATGGCAGAGATCAAACTTCTCTCAGGGTATGAGGAGGGGACAAGTCTTAACAGGCAGTTTTAACTGTAGGATAAGAATAAGCAAGGTGGCATCATTTTCCAAGTCCCATTGATACTGGGTGAAAGTGACAGAAAAACCAAACTGTTTCCCTATCCCCCACATAACTCAATGTTAACATGGCTCTAATTGAATTAAGGATAAGTTCCTATTTGAGGTGATACATACTTTTGGTTTATTTTAACTAATTTTTTAAAAATAAAATTTAAAATAATTTTTAAAAATAATTGTAGCAATGGAGGGGTGGGGATGGCCGCTCTTACAAAATATTGATGAGAATGTGAGATACATCCTTTTGGAAGGCAGTATGATAATATACATGCATCCACTCCCACAATGTATTTTGACCCTAAAATCCCATTCCTAAAAAGGTTATTAAGCACGTAAGAAACATCAATGTGTGTGATCAATGCAGCTTTGTATGTGACAGCCAAAAATCAATGGAAAAACAAAGGTTCAGAACTATAAAACCAGTGAAATAAATTATGACATATCAATTAAATGGAATACTAGCTGGTTATCAGACTGAAGATTTAGGAAAAAAGTAATGACAGGAAATCATTATAAGCAATAAAATGAGCAGATTATTAGAGAGTGTGAGCTGTATAAGTGTAATTGTGTGCATTCATTTACATAGAAAAAATAAAACCTAGAAAGATGGATTACTAAAATGTACACAGTGGTTACTTGGAGATAGTGGGATTTGGATAATTTTTATGTTCTTTTTCATCCTTTCATGTATTATCCAAATTATTTCAAATAAATTTCACAACAAATATCAATTCACAACAAGAAATAAAATCAATAACCTATTTTAACAAAGGTTGATCTACTACTACTTTTTATAGGCTAAGAAGACAAATGGAGATTTGCAGAAGAAAATGTCATATGGGTTATCCTGGTAGTCTCCAGAGAATTAACTGAGTCATCCACATTATTTAGCTCCATCTCCATCCTTCATGTGATAGGAAACAGAGTTTTGAAGTCGAGGTAATCATAAAAAGGCCCCAAATCACCTCTGCCACTTATTGACCATGTGATGTTAATTTTGCTGAGCTTTAATTTCCTCATTTGTAAAATAAAGATCGATAGTTCAAAGCTTTATTGTGAGAACTCACTGAGAAGATAATTTTGAAAGCAATTGAACATGGCCTGTTCATAATTGGACCTTAATACATGCAAGATGCATTACTATATCATTCACCTATTTAAACAATGAGTTAAAAACATTAAATGAGATAAGGTCTGAAATGCAATTATGTGATAGAGGACACAGAAAGTGAGCACCCACTGAAGGTTGGCTCTCTCTTCTGCTCTTCTTTGTCTGCACCTGAACTTTATTCCCTTCTCAAGCCTCTGCTCTCACTTTCCTTTCAGGACATAAGGCAGCATCACCAAATGCTCTCCAGGAGAGTTGCTACCTCTGCCAAAGGCAAAAAGGAGATAGGGAAGCTGCCATAGCATCTGTTGGTTCCAGGAAGAAACCACCTTGCCTGTGGCCTGGGGATAGAAGGATGACACCTCATCTAGTTACTTTATGCATGGCAGTTCTGCACTAGCAAAAACTCAGAGGCCAACCCCCAGACTGGAGCCTGAAATGTTGCTACATAAAACCCAGTGTTTCCATGACCGAGCTTGCCAGCTGCAACAACAATATCAGCAGAAAGATCGCTTCTGATCAACTTCTCCTTCCAAATCTCATGTGAGTGCAAATGCTGGCAGAAACTCAATTTAACCAGAACCCTACTTGTAAGGGAGTCTGGGAAATGTAATTTTTAGATTACTAGTTTTACAAATATAAATGTATATGGAAGGAGGTTGGAATGGAGGTTGAGTGCTGATCTGCCATATCCACATCATATCTCCTTTAGACTCTGACACAAGAGGTGGCCTTTCCCTGAACCCTATGTTTTAGAAGATCCTGAATACCACAGATGCAATATGAGTAAATTTATAAAAACACATTTGTGCTCCTATCTCTTGGGAACCTATATTCAACAATGGCACAGCACAACTCATAAACCAAAGCATTAGCTCACAGACATTGTTCGGGCCTCAGAGAAGTGTTTCTCAAGGTCACTTACCATATATTCTTGAAAGGAAAGATGGCCAAGTCCAAATTCCATGTAAGTTTGTGAATGGAGCCACTTCAGACTTTGGGGGTGGACACAACTTTGCACAGAAGACCTGAAAAGTGAAAATATTTGGGAAAGAGAAAAGATAAAATTACTACCTTGTGAATTTTTTCCTCTCATGAATAATTTTTTGGCATTATTAAAGCACCAGATTTCCAGGAATCTCAAACATCCATTTTTCTTGAATCTTTTTATATTACAATTTGTGGTTTGGAAGGTACTCTACTATTCAGAATAATTGCACATATCAACTGAGAAACATTTCAATATTAAGCCATGCACTTCACTCTTAAAATTGTATATTTTTAAGCTTAAGTGTAACGTGTTTAGTATTATCTCAATTCTTTACATTGGCAAGTTGGTGATCATTGAATGGAAGAAATGTGAATATGTTATTTTTATAAATGTATTTAATAAGATTTATACACATAAAATTATTATATTTGAATTTTACTTAAATTTTCATATTAATTCATTTTAATGATATTTCATATTTCTATTTTAATAAGCAATATTAAATATTATATAAGCCAGGTATGGTGGCTCATGCCTGTAATCCCAGCACTTTGGGTGGCCAAGGTGGGAGAATGGCTTGAGTTCAAGAGCTTGAGACCACCTGAGCAACATAGTGAGATGCTCATCTCTATAAAAAACTAAAATATTAGCTGGGTGAGGTGGCACATACATGTAGTCCCAGCTACTCTGGAGGCTGAGGTATGAGAATTGCTTGAGCCCAGGTGGTAGAGGCTACAGTGAGCCATGATCCCACCTCTGCACACCCAGCCTGTGCAAAAGAATGAGACTCTGTCTCAAAAATTAGAAATACTTTGTAAGACAATTTTTGAAAATGAATGCAAAATAATTTTAATTTTGTTAATATTTACACTTTTAGAAATATAATTTACATTTTAGTTTACATTTAGTTTAGTTTTTCTGAAAATATATTTAACTTGTATATACTTCAAATAGAACTCTATTTTATATTTTAATTTTTTAGAATATTACTGCCAGTAGAACACAAATAACATAAATATTTTATTACAAAAGCATCATTATTTTGCTGAAATAAAGTAAACAGAATACACAGACATGAACAATAATTCTGTTAAGTTGCTGACATATTTTGCTTACTTCCTTTCTTTGTTCTACTCCTATTCCTTGGGGTCATAGAAAAGATACCTATCCTTCATTGTAACTGACAGGCCCTGAAATATTTCAAGAAAGTAACTGTGAACCCGTGAACCTTCTCTTCCCCAGGTCTATTTCAGATTAAGCATATACTCTGCATCCATTGTCCATTCAGTCACATCACTATTATTTCAAGTGAAAATCCCTTTAAGAATACCTGCTGTGTGTTGGACATCATGTCTAAGCACTAAGCACACAGAAATTAAAACAGATAAAGACGTCAAGTTACAGCAAAGAAAACCTTGAGCAATCTCTTTTGATATTTGATAGCTATTTGATAGTTATTCCTTTTAAATGCAGTGCCAAGAAGTGAGCAGCCTATCCAGGCATAAGAATGCACCTATTTCCCTTTTATTCATCCTTTTATTAAACAGCCATTAGCAACAACAATAAAATATTGCCTGCTCATGATGTGTCAGGAGACTTGGGGATTCTAAGATGGAAAAAACAGAATTATTATCCTTAAGGAGTTCAAGAGCAAATGACAGGGAGATAGACACAAATTCAACGTGTTAAATTCTATGACAGAGGCCAGTATAGGATGCTATGGGCATTTTCTGCCGACTCAAAAATAATTTTATTTTACTCCATTTCATCTTCAAACTACAACCTATGTAGCCACCTTGCTTATACTCGTTGTCACAACTTCCTCACCTCACTGAAATTTTTAATTCACCGAAATCTAATGTCAAGCCCACTTCCCACTTACACTGCCCTAAGCAAGCTCAGCAAAAATCTAGACCTAAAGCCAATGGCGTTTTCATTCCTTACCTTACTTTACATGAACATCTGCCTCCTTCTTAAAGTAACTTTTTCCTTTGGCTTCCACAACAACACATTCTTTCAGTGGTTTCCCCAAACCTCTGGCTAATCATCTGTTTCTTTTATTATTTCCTATTATTCTGCTCATCTTTTAAACCTCAGTCCTGTTAAAGCGAACTAAATATGGCCTGAGAAGGATTCCGTACTTCAGTATTTGAGTCCTTGTGGATGACCTGCAGCCTAGCTTAATAGGTAGACAAGATTGAAAACTTAACTTAGGTAGGAGTATGCACCTGCAACAATAGCTAAGTCTTGACCAATCCCAGCAGCCGTATTTCAACCATTCATACACTGCTGAGTGTTCAAACTGTGTTCAAATACGGCAAAAGCGGAGCTGTAACCAATCCAGTTGTTCTGTACCTCACTTCCGATTTCTGTACCTCATTTCGCTTTTTGTGTCTATAAATCTTCTTCCATTACATGGCTGCGCTGGAGTCTCTGTGAATCGGCTGTGATTGTGGGGGCTGCCCAATTTGCTAATTGTTCCTTGCTCAGTCAAACTCCTTTAAATTTAATTCAGCTGAAGTTTTTCTTTTATCAGTCCAGTGGATGTTTCCCAGAAATCTCTCCCTACTCTCCCTGGGTGGTTGCAACCATCAATATGCTGAATACTGGTGAATATGTGTCTGACCAAAATCTTTCTTCTGAGTTACGATGTGTATACCCAACTGCCAACTCAACACTTCTCAGATGTCACTCAGGCCCATTAAACTCAGGCTAAACCAATAAACAATTTCTACCCCAAATGTTTTTCTCCTCCTGCAAACCTTATGACAGCGAAGGAAGACGCCATTTACCAAATGTTGGTCGTTACCGTTGATGCTCGTAGTGCCCCTCATGTGTTTAATCAGCAACAACTATCAATTTCTGCCGCTAAAAAGGTTTCTGTCTCTCCATCCTACATCTGCTATTTGTGCTCAGACCTCTCTGTGGTTTCCAGCTGGTCTCCTGCTCTTCCAAAATGGCCTGCCATCTTTCAAAAATGCAAATCTGACTATATCACCTCATTGATTAAAACTTCTTAATGACTCTTATTTCCCTGACACATAAAAGAACAAAGAGTGTTGGGAAACAAGAAGAAGCTTGGAACTACAGGAGTATAAAGTTCGAAAGGAGGATAGTCATGTTCATAGAAAGCAAAAGCTTAGCACACACTAAGGTGGAATAAGGAGGTGGTCATTGGAGCATCCGTCTCCAAGGTCAGTAAAACAGAACTGAAATAGAACAGCTGCCAGTAAACTCAAGTTTTTATCCAGAACTTACAGGATTGGAGAAAATTACATCAGTTTCACTTCCACCAGTAAAATGGTGTTCTAAAGAGAAAATAAAAGAACACTTCTTACTGGTGCTTTGTTCATTATATCTGTTTAGAAATTTTGCAGCACGGCACTGAAAATTAAATTATGCCACTAGAGGCAGCAATATGAATGACAGTTACTTGGAGCTAACTGTTACAGTTGAAATGCTGAAAGCAACTAATGCATGAAATATTGCTATTGTAATAGAATCCATTTGTATGCAGCATTTGTCTTTAGAGGAATGAATAACCAATATCTTCTCTTGAGTGATACAAAAACCGTGAAATGCCATGTTATATGATTCCATTTATATGAAAGTCCAAAATGGGGAAATCTATGGCAATAAAAAGTTCCCACAAACATTGAAAATATAAAAATTTAAAAAAGAATAGTTCCTTAGGGCTGCGAAGGAATGGGTATAGACAGGTGATAGATAAAAGATTCGTGTTCTCTTTTTGAGTTGATGAAAATATTATAAAATTGACTGTCTTAATGGTTACAGATATCTGTAAATATGCTGAAAACAATTGAACACTTTAAGTGGATAAATTGTGTGGTATGTTAATCATATCTCAAAAAAAGCTGCTTTTTAAAAAGTGGAAATAATTTTATATGCTTGAAAGTAATAAAATTATAATATTTTCAAGTACTATTTTGTAAAAGCTTTATAACGTAAACTATCTTCCCCATTTGATTTCAGAAATTTGTTGTACTTTGCCTTTCCTATAGTCCTAAGTAAATTAAAAGTTTATAATCTGTAAACACTGTGAAATAAAATATCATTTCAAATAAGACATCTTTTTTTCACATTCATGTGTATGTCATAAATCCCTTATTTGGAACAAAAGCAAATAGTAAATAATTTTAGTAATAAAATTGTCATCTATCTTTTATTTCACTGAATAAATATTGAACAAATATTTTTAAGTGCAGATTTGAAGGAACCCAAAATTTTGAAACTGCCACAGTCCCAAACATGCCTTGAAATTTAAGGAGCAGATTTTGCTGTTTTTCTAGGGCTAGAGTCAGCCCACCTTAGAAAACTGACTGCTATTAACAATATTGAGGGCAGAGGCAGAAGTGGGCTGTGAGGAAGAACAGATCGATGGAGAATCAGGAGAGGCCTAGCATGTAACGGTGATGAGAATTTACCATGAACCAAGTGTGAAGAGGACCAAGAAGAAGGAGAGAGGGAGGAAAGAGGAGAGGGAAGGGGAAAGAGAGACCAAGTCAAGATACTTAGTTTCTAGTCTCAACTTTGATTAGTTCCATGGCTGCGGGCAAGTTGTTTTCTTCTGAGCCAGCCCAAGATATAATGCAAGCCACATGTGTAATTTAAAATTTTCTGGTAGCCATATTTAAAAAGTAAAAAGGAAAAGATAAAATCAAATTTAAATTGTTTCTATTTTAGCCCAATATATCCAAATTGCTACTTTTAATAATCAATTAACAATTATTAACAATATATTTCAAACTTTTTTCTTACTAAGTATTTGAAATCTGATGTGTATTTTATACTTTTGACATATCTCAATTCAGACTAGCCACGTGTGGCTGCTGGCTAAAGTATTACTCAGAGGAGGTCAGGGCCTAACTCTCCTTCTCAATGAAAAATTTTAAAAGTGGAAGTGTTCTGTGCATTCTAAGTGTTTTCCTTGCTCTGACATTCTCTGATTCTTACTAAGAGATTTAAAATACATCTAGACAAGTTATACACTCCTACACTTTGTGGTCTCTGAACTCCTCTAAGCCAAACAGGAATCATACATTCAGGAGGGGATTGTAAAGATGACTCTTCCTCATTATCTTTGATCTGTTGGCATCTTTTAGCTAGGAGACGTGAAGTTAGGAATTAGAGTCAGTGAAATTTCTAAGCCATATGGAATCTGACCCATAATCTTTCCCCAATTACACAGACATATTACTCACATCAAGCTTTGCTCTGCTACTTCAATTCCAGGTTAGCAAACCACAGCAAAAGCTGAAAACAGACACCACACTGCCCTTCAACATCCTCCATCCACACGTGTCCTCTCCATGCATAGACCCCACATTCTCCTACAGCAGAATCCGTTGTATGCATCTTTACACACCCCTCCAGAAATCACCAGAGGGCTCCTATGTATTCAGCTAAACAGACACCACCATCCAAGCCATTCTTGAACCCAAGGGATAAAACAGATTTTGTACAATCCAGAATCCTCTTCAATTCTGAAATGTTACCCAAAATCACTGGTGTGAGATGGTCACATTCTCTCTTATGCTTGATGACCAGCTAGTGTTATGACTCCTAGTGTGACCATAATGTTGCATGTATTTTAATTCTGCCCTACAGGAGGGCTTTTGGAGACTCTTTTTGTCTTGTCTGGAAACATATGCCCCTCTGTCTCATCATGCCATGAAACGTAAAAATAGAGGTACCTCTCAGTCCTCATTACTCTGAGAAGCAGGCATCATTCAGTCTAGTCTTAAATTTGGAAGAACTTTATGGTACATGTCTTGAGTTTAAAAGCTCTTTTTTAATGACTTTAGAGGAAATTTGGGAAATATCACTTGTAATAAGGACAACATGCAGTCCACCATACCTTTATTCCATAAGCATTTGTTGGCCATTTATTCTGTGCCTACTGCTGTGTTAGGTCCCAGAGATGTATATAATAATGACTCCTACCCAACATAATGTCCACTGGGATCTTAATAGGAAGGTGTGAATAGGAAGGATTTTCAGCCACGGAGGCGCATGCATTTGCTCACACACTCAGCATTGATCTCATTTTTCTACGTTGAAATATTATGAAGGGCATGATGACAGATAGATATAGATATAGATATAGATGTAATTTATGAGCGGAGAATGAAGCAAAAGTATATAGTCATAAAAGGAATAACAAATAATTTAAGTAAGCTCCCAAAGAGTGTACCTTTCCCCAGGGCAGGCAATATGGTAATGTGGAAAGCACTTTGTACTCAGTGGACTAGGTTTGAGTCTTAACGTTGGAGAGATCTCATAAGCTCTCTGAACTTGAGGTCTTCTCACTTGTAAAATAAAGTGATGATATCTGCGGTGTTCTTTTCCCCCAGTAGTTCCATGAGACATAAATAACATAAAAATATATTTTTAGACGGTAATACATGTTTTGAAAGAAAAAAAAAGGCCAGGGATGGTGGCTCACGCCTGTAATCCCAGTACTTTGGGAGGCCGAGGAGGGCAGATCACTTGAGGTCAGGAATTTGAGACGAGCCTGGCCAACATGGTGAAACCCCATCTCTACTAAAAATACAAAAATTAGAGAATGGTGGTGAGCACCTGTAATCCCAGCTACTCAGGAGGCTGAGGCAGGAGAATTGCTTGAATCTGGGAGGCGGAAGTTACAGCAAGCCAAGATCACACCACTGCACTCCAACCTGAGTGACAGAATGAGACTCTGTCTCAAAAAAAAAAGAAAAAGAAGGAAGGAAGGAAAGAAGGAAGGAAGGAAAGGAGGGAGGGAGGGAAAGAAAGAAAGAGGAGAGAAAGAAAGAAAGAAAAAGAAAGGAAGAAAGAGAAAGAAAGAAAAGAAAGAAAGAGAAAGAAAGAAAGAGAAAGAAAGAGAAAGAGAGAGAGGGAGAAAGGGAGAAAGAGAGAAAGAAACCTGGATGATATGCTTGGAACTGGCTATTGTTGAAGTGTTCAGAGGGGGTTGACACTGATATCTAAAGGAAAAGAAGCTGTTCTAAGCCATATAAAGATCAGAGTGGGGAGGACATAAGAAGACTGGGGAAAGTCCCAGGTGTTGAAATACAAAGCAAAGAGGACTTAGGGTATGGAGGAGCTATTGTAAAGGTTCTGCCATTGGAGCAAGCTCAGCATGTTAGAGGCGCTGAATGATGATCTTGTGTCTGGAGAAGAATGGGCAAGAACAAGCTGTGTCAATGTTTATGACACAGAGGCAGCCAGAAACCAGACCGCAGGGGGCCTTGTAGGGCCCAGGAAGGGGTTTGGATTTTATTATAACAGCAAAGGTCACTTGCCATTATTAAGCCTCAGAAACCCAACTGGATCAAAAGCAGAGGCATTAGGATGTTTCTCATGTTCTCTCTGTCTCTCTTTATTTTTATGTTCTCTCTCCCCGTATGCCCAAATTAAAACCTGTAGATCTTAAACTTCCAATAAAGAAGTAAATGATGCCCATTGAGGGTTTATAGAAAGGTCTTAAGGGGGTCTTGGTAGGGAAGGCAAACCATTTCCAGCTGAAAGTCATAGAAGGGCAGTAAAAGGAGGTGATCTCTGGGGTGAAATGCTAACTCCAGAAGCGTTGTGCTTCTACGGAGAGTGCAGCACATGCTTGGATTTAGGCAGACACAAGTTCAAACACTTCCCAGTTGAATGAAGTTGGGTAAAGTATCAAGCCACTGTGAGCCACCATCTCATCTGTAAAAATAGTACAGAAATATCTACTTCACAGAGTTGCAGAGATGATGAAATATGACAGCAAACATAAAGGAGAGCCTGGCCATGCCAGATGGCCAGATGCACCCCATCGACAAGCCAAGGGACTGTCTTTCTGCTTTGATTACCATGGTCTGCCTCTTCCTCTGCCCTTCTAGCCTGAGAGAATCACTGAATGTCCCTGTCGGCCAGTTTAGGACTGCAGTGAAAGAAGCCAAGATGCTGAAAGCCAATATCTGGCATATTAGCTCGTCTTTTGATGGCTTCTAGAATGCCAGCTTCTCTTCCCTTCATCTCCCTTCTGCCTCTGCTGAGAGAGGCTGGAAAAACTCCTAAGTTTCCCCAGAGGAAAGTGGGAGGAAAGTGGACACTCAGTAACCTCTGCCTGGATCCATTCCAGGCTCCAGAGAGTGTCCAACAGTGCCTTCTCTGGGGTCATTCATAAGTGTCTCTAATGTTCTCTCTGGCGTTTCCCAAACTATCTCAATCCAGTTGCCTGATAACTGGTTTTGCATAGAGGCTATGTGCCTTTCTCTTTGTTTTTCTTTAAAATGCTTTTTTTATTATTATTATGGTGTGAAGGGAAGAACTCCATAGTTACGAGTTTTTAATGTTTCATAGAAATCCAGAGCTTTTGATAGCAGTCCTCTAAGAAGTCAGTTGATAAACCCTAGTGTCCTGTAATGTTGGCATCGCATGGAGGATTAGATGTAAAATTTAAGTCTTCTCAAATGAGAAAGGAAATACAGAAAGTGTAAATTCTGTGTCCAAGACCACACAGTTTATTGAATCACAGTCAGAGCTAAAGCTGAGGTTTTCTGTCTCCCCATCTGTTGTTCTTTCCCTACACCTTGCTGCTTCTCTGTCTTAAGTAAGCATAGTAACAAAATAATAAATAAATCCACTTTAAATCCCTTGTGGAATCACTAGTAAAAAAAACTTGTCACGGCCCAGTGCGGTGGCTCATGCCTGTAATCCCAGCACTTTGGGAGGCCGAGGCGGGCAGATCACGAGGTCAGGAGATCAAGACCATCCTGGCTAACACGGTGAAACCCTGTCTCTACTAAAAATACAGAAAATTAGCTGGGCATGGTGGCCGGCACCTGTAGTCCCAACTACTCGGGAGGCTGAGGCAGAAGAATGGTGTGAACCCGGGAGGCGGAGCTTGCAGTGAGCCGAGATTGCGCCACTGCACTCCAGCCTGAGCGACAGAGCGAGACTCCGTCTCAAAAAAAAAAAAAAAAAAACTTGTCACATTGACGCTCCTTAATCAGAGTTGTACGAATGTGTGTGGGGATAACTCATGAAATGAAGACTGCAAGAAGAATGGTGTTTTGATATTTTAATAGAAATATTCAAATAACTAAGCATATTTGGGACTCATCCAATATCGCTGCAAGGAATTCCCTCTAGGAGTTCATTGGTCCGCTGTTGCTAAAATGTTCTTGAAGGAAAGAAGCAACGACCTGACACTAATGTTAATCCCATTGGTTAGGCAGATTTATTATTTTCTCCCATCTTTCTTTTCAGGTAGAGAAAGAGAGAGGAGGATATGAACAAAAGCACAAAAGTAAAAGTAGTACGTGGTTATCATGGATGGATAATAAAAGATATGGTAGGAAAAATGCAATCTATTACCTAGAGGATCCTGGGACTCAATCATTTGCAGACAAATCTAGGGAAAACAAGGTCGAAAGTAATTTTTGTCCCTGTGATTTTTGAGCTGGATAAAATAAGTGTTTAAAAATGGAGTCCTTCATTAAAAAAATCAAAAGGATGCAAGATATAGTGGAGGTTAAAGTGATTTATTGTATGAGAGCAGTTCTGGAAGGTGTTTATTTATAGGCAATTATACATATTCTCAACAAGGACAGTAATAGCCTGAAAGAAGACATGCCCCACATAGCTTCTCTGGGCCAGTTAGAGCCTATGCATTCTTTAGAGCACTGCTCTTCTTCTAGGCTAAGCCCAGAGGCATGAGGAGCCATAAGATGGACCACTGGGGCTTCCAGGTGCTTTCCTGAACTAGCTTAGGCTCCTTTCATGGCATCTCTGACCTCTTTGACATGTCACTGACAGCCCCCGGACCAAGAAAAGAACTTCCTTCCAGAAGCACTTTTTGCCCCCTTTTAACACGAGAGATATGAGGTCAGCTTAAAACTCTCTGGGGCATGGAGTGAGACAAACATTAAATACTAATGTTAACAATAATTAATCACAATGACTGCTTTTGTGGCAAACACTACATCATCTACTTGGGATTTTAATTTCTTTACTGTCACCAGTCCAGGCTACCTCCTCTCCAGCATTAATTACTTTATCAATACATCTCTCTTATCTCACTGCTTTTGTTCTTTCCCCTATGCTGTCTACCTTCTCACAGCGGGAAAGAGCATTTTAAGGCATAAATCCCATTGTATTATGACTTTGCTTAAAATTCTCAATGGCTTCAGATTGCACAAGCAAAAAATCTTACCACTCACTCACTCCATAAATTCCAGCCACATTGGACATCATTTTGTTCCTTAAACTTGACACACTCATCCCAAAGTGAGGACAATTGCTATTGTTCCCTCCACATGGAAGATATTACCCCTCGTTGTCCTGCAGATATCAGTTCAAAAGCCCCTTCTTCAGGAAGCCTTCTCTGATCACCTTTTGGCCATCTCATAATTCCTCTTCTTTGTTTTTGTTTTCTTCACAGCATTTATAACCATTTGAAATTATCGTATTTACGTACTTATTTGTTTGTGCATTATCTCTCCATTGCCTCTTCCCTATCCCAACCATGGCCATAAAAATACAAGCTCCATAAGAGCAGGCCTTCATCCAAATCCCCAGTGACGAGAACTCTGCTCAAAGCCCAAGGTGGGAGATCACAGGGCCCATGTTGGAACAAAGTTTGCTCGTGTCCTGCATTTTCACTGTGATCAGCTTCTCTCTGCCATCATCTTCACACAAAACAATTTTGAATCCAAACTCAGAGAGCCACACCAACTGAAGCCAGCTTCTTGTGAAGACAAAAGACTGCTACACAAGTCTGCCCTGGGTCTGTGTCCACAACTCACTGTTTAATGAACTTAAAGTTAAAGGTGCTGCCCAGTGGAAGATTAAGAGCTGCAGCTGCCCTTTGCCTCATTACACATGATCTGTGTCACAGAGAAACCCTACAGCAATGACCCAGAAAAGCTTTGAGGGGAAATTTTAAAAATTAATAAGGCTCATTAGAATGACCCAACAAAGTAAAAAAACAAAGATAGAAGACACATCCTCCTAGAACAGACTGCCTGCTGTGAGTTAATTAAAGTCTCTTTCCTAAAAGGTTTCAGTCCTTATTGTATGAGTGTCTTAGAGCACGTGTTCAAGACCACAAACACAATCTTTCCCCACACCCCCAAACCAGACACTAAAATAGAATAAATAATTCTCCACTCTCATCTCCTGCAAAGTCCTCTGCAGCAAGGAACCCCCATGAACCTCAGGGCCTCCTCTGAGATACAATTCCTCTTTACAAATGTTTCCTTCAGAATGAGTGGACACAGGATTCATTTCAATGATCATTCACTGAAACAGCCTCTCAGAGACCTGCTTTTCAGGAGATTCTTCTGATGAGGATAGTTAGTGTTTTCTAAATAACCTGCTTCAGCAACCTAAGAGCAGCTATAAAATATAATAAAGAAATCCTCAAAATGTGGGTCAAGAACAACTAGCATCAACTCAGGGTTCTCCAGGTAGACCACAGGCTGCTATCTTGAAATAGATCAGTAGAATTTTAGAATTGAAAAGAACATTGAAAATTCTCCAACCCCAGCATTTCCCAATGTATGTTAAACTAAACACGGGAAACTTAAGAGGTTATTAGGTGGAAAGGAGGGTTCAGGATGAATTAAGTGAAAAGAATGCTATGTTTTTGACTTTTAATTCCAGACTGGCAGTGTAGAAGAAAGCTGGCTTCACTCCCCCAGAGAAAACCAAAATCAGATATACAGTGCTCAGATTTTTCACAAGCAAGAACTCAGAACTCAGAGATGAGGGAAAGACCATTTTCTGTTCCCACAAAGGAGTGAAAAACCCAGAGCAGATGGTAAAGAGAATCAGAATTCCACATTTGGGATGACCCTCACCCACATTCTGCCCAGCAACAAATGCGTGGAAAATCTTCCCCCAATTCATGGTTTCTACATTGGAAAAAGTGAGATGGAGATGATCAACCAGCTTTCCTACCATCTTGGGTGCCCTGGCAGGAGACCCATCCCTTCCTTAGCGCACAGAAAACATTGTGACTACCTGAAGGAGACATATTCCTGAAAACAGGCAGAGACAAAGAAGGGAGGTAGGACCACCATCTCCAGCCCTGGAAATTCTGCTGTCTTACTTGGCCAAAAGAGGTCCCAAATCAGAGTGGCTGTTGAGCTGCACCATGCTATAGGAGTTACATCCTACAGGTCCTCTTGGCATTAACCCCTAGCCAGCCTTGACACACTGCCAGGAAAATCCCTTTGCGACCTCCCCCATTCAGGAACAGGCAGCTCTCTCATTGTTTATTAAAGCCAAGGCAAACCCAGGCTTATGCCACCACCTAGAGCCATAAAGGAGGCAGCAACCTAGCAGTAAAGATTCTCTAAGCAAATATATCCAATAAAAAATGAAACAAGCCTGACAGAGAAAACTACAATAAATTACTGATCCTTCACTGCAAAGACATAGACACATACCCACAAGAAATAAGAGCAAGCAGGAAGCCACAACCTCCCCAAAATGACAAGCAAAAATCCAGTGACTAATACTAAGACAGCAGTAATTTGTGAGCTCTCTGACCAAGCTTTCAAAATGGCAGTTTTAAGAAAACTCAATGATTTCTAAGGTAACACAGAAAATCAATCAGAAATTTATCAGAGAAACTTAAAAAAGAGACTGAAATAACAAAATAAAAATTCAAACAGAAATTGTGGAACTGAGAAACACATTTACTGAACTGAAGAATTCATTAGAGTCTCACAATAGCAGAATGTACCTAGCAGAGGAAAGAATAAGTGAGCTCAAAGACCAGTCATTCAAAAATACACAATCAGAGGGAAAAAAGAAGAATGAAAAGAAACAAACACTGCCTACAAGATATAAAAATTCCCTCAAAAGCCCAAATCTAAGAAGTATTGATATATAAGAGGGAGCTGAGACTAGGTGCTGTGGTTCATGTCTGTAATCCCAGCACTTTGGGCAGCCAAGACAAGAAACTCACTTGAGCCTAGGAGTTGGAGACCAGTGTGGGCAATACAGAGAGACCTCATCTCTACAAAAAAATAAAATTAGCCGGGTGTGGTGGCACAGCCTGTGTTCCCAGCTACTCAGGAGGCTGAGGTGGGAGAATTGCCTGAGCCCAGGAGACTGAGGGTACAGTGAGCCATGATCGGGCTACTGCACCCCACTCCAGTCTGGAAGGCACAGAAAGATCCTGTCTCAAAAAAAAAAAAAATGGGGAGCTGGAGCTGAGCATGAGCAAAGGAATGTTAACAGGAGTTTTTTGATCTGAAAAAAGAAAGACTTATGTGTAAAAAGCAAACTTTTCATGCAAAAAACTGACTGGTAAAATTAAGAGAACAAACCCAGGATGCTCTATTATTGTAATGGTGAGAGCAACCCATTCATAAATCTATTATAAAGTCCAAAAGACAAATATATCAAAAACAGTAATAGTTGCAAGAACTTGATAAGACATAGGTAATATAAAGGTATAAATGGAGGTAACTAAACGTCAAAACATGGGGGAAAAGAGTTCAAGCATTGAATTTTGTAGGTGTGTTTTGCCTTTGTTTCTGTTCTTGTATTTGTGATCTCTGATAAGTTGTCATCTTTTAAAAATAATTTGTTATATCTATAAAATGTTTTCATAAGCGTTTGTATAACCACAGTGCAAAAACATATAATAGACTCAGTAAAAATAAAAAGCAACCAACTAAAAGGTGCTGTCAGAGAAAAATCATTTAACCACAAAGGAAATCAGTAAGAAGGAAAGAGAGAAGTATCAAAGCAAACAGATAACAAGCAACAAAATGGCAGTAGCAATTTCTTACTTATCAGTAATAATGCCGAATGTAAATTGTCTCAATTCTCCAATTCAAAGGTATAGAGTGGCTGAATGGATAAAGAAACAAGACCCAACTATACATTGCCTTCAAGAAACCCATGTCACCTGTAAAGACACACATAGATCGAAAGCAAAGGGGTGGAAAAATATATCCCATACAACTGGAAGCACAAAAAGAGCAGAAGTAGATATAATTATATCAGATAAAACAGATGACCAATCTAAGATTATAAAAAGAGACAAAGAAGATCAATATATAATGATAAAGGGACAAATTCATCAAAAGTATATAATAATTATAAATATCTATGCACTCAACACCAGAGCTCCCAAGCATATAAAGCAAACATTAATAGATATAAAAGAAGAGATAGACTGCAATACAATAATAGTAACAGACTTTAATATCCCATTCTCAATAGTAAGCCAATCATCTAGACAGAAAATCAACAAAGACACGCACAGTTACACTACATACCAGACCTAATAGGCCTAAATGACATTTACAGAACATTTCGCCCAACTGCTACAGAAACACATTATTTTCATCACCACATAGAACATTCTCCAGAATAGATTGTATCTTAGGCCACAAAACAAGTCTGAACAAATTCAGTTAAATAGAAATCATATCAAGTATCTTTTCTGACCACAATGGAATAAAACTGGAAATCAATAACAAGAGGAACCTCAGAAAATATACAAATGCATGGAAATTAAACAATATGGTCCTAAACAACAATTGAATTAATGAAGAAATTAAGAATGAAATTGAAAAATTTCTTGAAGCAAATGAAAATGGAAATACAGTATACCAAAATCCGTGGGATATAGCAAAAACAGTACTAAGAGAGAAGTTTATAATAATAAATATCTATATCAAAAAAAGTAGAAAGACTTCAAATTATCAACCTAATGGTGCACCTCAAGGAACTAGAAAAGCAAGAAGAAACCAAACCCAAAATTAGTAGGAAGAAAGAAATAATAAAGGTCAGATTGGAAATAAAATTGAGGCTAAAAAAAGCAATAGACAAGATTAACTGAATGGAGAGTTGGTTTTTTGAAAAGGTAAACAAAATTGACAAACCTTTAGCTACACTAAGAAAAAGAGAGCAGACCCAAATAAATAAAATCAGAAATGAAAAAGGAGACTTAACAACTGAGCCCTCAGAAACACAAAGAATCATTAGAGACTATTATGAACAATGACATGTTTAACAAATTGGAAAATCTGGAAGAAATGGGTAAATTCCTGGACATATAAAATATACCAATATTGAACCATGATGATATATAAAACCTCAACAAACCAATACTGAGATCGAAGCCACACTGAAATGTCTCCCATCAAAGGAAAACCCAGGATCTGAGGGTGTTATGGCTGATTTCTACCAAACATTTAAAGGACTAGCACTAATATTACTCAAACGATTCAGAAAAATAGAGGAGGATGGACTACTTCCAGACTCATTCTATGAGGCTGGTATTACCCTGGTATCAAAACCAGACAAAGACACATAAAAAAATTACAGGCCAATGTATCTGAGGAATATTGGTGTAAAGATCCTTAATACTAGCAAACCAAATTTAACAATACGTTAGAAAAATCATTCATCATGAACAAGTGGGATTTATTCCAGGGATGCAAGGATGGTTCAACATACACAAATTAATCAATGTGATATAGTAACAGAATGAAGGACAAAACCATACGATATTTTAATTGATATTGAAAAACCCTGTGATAAAATTCAGCATCCTTCCATGATTAAAAAAAAAAACCCTAAAAAAACTGGGGATAGAAGGAACGTGCCTCAACACAATAAAAGCCATAAATAACAAAACCACAGATAGTATCTTACTGAATGGGGGAAAACCGAAAGCCTTTCCTTTAACATCTGGAACACATCAAGAATGTCTACTGTCTCCACTGTTATTCAATATAATACTGGCAGTCCTAGCTAGAGTAAGCAGACAAGAGAAAAAAATAAAGGGCATCCAAATTAGAAAGAAAGAGGTCAAATTATCTTTGTTTACAGATGATATGATCTTATATTTGGAAAAACCTAAAAACTCCACAAGAAAACTAGTAGAACTGATAAATTCAGTAAAGATACAGGATACAAAATCAACATTCAAGTATCAATATCATTTCTATATGCCCACAGTGAAAAATATGAAAATGAAATTTTAAAGGTAATATCATTTACAATAGCCACACATAAAAACAAATGCCTAGGAATTAACTTAACCAAAAATGGAAGATCTCTATAATGAAAACTGTAAAACAATGATGAAATAAACTGAAGACAACACAAAGAAATGGAAAGATAATCCATTTTAATGGATTGGAAGAATCATTATTGTTAAAATGTCATGCTACCCAAAGCAATCTATGGATTCAATGTGATCCCTAACAAAATACCAATGACATTCTTCATAAAAGTAGGAAAAGTAATCCTAAAATTCATATGAAACCACAAAAGACCCAGAATACCCAAAACTACCCTATGCAAAAAGAACAAAACTGAAGGAATCACATTACTTGACTTCAAATTATATTACAGAGCTATAGTAGCCAAAACAGCATGGTTCTGGCATAAAAACAGACACATAGACCAATGGAATAGAGTAGAGAACCCAGAAACAATTTGACACATCTACAGTAAACTCATTTTCAACAAGGTGCCAAGAACACACAGTGGGGAAAAAATAGTATCTTCAATAAGTGGTACTGGGAAAACTGGATATCCGTATGCAGAAGAATAAAACTACACTCCTATCTCTCACTACATACAAAATTCAAATAAAAATAGATTAAAGACTTAAATCTAAGACCTAGAACTATGAAAATACTACAAGAAAACATTGGGGAAAATCTCCAGGACATTGATCTGAGCAAAGATTTCTTGAGTAATGCCCCACAAGCACAGGCAACCAAAGCAAAAACAGACAAATGAGATCACATCAAGTTAAAAAGCTTCTGCACAGCAAAGAATACAATCAACAAACTAAAGAGACAACTCACAGAATAGAAGAAAATATCTGCAAACTATGCATCTGACAAGGGATTAGTAATCAGAATATATAAGTAGCTCAAACAACTCTATAGGAAAAAATCTAATAATCTGAAGAAAAATAGGCAAAAGATCTGAATAGATGTTTTTCAAAAGAAGACATACAAATGACAAACAGTCATATGAAAAGGTGCTCAAAATCATTGATCATCAGAGAAATGCAAATCAGAACTACAATGAGATATTATCTCACCCCAGTTAAAGTGGCTTATATCCAATATACAGGCGATAAAAATGCTGGCAAGGTTGTGGAGAAAAGGGAACCCTTGTACACTGTTGGTGGGAATGTAAATTAGTACAATCACTATCACTATGGAGAACATTTAAGAAGTTCTTCAAAAATTTAAAAATTGAACTACTGTATGATTTAGCAATCCCACTGCTAGGTATATACCCAAAAGAAAGGAAATCAGTATATTGAAGATACATCTGCACTCCTATGTTTGTTGGAACACCGTTTACAATAACCAAGATTTGGAAGCAACTGATGCCTATCTAAATAGATAAAGAAAACGTGGTACATATATGCAACGGAATACTAATTAGCCATAAAAAGAATGAGATCCAGTCATTTGTAACAACATGGATGGAACTGGAGATCATTATGTTAAGTGAAATAAGTCAGGACAGTAAGACAAATAACACATGTTCTCACTTATTTGTGAGATCTGAAAATTAAAACAATTGAACTCATGTATATAGAGAGTAGAAGGATGGTTGCCAGAGGCTGGGGAGGATAGAGGAGAGCTGAGTGGGGGATGGAGATGGTTCATGGGTTAAAAAAAATAGAAAGGATGTCTAAGACCTACTGTTTGATAGCACAACAGAGTGCCTATAGTCAATAATAATTTAATTGTACATTTTAAAATAACTTGATTGTAATTGGATTGTTTGTAACCCAAAGGATAAATGCTTGAGGGAATGGATACCCCATTCTTCATGATGTGCCTATTTCACATTGAATGCCTCTATTAAAACAGCTCATGTACCCCATAAATAGATATACCTACTCTGTACCCACAAAAATTATAAAAGTATTACTTAAATGTGGTACATATACACCATGGAATACTATGCAGGCCTTAAAAGAATGAAATCACAGGTTTACAGCAACATGAATGCAGCCGGAGGCCATTTTCCTAAGCAAATTAATGTAGGAACAGAAAACCAAATACTGCATGTGCTCACTTTTAAGTGGGAGCTAAACATTTGGTATTCATGGACATAAATATGGCAACAGTAGACACTAGGGACTACTAAAGGCAGGAGGGAGGGAGTGGGGCAACATCTGAAAAACTGCTGGGTATACGCTCAATACCTGGTTGATGCTCAATACCTGGTTGATGGAGTCATTTGTATCTCAAACATCAGCATCACACAATATACCCATGTGAGAAATCTGCGCATGTACCACCTGAATCTAAAATAAAAGTTGAGTTTATATATAAAAAAGCAAGACCAAATGAGTAAGTGAATGAATAGAAAGGGGCTTTGTAAACTATAATATAACATTCATTGTTTGGGCAACATAATGTTAGTGATAGTCCACTGAGCATTCTCTTTTATGCAAGGCCTAAGTCAGGAAGATTAAGTCCTGGCAGAGACAACCCAAATAGGCTCAGAAGCCACAATGGATGTAACCAGGAAGGCAAAAACTTCTCACACATAAGCAAAGAAAATCCTTTCAACAAAGAAAAGCTGTGAAACTCAGGGCCTGGATGGCAGTCTGCCAAGCAAAGAGGAAACAGAAAAGAGGATCAGTGTTTTCCTGGTGAGGAGTACAAGACTTCTGTTCATGAGATGCAGTGGAACATGGCATCTGGCACGAAGAGGAGGAGAGGCATGGCATTTGTCCTAATGTGACATGAATCCACGTCAGGAGCAATGAATGCCTTCCCAGGTGGAAAATGTCACCTCAGGAGCAGTGACAGTTCCCCACACTGAATGGGGACTTGTCAACAGCAAGGACAGGGAGGAAAGACAGCTGGTGACATCTCTTCTTTTGATTCTAACAAACATTCTGTAGCTTTTCACTTGCAGATGAGACAGGAAAGAGAAAACTGATCATAATTGAGCTCTTGCTGTAAGCCAGGTACTCTCACTTGGCAAATATTTATAGATCTCTGAATATGTTTGTAGATATAGACTGAGGCATATTAGTACACAAAACACACAAAATCACTGCCCTTGGTGGGAGCGACTTCATATTGTGGGGGTAATATACAATTAAAAATGAACAGACTAAATGAATACATTTTCTAGCTCATTAAAAAGAGGTTAGGTGTTACTAAAAAACATCGTAGTCAGGCATGGTGGCTCACACCTGTAATCCCAGCACTTTGGGAGGCCCAGGCAAGCGGATCACCTGGAGGTCAGGAGTTCAGACCAGCCTGACCAACATGGAGAAGCCCCATCTCTACTAAAAATACAGAATTAGCTGGGCGTGGTGGTGCATGCCTGTAATTCCAGCTACTCGGGAGGCTGAGGCAGGAGAATCGCTTGAACCCAGGAGGTGGAGGTTGCGGTGAGCCAAGATTGCGCCATTGCACTCCAGCCTGGACAACAAGAACGAAACTCCATCTCAAACAAAACAAAACAAACAAACAAAAAAAAACAGAAAACATAGCAACACAAGCGGAATCAAGAGGACTGGCGAGAGAACTGTAGTGTTTGGTGGTCCCATTAGGTTTTATTGAGAAGGTGAAATCTGAGCAAAAACTTGAAATAGGTGGAAAAAATGAGCCATTCAAGTACATGAAAAAGAGAGGGTACTGGGCAGAGGGACAACTAGTACAAAGGTCCCACGGCAGCTGCTTGTGTGGGCAAATTAAGGAACAGTGAGGAATCAAGATGGCCAGATAAGAAAGTGCAAGGACAGAGACAGAGCAGAGGGCTGAGGTCAGAGAGGGTATGAGGGGCCACTTCACACAGGCCCCCATTGGTCATTGTGAAGCTTTGCTTTTATGTTGAATGAAATGGGGAGTCATTGCAGGGTTTGAGCAGTGACATGACCTGACTTAAGATTTTGAAACATTATATTGTCTTCTCTCCTGAGAACCAACTATAGGCATAACTTATTTTATGGTGCTTCTTTTCATGGCTGTTCACAGAATTGTGTTTTTTACAAAATGAAGGTTTGTGGTGAGTCTATCGACACCATTTTTCCAATAGTATGTGCTCATTTTGTGTCTGTCACATTTTGGTAATTCTTGCAATAGTTTAAACTTTTTTATTGCTATTATATCTGTTATGGAGATCTGCAATCAATGACCTTTGATGTTACTATTGTAATTGTTTTGGGATGCCGCTAACTGCATCCATGTAAGACGGTGAACTTAATCAATAAATGTTGTGTGTGTTCTGACTGCTCCATTGATTGGCTCCCTCCCTGCACACACACATCTCTCTTCCTCTCCTCAGGCCTCCCTATTCCCTGAGACACAACAATCTTGAAATTAGGCCAATTAATAAGCCTACAATGGCTTATATCTATTCAAGTGAACAGAAGAGTCACTTTAAACAAAACCTAGAAATAATTCAGCTTAGTGAGGAAGGCATGTAAAAAGCCAAGACAGGCTGGAAGTTGGGTCCCTTGTGCCAAACAGTCAACCAAGTTGTGAATGCAAAAGAAAAGTTCTTGAAGGAACTTAAAAGTGCTACTCCTGTGAATACACAAATGATAAGAAACCAGAACAGTCTCATTGCTGATATGAAGAAAGTTTTAATGATCTGGATAAAAGATCAAACCAACCACAACATTTCTTTTAGCCAAAACTTAATCCAGAAAAAGGCCCTAACTCTCTTCAATTCTATGAAGACTGAAAAAGGTGAGGAAAAAAAAATTAAAGGCTAGAAGAGATTAGTTCATGAGGTTTAAGAAAAGAAGCTGTCTTCGTAACATAAAAGTACAAGGCCATGCAGCAAGTGCTAATAGAGAAGCCACAGCAAGTTCTCCAGAAGATCTAATTAAAATAACTGATGAAGGTGCCTACACTAATAACAGATTTTCAGTGCAGACGAAACAGCCTAATACTGGAAGAAGATGTCATGTAGGACTTTCATAGCTAGGGAAGAAAAGTCAATTCTTGGCTTCAAAGCACCAAAGGACTGGCTGATTAATAAGGGCTAATGCAGCTGGTAACTTTCGTGCATTGCCAATACACATTTACCATTCTGAAAATTGTAAGGCCCTTAACAACGATGCTACTCAGCTTGTGCTGTATAATGGCAGTCTACTCGGCTTGTGCTGTATAATGGAACAACAAAGCCTGGATGACATCACATCTCTTTACAACCTGGATTACTGAATATTTTAAGCTTATTGTTGAGATCTATGGCTCAAAAAAGAAAAGATTCCTTTCAAAATATTGCTGGTCATTGACAATGCACCTGGTCACCTAAGGGCTTTGATGGATATGTACAAAAGAATTAATGTTGTTTTCATGTCTTCTAACCAATACCTATTTACAACCCATGGATCAAGGACTAATTTTAAGTTTCAAATCTTATTATTTAAAAATTACATTTTGTAAGGCTCCAGGTACCATAAATCATGATTGCTCTGATGTATCTGGGCAAAGTAATTTGATAATCTTCGGGGAAAGATTCAGCATTCCAGGTGCCATTAAGAACATTCATGAATCACGGGAGGAAGTCAAAATATCAACATTAACAGGCATTTGGAAAAACTTGATTCAAATCCTTGGAGTTCAAGATTTCAGTGGAGAAAGGCACTGCAGATATGGTGGAAATAGCAAAATAGCTAGAATAAGAAATGAAGCCTGAGGCCAGGCACAGTGGCTCACCACTGTAATCCCAGCACTTTGGGAGACCGAGGTGGGAGGATTTCTCGAGCTCAGGAGTTCCAGACCAGCCTGGGCAACATGGTGAAACCCCATCTCTACAAAAATAAAAAAAAAAAATAGCCAGGTGTGGTGGTGCACAGCTATATCCCCAGTTACTTGGGAGAACGGCTTGAGCCCTGGAGGCAGAGGTTGCAATGAGCTAAGATCACACCACTGTACTCCAGCCTGGGTGACAGAGCTAGGCCCTGTCTCAAAATGAACAAACAAACAAACAAATGAACAAACAAAAAACTGGAGCCTGAAGATGTGACTGAATTGCTGCAATCCCATGATAAAACCTGAGCCAATGAGGAGTTACTTCTTATGGATGAGGGGGGAAAAAAGTGGCTCCTTGAGATGTGATCTACACCTGGTGAAGATGCTGTGAACATTGCTGAAATAACAAGAAATGATTCAGAATATTACATAAACCTATGTATAAAATATCATCAGGGTTTGTTAGGGTTGACTCCAAATTTGAAGGAAGTTCTGCTGTGGGTAAAATGGTATCAAACAGCATCACATGCCACAGAGAAATCTTTGGTGACAAAATTTTTTTAAAAGAGTCAATCGTCTTTTAAAAAACTGCAAACATCATTGTTGTCTTATTTTGAGAAATTGACACAGCCACCTCAACCTTCAGCAACTACCACCCTGATCTGTCTGCAACCATCAACATCAAGAACCTCCACAAGCAAAAAGATTATGACTTGAATGCACAGATTATCATTATATATTTTAGCAACAACTTATTTTTAATTAAGGTATGTATATTTTTTTTAGACACAATGCTAGTGCACACTCAATGGGCTACACTATTGTGTAAACATGATTTTTACATGTACTGAGAAACAAATAAATTTCTGTTACTCAAACTATTGAGATGTTTGCCTTATTATGGTGGTGTGGAACCAAACCTGCAATGTCTTAGGTATGCCTGTTTACAGGCATCATTGTCAACGTAGGGAGAGTTCTAAAGAGGCTATCACAACTGAGCTGAGAAACTATGTGATGTTGCCAGTATGATAGCCATGGACTTCATAAAAATCGTTGGATTCTAGTTGTGTTTTGAAGGAGGAGACAATGAGATATTCTTATTTATTATATGTGAGGCATGAAAGAAAGAGAAGAGTAAAAGATGACTCCAAGGGCTTGGTCTGAGCAACTGGAAGGATAGAGTGGCCAATGGCCATTAAAAGATTTAGGTAAGGAGATGCGTGGAACAGCTTTGGGGGAGAATATCAGCAATTCAGTTTTAGTTATGTTTTGAGATGAATCTAAGATGTTCAAGTAGAGATGTCACATAGTCAGTTGTTTATATGAGCCTGGAGTTTTAGGGAAGGGCCTAGGATGGAAACATAAATTTGCTTTACTTACATTATTTCATGTCGTCCTCCTCATGACTCTTCCCTGTGGTTTATTCAAAAGTGATTGTGACTTACTCATGATTGCATAATTATCAAGGTACTAAATGAAATTTTGAATTCTTGTCCCCTCCCAAATCTTATACTTTTTGAAAGCAAATTCTTCAAGAGAAATATATTTCCTTTTTCTCGTCTTTTTTTCTTTTAGTTTCATTCCTGTGACCCATTATATAGAAAGATCAATATGGAATTATAGAGGAATAGGCTTAGAAAGACTACACAGATCGTGGTTAGGCTTAAAGACAGTCAGGAGGCACTTGAAAATGTTGAACCCAAAATGAGGACTTAGAAAAGATGGAGAAGCAATAAGAGAAGGGGACTCAAAGAAAAATGGGAAAGTTGAGGTCACTGGCTGTCATGGAAACATCATGAATATGAGATATCAATAGAGTCACTGTCAACCTTATTATATGCACCACTGCCATTTTATGTTATATATATAACAACATACGTATCCCAGGTGCTTTTGTACATTGAGCACATGTATTCCCAGTGCATAAGGATCCCAGTGGTCATAAGAGACCATCTACATCTTTTTTTCTCATTAGATTTTGAGCTCCTCAAGGACTAGAACTTTCTGTGTCTTACTCATCTTTGTAATTTCAGCACCCTATATAATGCCTGGCTCAGAACCATGCAAGACAGTTACATGAATGAATGAATGGCTAAATGCTAGACATGGAAGAATTTGTTCCTAGAGTTTCCTGAGGGGACATTCTGGAAAGAAAAAATAATAATTTGAGCAGAAATTAAGCATCTTGTTTTCTACTTCAGCGTGAAGGGTAGCAGATTTCTGTGGACATCTATTTGCATATCTTTTTCTTAAATAGGCGGGCCAATTTACATACATTTCTATGTTCAATTCAAATAAACTTGCTGTCAGTATGTAAATTACTTGGCACATTGAGTTCTTTTCTTCTTTCCAGTTTTTTTTTCATTTTTACTGTTTCCTTTTCATATTTAATATGTATGTTTTATGCAAATTATCTCCATACTTTGATAGGGCCTTTCAACGGACTGTATTATTTTAAATGAAAGCTATAACTATGCATGTATTATATGTGTAAGTTCAGTATACATATAATATATATTCTGAATTTTTATTAACCAGAATAATCACATCTTTACATTTTAGCTTAAGAAATATTTTATTTGTATTCTCCTCCCTCTAAATCACAAAATTTTATATACAGAGAACCCTGATTCAAGGCCTTTTGGTCCAGCTCTGTCACTAACCATCCCTATAACCTGAGGCAAGTAATCACACCTCTGTAATTTCCGATTTATTTTTTGGAAACATGGAAACGTTGAACTTCCAAGATCATTTCCTGGTTAAAGATTTACCTACAAGCATTCATTGCACATCTAGCAGCTAGTGCAAATCTCCTGGAAACACACAACCTCAGAGACACAACAAGATAGAAAGCAATATCACTACCCAAGAGACACATTGGGCTGGTTGGGGAGGACTGATAAATATGGGGGACATGAAATCATTTCCAGAGAAGAATAGTGGAAGCAACTGAAGACATGCACAGGAAAGAAGTCCAAGTAGTGGGCAAATCAATGGTCCCTAGGAGCAACATACAGTAGTTCCCCTTTGTATTAGTCTGTTCTCACACTGCTAATAAAGACATACCTGAGACTCGGTAATTATAAAGGAAAGAAGTTTAATTGGCACAGTTCCACATGGCTAGGGAGGCCGCACAATCATGGTGGAAGGCGAGGAGGAGCAAGTCACATCTTACATGGCAGCAGGGAAGACAGAATGAGAACCAAGCAAAAGGGGTTTCCCCTTATAAAACCATCAGATCTCATGAGACTTATTCACTACCATGAGAACGGTATAGGGGACACCACCCCTACAATTCAATTATCTCACACCTAGTCCCTCCCACAACACATGGAAATTATGGGAGCTACAATTTAGGATGAGATTTGGATAGTGACACAGCCAAACCATATTACCTTTTATCCATGATTTTGCTTTCTGTGGTTTCAGTTACCCAGTGAATACTACAGTAAAACATTTTGAGAAAAAAGAGAGAAACACAATTCACATAACTTTTATTACAGAATTTAATTATAATTGTTCTATTTTATTATGGTTGTTAATCTAATACTGTAACTAATTTATCAATTAAACTTGATCATATGTATAGGAAAATATAGGGTTTAGTACTGTTTGTGCCTTATGCATCCACTAGATATCTTGGAACATACACCCTTCAGGGGTATATAAAGTCTCCCCTTCAAGGGAGACTTCTGTATACCCAAACAATACTAGGAACACTTTGCTTGTTTTGTGTTGTTTTTAAGTTCCATTCCTGAGCTCATTAATTTCAAGGTGCAATCCTTTTCTTAACAGATTTACACTGAGAAAACAAGAAAGTGTTTCATCTCCCCAAAAAAAGGCCACCTGCAAAAGTTCTCTCAGTGTAGAATTTGCCTTATTCTCAGGGAATAGAATGTTGCATAAATTGTCCCCAATCCCAGAAGTCAGTGATGTAGGGATGGCGATCTCTGCCTAAAGATGTGCCATTCAAACAACACACAGCAGTGTCCACCAAGAAACTTAAACTAATGTTGCAGGCAGATAATTTATCCACCCACTCACTCAGTTCTTTAACACTTACTGAGCTCCTGCTGTATGCCAGCCACAGTCAAGGGAACATGAAAGATACAGATGTATCTAAGAGGAGTGATCAGCCTCATCAGATCCAACACTGCTATCTTATTACAAATAAATCTAATGACTCCTTTAGAAATGAAGTTCATGTATAATAATATAGCCTACTATTACACATAATTTTTAAAGTCAATAAAAGTCCATATAATTCTCTAAGTGTAGCATAAAGGATAATTACACTAAGAGATGTGATAGTGGTAGGTACTTACCCTTACTTATAATAAAAATGTAAAGATTTTTTAAAAGCAAGGCAATTTTTAACCAACTGTTGCTGACCCTGTTTCTTTCTGTTTGATATTTGTAAATAAGAGCTATGGGAATAGCTATGCTGTAGTAGATGATTTGGGATTTTTTAGATTAGAAATGCTGAACCAGTAAGTATAATTAAACTATTCCAAAATAAAAACAATCCAAAATTTGAAAGACTTCTGGTCCCAAACATTTTGGATAAGGCGTACTGAACCTGTAGTAGATTAAAGTCAGGATGCTTTAGTCAAAGGATGTTATATCAGGGTCCTGGCAAATTAGCACAGACAAATGGGGTAAATAAGGAAAATTTATAAAGGGAATATTTGTAAAGATGTGAGCAGATTAAGGGAAACCGACAGGGATGATGAAGCCCCCCTGGGGTAACAAACCAGGGGAGACATTGCCACCCTAAGTAGCAAGGGGAGAAGCAGTTTACACGAATCCAGGCACAGTAACTGGAGCTGAAGGCAGCTGGAGAAAATAATTCTGTAATATTTGCTTAGAAATAAACAGGCAACTCAAGGCCTGGAAGAGAAGGATTGAGGGGAATGGACATAGATGAAGCTTCTTCCTTCTCTGTATTTCCTGCTGGTTTCTCCCCTTGGTCAAACCCAACCAGAAGTTGGACAGCAAAGAGCTCAGTTGATGCACTCCACAGAAGTCAGCTTCCTGGGGCACCAAGCAGGTAGAAACCGGATCTCTAGGGACAAAGAGGACACATCTAGGGAAGGATTGAAGGAGACCTCTGGAAACTGAAGGTGGCCTCTGACCAATAGCTCACAAGAAATTGAATGGTGCCAACAACTACATGAGCTTGGAAACAGTTCCTTCCCCAGTTGAACCTCAGATGAGATGCAGTCCTGGCTGATGCTTTGATTCAAGTTTTGTGAGACTCTGAAGCAGAAGATCCAGCTAATCTGTGTCCAGACTCTAGACCCACAGAAACTGAGCTAATAAATGCTAGCTCTTTCAAGCCACTAAGTTTGGGACAGTTTGCTTTGCAGCAATAGAAAACTAATTCACCAGCTGGGCGCAGTGGCTCACACCTGTAATCCCAGCACTTTGGGAGGCCGAGGCAGGTGGATCATGAGGTCAGGAGATCGAGACCATCCTGGTTAATACGGTGAAACCCCGTCTCTACTAAAAATACAAAAAATAGCCAGGGGTGGGGGCTGGCACCTGTAGTCCCAGCTACTCAAGAGGCTGAGGCAGGAGAATGGCCTGAACCCAGGAGGCGGAGCTTGCGGTGAGCCAAGATCATGCCACTGCACTCCAGCCTAGGTGACAGAGTGAGACTCCGTCTCAAAAAACAAACAAACAAAAAAAAAACTAATTCACCACTCCTAAAAATGATGAGTCTGAAACTGTCTTACCATTGTGGCCTATGTTCTATCTCTCTCAAACCTTCTGGGCTGTGCTTGTCCTGATTTGCTGTCTTCAGGAGAGCCACTGCAGAGATCTCAACAACGAGAAAGAAAAGGGGGAGAAAAAATAACCTAGTACCAGGAAATAGGAATACATTTGTTGATAATACAGAATCCTTGTTGTTAGAGACTTCAGCTGGACAGTCTAAAAATATCAGTTTAATACTATTCTGTTTCAGGCCCTGTGCTAGATATTTGGGGAGACAGGAGTAAACAGTTGATAAAAGCCTTGTCCTAGTGCAACTTAGAGCATCACAGTGATAATAGCCAGGTAAAGAAGCAATAATAATACAAACTAACAACTGCCTCAATAGGTCAACAGCGGGATGTGTGAGCATAGTTGTTCCAAAAGAAGTGTTGCTGCTCTCCTTTTGTAGATGCAGAAACTGAGGCTTAGAGAAACTGTAAATTTCATTAAAATGACTCCAGCAGACAATGCCAGGCACGGAATTGATTCTCTCTGGGGGAATGCATAGTGCTTGCTTCTGCAGTCACCTTACTTTCAGTTAGAGGGCTTTAAGCGGAGAGAGATGGGATCTGATCCATGTTTTGATGTGCTCCTAGCTGTGGTGTTGATATGGGTTGGCTGTGTCCCCACCCAAATCTCATGTTGAATTGTTGTTCCCATAATCCCCACATTTCATGGGAGGGTCCTGGTGGGAGGTAATTGAATCATGGGCATGTTTACTCCCATACTGTTGTTCTCATGATTGTGAATGAGTTCTCATGAGATTTGATGGTTTTATAAGGGGCTTTTCCCTCTTTACTCATTCTTCTCTCTCCTGCTGCCTTGTGAAGAAGGACATGGCTGCTTCCCCTTCTGCCATGACTGTAAGTCTCCTGAGGCTTCCCCAGCCCTGCAGAATTATGAGTCAATTAAACCTCTTTCCTTTATAAATTACTCAGTCTCAGATATGTCCTTATAGCAGTGTAAGAATGGACTAATACAGGTGTGGAGAAAGATCAGCATTATGACATGACCTTGGGTGGGGACACCACCTAGAAAGCTGGTGCAGAGGTCCAGGCTAGAAATGTTTGCCAGGCTCCTCATTAGAAAACTCCAGAAGGAGCCATTCATAACCTGGAGGGTGGTTTTTAAAATCGCTTTAACAATTAAGGAAATAGAAATGTTAGAATGTTAAGAACATATTCAAGAATCCAATTTATACAGACAAGGACTTAAACAGCCAGGACTCTAAAGCAGGTGTCTGCCTCCACTTCTCAGGATTTCCCAATGTTTCCTTGTGCCTCTTTTTTTTTTTTTCATTGTTATTTTTATGGTAACAACACTTTGGGAGGTGTTGATTTTGTCTGTTACCTTGACTGTGGTGATCGTATCACAATGGCATTGCCATATGGTGATGCATATGTCCAAGTGCATCAAATTTTACACACGAAATATACACAGTTCTTTGTGTATCAATTATAATTAAAAAGAGCTGTTTAAAAAATTTTTTAAATCTCAGAATTTGTCCTCCCTTCTGGTAGAAACCTTAAAGATTCACTTAAGTACATTTTATTAAAAATTAATGAAAGCATTAACATCCCCATTATTCTGAAAAGGTACTTAGGCCTAGAAATGTGATGACCTTTTTACAAAGTCACAGATAAGCAAGAGAGACAATGAAGCAGAGCTTTCATACTCTGCAGGCATCTGGTAAAAAATCCACCTGATCATTACGGTTCTTCTATTAACTCTGAAACACTTCCAGAAATAGCTAATAAAAAAATTAGCACGCTTCAATGAGTAGGATCTTGAGAGCTTAGGAGGGAAATATGTAAAATTCGCATTATTAGAGGTAAAATTATTACCTGAATTAGCTTTCCTTTCCAGGATATCCAGGGTCCCTCCTGAATAAACTTCTAGAAAATAAAAAATGGGACAAGCCCATCCTGCTGCTAACCTTGGTCATCTCACAGTTACTCAATTAAGAGAAATGTTTATTGAGTATCTAGGAAGAATTCGGCTCTGTGTTGGTGCTGAAGGAACAAAGGGAGGCTCTGGAATATGATAAGGTAGCAATGGCGGAAAGAGAAGAGTGTAATCTTGGGGTCAGAAAAATGAGGGACCTTGGGAAAGTCATCAAACCTGTTTGTCAACTTCTTGGGCAAGTTATTTTCTATTTATTTATTTATTTTTAATTATTTAATTATTATTATTATTAAGTTCCAGGGTACGTGTGCAAGATGTGCAGGTTTGTTATACAGGAAAACGTGTGCCATGGTGGTTTGCTGTACCTAACAACCCATCACCTAGGTATTAAGTCCAACATGCATTAGCTCTTTTCCCTAATGGCTTCCTCCACTGCCCTCCCGCAACAGGCCTCAGTGAGTGTTGTTCCCCTCCCTGAGTTCATGTGTGTCATTATTCAGCTCCCACTTATAATTGAGAACAAGTGGTGGTTGGTTTTCTGTTTTTGAATTAGTTTGCTGAGGACAGTGGCTTCCAGCTTCATCCATGTCCCTGCAAGGGACATGATCTCATTCCTTTTTATGGCTGTATAGTATTCCATGGTGAATATGTACCACATTTTCTTTATCCAGTCTATCATTGATAGGCACTTGGGTTGATTCCATGTCTTTACTATTGTGAATAGTGCTGCAATGAACATATATGTGCATGTATCTTTATAACAGAATGATTTATATTGCTTTGGGTATATGCCCAGCAATGGGATTGCTGGGTCAAATGGTATTTCTGGTTCTAAATCTTTGAGGAATCACCATGCTATCTTCCAAAGTCATTGAACTAACTTACATTCCCACCAACAGTGTAAAAGCTTTCCTATTTCTTTGCAACCTTGCCAGCATCTGTTGTTTCTTGACATTTTAATGATTGCCATTCTGACTGGTGTGAGATGGTATCTCATTGTGGTTTTGATTTGCATTTCTCTAATGATCAGTGATATTGAGCTTTTTTTCATGTTCCTTGGCCACATGCATTTTTTTGAGAAGTGTCTGTTCATATCCTTTGCCCATTTTTTAATGGGGTTGTTTGCTTTTTTCTTGTAAGTTTGCTTAAGTTCCTTGTAGGTTCTGGATATTAAACCTTTGCCAGATGGATAGATTGCAAAAATTTTCTCCCATTCTGTAGGTTGTCTGTTTGCTCTGATGATAGTTTCATTTGCTATGGATAAGCTCCTTAGTTTAATTAGATCCCATTTGTCCATTTTTGCTTTTGTTGCAATTGCTTTTGGTGATTTCATCTTAAAATCTTTGCCTATGCCTATGTCCTGAATGTTATTGCCTAGATTTTCTTCTAGGATTTTTATAGTTTTGGATTTTACATCTAAGTTTTTAATCCATCTTGAGTTAATTTTTGTATAAGGTGTAAGGAAGCCATTCTGCATATGGCTAGCCAGTTCTCCCAACACCATTCATTAAGTAGGGAGTCCTTTCCCCATTTCTTGTTTTTGTCAGGTTTGTTGAACATCAGATGGTTGTAGATGTGCGGTTTTATTTCTGAGTTCTCTGTTATGTTTCACTGGTCTATGTGCCTGTTTTGGTACCACTACCATGCTGTTTTGTTTACTGTAGCCTTGTAATATAGCTTGAAGTTGGGTAGAGTGATTCCTCCAGTTTTTGTTATTGTTGTTGTTTGTTTGTTTGTTTGCTTAGTATTGTCTTGGCTATGTGAGCTCTTTTTTTGTTCTATATAAATTTTAAAATAGTTTTTTTTTATTATTGGGGCAAGTCACTTAGCTTAATTATGTTAGGAAAGTAAACTAACTTCTTTGAAACTGATTATCCTCACCTGTCAAATTAGAATAATTATTCTTACTTAGTACAGTTGGTTGTTCCAGGTAGGACTGAAATATGCAATGTACCTAGGACTATAGCACATAGCAGTCATCGCAAATATGTTCATTTTTTCCCCACTCCACTATCCCCAAGTCCTTGGCTGCAAGAGAACATGACATGATTAAGAAGATAATGGTTCCACAGAGAAAACCAGATTAATAAATAATTATAGCAAGAGTCCTAGATGAATAGGTTGATCTATATCTGAATACCATTTTCAACTCAGGAAGTCAGTCAGTGGGCATTCCTATACCCTTGAAAATCTGGTTCATCTGCCTTCAGCTCCCTCAATCCCAAAGCCATCACCTCTCAAACTCTGTGCCTTTCCCAAAGATTTTTCTCCTAATTTCAGGACAATTACATTCTCCCAATCTCTTCCTCATCTTGGGCTCTACCCTCCTCCAGTGTTGCTTCTGGCCAGCTCTACATCTACTCAGGCTGCTTTTCAGTGTCTGCCCAACACTGTTGAGCTATGATAGAGCACATAAATGCCTGCCTCCTCCAGGCCCTCTCTCCCTCTCCCATCCCTCCTAGTTATCCCATCTCTCCCTACCAGGAAATTCTACTTCTTCCATCTTTATGGTCTGACCTATTCCCTTACCATCCTCTCATGTCAGGACAGACCATCTAAGGGAAATTCTGAGTAACAAAACTTTCTTACCCCAGCTACACATTATTTTTTGTTACTTTTACTGCTACAGTTGCTGCTCCTAATCAACTGCATGCTGTTTGTTTGAGAACTTAAAAGGTCAATGAGCACAGGCTCTGGAACAGGCCACCTGGGTTCAAATTCTGGTTTTGCCAAATGGTGACCTGGAACAGTAACTTAATCCACCTGAATGCCTCCATTTTATTTGTTTATTTTTTTAAATGTGTAAATTTAGACTTTTTAACTTTTATTTTAAGTTCAGGGGTACAAGTGCAGGTTTGTTACATAGGTTAACTTGTGTCATGGGGGTTTGTTGTACAGATTATTTTATCACCCAAGTACTAAGCCTAGTACCCATTAGTTATTTTTGCTCATCCTCTCCCTCCTCCCACCTTCTACCTTCCAAAAGGCCCCAGCCTGTGTTGTTCCCCTCTGTGTGTCCATGTGTTTTCATCATTTAGCTCCCACTTATAAGTGAGAACATGCGGTATTTGGTTCTCTGTTCCCGTGTTAATTTGCTAAGGAAAATATCCTCCAGCTCCATCCATGTCCTTGCAAAGACATGATCTCATTCTTTTTCATGGCTGCATAGTGTTACATGATATATCAATGGTAGACTGGATAAAGAAAAATGTGGTACATATATACCATGGAACACTGTATTAGTCCGTTCTCACGCTGCTAATAAAGACATACCAAGACTTAGTAGTTTATAAAGAAAAAGAGATTTAGTGAACTCACAGTTTCACATGGCTGGAGAGGACTCACAATCATGGCAGAAGGTGAAAGAGGAGCAAAGCCACATCTTACGTGGCAGCAGGCAAGAGAACATGTACAGGGGAGCTCACTTTTACAAAACCATCAGATCTCATGAAACTTATTCTCTATCAGGAGAACAGCTCAGGAAAAAGCCTTTCCCATGATTCAGTTATCGCACACCAGGTCCCTTTCACAACATGGGATTGTGGGAACTACAATTCAAGATGAGACTTGGATGGTGACCAAGCCAAACCATATTAAATACTATGCAGCCTCCATTTTAACACAGGGATAATAACAAAACCTACCTCTTAGGATTTCTGTGAGGATAAAATGATTCAGCCTATGTTAAATCCTTTAAAATAATTTCTGGGACATAATTGCCAAGTGCATATTAATTACAAGTATCATTTGGAGTCAGAGAGATGAAGACTTTTTTGCCTAATGCAGGTCACATAACATCTCCAACCCCCTCTTTTATTATATATAAAATGGAGATATTTGATGCCCACCTTGAAGGTTATAGTAAGAATTAATGTGAAAATATGTATAAAGAAGGGTCTGGCACTTCAAAGGTACTCACTATATTGTCATTTTCATTCCTAGTTTAAAAGTTTTGTTAATGCTCTATGAAAATTTTTGCCTACATTGAGCTGCAGAAACACTCTAACATCATCTTGATGTTTTCTTGCTGAAATGTACAAAAGTACTAACCTCTGATTATTGTTCTCTCATTTTGTTTTTTAGCTTCTCAAGCTGAAAACAGCAATTTGAGTTTCCCGAGTTCTAACCATGTAAACCATGCTGGATTCAAGGTGGATGGATTGATTTTCATCCTCATTCAATGTAATGGAGAACATAGACTAGTAGGTACAAATGAAGTTTGACTATTTCCAGTGATTTTACTTCTGCCACAGCTTCCAGAGAACCTCCCATGCATCAAGATTGACATTTAAGGGCCTGGGGCAAGAGCCATGGCCCAGCTAACCTTCACCCTAGTGTGACACACTGCTTGCACTCTGAGCCAGTGTTCTTATCTAGAAAATGGGGAGAATAGTAGCATTAAACACCTCATGGTGTTTAATGGGATTACATGAGATAATTCATTTAATGTGCTTAATATAGTGCTTGACATGACAATGTTTGAAATTATTTTGATGATCATGATTTAAATTTTCCCCAAAGACTTCAATAATCAAAGGAAAAAAAGCTTTTCTTACCCTCTAGGCATCTTCACAAGCCCTTTCTGCAGTTCTGTCATTTTAAAAACTTGCATTCTGGGGTGTAAAGTCTGACTCCTACTGAAAAGTGAGAAAATCCCTCCAAATGAACTTCACAAGCTAAAGTTAAAAATAGGCTTGCCAGTCAGACACAGGAAAGACTCCACAGAGAATCCCAGACCCTCAATCCCCCAAAACAGAAGCTCCATCCAGGGCTGGACTAGCAGTCCAGCAAGGAGTATAGTGGCAATCGTGGTTTCCTAGAGATGACATAAAGTACTAGCACAAACTGGGTGGCTTCAAAGAACAGAAACATACTCTCTCTTAGAGCTGAATGCCAGAAATTTGAAATTGAAGTGTAAGAAATCCTCCCATGCCTCCTACCAGGTTCTGGTGGCTCCCAGCAGTGCTTTGAGTTTTGTTTTTTTTTGTTGGTTTTTTTTTTTTTTTTTTTTTTTTTTTTTTGAGACAGAGTCTCGCTCTGTCACCCAGGCTGGAGTGCAGTGGCGCGATCTCGGCTCACTGCAAGCTCCGCCTTCTGGGTTCACGCCATTCTCCTGCCTCAGCTTCCTGAGTAGCTGGGACTACAGGTGTCCGCCACCACGCCTGGCTAATTTTTTGTATTTTTAGTAGAGACGGGGTTTCACCATGTTAGCTAGGATGGTCTCGAACTCCTGACCTCGTGATCTGCCCACCTCGGCCTCCCAAAGTGCTAGGATTACAGGCTTGAGCCACTGCGCCCGGCCACCTTAACTTCTTGATGCATCACTCCAATCTCACCTCTTTCTTTACATGGGCTTCTCCTGGGAGCGCCTCTGTGTAGCCTCTCTTTTTTTTATAATTACACCAGTCACATTCGATTTAGAGCCCATCTTAATCCAGTATGATCTCATCTTACCCAATATATCTACAAAGACCCTGTTTCCAATTGAGGTCACAATCTGAGGTTCCGTAAATTTGGAAGACACAATCCAACTCAGTAAAGTAGCTCAGAGTCAAGGCTCCAAATTCAGACAGGCTTAGATTCCTGTCCTAGTGGCCTCACTAACTTCCTCATGAACTTGTTCCCCAATTTCTATATAGAGAAAGTAAGAATAGCAATGGGACCCACTGAATTGTGGTGAGAATTAAACAATAACAACAAAAGTCAATAACATTGACTGAGGGCTCACCATCTGTCAGATTGTTTTAAGTTTTTCTTTTTCATTAACTCACTAATACTCATAGCAGCTTCATGAGATAGTAGAATCATTATCCCCATTTCTCAGATGAGAAGGCTGAGGCCTGAGAAGATTAAATGATTCTCACAAAGTCCCACTATTGGATTTAAATTCAGGAGTCTTGTTTTTATGAAAATATCCTTAGCTGAGCTCCCAAAAATCTAGGAACTGTCCAATAAATGAGAGCCTTTTTTATTAGTACAGCCAGAGTCCATTCTCTACCCCACATCTCTCGCAGCTCAGGGTCAACCCAGGTTGCTCCTATCTGTCCCCAGAGTTCAATGCTTGAGCACACTTACTATCTCACCTCATCTTACAACCATTAATCACACAAGCACAACATAAAAATAATACAAGCGTTGGAGACAGTTATTTCTAGTAGTAATCTCAGAGTAGATGCATAAAAAATAGACATCCCCGACTCGATTAGGAAGCTTGGATAATGGAATATCTGCAGCTACATGGGGAGGGCTCCTGGTAGCCAAGTAGCAACTGCATGAAAGTTGGACCCAAAAGCAGTAGCCGGGCTCAGACCTCTATCCAGGCTACTTTCCCAGGTCCTGGAACATAGCCACCTCCAAGACTCCAAGCCATACCTGGAGCACCTGACCAGGTTAGCTCAGATTCCAGAACTATTATCCTTCTTCTCTATGCCTGTCTTCCCCATCCAAATCTGACAGCTTTTCTTAAGCCTAGACTTAAAAAGGTTGTTACAATAGCTTCTTTCCTAATATATGCTGCCACTTGCCCTGTAACCTCACTAAGTAAATCACCCCCACCCCCATGCATCCAGAGAGCCTTTACCCCTCCCCAACCTCCACCAAGGACACCACCACCAGGGAGCAGCAGCTGGTTCCCTGACACATCTCCTACTACAGCTTAGAGATGTGGGTGCGTCTCACAGATCATAAAACACATGGAGTTTGTCTCAGAGACCTTCTGACTCTTGCTTTTAGGGTCCTGTTTACAACTTTTATAACTTCACCCCTCTTTCCTGGTATACAATGGTGATATGGTTTGGCTGTGTCCCCACCCAAATCTCACCTTGAATTGTAGCTCTCATAATTCCCCTGTGTCATGGGAGGATCCCAGTTGGAGATAATTAAATGATGGGGCAGTTTCCCCCATACAGTTCTCTTGGTAGATAATAAGTCTCACAAGATCTGATGGTTCTATAAATAGGAGTTCCCCTGCAGAAGCTCTCTTGTCTGCCACCATGTAAGACGTGACTTTGCTCCTCAATTGCCTTCCACCATGATTGTGAAGCCTCTCCAGCCATGTGCAACTGTGAGTCAATTAAACCTTTTTATAAATTAGCCAGTCTTGGGTATGTCTTTATCAGCAGCATGAGAACAGTCTAATACAAGTGGCCTCTTTCATTCTTTCATGTATTCAGATATTTATTCATTCGTTCAACCAGTAATTTGCTGAACATCCAATTGTGTGTAGGCCCTGTGTCAGTTGCTTTTATTTATTTATTTATTTTTTTTTTTGAGATGGAGTCTCACTCTGTCACCAGGCTGGAGTGCTGTGGTGTGATCTTGGCCCACTGCAACCTCCCACTCCCTGGTTCAAGCAATTCTCCTGCCTCAGCCTCCTGAGTAGCTGGGATTATAGGCACATGACACCATGCCCAGCTAATTTTTGTATTTTTAGTAGAGACGGGGTTTCACCATGTTGGCCAGGATGGTGTCGATCTCTTGACCTTATGATCTGCCCACCTCGGCCTCCCAAATTGCTGGGATTACAGGTGTGAGCCACTGTGTCTGGTTGTCAGTTGCTTTTGTATACTTACAGATTCATTATTTTACTCAAAATCCATGAATCTACTCTGCCTACCACCATATTATGTGTATGGCTATAAAGATAAATAAGGCATCATCTAGATACAAAATCCTGAATACAAATCTCACTGTCTAGTGGAACTAAGTACTATGTAAAAATACACACTGCAATTCAGTAAGGCACATGCTATATGTGAAGTAAGAACAAAATGATGTAGAAACGCAAAGAAGGTGATAAATAATTTTACCACCCTTTCACTGTACCTACCATTCTATTCCCTTACAAAGTGAGCGTTGTGTTAATTAACTTGAGTGTGGCAATCATTACACAATCTACATATACATCAAATCATCACATTGTACACTTTGAATATATACAACTTTTATTTGTCAGTTATATCTCAATAAAGCTGGAAAAAATTCTGAGTCAAACTTTTTCTCAGCTAACTGTGACACTGAGAAGTCATAACATAGACTGTGCTGCAATAACAAACTTCAAAATCTCAGTGGCTTAACTCAACAAAAGTTTATTTTTACTCACGTAATATGTCATCCAGGGTCTCTGACCAATACTGTCACTAGCGACTCAGATAACAAATGCTTTATCATCCCAAAAGGAAGCTTAGTTGTTACTCATACAAGAAAAACAGGTAGAAGGCGGATCACAAACTAGCTCTTAAATGCGTCAGTCCAGAAGTGATTTTGGTCAGACAGAGCCATATGGTTCTGTCTATCTGCAAGAATGTATAAGCATTTGTGTGCATATGGGAGGAGGCACATTGATAATCAATGCACATCGGTAAAGTCTGCTACAAAAATCTTTAAATATCTAATTTTTAGAAGTAAATGTGTATATTTAAATTATACACATTTAAAATTGTGTATATTTAAATATATAACATGATGTTATGGATAGTAAAAAGGTGAAACAAATTATATGTATCATTTTACATAGCTACCCTTTTTGTTTGTTTGTGTGGCAAAAAGCAGCTAAAATCTATAGGCATATTTTGGAGATATTGTGGGTTCAGTTCCAAGCTACCTCAATGAAGCCAATATTGCAATAAAGAAAGTCACACAAATTTTTTGGTTTCTCAGTGCATATAAAAGTTATGTTTACACAATACTATAGTCTATTAAGTGTGCAATAGCATTATGTCTAAAAAATAAATATACTGGCTGGGCATGGTGGCTTATGCCTGAAATCCCAGCATTTTGGGAGGCCAAAGCCCGAGGATCATCACTTGAGACCAGGAGTTTGAGACCTGGGCAACATGACAAAACCTCGTCTCTAGAAAAGAAAAAAAAAAATTGGCCGGGCATGGTGGCATGAGCCTGTAGTCCCAGCAACTTGGGAGGCTGAGGTTGGAAGATCCCTTGAGCCCAGGATGTGGAGGCTGCACCAAGCCAAGATTACACAACAGAACTCCAGCCTGGGTGACAGAGTAAGACCATGTCTCAAAAAAAAATATTTATACACTTTAATTTTAAAATATTTTATTGCTAAAACATGGTAATGATATGATCATCTGTGCCTTCAGCAGGTCATGAAGGTTTTGCTGATGGAGGGTCTTGCCTTGATGTTGATGGCTACTGACTGATCAAGGTGATGACTGCTGAAGGCTGGAGTGGTGTGGCAATTTCTTAAAATAAGACAAAAATAAAATTTGCCACATCAATTGACTTTTACTTTCACTAAAGATTTCTCTGCAGCATATGATGCTGTTTGATAGCATTATATCTACAATATAACTTCTTTCAAAATTGGAGTCAATCCTCTGAAACCTGCTGTTGCTTTATCAACTAAGTTTATGTAATATTCTAAATCCTTCTTTTTACTTCAGCAATGTTCACAGCATCTTCACCAGAAGTAAATTTCATCTTAAGAAACAACTTTCCTTTTCATCCATTAGAAACAATCTTCATGATTCACGGTTTATCATGAGGTTGCAGTAATTCAGTCACCTCTTCAGGCTCCACTTCTTTCTAGTTCTCTTGCTATTTCCACCAAATCTGCAGTTCATTCTTCCCCTAAAGTCTTGAACTTCTCAAAGTCCTCCATGAGGATTAGAATCAACTTCCTCCAAACTTCTGTTAATGTTGATATTTTTACCACCTCCCATGAATCATGAATGTTCCTAATGGCACCTAGAATGGTGAATTCTTCCAAAAGATTTACTTGCCCAGATCCTTCAAAGGAATCACTATCTATGGCAGCTGGAGCTTATGAAATGGATTTTTTAAATAATAAGACCTGAAAAATCTAAATCAGTCCTTGACTCATGAGTTGTAAATAGGTGTTCTGTTAGCAGGCATGAAAACAACATAAATCTCCTTGGGCCTCTCCATCAGAGTTCTTGGTTGACCAGGTGTGTGGCCAATGAGCAGTAAAATTTTGAAAGGAATTTGTTTTTTCTGAGCCATAGGTCTAAATGGTGAGTGTATAACATTCAGCAAACCATGCTTTAAACAGACGTGCTGTCATCCAGGCTTTGTTCTTCCATTTCTAGAGCATAGGCAAAGTAGATTTAGCATCATTCTTAGAGGCCTTAAGATTTTCAGAATGGTAAACAAGCACTGGCTTCAACTTAAAGTTAACAGCTGCATTAGCCATTGACAAGACAGCCTACCTATCCTGTGAAGCTTTGAAGTCAAGAATTGACTATTCTTCTCTAGCTATAAAAGTCCTATATGGCATCTTCTTTCAATATAAGCCTATGTCATCTACGTTGAAAATCTGTTTAGTGTAGCCACCTCATCAATGACCTAGGCTAGATCCTCTGGATAACTGGCTGCAGCTTTTGCTTTGGCACAAGCTGCTTCACCTTGTACTTTTGTTTTATGGAGATGGTTTCTTTCCTTAAACCTCATGAACTAACCTCTCCTAGCTTCCAACTTTTCATCCTCAGCTTCCTCACTTCTCTCAGCCTTCATAGAATTGAAGAGAGTTAGGGCCTTTCTCTGGATTAGGCTTTAACTTAAGGGAATGTTGTAGCCAGTTTGATCTTCTATACAGACCGTTAAAACTTTCTCCATAATAGCATAAGGGTGTTTACTTTTTTATTATTTGTGCAGTCACTGAAGTAGTACTTTTAATTTCCTTCAAAAACTTTTTCTTTGCTAACTGATTGGTGCAAGAGGCCTAGCTTTCTCCCTATCTCAGCTTTCAACACGCCTTTTTCACTAAGCTTAATTATTTCTAGCTTTTGATTTAAAGTTAGAGACTTGTGACTCTTCCTTTGACTTGAACACTTAGAGGACACTGTAGGATTGTTAATTAGCCTAATTTCAAGATTGTTGTCTCAGGGACTAGGAAGGTCTGCGAACAGGGAGAGAGGTTGGGGAATAACTGGTCATTGGAGCAGTAAGAACCACACAACATGTATTGATTTAATTCACCATTTTATATGGGCACAGTTCACAGCATCCAAAAAAATTACAGTAGTAACATCAAAGATCACTGATCACAGATCACCAGAACATGTATAATAATAAAAAAGGTTTCAAATATTGTAAGAATTATCAACATGTGACACAGAAACACAAAGTGAGCAAATGCTGTTGGGAAAATGTCACCAATAGACTTGTTTGATGCAGGGTTTCCACAAACTTCAATTTGTAAAACACATGATATCTGAAAAACACAATAAAGCAAAGCACAATAAAGTGAGGTATGCCTGTACTCATTTAGTATGAATCCCAAATGCAGGACAGTTTTATTATCTATCAACCTCATGTTAGAATTTTTAAGTTGTCTATTCCAATAACCTAATTTTACAGACAGCCAAAAGGTAGGGTTCTCCTCTTCCAAATTACTTAATTTTCAATTAATATCTTCTTAACTTCTAGTCTTTCCATCATCCACAAGGATATTAAGGAGGGTTTATGGTCCTTCATATGGATATCAGCTTTTGAAAGGTGTAAAGGATTAAAGTAGAGACTGCAATAATAAATTAAGATGGTAGATATAAGCTCAACTATATCAATAATTACATAAACATAAATTAGTCAAATTCACCCATTAACAGATAAAGAATGACAGATCAGATTTAAACAATACAAATATATGGTATTTAGAAAACTATATGGGTATGCAAAATAAAGTGTATATGAAGTTAAAAGTAATGAAGCAAAAGATCGTGTATTCTATTGAGCTCAGTATTTCTCAACTTCAACACTTTTAACATTTGAGGCTAGATAATATTTTACATGTATAATCCTGTATATTATAGAATGTTAACACCATCTCTGAACTCCCCTGCTGTGTAACTGTGTAACTCCCCTGCTGTCTAACATCCCCCTCCCCTGCTGTGTAAACCAAAAATGTCTCCAGACATTGCCAAGTGTCCCCTGGTGAAGGTGCAAAATTGCTCCCAATTGAGAAACACTGACCTAAAACAGGTTAGTTTTCCTATTTATTCATCAGTAAGAGGGCATTAATGATAGTATCTTTCCTCAAAGATGGTTATGAGGGTTTTATGAATTTACACATACATTGTAGAAAAAACTCTTGGCACAGAATGAGTATTTAAGTCATTTAAGAAACTGCTATCATATCAGCAGTAACGGTGGAAGGAATAGGAATAGGAGTATTATTGTAGTAAGGGTGTCTTCTTACAAAGGGTACATTTTCAACTTATATTCAAAACAACAAGCTGACTCTTCTGTAAAGGGGGAAATCTACTCATTTATTTAATCCTTGTACCTGTAGCAAGGATTGAGCTAGACTATGGGAATAAACTCATAAATACTTGCAGTAAGGTTATAAAAGCGGTAAGATGAAACCAAAAATGAAAAACAGGAGAGCTAGAGAGAGAAACAAGGATAATAGAAATCTAGTGAAATACAGAAAGACAGAGAGACATGCAGGCAGACCGACCAACAACTGTTACTATTTATTGGGCCACCTCAAATCCTAATATGAACCTGCAGACCCTCAGCTTTAGGGACTCAATTTAGCAACACAGAGCTCAGGAAACTAAAATAAAACGTGAGCCCAGCCTGAAATTTCTCCTGAGATACTTGAGAGAAATAAATAGAAAATGACCATTAGGAATAACCCACCATACCAAGACTCACAGTATTCTGAAAGATAAAGCCTCACTAACAATGAGTTCACAAATCACATAGAAAAGTCCCTGGCAGAGTTAACATTTTTGATAATGGTGATGGTGAAGACAGAGCTAACATTTTTTGAGCAATTATGTGTAATGCTCTTTTAATTATTTTAAATATAATATTAATTCCTAATATCTCGATAAAATAGATTATATCAATATGTTCATTTTACATTTGAAGAAAGAGAGGCTTTAATAGTTAATGTGTATTAAGATAACTCAGCTTGTACTTAGCAAGCTTGAGATTCAAACCATGCATTCTGACCCCAAAATGTTTTCTTAACCATTTCTAGATTGTTTCTTCATATAATAGACAAGCAAACTATGGCTAATGTCAGAAAACAAGAAATTAGAAACATAAGAAAAAAAACACTGTGAAAGAAGGAACAGATACATAGAACTTCCATAGAACTTCTGTAAAGAAACAAAGCAGTTATTGAAGTTGAAAACTCAATGGACAAGTTAAACAGTAAATTAGACACAATTAATTCTTTAGAGAGAGCCACGTAATGAAAAATAGATCTGAGGAAATAGATACCATACCACTGCAAAAAGAACCAAAGAGGTAGCAACTGAATAAATTATGTCATTCCAACATGTCTATTAGTAGTTACACAAGGAAAAAACAGATAAAATGAGACAAGATATGATGTCTGAGAATTTTCCGGAATTGAGGAAAACCATGAATATTCTCATTAAGAAGAACGTTGAGTTATATAAAGGATAAACAAAACAAGATACACATCTAGAAATCTTATTGAAAAATTCAGGAAACCAAAGACAAAGAGGAGGTCTTGGGAGCAACGAGGGAGGGAAAAAAAAGCCAGATTTGCTGAGAAAAAATATGTTTCAGACCAACATTAGTTTCTCTACACCAACCTTAGAAACTAATAAACAGCAAAATAATATCACTGAAACTTTGGGAAAATAAGCCATCAGCTTAGAATAGTATACCCACTTAAGCTGTCATTCAAGACTGAGGGTGTAATAAAGAAATTATAAGACAAAATTTGAGAGACATAATCCCTAACAGATCATCACTAAAAATAAAATAAAATAAAAAATAAATAAATAAATAAATAAAGCACTAAACAATGTACTTCATGAAGAAAGAACGTAAACCCAGAAGGAAGATATATGCTGCAAAATAGAATGATGAATTTTAAAAATGGATAAACTTGTAAGTAAACCTAAACAATACAAAATCATATAACAATGGTTTTGATCAACTTAGAAGTATCAAAACAAGGGGAAATTAATAATAAAAAGTCAACACATAAAATCAGTGGTGAGAGATTGGAAGAGTTAAAGAATTTTAAAGCCTTTGCATCATTCTGAAGTAGGGAGGGAGAGATACTGATTATCATAAACTGTTCTAAAGTACACTAAAAGAATGGAAACAGCATTAGAAAGAAACAAACTACCATAATGATTTTACTTTAACTAAACCTTGTGTTTTTGCAAATTCAAAACAATCCCCACCCAGAAACAGATTCTAAACAGAGAAAGTTACACCTTAGCAAAGACTTGCAGGGGTCAAAATGTGTTTTGGATAAACAAAAGAGGCTCTAACTAGAGTCTGATATCAGGAGTCAGGGAATAGTACTTTAGAACTGGAATATCAAGCCTCCTGCACCCTGGGTTGGAAAAACTCTTCAGGGCTCTGCGAAATCAATATTAAACTTTATCAGTGAATACCATTTGTCTTAGTCCATTTTCTGTTGTTATAGCAGAATACCACAGACTGGGTAATTGATAAAGAATGGAGGTTTATTTTGGCTCATGGTCCTGGATGCTGGAAGGTCCAAGAGCATGGTGCAAGCATCAGACCAGGGCCTCCTGCTGCTTTATAACATGGTGGGAGATATCACATGGCCAGAGAGGAAGCCAAGCTTGCTTTTTATAACAACTCACTCTCATGATAACTAACCCCCTCCCACAAAAACTAGCTTATTCCTTTAAGAATGACAGTAATCCATTCATGAGAGTGGAGGCCACACAACCAAAGCACCTCCCACTAGGCTCCACCTCCCAGCACTGCTGCAGTAAGAAATTAAGGTTCTAACAAATGAACTTTTGGTGGATACATTCAAACTATATCACCACCATAACATTAGTAAGATGAATATGAGAATTGTTAGGGAGCTTCTCAAAATCTCCACATGGAAGCAGCACAGCCACTCCCCTTCTCGATTCATTCGTCAGAACTTGTCACATGAATCTGCCCAACTGCAAGGGGATTAGAAAGTCCAGTTACCAAAATGCCAAGGAAAACAGGAAAAACTGAATAGTGGTAGGTATTAATAACGTGTACCTCATCATTTCACAAAATTCTGAGGTGCCATACTTTTTATGCCAGGCTAAAATAGATGAAATGTGTTTCATATTAAAAATAAATAGATAAGCTTAGAGTCCTTTCCCCACATCTCTGGATTTTTCTTTAGTCCTAGAGATCTGAATGACTACTGCAAATGAGAATAATATTTGATTATGTTAGAGTTCTTAGCTTATAAATATATATTGCAAGGTATTATGTTGCAATGCTTGATGTCATACATTTATTGATCACTTATTATGTGCCAGATATCATAGACACGGTGAATTACTTCTTCCATTTTGAATCTGTGAATGGAAAATAAAAACTCAGGACCCCAATTCACTATGCCAAAAGAAAAAAATTAAGCTGAAAGTTGAGTCATTTAAGAAGCTGCCTTTTCTTTTGTTACTAAGCAGACAGGTATAGATAAAAGGTTAAATATCTCCATAGGTAGGATGTATGTTCACCTTATCCTATGTAAAGTGCTAGATTTACTGAGCACAAGAGAAATACATAATTAACTCTTCTGCTACCTGCTCCTTTTCTCTTTCAACATGTGGATTATCATACCCTCCTTCTTTCTCCTCCAGCCCACTTTTCTCCTTTACCTATTGAAGCCCTCAAAATCATCTTCAGAGAAAGGCACAGGCCACGACTGTTTCTGTGATTCCATGCTTATTTTTTCCAGGAATATCCTTTACCTTGGCAAATAAACTAAATTGATTGAGACCTGTCTCAGATACTTTTTAGTTTACAAATCCAAGGTATTAGAGGCTCATAGATGTTAAATAACTTACTTAAGATACCCAAAACAGTAAAAGACAAAGTAAGTTCTTCATCCCTGGTTTCTAACATCAAGTGTTGGACTATTATCAGAATACTGTATTTTCACTCTTATGGCTGTACTGTCCAACCTGTCCATGGAAGTAAATAATTGTGCAGCAAAACATGTCCATTTGTTCATTCCCCCTTCAGGCTGACTCCCTGGATGGTGCTCCTTTGTTTGTATGTTTGTTTTGTTTCGTTTTTCTATACCTGGACACTCTTTCTTAATTGGTATTAAAGTTGACCCTCAGATTTGGCTTTGGAAAAATTCTCAGTATCCTTTGTCTATCAAATCAGTGGCTGCCTTTGACATACCCTCCAAGAGTCTAGTGGACATGCCCTCTGTCCAGCCCTCCTCTCCCACCTTAAGGAAGGCCTGCCCCTTCTGGAGTGTGTAGAGGAAGTTATTCATCTTTCCCCTATCCCACTTTAAATCTATGGTTTTAGTGGAAATTTGTGATACCTCGAACTTTGGCTATAATGACTGGGTATGCAACCCATCATGATCTGAACAGGGATTTTTCAAACTATAACAGAAAAAGGAGAAGAGGAGGTTACAGACTGAAAGAGAAAGGAAGGAAGGGAGAAAGAAAAAAAAGAGGGGTTTATTAGTTGTTAAGTTAAACAATTTAACTTAATCATCTTTTTTAAAGGGCTTATCTCCAAATATAATGTGTAGGTAGTAAGTAAGGGTTAAGAGCTTCAACACAGGAGTTTTGAGAGGTCACAAGTCATCCCATAACACAGAATGAGAGAGGGAGAATGAAAGGAGATAGAAATAGAAACACACACACACAAAGAGACAGAGATTGAGAGACAAAGTAAAAGAGTATCTTTTCTCTACAGTCTAGAGCAGTAAGGCAGAAAAGGGAAGGAGAAGTGGATGCACATAAAGAAACAAGGGTGGGTGAGGAAAATATTCTGGTTGGTAATTTTCTGGTTTTACTTTATCTTTGTCTTATTTATGGTCTCTATGGCATTCAATAAATTCCTTGAGCCCATCAGAAATGAATTTCCATTATGAATAACCTAAGTCCCCTGACCACTACAAAGAGGCTTGATTCAAATCTGGAGTCCAAATCTGCTTGGTCTTGACATGTAAATATCAGTATAAGCCTTCTGGAAGGAAATCCCAAGATTTGGGGGGTGGGGGGCTATATGTAAATTTTCTTCCTAGACAGAAATGTTCACACACGGATATGACCCTCTGAAATGGAACTCCTGATGTGAAGGAATGGTTTCATTATTCAAATTCTGAATAGATTTTACAAACAGGTAAAGGATATCATAATAAAAAATTAAATAATTATAAACATTAAAAAATACTTATTCTCATTACTTATCAAGGAAATTCAAATTTAAACCACAATGAGATACTATTTTTCTCCTCTTGGTTTTGGCCAGAGTGTGAGGAAAGGAACACCCTAATCTATTGCTGGCTACAATTATAAATTAGAAAATTCATTCTAGAGTGCAATTTGGCAATGTATTTCAAAAATCTTTGATCCAAAAATTTTACTTCTACAATTTTGATTGGAAAGAATTCTTCCTTAGAAAAAATAATTTTGGGGCTACTTACAAATTTGCATTTGCAAGAATATTTATAAACTATAATTTATTATGAAGATATCTGTAAATCACATAAATATCAATCAATAGGACATCAAGAGCAAAGCCACGGTAAGTATATACAATACTTTGTTTTAAACTCTTTTTTTTTTCTTTTTATTATTATACTTTAAGTTTTAGGGTACATGTGCACAACGTGCAGGTTTGTTACATATGTATACATGTGCCATGTAGGTGTGCTGCACCAATTAGCTCATCATTTAGCATTAGGTATATCTCCTAATGCTATCCCTCCCCCCTCCCCCCACCTCACAACCACAACAGTCCCCGGTGTGTGATGCTCGCCTTCCTGTGTCCATGTGATCTCACTGTTCAATTCCCACCTATGAGTGAGAACATGCGGTGTTTGGTTTTTTGTCCTTGTGATAGTTTCTTGAGAATGATGGTTTCCAGCTTCATCCATGTTCCTACAAAGGAAAGGAACTCATCATTTTTTATGGCTGCATAGTATTCCATGGTGTATATGTGCCACATTTTCTTAATCCAGTCTATCGCTGTTGGACATTTGGGTTGGTTCCAAGTCTTTGCTATTGTGAATAGTGCTGCAATAAACATACATGTGCACGTGTCTTTATAGCAGCATGATTTATAATCCTTTGGGTATATGCCCAGAAATGGGATGGCTGGGTCAAATGGTATTTCTAGTTCTAGATCCCTGAGGAATCCCCACACCAACTTCCACAATGGTTGAACTAGTTTACAGTCCCACCAACAGTGTAAAAGTGTTCCTATTTCTCCACATCCTCTCCAGCACCTGTTGCTTCCTGACTTTTTAATGATCGCCATTCTAACTGGTGTGAGATGGTATCTCATTGTGGTTTTGATTTGCATTTCTCTGATGGCCAGTGATGGTGAGCATTTTTTCATGTGTTTTTTGGCTGCATAAATGTCTTATTTTGAGAAGTGTCTGTTCATATCCTTTGCCCACTTTTTGGTGAGGTTGTTTGTTTTTTTCTTGTAAATTTGTTTGAGTTCATTGTAGATTCTGGATATTAGCCCTTTGTCAGATGAGTAGGTTGCAAAAATTTTCTCCCATTCTGTAGGTTGCCTGTTCACTCCAATGGTGGTTTCTTTTGCTGTGCAGAAGCTCTTTAGTTTAATTAGATCCCATTTGTCAATTTTGGCTTTTGTTGCCATTGCTTTTGGTGTTTTAGACATGAAGTCCTTGCCCATGCCTATGTCCTGAATGGTATTGCCTAGGTTTTCTTCTAGGGTTTTTATGGTTTTAGGTCTCACATGTAGGTCTTTAATCCATCTTGAATTCATTTTTGTATAAGGTGTAAGGAAAGGATCCAGTTTCAGCTTTCTACATATGGCTAGCCAGTTTTCCCAGAACCATTTATGAAGTAGGGAATCCTTTCCCCATTTCTTCTTTTTGTCAGGTTTGTCAAAGATCAGATAGTTGTAGATATGCAGCATTATTTCTGAGGGCTCTGCTCTGTTCCATTGGTCTATATCTCTGTTTTGGTATCAGTACCATGCTGTTTTGGTTACTGTAGCCTTGTAGTATAGTTTGAAGTCAGGTAGTGTGATGCCTCCAGCTTTGTTCTTTTGGCTTAGGACTGACTTGGAGATGTGGGCTCTTTTTTGGTTCCATATGAACTTTAGTTTTTTCCAATTCTGTGAAGAAAGGCTTTGGTAGCTTGATGGGGATGGCATTGAATCTATAAATTACCTTGGGCAGTATGGCCATTTTCACGATATTGATTCTTCCTACCCATGAGCATGGAATGTTCTTCCATTTGTTTGTATCTTCTTTTATTTCATTGAGCAGTGGTTTGTAGTTCTCCTTGAAGAGGTCCTTTACATCCCTTGTAAGTTGGATTCCTAGGTATTTTATGCTCTTTGAAGCAATTGTGAATGGGGGTTCACTCATGATTTGGCTCTCTGTTTGTCTGTTATTGGTGTATAAGAATGCTTGTGATTTTTGCACATTGATTTTGTATCCTGAGACTTTGCTGAAGTTGCTTATCAGCTTAAGGAGATTTTGGGCTGAGACAATGGGGTTTTCTAGATATACAGTCGTGTCATCTGCAAACAGGGACAATTTGACTTCCTCTTTTCCTAACTGAATGCCCTTTATTCCCTTCTCCTGCCTAATTGCCCTGGCCAGAACTTCCAACACTATGTTGAATAGGAGTGGTGAGAGAGGGCATCCCTGTCTTGTGCCAGTTTTCAAAGGGAATTATTCCAGTTTTTGTCCATTCAGTATGATATTGGCTGTGGGTTTGTCATAAATAGCTCTTATTATTTTGAGATATGTCCCATCAATACCTAATTTATTGAGAGTTTTTAGCATGAAGGTTGTTGAATTTTGTCAAAGGCCTTTTCTGCATCTATTGAGATAATCTCTTACTTAAAAGTGACAGAATGGACAGAATACCATTACTAGCTCAGATAAATTACTAGTTACTAAGATGCTAAGTATCTAATACTAATAGTATACTAATTCTAAGATAAATTACTAGTTACATTACTGCTAGCTAAGATAAAATAAGTAACTTAGTGTTTATGTAGCCAAAATCTCCAATAGTAGATCTGGTTTCAGGTACTGAGGAACTACGAATTCAAGTGATTAATTTAATAAATTTTTGTTGTGCACCTATTATAGTCAGGCAGTGGTTGAGGTTCTTAAGACACATTAATAAACAAAATAGAGAAAGTAATCCTGTCCCCGAAAGCTTGCATTTTATACTATGTGATGGGGTGTGGGGGTAGATGATGAACAAGTAAATTATGTAAAATGATATAAGATGATAGCTGCTGTCAGAACACAAGATACAATAGAATATCTAAATGATTATAATTTATGCATAAATTATAGGGTTAAACAATTGGCTACTTAGTGCATGCCTCGTAGAAAAGATGAACCTTGAGTGGAAACTTGAAGGAGATGATAAAGGAATTAGCCAAGCAAATACTGGGGGAAAAAAACATTCCAGGTAAAGCCAATGGCTAGAGTTAAAAGTTTCAATATAGATTCATGGCTGGTGTGTTCCGAGAACCTCTGAAGGCCTCTAGGGCTAGAGTGAAGTGAGATTGAGGGAAAGTTACAGAAGAGATAGCAAGGAACCAAATTAGATAGACCTTTGTAGGCCATTGTAAGGGCTTTGGTTTTTACCCTAGGGGATACAGGGAGTCACTGTAGGACTTTGAGTAGAAGAGGAACATGGTCTCTTTACTTGTTTGAAGGATCACCACATACTATTTCCCAGGCAGGGAGCAAGGACAGCATTGGAGTGTCTCTGTAGATCTCCCAGTGAGGAATGGCCGTGGATCTACCCAGGGTGTCATCAGAGGACATGGTGAGTGTAGTTGGACTCTGGGTACGTTTGAAGAAACTTACAACAGAATTTATGGACAGACTGTTTGCTTAGTGTAAGTGAGAGGGGTCAAAATCTTTGAGAAACTACAAGGATAGGGATGTGCAAGGCTGTGGGTAGAGTAGGCTAGGGTGTAGAGGAGATGAGGAGTTCAACTGAGGATATGAAATATTGTTATCAGAGAGCAGCAGCCTTTTCCTGTAGATCTTGCAGAAAAGCCTAAGGGAGGATCCTGGCCTGGCATCTGTGAAGCTGAACCACAGGAAACAGTTCCCTTTGTAGGTCAACTCTGGACTCATCACTCTGCTACTGGGAATTTTTTATCCTGGTCCCAGGATCCCCCTGTGAACAGATGGGTGGAGGACAGTGTCCCGCAGGGGAGAGGCTTGTGTTACTACCAGAGCTGGGAAGAGACACTAGGGAGGCAAAACATCCAATATTCCTTACTGTGCTTTCTTCTCTTTTTTAAAATAAATCTTTATATAAACTTTCTATATTCTAAGTTCTTTACAAATGAGTATTTACTTACTTTATCCTCATAATAATTCTATGAGGTATTAATTATTAATCCTCATTTTACACATAGGGAAACTGAGGAAGAGAGAAGTCAAATGACTTGCCCATTCAGGCCACACAGTTTGTAAGCAGCAGTGCAGAGTTTAAATCCAGACCATCTGGCTGTGCAAGCCACATTCTTACCATTGTGCTTTTTTAAATGATGATGGTGATTTTTATATATAGACAAGGAAACAGATCCAACAGTGTGCTACATTTTTTAAAAAGGATTTTCAAAATAGCACGATCAATATGATTTATTTACATATGAAACTTCACTTTAAAATACATGAATGGAAGGGTAGGTACCAGCAGGGCAGCAATAATAGCTAATATTTATTTAGAACCCAATATTATTCTAAAGAGTTTAAGTGCAGTGTTTCGCCTGAAACACCTAACAGCCCAATGAGGTAGCTTCTTTCATTATTCCCCTTTTATAAAAAAAGAAACCGAGGCACAGAACCTAAGACGTCCGTCCAAGAACACACAGTTAATAAGTAACAGGGCCAGGATTCAAGCCCTAGAAGCCTGGCTCCAGAATCCAAAAACCTTTTTTTATTTCTTTATAATTTTCTATATTCTCTAAAATTATTGCAACAGGGTAGTACCATTGTTACTGTTACACATAGCAATACAGCAATATTCATTTTGAAAAAGAAAAGTTTGTTTGATCACTAGTATCACAGTGGGAAAGAAATCCTATGTAACCATGGGGACTCCAATAACTAAATGTGATCTGTGGCATGGCGCACTGAAGGGTCCACGCTATTGGGAACTTTCTAAATTACATTGCCTTGGGTCTCATGAAGCAAACACTCTGCCTCCAACCCCTTTGCCAATAGCACACAGCAGGTTCACTTCTCAAAGTTATGCAAAGTGCATTGTGCAGGTGTCAGCATTGAGGCAGATAAAATTATTGCAATTATGAACTTCCAGCTGCTTTGTGCTCCCAGGGCGGTCCTTGCTGGGGGCCTCTGAAAGCACAGAGTAAACCAAAAGGATGTAAAGAAATAGGTAGCGTGGGCTGTATTGCATTTAAGCAGCAGAATCTGAAAAGGCAGAGTAAAATGGATATTTATGGGCATCTCAGGAGCTTCCTCTCCCTCAGGATTGGAGTCGGAGACTGCAAGCATTATAAGGACCACTCTTTTCAAAAAGAACAATAAGAACAAAGGCCCTAGCTAGCTGCCAAGACCCCTGCCAGCATCACCACTGTGCACTTCTAGACCTTCTAGCAGACTCCCCATGGAATCAAACTTCTGTTTTTCCACCTCCTGATTTATGAAGGATTCACACTGTCATCCCTCTCCACACTCCTTACTAGATCAAAAGATACTAAATAATTAATAATAATAATAATAATAATAATAATGAACTATGACCGTAGATTTTGCACCTTCTCCTGGTTCTATACTGTACAAAGCACATTAGTGTATAAACTCCAATTTTTACAGCAACCCTGCAATTTGCATACTTCTGATTCAGTTGTACAGGTGGGGAAGCTGAGGATTAGAGAGGTTAAGTGACACTTCCAAGGCCACACAGCTATGTAGTGTTGGTGTCAGAATTCAAGCCCAGGTTCAATGATTTCTGAGACCATAACCTGTCGACTCTAACAGATGGCTTCTTTTCTCAGACAATCTGAAATCTTTTGGTCCTATCACAGCTTCTGTAGCAGAGGGGAGGTGAAATAAATATTTGATTGATTAATTAAAATCAGTTATGTCTTCTGAGGAATTATAGGGGAAATTGAATGCTTATACTTCTTTACCACTGGGAACGTTCAGCCCTCACTCTTCTACTTCTTGGAGTTCAGCCTGTAGCTTTCAAAGCTCAGCCCAAGGGCCTCTGAAATCATTCAATATAGGGTGCATATACATCAAACATTTAACATATGTGACATATGCTGAGTTAATCCCAGTATCCTGGAAAGAACACCTCCAAAACCAGAAGTATGAAATTTTGCTCACCTAAAGATTCTGTTCTTCCTTGGCAGCACAGACTTGAGTAATCCATTAGACTCTCAGGCATGTTTCTTTCTCACCTAATGGGAAGCATGTGTGTTCTACTTCTTTTATAAGTCTGTTGGGAGAACAAAATTAAATTGAGCTAAACCATACACAACACTTAACACGAAGTGGCTGCCATATAGTATGCACTCAACAAATATTTGACTTGATGTTGCAGTTGTTCTTTCAAAGCATTGCAAAAATATAAAGTATTGTTACGTATATGATTATTATATTTTGCGTTCCCCCAAAATACACAGCGAGATCTGAGAAAGCAGGGACGCTGGGATTTTTTTTTCTTTCATCACATCTATGTCCAGACATTCGTCATCTTTCACCTGAATTACTTAAATAGCTGCTTAACTATTCCTTTTCCTTTTAACTTCTTTCCTCCAATTTATTCTCCACAATCAACAAAACAAATCTAAGTCCATTCTGTGAAAAAACCTATCAGGATGTCCCATTGCATAGGGAATAAAAGACAAAGTCTTTGGCATGTTACATAAAGTCTTCCATGACCATGAACTTATCTTCGAGCCTGATCTGCCTCTACGAAACCTCCCGCCCTATTTTCCATTAACCCTGTGGTCCATTTTATATGATTTCCCCTTGAAAGTAGGATTCCATTCTCATTATCTAGGCTGGTCCCATCTTCTGTAGCTCACTTTACCATCTTCTGCTTCTACCCCAGTGGACACAGGTACTACCTCTCCAATCAAGCCAAAGTTTTCTAATCCCCAAGCACACAAAAGTGCCCTTCCCTCTCAAACACTCAATCAGGAAAAGTCCTACCAATCTTCAAGACTGTGTTCAAATATCACTTTCTCAGGAATGTATTTCCTGACTCCCCTGGCTGAGTCAAATGAGCACTGAGTGCTCCATCAATACTTGGATCTCACTTTGATTACAGCACTTGTCACATTATATTGTGGATGTTTGCTACATGTCTTCACCATCCCACCATCTATACTATTAGTCCATAAGGCAGGAACCTCTGATCCATCTTTGTTTTTCTAGTTTCTAACACATAGAAAGCATTAAAAGTAATTCTAAATTTCAGAGGTAAAGAAAGAAAGCAAATATAATCAGAGGCCTTTCCCAAGCACTGTGTATAGGGAATTTTTCATTTGAATGTATTTGGTGCTATCATTAAAAATCATCAGAAAGGTAAATAATAAGAAGTGAAAGATGAAGAAGGCTGAAATGAGAATGGGAATAATATGGGAACTGGGAAAAATAATGATGACTATGCAATGGAATTGTCAGTGAAATGAGCAACTAACTTAAATTAGGAACTATTCACAAAAAAAAATTGTGAGGATAATTTGGAAAAAAGTTTAAGAAGAGCTTGTGTGGAAAATAGAAATTGTTAGCTTTTATATTTAACAATGACAGCTATTAGAACATGACATGGGAGCAAAAAGTAATTATGTATAACACAAGTTCAGCATGGTGGACACTCAACTCATGGTTACTGACTGATCAATTATTATTTGAAGAATGTGACCTGCAAGTTGTTTCTTTAGTTCATGGTACAACACGTGTATTAACTGCTTTAACTAAGTCAATATTACAAATATTCCAAAAATCAGTGTTTTAATCAGCCAGAGCTGCTATCACAAATTACCATAGACTAGGTGGCTTAAACAATAAACATTTATTTCTCAGAGTTCTGGAAGCTCGAAAGTCCAAGATCAAGATGCCAGCAGATTTGGAGTCTGGTGAGCACCAGCTTTATGGTTCATAGACGAAGCCTTCTTGCTGTGTCCTAACATGGTGGAAGAGACAGCTGAGCTCCCTTGGGCCTCTGGTATAAGTACACTAATCCCTTTCTTGAGGTCTCCAGTCTCATCACCTGATTACCTCCCAAAGGCTCCACCTCCAAATATAGTCACTCTGGGGATTAAATTTCAACAGATGAATTTTAGGAGGACACAAACTTTCAGTCTGTAACACAGTGTGAAAATATTTCTTACATACTTTATAAAAATAACATACCACAGAGGAACAGCATGGGCATGGAATGAAGGAGCATGAAACAATGGAGGTAACATGGCCGTTGGGAGTTCAAATCTCACCCTCCTTGTGTGATGTTGGAAACTCTAATTTCCTATCTATGTCTCCATTGTTTTTCCTCTTTAAAATGACGGGAACCACACCTTTTTCATAAAATTGTTACAAAAATTAAATGAGCTAAAATAGTAGGTTAGTTCTTTGATTTTTTTTTCTAAAAATTAATTGTTTTGGTCCAAAGAACAAGACCTGGTTACTGGTTCTGATCTTTCCTAGTTTTAAATGAACATCCATAAAAGGCAAACTGTCATATCACATTGAACTTTAATTTCAATAAAATGTGTATCTCATGCTCTTCTTCACTTCCCTGTGTAATCCTGGCACCTGCAAGGCTTGTGCTTGCTTCCGTCATTGCAGCGGCAGCAGCCTCATTATGAATTGTTCATAATTTCATCAAAGTCTGCATGTTTACTAACTTTGGGTCTGAGCTACAGCATTTTCATCTGTCATTTTTATATCAAACATATTCAAGGATCACACAAAACTGATAACCTGGGGAAGGCTTGCTCTCCTTTTGCTCTTGTTCCTGTCTCCTTTGATTTTCTAAATGGGAATTGTTCTAATGTGTGTGTATCTCAAAGCTGTCTGCATAATTCCAATTAAATGGACAGTGGACAAGTATTTATTGGGTGGGAGTGGGCCAGAAGCTAGGATGTACATTTTACATACATTATCTCTAAACCTATAATTTAGTAAACAAGCATGGTGACATGTAAAATCTATTTATAGCCCCTTATTACAGATGAGGAAACTGAGGCTCTGAGAAGGCCTAAAAGTTGGGTGACAGCAGAGCTGAGCTTCATGCGGGGATCTGTTTGACATCACAGCCTTTGCTCTTTCTGGGACATTAGGCAAACTCTCATGCTATAGCCTTTCTCCAAATGGCCTACCACTGTCACTCAGTTAATATATACTATAGTTTCTTGATTACATTTTCATTACTCTGGTCAAGTTGGAAAATTCCCTGACTGAAGTCATGAGTCCCTTATTTCTTGCTTCTTTGACTGAAATCTTGAATCTCTTATCAATTCTTGTTATCCATTCTCAAAGATTTGGAATCTATTTTCATAGTCTTCAGTTGCCAAGCATGCCCTTGATCCAAAACAAATAAATTACTAAGAAAAGCAGTGAGGTTGTCATGTGCTTCCCCCTAAATTCTATAGGCTGGTTTGGATGGAATAGAAGTGTCCTCAGGAGGCCGAGGCAGGCGGATCACGAGGTCAGGAGATCGAGACCATCCTGGCTAACATGGTGAAACCCCATATCTACTAAAAATATAAAAAATTAGCCAGGCATGGTGGCAGGTGCCTGTAGTCCCAGCTACTTGGGAGGCTGAGTCAGGAGAATGGTGTGAACCCAGGAGGCAGAGCTTGCAGTTAGCCAAGATCGAGCCACTGCACTCCACCACTCCACCCTGGGCGACAGAGCAAGACTCCATCTAAAAAAAAAAAAAAAAAAAAAAAAACAGTGTCCCTGCCCCCAGATCACTACAACTGAGAGCTGGCCATACCCACAAGAGCCCACCCTACCCATCAGTCACCCATTTTGTCCAAGCCATTTTCACAGTCAAATTCCTCACCAGGAGACATAGTAAAAGACCCATGGAACTTTAGGCCATGGCTGCCCTCTGATCACTTCAGACTTCCTTTGCCAAGACAGAAGAAAGCAAGGAAAGACTCACTATCCTGACAGGGGTAACTGATGGCCCATTCAGAGGATTTAAGTAGGTGACCCTCATTACCTGTTTCAGACCTCCACTGTTTCACAACTGGCATAGAAAAGAAAGAGTTTGATATTCAAGTGGCCCACAGACTGTTACTTGGTGATCTTTGCCTAATCTTGATGGTAATTAGTCAAGAACTGAAGCCACAGCCTGAGAAGAGCATAGTGACCAATGGCTCAGATTCCTCAGAGATGAGAGTCTGTGCCACTGATTAAGACCAGCATAGGTAGTAGCTAATGGTGAAGGGAAACTAGATTGATAAGGAAAACAATGTGATTCAGTTACAGCTCCAAGACCAGCTACAAAAGCAAGGGTTATACATTATCCTGCTAACCTTTTCTTATAAGTTTCCCCAAGAAAGACACAATCCAGGATCCTGGAGAAGTTGGTCTCCAATGGGCTAAACTTAACGTAAGCAACAAGCACATTTGAACAGAGCAAGAAGTGGGTTATGGTGGATGCTGTGATGTGCCACCCGTATCCCCTTCAGGACTGAGGCATTCACCTTCCCAGCTGCCAAGAGTGTGCCTGATGGAGGATCACCACTTTGCTCCTCTCTGGGAATTGCCTCCAGCCACAGGAATGAGCTACCCCAAAGGTTACATCCCCACTCCAGGGCAGCCCTCATCTAATGACTCATCTATGCAAAGGTACAAAACCCAGGCTCCTTGCCTCAGTTGGGACAACCCTGAAGAGCATCCTAGCTTCAGAGCCCCACATGTTTTTGGCTGAGTTATCCATGTTAACTGCATTCCAATTTAACTTTTCTATCTGCCCAATCCTGCTTTTCCTCACTTCCTCATGGAATACTCCCAATAAACCTCCTGAATACATATCAGATGTGTTTCTAGGAAACCTGGACAGATTTTACATCTATATAGTGTTTGTTCATTTCTTCGAACAATTATAATAATGACTGATTTACATTCCATTATCCTTTATCTTCCATCCCTCCTTTTCAATTTTATATCCAATCAATGAATTCACTGTGATCTATAGAGTCATTCATACTGTCTCGCCATCACAAACATACATTCTCTTCACTAAGTGTTTGACTCTGCTTTTTTTTCTCAAAATATTTTATGTAAGAATGAATATATTTTCTTGTTTTCCTATTTGACACCACTGTTTAACTCTTAAACAATTTAAATATTTCCCTCTGGGGAGACTGGAATTTATTTTGCATGATTACACAACATAAGATAGTCATTGCATTCTCTGTCTCTCTGGATGAAGGCTCTGTCTTAGGTAAGCAGTCTGCTACTTGCAACCTCTGCAACCTTAGACAACTCCTGATGTCTTTTCTTGGGTCAAGACTGTGGCTGATCTGTAGTCAGATGCATTATCCATTGTGCCACTAACCCTAGAAGAAAACCTAGGCAATACCATTCAGGACATAGGCATGAGCAAGGACTTCATGTCTAAAACACCAAAAGCAATGGCAACAAAAGCCAAAATTGAAAAATGGGATCTAATTAAACTAAAGAGCTTCTGCACAACAAAAGAAACCACCATCAGAGTGAACAGGCAACCTACAAAATGGGAGAAAATTTTTGCAACCTATTCATCTGACAAAGGGCTAATAGCCAGAATCTACAATGAACTCAAACAAATTTACAAGAAAAAAAAAAACAACCCCATCAAAAAGTGGGCAAAGGATATGAACAGACACTTCTCAAAAGAAGACATTTATGCAGCCAAAAAACACATGGAAAAAATGCTTATCTCACTGGCCATCAGAGAAATGCAAATCAAAACCACAATGAGATACCATCTCACACCAGTTAGAATGGCAATCATTAAAAAGTCAGGAAACAACAGGTGATGGAGAGGATGTGGAGAAATAGGAACACTTTTACACTGTTGGTGGGACTGTAAACTACTTCAACCATTGTAGAAGTCAGTGTGGTGATTCCTCAGGGATCTAGAGCTAGAAATACCATTTGACCCAGCCATCCCATTACTGGGTATACACCCAAAGGATTGTAAATCATGCTGCTATAAAGACACATGCACATGTATGTTTATTGCGGCACTATTCACAATAGCAAAGACTTGTAACCAACCCAAATGTCCAACAAAGATAGACTGGATTAAGAAAATGTGGCATATATACACCATGGAATACTATGCAGCCATAAAAATGATGAGTTCATGTCCTTTGTAGGGACATGAATGAAGCTGGAAACCATCATTCTCAACAAACTATCACAAGGACAAAAAACCAAACACCGCATGTTCTCACTCATAGGTGGGAATTGAACAATGAGAATGCATGGACACAGGAAGGCGAGCATCACACACCGGGGACTGTTGTGGGGTGGTGGGAGTGGGGAGGGTTAGCATTGGGAGATATACCTAATGCTAAATGACGAGTTGATGGGTGCAGCACACCAACATGTCATGTGTATACATAGGTAACAAACCTGCATGTTGTGCACGTGTACCCTAAAACTTAAAGTATAATAATAATAAAAAAGTAACAAAAAAAAAGAAAGTAATGAGTGAAAACATGAAGTTTGGTTATAAAATAAATAACGTAAAAAAATGTCATGAACATATTTAAAGTAGTCAGAAATATGAACAGCATTATTTTCTCATTTATATAGCAATTACCACAGGGCTTGTCCCAGATAGTAAAATATAGTTATGTTATTTTTCAAGATCTGTCCTTTAATCAGCCAAGGAATTTAATAGTTGATGTATGAGACAACTTTTTTGTATGTCCAAAAGATGACAGTTTTTCCCTTTAAGAATTCTACTCAATTTGTGTTTAACTCCATTTGACATGAGGTGATAGAAGAGTCTGAGTCCACCTGTCGAATATGTTGGTTTATTTTCAGTGCTTGAAGATACATTCACAAATACTTGGTCTGGGAAGACGCCATTTAATGTTAAGTCAATTTGCATGTTATAAATGTGTTTTATATTTAAATAAAGAGGAAAATTTTTTTTAAAATCTAAAACAAAAAAAAGACTGTGGCTGAGCAGCTTTATACTTTCCATTCTCCTTGTCATTATTCTGATTATCTTCAGGCCTGGGTCCTTGATACCCACAGAATGGGGCTGCCAGATTTAGCAAATAAAAGTACAGGAGACCTGGTTAAATTTAAATTTGAGATAAGCAAAAATGAAATTTTAATATAAGGGTGTACCAATTATTGCACGGACATCCATGCAATGATGGAAACATAGTTAAACTAAAAGTTATTTATTGCTTATATGAAACAAATTTAAGTGAATGTCCTGTATTTTATCTGGAAACCTTAACATAAACTATATTAGAAAATTTTTTAAAACTCTAGAACACTCACCATAGTCTTCAAAGTACTCGATTTGGAGACAGATTTGAGTTTGAATCCAAGCTCTTAGTTGTGTGACTGCAAGGTAGTTACTTGAATTTGCCAATTCTTGGTTTGTTAATCTGTAAAATAGGCATAATTGGACCTATCCCACTTTCCAGGTCCTGATAGGGATTGGAAATGGTGACAAGGATGTATGTTATAATATGAATATGTAAGCAGAGGCTCTAAGTTGACAGGATAAATACTGTACCTGGAAGCTATATCTTTGGTACAATGCTATGCACATTTTTAAGGATTTGCTTTATATTCATAAACTACTCTTCAGTAGGCTTGAGCCAATTTACGACTGGTAGATGGGAATGTCTGTTTTCTCTCCTAAACCAATGCCAAGTTATATTCAGTAATTTCAATAATTAGAATGTCTGTGATATTATCAAGTGTAGTTGATAAAAACTAATATTCATAGTCTAACCTTGCAGTGCAGTGTCATCTCACATGAATAATGGTTCTATTATCAGGAATGGATAATGCAGACTCCTTTACATGATGGATTGGTCAGGTTAAGCATAGTTTTCCCTTAGCAAATAAAAAATAACACATTATTACTTTATGTCTGACATACCAGCTAATGTCAAGGTTTAAATTGCCCCAGCCTCTGCCCACCCATTAAGAGATGATTTGCTCATTGGAATCTTATTGAAATGGATTTAGAGGAAGCTAATATATTGGAAAGAAAGCCTTCTAAAAGCCAGGACTGCCATTAGCGATCTTGAAGTCTTTACGAAAGTTACTAAACTTCTCTAGGACTATATTAATTAAAAGAGATAATCTCTCAACCCTTCCAGGCTGTGACAGTCTCTGAATCTATAGTTTGAGGTTTAATTACTGTTATATGAATATTAAACTCTAATTCATGTCTTACATAAAGATGTCATTCATTGAGCCCAGTGTTCTGTGTGAATCAGGTACTAAGGAATGCATTTAAGGAAGTTTTATTTACTTATTCTTTTATATATATTGATTCTCCTCAAATAATTTTCAATAAATGACTATGAGAACATTAATTAGGCCAAATTAATTAGGACAAAAACCAAGAGCCAAGAGTAGTGCAAGTAGAAAAAACTTTGGCTAATGATAACCATTATAGTAGAATGCCCAACTTAGTATGAGCTTCCTGGTTGGCAAGGCAAAAAGGACAATGCAATCAACCTCAGTAGACATGTACGTCTCAAAATCTGACCAATGGAGGAAAAATATCTGTTCTTCAGGAAAAAGTGTGTTTTCAATTTTGTTCTCTTCCACTAAATTCTATGTGGGCATTTACAAAAATCACTGTTGCATCATTGAAATGGCATATATCCTTATACGTGAGGATGTAAGGATACATGTCAAATATAAGGATATATGTCTATTTCCTTATATTAGGTCAAATACTTGAAGGTTCATGAACTCCCTCAGACATCCTTGATTTCACTTGACTATCCAAAATATAAATGTGGTACAAGGCATCATCAGAAGTCTTTGATACCTTTTTATAGCCTCAGTTCATGCCACCTGTTAGAGTAACTGTATACCTGTAACCATCTAAAATAATAGCCGTTAGTCATCTCTGCCTATTGGATATTTGCTGTACGGCTGGTTCAAATTGACATATGTCCTAGTGCAAAATATACACTGGATTTCAATACATACTGTTTTCAAGAAAAAAAGTAAAATATCTCATTATTAATTTTTATGTTAGAGAACATTGGTACTATTTGGATAAATTGAGTAAAAATGTTACTAAAATTCATTTCACCTGTTTCTTTTTACTTTTTATAACGTAGTCACCAGAAATTTAAGATTGCATATGTGGCTTGCATTTGTAGCTCATGTTATATTTCTACTGGGCAGCATCCACGTATAACAATAATAGTAATAAAATAATAGATTTTTGAGAAGCAAACAGGTGCAGACAGTTAGTGGTGCTGTAGATGTATTATTTCATTTTCCATACAGTAACACTTCATGTCAAACCGAGTCAGAGAGGCTTAGGTACTTGGTTCAACATTGCAAAACTAGTATGTGTCAGTTGCATAAACCAATTTCCAAAAAACTTTTCTCATCTTTTAAAGTTCTGAGTCTTCAGGTCCTCTTGAGAAGTTGTTCATTTTGTCACCATAATCACGTTAATCAATATTGTTCAGAGATCAGAGAACTGAATTAAAATAGGGCAGATTTAGGTTTCAGTCCCGTCTCTGCTATCAGCTTAGTTCTCCCCACCGGACCTCACTTTACCTTCTTCAACCAGATTATCTAATTAGCTAATGTATATTAATGTTATTATGCTTTAGGCACTTATCTAAGCACTTTACATACTAACTTATGCAAACATCATTACAATTTATAAGGCAGTTACTACTATAGGTGTATTTTTCAATGAAGAAACCAGGGCATTAAGAGGTTTATCAACCTTCTGAAGATCTTACCACCAGGAAATGGAGGAAGCAGAATTTGGACCAGTTTGTTTAGCTCCAGAATCCATGTGCATAAGTTCTAGTGGCACCAAGGGTGGAACCAGGAGGCAGTCTGTTCTGGGTGTGGGCAATAAGGAAGTGCATTGTCTTAAAGAACTTGAAAACAATAATACACCTTGCTAAACATCAGTCTGTTTATTGTCACCAAGCACTGGCAATTCTAAGTGATTTCAGGGAGAAAAATACATGTTTCTCCAAATTATTTGTTGGTCAAACAATTGCTGCTATTAATGTTGACTTTTATTGATGCGTGTATAAGTTTCAAATAGGCACATGCTTATTGCCCACTAATAAAAGATAAAGTTAATTCAGAGGACTCTCAATTCTAGAGTAGGCCCTAACACAGGCAGGACCAGCTGCACACATTGGTTTAGAGAGTAAGTTTGTAACAATTAGGAATCATTTAGACTCCATTCAGGTACAGGTGTAGTTTGTATCTCCAACCTCTGTGGTAGTACATGTTTTTATATTTAACCAACAGTTGAAAAATAAACAATGAGAGTAGAGTGATGGCAAAGATAAAGAAAAAGTGTCTGAGTTGCTTCCATTCTATCCTTCTATGTGGCAATGGGGAATGTTTATTTCTGTTTAAAATGTCAAACAATCTGATTTTAGTTATTTCTTGCCTTCTGCTAGCTTTTGAATGTGTTTGCTCTTGCTTTCTAGTTATTTTAATTGTGAGGTTAGGGTGTCAATTTTTGATCTTTCCTGCTTTCTCTTGTGGGCATTTAGTGCTATAAATTTCCCTCTACACACTGCTTTGAATGCGTCCCAGAGATTCTGGTATGTTGTGTCTTTGTTCTCATTGGTTTCAAAGAACATCTTTATTTCTGCCTTCATTTCGTTATGTACCCAGTAGTCATTCAGGAGCAGGTTGTTCAGTTTCCATGTAGTTGAGCGGTTTTGAGTGAGATTCTTAATCCTGAGTTCTAGTTTGATTGCACTGTGGTCTGAGAGATAGTTTGTTATAATTTCTGTTCTTTTACATTTGCTGAGGAGAGCTTTACTTCCAAGTATGTGGTCAATTTTGGAATAGGTGTGGTGTGGTGCCGAAAAAAATGTGTATTCTGTTGATTTGGGGTGGAGAGTTCTGTAGATGTCTATTAGGTCCGCTTGGTGCAGAGCTGAGTTCAATTCCTGGGTATCCTTGTTGACTTTCTGTCTCGTTGATCTGTCTAATGTTGACAGTGGGGTGTTAAAGTCTCCCATTATTAATGTGTGGGAGTCTAAGTCTCTTTGTAGGTCACTCAGGACTTGCTTTATGAATCTGGGTGCTCCTGTATTGGGTGCATATATATTTAGGATAGTTAGCTCTTCCTGTTGAATTGATCCCTTTACCATTATGTAATGGCCTTCTTTGTCTCTTTTGATCTTTGTTGGTTTTAAGTCTGTTTTATCAGAGACTAGGATTGCAACCCCTGCCTTTTTTTGTTCTCCATTTGCTTGGTAGATCTTCCTCCATCCTTTTATTTTGAGCCTATGTGTGTCTCTGCACATGAGATGGGTTTCCTGAATACAGCACACTGATGGGTCTTGACCCTTTATCCAATTTGCCAGTCTGTGTCTTTTAATTGGAGCATTTAGTCCAGAGCAGAACTGAAGGAAATAGAGACATAAAAAACCCTTCAAAAAATTAATGAATCCAGGAGCTGGTTTTTTGAAAGGATCAACAAAATAGACTGCTAGCAAGACTAATAAAGAAAAAAAGAGAGAAGAATCAAATAGCTGCAATAAAAAATGATAAAGGGGATATCACCACCAATCCCACAGAAATACAAACTACTATCAGAGAATACTACAAACACCTCTATGCAAATAAACTAGAAAATCTAGAAGAAATGGATAAATTCCTCGACACATGCACTCTCCCAAGACTAAACGAGGAAGAAGTTGAATGTCTGAATAGACCAATAACAGGATCTGAAATTGTGGCAATAATCAATAGTTTACCAACCAAAAAGAGTCCAGGACCAGATGAATTCACAGCCGAACTCTACCAGAGCTACAAGGAGGAACTGGTACCATTCCTTCTGAAACTATTCCTTTCAATAGAAAAAGAGGGAATCCTCCCTAACTCATTTTATGAGGCCAGCATCATTCTGATACCAAAGCCAGGCAGAGACACAACCAAAAAAGAGAATTTTAGACCAATATCCTTGATGAACATTGATGCAAAAATCCTCAATAAAATACTGGCAAAACGAATCCAGCAGCACATCAAAAAGCTTATCCACCATGATCAAGTGGGTTTCATCCCTGGGATGCAAGGCTGGTTCAATATATGCAAATCAATAAATGTAATCCAGCATATAAACAGAGCCAAAGACAAAAACCACATGATTATCTCAATAGATGCAGAAAAGGCCTTTGACAAAATTCAACAACTCTTCATGCTAAAAACTCTCAATAAATTAGGTATTGATGGGACGTATTTCAAAATAATAAGAGCTATCTATGACAAACCCACAGTCAATATCATACTGAATGGGCAAAAACTGGAAGCATTCCCTTTGAAAACTGGCACAAGACAGGGATGCCCTCTCTCACCACTCCTCTTCAACATAGTGTTGGAAGTTCTGGCCAGGGCAATTAGGCAGGAGAAGGAAATAAAGGGTATTCAATTAGGAAAAGAGGAAGTCAAATTGTCCCTGTTTGCAGATGACATGATTGTATATCTAGAAAACCCCATCGTCTCAGCCCAAAATCTCCTTAAGCTGATAAGCAACTTCAGCAAAGTCTCAGGATACAAAATCAATGTACAAATTCACAAGCATTCTTCTACACCAACAACAGACAAACAGAGAGCCAAATCATGAGTGAACTTCCATTCACAATTGCTTGAAAGAGAATAAAATACCTAGGAATCCAACTTACAAGGCATGTGAAGGACCTCTTCAAGGAGAACTACAAACCACTGCTCAATGAAATAAAAGAGGATACAAACAAATGGAAGAACATTCCATGCTCATGCGTAGGAAGAATCAGTATCGTGAAAATGGCCATACTGCCCAAGGTAATTTACAGATTCAATGCCATCCCCATCAAGCTACCAATGCCTTTCTTCACAGAATTGGAAAAAACTACTTTAAAGTTCATATGGAACCAAAAAAGAGCCCGCATTGCCAAGTCAATCCTAAGCCAAAAGAACAAAGCTGGAGGCATCACACTACCTGACTTCAAACTATACTACAAGGCTACAGTAACCAAAACAGCATGGTACTGGTACCAAAACAGAGATATAGATCAATGGAACAGAACAGAGCCCTCAGAAATAACGCCACATATCTACAACTCTCTGATCTTTGACAAACCTGACAAAAACAAGCAATGGGGAAAGGATTCCCTATTTAATAAATGGTGCTGGGAAAACTGGCTAGCCATATGTAGAAAGCTGAAACTGGATCCCTTCCTTACACCTTATACAAAAATCAATTCAAGATGGATTAAAGACTTAAACGTTAGACCTAAAACCATATAAACCCTAGAAGAACACCTAGGCATTACCACTCAGGACATAGGCATGGGCAAGGACTTCATGTCTAAAATACCAAAAGCAATGGCAACAAAAGCCAAAATTGACAAATGGGATCTAATTAAACTAAAGAGCTTCTGCACAGCAAAAGAAACTACCATCAGAGTGAACAGGCAACCTACAAAATGGGAGAAAATTTTCGCAACCTACTCATCTGACAAAGGGCTAATTTCCAGAATCTACAATGAACTCCAACAAATTTACAAGAAAAAAACAAACAATCCCATCAAAAAGTGGGCGAAGGACATGAACAGACACTTCTCAAAAGAAGACATTTATGCAGCCAAAAAATACATGAAAAAATGCTCATCATCACTGGCCATCAGAGAAATGCAAATCAAAACCACAATGAGATACCATCTCACACCAGTTAGAATGGCAATCATTAAAAAGTCAGGAAACAACAGGTGATGGAGAGGATGTGTAGAAATAGGAACACTTCTACACTGTTGGTGGGACTGTAAACTAGTTCAACCATTGTGGAAGTCAGTGTGGCGATTCCTCAGGGATCTAGAACTAGAAATACCATTTGACCCAGCAATCCCATTACTGGGTATATACTCAAAGGACTATAAATCATGCTGCTATAAAGACATGCACACGTATGTTTATTGTGGCATTATTCACAATAGCAAAGACTTGGAACCAACCCAAATGTCCAACAATGATAGACTGGATTAAGAAAATGTGGCACATATACATCATGGAATACTATGCAGCCATAAAAAATGATGAGTTCATGTCCTTTGTAGGGACATGGATGAAATTGGAAATCATCATTCTCAGTAAACTATCGCAAGAACAAAAAACCAAACACTGCATATTCTCACTCATAGGTGGGAACTGAACAGTGAGATCACATGGACACAGGAAGGGGAACATCACACTCTGGGGACTGTTGTGGGGTGGGGGGAGGGGGGAGGGATAGCGTTGGGAGATATACCTAATGCTAGATGACGAGTTAGTGGGTGCAGCGCACCAGCATGGCACATGTATACATATGTAACTAACCTGCACATTGTGCACATGTACCCTAAAACTTAAAGTATAATAATAATAAAATAAAATAAAATAAAATAAAATAAAATAATTTAAAAAATAAATAAATAAATAAAATAAAATGTCAAACAATCACGCAGTGTGAAATCCAAAATGAAATATTTTCATTTGCGAAGTAAGAATTTTAGTTTATTCATAAAATATATTCATTCCATTACACAATTATTATTGAAAATGCTTGTGCCCTGCAGAAGAAGGAGGTATCAAAAACAGACCTAATTTGGGTATCAACTATGCTGTATCTACCACTTAACTCTCAGAGTTTCTGGAAACAGCAGCCTCTCTGCATGTCCTGCCTGATCTAAAATGCCATGTTTTATGATTATATCAACTCTCAATCTTCCTGTTTCAGAATGCAGGCAGTTCAGAGTGCCTGAAATCCTTCTAAAAAATTGAAGCAGGGAATAAATAAACAAAGCTTATTTACACCGGGCCCCCTCCGTCATTTTCTTCATTTTATTCTGGACCTTCTTGACAGTGTTTCTCAGAAATGTAATTCCCAGACCACAATATAAAGGTGATGTTTCTTTGTGGCTTTGAGCCCAAAGTCCTCCCCAACTTCATTTCCAAGGAAACTCTTGCAGTTACCCTGGATGTGCCATGATCTTCCTCTCTTTCATACATACATGTCTGTTCCTCCCTCTACCTGGAGAGTCTCCCTACGCTCCTTCTCTCTGACCCACCTTAGGCTTTGGAAAAAGCCCACCTCCTCCTTTAGGATTCATCTTACATGTGAACATCCCATGGGAAAACCCTCCTGAAAAAGTTACTGGTTACTTATTTATTGAACACATACAATAATCCTCACATTGCTGGTTTACAGGTCCACTTCCTCTTACCTCACCTTAAAAGTGACCTGCTGAAGTTTAGGAATAACTTTCTCTGTATTTTGCTAACTAAGAGGCCTGGAACAAAATCTGTCTCCTAGTATTGCTTCAATAAATCTTTAGCTAATAAATTCATGAATGAGGTCCAATGTTTTCTGAATGCTTAGGTTGATGTCCCTAGGGAAGAATATGATAATATTTAAAACAATAAGGAAAATTATCTAAGCCTGAGTTTCCTGGAAAATAGACTGAGGCAAATCTTAATGTCTGAATACAATGCCTGGCCACAAGAGAAAGGAACCAAAGGGAAGACAGAGAAGGAAGAAGGAAAAACACAAGCTTGGCAAGACTAAACTGTTCCAAGTTTCAGACAAAAATATATTGGTCATGGGACATGTCCCTGGAAAACTGGAATGGAACTAGTGTGTTTCACTGCCTCAGAGGGAAGAATGAGCAATTTCTCCGCCAGCTCTTTGGCGTCTCTGTGTCTCACTGGTCCAAGTTCACCCCATAGGATGTGAACTCCTCCATAGTCCTTGGCTATGTTGCCTGAACCCTACAGACAGCCTCTTGGGAAGCTGGAGCCTTGTGGGTCTGCTGGGGTCAGACAAGGTCTGCTGCTGCCACAGTTCTCAGCACTGGGGGCTCCATGGAGGCCACTGCTGAAGCCTGACTCTTGTCCCCAGAAGAGGCAGTGGCAGGACACAGATGATGGGGGCCTTAGCCAGGTTTGCTGCTGCAGAAATGGCAGGAACCAAATTTGGGAAAAGAGCAAGTGACCAATGCTAAGCAGCTCATCAGAAGTGCATCAGCTAGGTTCACTACGTAATGATTAATAACAAATAGCACCTGATGTGTACTAAGCACTTACACTGGATCAGACTCCATATTGGGTCCTGGGATCACAGTGGTGAGCAAAAAAATGACATAGTCCTTTTTCATAGAGTGTAAATGGTTTGATGAAGAAAGCAGACATTAATCAAACAATCACCAAGTAAATGAAAAATCATAAATTTGAAAAGCACAACCAAGAAAAAAGTTCTTCATAAGTTTATGTCAAAGTTTATGTCGTCTTTTCAAATCCTGTGACAGGAGCTATTCGCCAAATAAGGGTGTCAGGGAAAGATTCACTAAGTGTATAAGAATGAAGTAGAAATATTAAGGATAAAAAGGGGTTATGGAGGTCAAGAGAATGGAGGAGGAAAATACAGACGTACGAGCAGCGGTGGGCAGAGGCCCATTGGTTATGTGGAGAACGTGCTTAGAAGATGTGATGAAAGAAGTTGCTGGCTGGGTGTGGTGGCTCACGCTTGTAATCCCAGCACTTTGGGAGGCCGAGATGGGCAGATCACCTGAGTTCAGGAGTTCGAGACCAGCCTGGCCAACATGGCAAAACCCTGTGTCTACTAAAAATACAAAAATTAGCCAGACGCGGTGGCGAATGCCTGTAGTCCCAGCTACTTGAAAGGCTGAGGCTGGAGAATTGCTTGAACCCATGAAACAGAGCTTGCAGTGAGCCAAGATCACAGCACTGCACTGTAGCCTGGGTGACAGAGCAAGACTCCATCAAAAAAAAAAACAAAAAGAAAAGAAAGAAAGATGTTGAAGATGTTGCTCAGGGCCAGGTGAAGATGGAGAGCTAGACAGAGGATGGCTCAAAGGAGGCCATGGAGTCCATACAGGCAAATTTATGGAATTGCTTCCATAAAAGCAACAGGAAGCTACCAGAAGAATGCAAGGAGACCAATGAAGAAGCTAGCTTAGCTTGTACTGAAGAAGAGATGATGGAGTTGAAAATAAATGCAGACAGATTTGAGGCTGACTATGGCAAAATGTCTCACAATAGTAATGGGACAAAACTGGAGAATGGTTATAGCAGGCTATTATAATAACCTTAATTTTACTCCAGCCTTATATGGCTTAAAAACTGTGAGTTATGCATACGCTGGTATTATTTTTCTCCTGAGTGCATTACTTTATAGTTTCCTGGATCATGTACCTTTTTCTACTCTCTCCTGAGACAATGAAGCACTTTTTCCTATCAGCCAGGTATTCCACAAAGCAAAACATCCTCTACCCATAGAAGGATTATCTTCTCATTCCCTCTGTTGTAATGTTTAATAACATTTTACAATGAGTACTTGTATGGATTTCTGAGATTATTCATTTTCTTAAAATAATTATGATAACAATGGAAATCATATTTATTATAACCAACATCTTAATTTTCTGGTTTGGATGGAGTGTCCTCTATTCTTGAGAAGCTTTGCACAGATCTGCAAAGCACAAGAGCAGAAAGCAAAAGAGAGTGACCAGTTACATTTTGCATGAATGCAGGCAAGACTCAACCTCACTGCTTACTCATCCTCATCTTCACAAAGACAGAAAACAATCACCAGATTATTGTATAAGTGAGAGTTTTCAGTTAAAACAAACTATAAATCACTTATAACAAGAATTATTAAAATTACAATAGGGAATTGTAAAAGTATTATTTAGTATAGTGCAAAACAGTATACTAAAAGATTTTTATGACAATATAAAATATCATACTATTATTCCATATTATACCAGTAATTCAAGAAATCTTTATAAAACATAATGATGATAAGAACAGACAAAATACAAAGTAATGCAGAGGATATTAAATATTAAACTTCTATAAAACATCCAAATAAAATGCCATCAAAATTGTAATAGGTAACTTGAACTTACTTCTATGATAACTTCTATTTTATACTGGATTTTATGCTTGAATTGGCCACATACAATTTCTAATTGATATTTTTAGATGAAGCCCTTTTCAAAGTTTTTAATGGTTACCACAACTGAAAACTGCCTTTGTTCAGGTAGGTGATAATAAAATGTAAATCTATTTTTAAAACCCTTCAATATTTGCAATAGCTGAAATTAAATTTACAGAATCCAGAAGATCTTTTTCTCCTTTAGTTGATGAAAGTAATAAGTACATTTCTTGCCATAATGTAAATAGATTTCAAATGCAATCAACCATTTTTATAAAAAATATTTCAAAACAATGAAGAAATTCTCATCTGAAAACATGTGAGTTGCTAAAGTGATTATCCTCTACAGCTAGTTTGGACAGAAAGAAGATAAAAGAACTATCACTAGAAGAGCATAGCAACCACAGATAGAACAGAAGGATCCAGTATTGTGAAGACTGAGCCTCTGGGCTGGCCCCTGAAGTTGTGGCTTCTAGTCCTTGAAGAAGCTGCCTTCCAGATTTTCCACCACTCCCACAACCTAGGCTACAGGCCATGCTCCCAGGGCATCTGGAACATAAACTTCCTACACTCTGCAGACATGTGGTCCACAAAGGGCAGAATAGTGCTTCATGACTGAGGCTCCCCTAGCTAAGTTTCACAATTCACAGTCTAATAAGAATAGCCAGATATTGCTTATTCTGGTCGTTGCGTGCAGTGGCCTCACTTGACCTCAGCCATCAGTCCCCACTCTTCACCTAAAAACTCCTATGAGTCGGTGAAGTCAACAGACAATGGGATTCATCAATATCATCTTCTCAGGATAAAAACACAAAGGCATCCTCGCCACCCACTTCCAACCACTGTCTGGAAAATGCTGGCTTAGAGGAACATTCTTCAGCCTCAGTGAAGAGAAAGGCAAGAGTCTATGTTCATAAGATACTTGCAAATTTAGTATTAGCACAGCAGGTGTGCTGGCATTCTGAAGGGATTGTAATCAGATTCAAATCAATATGCCCTGGTGTTTCAAGTGGTCTTGTCCGTGATGCAGTGGAATACAGCTCTGTCTCCTGAACCCTTGTCCAAGTAGTGTGGAAATTTTACTTATCAAGGACAAATCTGAGCTTTTAAATTTAAAGGTGAACATGAGTCAACAGAACATTAGATATGCAGGTTGAAATAATTAAGGTACAACTGCATCCAAGTAACACCTCAGAAGCAGATTAGTAGACATAAAGCTCATTCATATTCCACAGCTCTTGTCAGATGATAAAGAGTTCAACATAATTCAACTGGTGGCTTTTGTTTGGTAGAGCAATTATCAAGTGGAAATCATGATTCATTACAAATGTCATCAGTCTCTTAAAAACGATTATATATTTCTTTGCCTGGAAGACATCTCCTCCAATTTCTTTCTTGTTTAAATTCTTAATTTTCTGCCTAGGAAAACCTCTAAAACAGAAAAAACTAAATTTCTCAATCTTACACATGGCTTTAGGCATGTCACTTAAGATCTGTGATCCAGTTTTTCATTTATAAACCAAACAAATGAGCTGAAATTATATATGAGGCTGCATAACTTTAAAATTCTAGAATGTTATGTTTGATTTATTTCCACAAGTCACTCAATTGATTTGGAATATTTTTCTCAGAAACTGTACATTTTCCCCAATATAAAATGTTATTTGGATTATCATTGAAACTCAAGAAAATTAAATAATGGCATAAAATGGTACAAGCTTTAGGTAACATGAGCAGAGAGAGAGATGGCATTATTTATCTTTGCATCCTCAGGGTTGTTTGGTGTGTATTCAGTGCTCAGTAGATATCTGATAGATTCAAAGAAGGATCTTTGCTGAACACATAACCTTCCATGATTGTTTTGGTGGATTTATTTTCCTTGCTTGTTTTGCTTTTGTTTTTGAAAGGGAACTTCTTAGCTTGAACTTTTCAATACTAAAGCTGTGTGACATATAGGAATTGAAAAGGCCCCAATACAGATAAAATCATCCGCAGATATCTTTCTTGGTTCATACCAGCTTCACCCTAACCTTTGGCATCATGTATAAGGCTGTTTTCTTAGGCTATGCCCTTGACCCACTTATCAGACCATTCATTCCTTTCAAGTACCTACTCTGGGTGCAAAGTCTATGGAGGTCAATAAAAACAAACAACCGTCTAGCTTTCATGGAGCTTATATTCTAAAGGAGAAAGACAGGGGGAAAACATCTAAATATGTGACAAAGAAAACTTTCAGAAGGCAATAAGCTTTATGAAGAAAAATATATAACTGGAAACAAGGATAACGGGGAGAATTGGGGTGAGGAGGCACTTCAGCTAGGGTGCTTCCAGAGAGGTCATTTTAGGGAGATCACATGACAAAATAAAGGCAGTCTGTGGAAGATCTTGGAACCCCGTGAAAAGTCACAGGCAAGGGCAAGCACTAAAGTCCTAATAGGAGACCTTGAAGAGTGGCAGGAGGAATATAGGTCATCATGGCCATAGTGTCCCAAGAAAGAGAAAAAAAGAGATGAGAAATTGAAAAGTTAGAGGACGATATTCCAGTCTCTACTGACTGCTTAGTACTTGTGTGGAGTCAACACATTTCATTTGCCCTCTTTGAACCTCCGTGTATTCCTGTATATTAGGGAATAATACTTGCTTCACAGGATGGCTGTGAGGATTCCACACAACAAAAGTCTTTCAGTGCCATCCCATGATATGCCAAATGAAATTCAAAGTCCCTAACACAGCCACCCAGGAGGCATGGCTACCTCTCTAACGTCACTTCAGCTGCTTGACACAAATACAATACATCTTTGCAGTCCCTCAAATGAGTCAAGATTTTCCTCTTTACTTTATATGTTTCCCCCCATCTTTCTCCTTTAGAATATAAGCTCCATGAAAGTGAGACTATTGTTTGTTTTATTTACCACCATAGGCTTTACATACAGCATGGGTACTTGAAAGGCATGTATGGTTCAGTAAATGCATCAAGGGCATAGCCTAAGAAATGAGAGGAAAATCTCGACTCGCTCGAGGGAGTGCAAAGACATGTTGTATCCTTGTTGAGCAGCTGTAGTGAAGTGCAGTGAGTCTGTGCCTCTCACTGGTGTTCCCTTTAATTGAAATACCCTCTACCTTCTTCTTGCCTTATCTCACTTTCACTTGAGTATCAACTAGCTCAAGCAATACTTCTCGATGGGAACTTCCCTGATATTTCCAGTGTGGTGACTATGCCCTTTGCCTGTAGTCCAACGACACACTAAGCACCAGGGACAGCATGCTCAGTGTATAGCCACTATGGTTTGTCTCACCCTGTCTATTATACACCCCTTGAGAACAGACACAATGCCATATTTTCACGCCAGACTCCAACATAACCTGGAACAAGCAGGGGTCCAAGAATGTTTATTGAGCAACCCTCATGTCAACTGGAGTCCCTCGATGCTGAAGATGTGGACATAACTGACACCCACTGTGAGGTTCAAATTTCCAGAGTTAGTCAAGGTAAGATGGGCCATTTCATAATAACAAATCTCAATGGCTTGATACAAATAAGAATTATTTCTTACTCATGTAACCTGTTTAACCAAGGTTTGAGGGGGAATCTGCTCTTTGTTGTTCTCAGGGACTGAAGAAGACAGAGGCTCCTTTTTGATGCCTGATTCCTCAGACAGTGCCACAGTGGCAAGGGAAGATGGACCGCTGCACACAGGCTCACACAGCTTCTCCAGGAGGTGACACATGATGCTTCTGTTCATATTTCATTGCCCTTCAAAGAAACAGGGCCACGCCAAATTTCAGAGAAGGGAGAAGCTAAATCTTACCATGTTTCCAGAACAAAATAATGTTTGTGAACAGATATAATAAATAGCACATCTCCCTCACTCTCAATTAATTCCCAGAGGCTTATACACCTGTAGTCCCTCTGACCCTCAGCCATAGGATCCACATGTATCATCTCTATTATATGTAACAGATTTAGATGCAAAAATTAAACTCCAACTTTAACAAATTTCTTTAAGTTTACCCATATTGAATATTTTGTGTGTTTGGGGAAATCTAATGAAGACCAAGGACCAAGGGCTCACTTGCCTAGAAACCATTTTAGTCCCCAATTATTTTAGTCTTTACTCTGACCTCCAAAATTCCTCGAGCCACAAATTTATACAGAACTCCTTCAATTCTCTAACCCTTAAACTTAAACATTCAAATGGGCAAAGTACCCAGTAGAACAAGAGCCCCCCAATGTTCAGGAGTCTCCTTCTTCAGAAAGTACTTTAGTGGTAGTCATAGTTCTAATTGGTTTCTTTGTTATGTTTGAATAGTGAAATGAGTGGTGAATAAATGAATGAATAAAGAACAAAAAGAATACTGAAGAACTCTGTGCACTTTAAAACACTTAACCAACCGCAGTTTTTATCTGGATATTTGGCTTAAATGCTTTCTAAGGTGATAGTAAGCTGTGGTGTATACAGGACTCATTCAGTCTTTTAGTGACTAATTGGTGACAGTGAACAAACGCTTTGGACGCTAATGAATGAAGTGCCAGAGCTTGTGTGGTGTTCTAGTTTTAATTTGCAGCTTGCCCCAACTTTGTCAGTCTTTTTCTCTTGTTTAAAGATCTGGCTAAACAATTCTCGAAGGCTCATTTTCTGATTTCCCATAAAGTGCTCAGTTGCCCAGTTAGCTAGAATTTTCATGAGAACAAATACATTCCAAGAGCTAACTGTGATGGAGAAGAAAAGTCTGCACATGTGTGCATACATACACACACACAAACAAGTGAGCAGGAATACACACAATATGCAACAATTCATTCCAAAATGTCACCTGAGCTTAAAGTCCTATAGTCATCAGTGCCATCTACCAGGTGTTCAGGATAGAGATGATTTGGCTGGTGCTCTGCTCTCTTGGCAGTTATATTATATTAGAGTTAGCATTAAGGGCCATTTCTGTGTAGCAGCTTCTTCACCTTTATCTAAAGTAAAATCTAGGACCCACCAGTAGATAGTTAGTGATATTGGACAAGTCACTTAATATTTCTGAATTTCATTTTCTGTACCTCTGATAATTAATAGCAACAGGGCCATAATAATAATAGTAGCAACACCTTATACACATTAGACATCTAGATGCATGCATAATTCTACTTAATTCTCTGTCCCTCTCTCTCTCTCTTTCTCTTCTCTTCTCTTCTCTTCTCTTCTCTTCTCTTCTCTTCTCTTCTCTTCTCTTCTCTCTCTTATACACACATGCACACACAGATACCATATTTACTAGTACTAGTATCCTTCTCCAGCCAGACCGGAATATTCTTGCAAAGATTCAGCTTGACATTGTTACACAAATCCATCTTGCCCCCCTAAACTCCCCCATTCTAGTATAGGTAGGAGTTTGCTTTACCTTTGAAGAAACAAGTCTGTATAAAGTATTTTTTCTGAATAACATACAGAGAAAGGAACAGATGGAGGGATAGAATGGGGAGAAGAAAGAAAAAAGGGAGAGAGGGAGGGAAGGAAGGAAGGAGGGAAAGAGGAAAGAAGGAAGGAAGGAAAAAGTTAGCCTTTCCCCAAAAAAATAATGCCTAAAAAGAAACTGTTAGCAGCTTCATAGTAGCACTCTGATCCACTAGAGAATGAATGCTTACCTGTGCCAAGGACTTCACAGTGTCTCATTTGTATCTTAGATACATTTTGTGATATATACTATTATTCCTGGTTTGTAGATGAAGACATTGAAGCGGAGGGAAGTTAAGTGACATGGCCAAGGTCACAGAGCTGTCAAGGGGAAAAGTCAGGATTCAAAGCCAGATCTCACTCCTCGACTGTGTTCACCCCACTCACATCAATTTACCCGTCCTGCAATGAGTAGACCTGGGTTCCAGTGTTAACTTTGCCTCTAGCTGGTGTCATGATTGTGGGAAACTCTTTTATCTTCTCTGTTACCTCACCTATCAAATTAAAGGGTATGAGTCTCCACATTTCTTCCTTCCATAAATTAAGGCTTAGTTATAACCACAACATACTGTATTTCTTAGAATACGACATCACTATTTTATACATTACTAAAAAATTGAAAATTCTACTAAACTATGAAGCAATGTTTTATCACTTTGAATTTTAACTTTCTACATATTTTAAAAGCTTTTTAGGTATAACCAAATAAAGATTTTATCATATATTACACTTGGATACATGTAAAAAGGAAAATGTAAGAGAAATTGGGAGATACAGTCCTGAAACTTTTGAAGTGATCCTCTTTAGAATAACTTCTCAACATCGGTATCCATATTTTCCAGAAAATATCATCTTCTATCTGTACCATCAAGGGTGCTGCATCCTTTCATTTCTTAAATGGCATTTGCAATTCTCTCCTGGAATCTCTCCCAAGCAGTTCACCACCATTCTTCAAGTTTTCATCTGGGCACTTCCTGTATTTTACCAGATCACATCAACAGAATATTTTTTTAGACAACCTCATGGAGATATAATGTCAAATGGTAAATTTGTGGTCCTTTGTCAATTTGAGGGCCTGGAGAAAAGGGGCTTCCTATGTTGGAACCCCCATTCAGGGCCATCACTTCACTCCAAGTCATCTTACCATGGAAACTCTTAGATAAGTTTAGTTGGGAACTTAGGCTCTGGGCACATGGAGAACTCATGACCAAATCCTGCCTTGGATCCATCAGCCTCACCAAGCCAAAGAACTCTGCTCTGTCTTAGATGACCTCCTTCTGGGTTCTATGCCATGAACTCTATTTATTGGCAACCTTCCTGGGATTTGTAAGAAGTACACTCAAACCTAATTAATCAATCTGATGAATAGTATGCACAGTCATTAAAGAATCACCACAGCTTTAATGAAGACAAAAGAGCACCAGATGTCCCTTGGATCAGACCTTGGGCTATTCTGTCTCATCCCTCCCTATTCTTTCTTTCCTGGCCTGACTCCTCCCAGCCTTCAATTCGTTTTCATCAGACCTTCTGGTGTCTCTTGTGTCCTTTCTCCTGGGATTTGGAGGCAGGCACACCAACTTTAAAGCTTCTGCTGTTACTGGATCCCATTCTTGAATCATCCAAATAAATCACTGCGTGAGCTTCACGAGGCTTGCTTTCCTCAACTGTATTGTGGGAAGAATGATATCTACCCTGCAGGATTGCTGTGCAGATTAAATACAATAAAGAATTTGAAAGCGCAGGGTTCACACTGAGTAACTGCACGGTACCATCCTTCCTTCTCACTCTTTTGCCTTTCTCAGTCGTTTCTTCCGTTCTTCCTTCCTCTTCCCCTTTTATATCTTGGTCTTTTCAAAACCTGCTCCAACTTTTATCCCCCCATCCCCTTCCTCTCTCCTTCTCTTTCCCTCTTCCTTTCTTTATTTCTTTCCTCTCTCCTTTTCTCTCCTCTTCCAGGCTACCTCTTTTCCTCCACCTCTTCTTTTACCAACTAAAGTTAACACGAACACAGTAGATCTGAGAGTTCTCTGGATGTCTAGCAAGACTGGCAAGTTTTTAAAAGACTAAAGCACAAGAATAGTAATTGAAGGGGCAAAGAGATAATGGTGTTTGTGTTTGTTGCTATCTTTCTTTTAATATATTTGCTAGTGAGGAATATACAATAAAATGGGAGACTGAGCAGGCCAGGAGAAAAGAAAGGGACCAGCCTCTCCTATTTGATATCTCCTATTTTATATGTTGTATTAATTGTCAACACAGGAAAATAGATATGGCTCACTTTGAAAAGTTTCAAATATTTGAGCACTTTAAATCTGTTTGCAGTCACATACATAATTTGACTGAGCTATAAGGAAAATTAAAGGGTGTTTTTGGTTTTTATGTTTCTGGATTTTTTGCAACACAGTTTAACTGTTACCTGAACATTGGTTCTTCTCTTTGCCTGAACTATAGTCCCAAATAGATTTCTCTTATCACCATTGTCAACCTGGAAGGGTAAAACAGTCACATCAATCCTGTTTCTCATTTCTGCAGCTTCCCTTGCAGTTTTACATGGTCATGTGTTCCAGTTCCAATGACATCTAAGTAGAGTCTGCCAAGGAGGTGGCTTGGGGAAAAGCTTTTACTTCCTAATGAAAACAGGATAGATGTTCAAGGCTGGAAGGCAGAGTGCTGCCCTCATCCCTTCCTTCCTGACTTGAATGCAGATGTGATGACTTGTCCTACAGTAGCCATCTTAAGACCACGAGACCCATAAAAATTACCACCCAAGTACCTTCGAGACTCTGACTCTGCTTGCAACCACCTACCTAGAGAAAACTAAACAACCATCTAGTTAAGCTAGTTATTCAGATATACTGCAACTTGTAGCCAAAAATGTTACTAGTCAATAGTCTCCTGGTCTTTGGAGAAAAGTTAGAGTCCAACCGTCTCAGATCTAAGTGGGGAAGTTACACCAGATACATCCAAATGCATTCAAAGTATCTTCCTACGGTTCTTATAAGGATAAAATCAGATAATGCAGGTGAAGTACTAGCACTACACCTGATAAATAGTAGGTGCCTAAATTCCTGGTCTCATTTTCCTTAGGAGGGATCACTCAATGAAGAAGCATCTCAATTAGAGCCCAGTGAAACATTCCCAATGATGTAGGCTCTCATTTCCTTATTTTGTTTGCTCTGGTCTAGCTCATAAGTATAAATTTTCTCCTAATCTGGCTAACTCTGCTTCTATGGTTAGCCAACATCAGAGTCATTATTCAGTTAGTTAGTTATCAAGACTGGGTCATTTTTTACTCATTCATTAAAAACTGTTTACTGAGCTTCTGCTGTTACCAAGCACTGGGGAAAGAATGACAAATAAGAGAGAATGGTGCTTGTCTTGGAAGAGCTTACACTCTAATCAGAGAAGACAAAAAAAAAAAAAAAGCTAACAACTAAGTAAGATAATTGCAGATTGTAAGATGTGCTATACAGGAAATAAACAAGTTTGTTTGGAAAATTCTGGGAGCAAGGAACTTAAATGCAATGGTCAAGGATCACTTCTCTGAGGTGACTTCTGAGTGACACCACAAAATGGCAGCTAAGCAATGATCCAGAAAAGCACTCTAGACAAAGAGAACACCAAGCAACAGTGAAGGGCAGCTTGTCCTTTCCACCTTTGCTTCTTAGCTAATACTTGCACTTTAGTGCCTATTTATCATTCAAAGTCTGGTGAAAATCTCTTCTCCTGCTATATCCACAGCATGCATCCATGTGCACGTAAACTAATTAATGAACATTCATTTGACCATTAAGTAATTAATTAATTGTAAGTGTAAAATATTACTAACTCCAACAGGAAGCAAGTTAACAATTTTAAACAAAGAAGTGATATTATCACTTTTACATGCTGGCTCCTGCCCCAAGTCACTCATTACTCTATTAAAATAAAAATGATCATTGAAACCACACAACACTTCTTCTTTATAATGAATTATATAATTATCTCTATGTATAATGAATTAAAAACAAAGAAATGCTTTTCTGTCATTCTTACTAGTGTGTAACTGAAGCTCATTACTTTGGTCTTGTTTTGCTGTTTTGTTTGTTTGTTTGAGACAGATTCTTACCCTGTCACCTAGGCTGGAGTACAGTGGCGTGATTATGGCTCACTGCAGCCTTCTCAACCTCCTTGGGTTAAGCAATCCTTCTACCTCAGCCTCCTGAGTAACTGGTATTACAGGTGCATGCCACTACACCTGGCTAATTTTTTTATTTTTTGTAGCAATGGGATTTTGTCATGTTGCTCAGACTCCTGAGTTCAAGCAATCCTCCTGCTTTGGCCTCCCAAAATGCTGGGATTACAGGCATGAGCCACCATTACAAGCCTTTTTTTTTTTGCTTTTTCTTTCAAAAAAACTTAAAACCTACTGGACAGTCAGATAGTATATTAGCTACCTATTGCTGCATAACAAATAGCCCCAAAACTTAGGGGCTTAAAACAATAAACATTAATTATCTCACCGTGTATATGGGTCAGAAATTTAAGAGTAGGTTAATTGGGTGATTTTGGCTCAGCATGTCTCATGATGTTTCAGTCAAGCTCTTAGCTAGAACTGCAGTCAACTGAAGGCTTGACTGTGACTGGAAAATTTACTTTCAAGATAATTGACCAATGGCTGCTGGAAGGAAGTATCAGTTATTTGCTGGCTATCGGTATGGGGCCTCAGTTTCTTGCTACATGTGGCAACCTAAATATCCAACATGGTGGCTGGCTTCCCCAAAAGTGGGCACTCCAAGAAGAGTAAATCATATGCCACAATGTCCTTATGACTTAGCACTGGGAGTAATGTGCCACCATTTATGTTGCACTATGTCAGCAACACAGACTAATTTGAACACATCATTGAAGGCAAATATATATGGGCATGAATACCAAGAGGTATGGGATCATTGGGAATCATCTTGCAGTTTGGCTACTAAGACAAACAAAGGGGAGGTGACTTGTTAGGGCTGAGATAGAGATGTACAGTTTGCTAAGAAAAGAGCTAGTAGGTAATATAAAAATAAACCTGTTGCCTGTCCAAGAATCAGCCATGACATGCTTCTTTTTATCAGATCTCTTGATCCCTAGGAAGGCTGCCTCAGGACCCGGCTTAAGGGTAAGCATAGGTTACAGTTCTGGCCAATGAGATATATGTGGAAGTCTTCTACGAGTTTCTGGAAAGACATTTTTCACTTCTGATAAGAAGGAGGTATTCAGGGGGAACTCCTGGCTGTATTACTACCCTTGTGAGAGTGAATGAATGTTTAGAGAAGTTGCAACCATCTTGTGACCATGAGGAAAGGTCAAAGTTACTCTTGAGTTGCCAGCACAAAGCCCCCGATATAACTGGAATCCTGATCCACCAGCAAATCCCTACATCCATGCTTCTTGCTGTGTAAGAAAAACAAACTCCTATTTGTTTAAGCCACTCTTATAGTTTTCTCATTAACGGTAGCCGAAAGCATTTCTAACTTATACAGACATCTAACAGACATAGGAGGCTAAGGGAAGTTTCTTAGAGAAGGTGACATCCATGCTAAGAGCAAAAAGATGCATACAAAGACTCCAGGCAAAGGAAACAGTAAGAGAACAGGACACCTTTGGGGAACTAAATGAAGTTAAGTGTGGTTGAAGCACTAAGAGCAAGAGGGGTAGAAGTGAAAGATGGGGCTGGAGAGAGAAAAAATAGCCAGTCCTGGAGATGTTTGCCTTCTATTTTAAGGCATTTGAGGGTAAAGCAGAGTTATCACAAAATTCAAAGCAAGAGAGTGACATGATCAGCTAGGTGGAGGGAGAGGGGAGGGTTGTTCTTTGATAGGTATAAAATTTCAATCATGCAGGGCTGAGAGGGGATTCTGGGGACCTGTTGTACAACAATGTGGATGTTGTGGACAATATTGAACTGCACACTTGGAAATTGGTGGGAGGGTCAGTCTTACGTCTTATGTGTATTTTTTCCACTATTAAGAAAAAGAGTAGCATGATAATATTTTTAATTTAGACTGATCACAGCAGCTGAAGAAAGGAGGCAAACTACAGCTAAGAGATTCAGTGTCTACTGAAATCATCTAGGTGAGGGAGGATGGTGGTCAAAATACGAAAACAGGAGTGCAGCAGTGGAGTGAAACAGAAGAAAGTTGAGAACTATTTTGTTGGTATTCAGTAAGTCTTGTTTATTGAGAATGTGGAATGAGGTGAGTGCATACATACTGAATGTTTCCCACGTGTGATGCATTGTACCAAGTGCTTTGCATGAATTACCTTTGATCTACATAAAATTTGGCAAAATTTTACTTTTCCACCATATTGTGAAAGTTCAAAACGGTTACATAACTTGTTCAAGGTCACAGAGATAAAACATCGTAAGTCCAAAGATTTTGATAAAGTATTTTTCTGAAATTTTGTCTAATTTTCTTCAGTTCTTCACTTCAGGGGGAAAGGATTTGTTTTATACCAAAAAATGCCTTTGTATACCATAACAAAACAATATTTATCACTATGGTTGTGTTTTACTGTTTTACTTATTTATTTTTTAAATACCAGTTTGACCAACTACATTGATTTCACAACCCCACAAGTCAGTTGGAACCCACAGTGTGGAAAAAAACTGATCTAGGAGGATTTCATACATTTCATACATTTAGTATATGTGGATGCCACTTTCAAGTATTAATTCATGAGATTTACTGTGTATGCCCCTTTTTCCATTCCCTCATTCAATTTTTCTGTCAATCGCTTCAAGAAAGGAGTAGCAGAGACAAACTATTCTTTCCATCTTTCCAGTTTTTATTTTTCCAAAAATGTATCCCAAAAGAAAACTTAAAGGTTTTAGAGGTACAAGAAGTTACAAGGAACAAGGAAAAACAGAAGAAGGCAGGAAAAGTCAGATATGCTCAAAAAACAAGGATTCTCACTAGACTAGAAAGCAGTTCTCTGCAACTGGTGGGGTTGGGTGAAGAGTCTGTGCATCCTAAATAATGGCTTTTTGGTATATCCTGGAGAAGGCACAGCATCCTAAAGTAGAAGGACAATGTGCTATGTCAAGTAAATGGGATCATGGGCAGACCTGTACAAAGGTTCACCTGTCTACTTGTTGAACAAAAGCAATGCAGAATGCTGCTGGACCCACAGGATAGGACCACATGGGTAGGACCAACAAAAGCCTAAGTGGTGACCTTTGTGAATGAACAGTCAAAGACCAGAAGACAAGCACATGCATGAGGGCATCCCCCACACACATCTGGCACTGCATTAGCACCTAGAACTATAGCATCTTCCTGGGATTAGGAGGGTACAGGTGAAAGTCCCAAGAAGGATGTGGGTTAAATGTCTCACCAACTGTGCAGAAACAGAAATACATTGATTCTGAAAGGGAAAGAGATATTTTTTATGCTAAATTAATGAATTAAGATTAATATATGCAATGATATCAATGCGACTATATAAATGTATTTGCATTATAATGTCTAAAAAGTGCTAGCTTAGTCAACATAAACATCAATAGCCCACATGGAGAAAACAGTAATAGAGTGAAATATTTTTAAAAATAAGTCTGTGATATTAAAATAGCCATCAGATAGATTTTTTTAAGAGGATAAGGGAAAATTATCTGCTTTATTTCCCAATGGGTCTGCTCATTTTTTGCCCCAAGACTTCATATAGGTACCAAATTAAAATGCATAGCCAAAAGAAGATTTAGTGACACGACTGCACTAGCTGGAAACCCACTTTTTCTTTGCTTTCATTACTGCTTTTCATTACCTTATGTTACTAATCATTTCTCTCATGGTGTGTGTGAGTGTGTGTGTGTGTGTGTGTGTGTATGTGTTCTTTTTATTTTAGGACTTCAGTAAGTAAAGTCTTAATTACTGATGTCATAGTTAGCTCATCCTCTAGTTAAACCAGCATCAAGAGAATCATCTTTTAAGAAGAAAATATTTAAGTCTATCTCCCTTGCAGTTTTCTTCTTCTGACTGCCTGATGGATGAGCTATGCCTTTCTTGTCTCAGAATTGTTTTCCCACTGATGAGACACTCTTCTCCTTCCAGGCACCAGAATCTAATTTAAACTAGTTCCTGTGAAGATCCAAAATGTCTACAAACATTTTTTCCTGTATTTTTCAAGGCAGAGAAAATATAAGATAAAAGTAACATAGACATCTTCTGTATTCTATTGTGTATTGTACTGCATTCCAGATGAAATGTGAGTGCAAAGTTTTTAATTCATAGAACTTTTCAAAGATGATCCCTATGTATCTAAGACATTGACATTTCCTGGAGTGCTGTCAAAGCAGCTGATACTTTTGATATTTCCTAAGAGTAATTCTTCCAGGCAAGGCAGGCATGTAATATTCCTTTAAGGATTTTCTACTTTGGAAGCTGCTTTGTCACAAACACCCTCCTTCCCTTTGGAAACAGGATCTCTCTGGTTTCATGTCCCCTTCCTGAACTGAGTCCATCTTTTCTTTTACATGTGAATATTTTATATGTCTTCAGTAAGTGTCAGAGTTTCTATGCGTACTTAGCAAAGGTTATGGCTCTTAAAAAATTTAAATTCATATATTAATATAATCAACCTAGGAAGTCAAAGGTACATCAAGGGAGAAAACAAATTTCCTTTTCTTAAACATATCTACTGTAAATGTGGCCAATGGTATGTAGCAACATCACTAAACAAATAAGTTATTTTCCAGTGAAACAATAGGATATTTCCCCCACCACCACAACTACCTAAATGAAATAAATTACACCAAGTTAAGTATTTTCGTTAAACTCAATTGTGAAAGTCTGGTTTTTTTCTATAAATTATAGAAATAGTGTCTAAGTTTTGAACAGAAACAGAATTAGTAGGCCCTCCATTCAAACAATAAAGAGTTCTACTACCTTCATCTGCGATTCAGGCTCATCCTAACAGATTTCTCAAAGTCTAAATGTCTCAGAAGTTTCTTATTTACTTTGCCTTTGAAAACTCAAAAAAGTGACATTTTTATTTCTATCAGTTACTGACTGCTTATGACAGCATTTTTATTGAGCATGTGGATGTCAGATTCCTGCAATACAACTTTAAGCATTGGATTTAACCACGAGATCCTGGGCAAGGTACTTAGCCACATGAAGCCTCGGTACTCAGTATCCTAGTCAGTAAGATGGAAATAATAAAATAGAGAAGGACCTAATTCACATAATTACTAGAATGATTAAATGGGACATTTGTAAAAAATCTTAAGAAAGAGCTGACACCTAGTAGGTGCTAAATCGTGGCTAACATTATTATTATCTTATTATCTCTATGTAAATTATAGTTGCTAGAAGTTGGGGGATATGGGCCCAAGGAAAATCAGTTTTTCGCTTCAGGGAGCTCACTGTTTCATGGGGAGGAGTGACAGATACATACGCCAATGGCTAGTCCCTGTATAAGGGACCATACCAAAAGTACCCATAACAGACTATTAAACAGAGAAGGAAGTCATTAGTTCTCAATGGGGATATCAGGAAAGTTCTCATGCAGAGACAACATTGCTCAAACTTTGAAGGATGAGGTAAGCAAGTATATTCAGGGAGGAATACAGGGGAAGAGGAGGAAGTTGTGTGCAAAAAGACACTGAATTGTTAAAACGCTGTCCTCAGATCACAGTAGAGACCCTGCCTTAATAAATATGCAGAGGATAAATGAAAGCATTATGAAAGATCTATCATAGCTTCAAAAGAATGTGTGGACTTCTCTTGATTTTTTCCCTTTCACTCTCTTTCTTTCTTTCTTTCTTCTTCTTTCTTTCTTTGACGGAGTTTCACTCTTGTCGCCCACGCTGGAGTGCAATGGCGTGATCTCGGTTCACTGCAACCTCTGCCTCCCGAGTTGAGGTGATTCTCTTACCTCAGCCTCCCGAGTAGCTGGGATTACAGGCATGCGCCACCACACCTAGCTAGTTTTTGTATTTTTAGGAGATAGGGGGTTTCACCATGTTGGCCAGGATGGTCTCATTCTCTTGACCTCGTGATCCGCCGGCCTCGGCCTCCCGAAGTGCTGGGATTACAGGCGTGAGCCACCGCCCCCAGCCGACTTCTCTTGTTTTAAGTGGCTCTTAATCATTTGGTGGTTTGCATATTCCAAAAAGCTTCTAAATATTTGTGTTGAACCAATGCTTTCATTCAAAAACAGAATGCTTCTTGGGCTGAATGGCACTATGTCATCCCAACAAGAAGAACATCGGAATCTAATTGTGTCATCCATGTTCTTATTTTAAAACAATCTACGGTAACACCCTTCCAGCCATGAAGCGTTCAGTCAGTTGAACAGATGTGATGTGTTCTCCCTGATGCATTAGCTTCAACCTCTGAGTTCATGAAATTGAGTTTCTTTCTGTAGCATGCTGTGTTCATTCATCAGCCTGAGTCATTTTATCTGATTGGGTCCAATCTCCCCCTCCTTGGCCCGCCTCCTTTTGCTGCTGAATAAATCATCCTGGGAGCTGTCCAGGTTGGAGAAAGATTTTCATAGGAAAGTTCCAACTGCATCCAGCCCCTCATTTATTCAGGCTGAGTCCTTAGGGCCCCAAGGAGAAAGAAGTGAGAAAATAAAGTGATGCCTTCCATTGCCAAGTTTGCTAATATGGTCATTAGCACAGATGCCTTCGGGCAATGCCCGCAGAGAGAGGACACAGCTACCCACACATTCTGGCATAGGGTCTATAGGACAGCCTTCCCAGCTGTGCTCCGTCTGGGTTCCCATCTCAAGTTAAGAGACTCATTACCCACCCGAGTTCCAGTAGGGTGAGGCTGATGAGTCCAAGAAATTCAGGAAGGAAGAAGCAAGAAGCATTTCTTTGACAGGAATGTAATTGCAGGGGTTATTTCATTAAGGGCTAGATAACTGTAACACAGAGTTGTTTGAGGTACTTTTACCCTTAACTTCCAGGCCCATGGGATAGGCCAACTATTCTGGGAGATCTTTAATGTTAACAGATTAATTCATCTACAAGCAGAGTTAAAAATAGAATCAGCCGTCTATCTATTTAAAGTTGAGCGTTTCATTTTGGCTTTCTTGGGGGATGGTAGAATACAACTTAAAAGGATTGAAATTAAAGAAGTCTTTTCCAGGGAGTGAACGAAATTCTAGAAATCTACTGGTTAGGGATTGGGGGGAATATTAGAGGATTCTTTTCTCTTCCTTCTGGAATTCTGTGTGCAAGGCAGGTGGCCCGTTTTGGGTTTAACCCGAAGCCGAAATGCGTGGGGAGAAAAACAGGAATTAAAAAGCAAAGAATTAAACCCCGCGTTTCTGGGACACGGCCGACAGAAATAACCCTGGAGACAGTGTATGTGGTTGGGGGTGGGGGTATCGAAATTATTTTTCCTTAGGACAGGCAGGAGGGAAGGGAGCTTCTCTTCTTGCTCAGGAGGGACTGAGGGGGCGGCAAGGCAAGGCGGTCATTTGGGCTTTCATGGGACGCCACGGGGAGCCGCGAACGCGCCCAGGGCCTGACGTCATTGGCCATCAGCTGACTGTGCTCTGGGCCCGGGCTCCACTGGCTGCAGCCGCAGTCTTGGTGGAGGAGGTGGTGACCACCACCGCTCCTCCACCTGCATCCGGCTGCGGGACTGCGGCGGCCGCGTTTGCCCTGCAGACCCTGCACCCCGGGACGCGGCTCATCTGTCATTAGCACCGGCACTAAGCTCCCACCGCTCAGCGACTTGGTCCGCCGCAAGCTCCGCCGCAGGCTTTGTCCGCTAGCGCTCGGCTGAGTCTGGGCGGGCGGGAAACCTGGGCTAGGGCGAGGCGGGGCCCCTGGACATGCCTTTCTCCACGTCCGCCTCCTCGACCCTATTGTAAGCGGAGAAACTTAGTGTGCGAGGCAGGCAGGGGACGTCCCCATTTTGATGTCCCGTACCCTCCACCCCCTTCGGATCGAGGTAGTAAAGAGGCTCCTGTAGGAAACTGACTGCCTCTATGATTGCGGCCTCTTGGGGGATTTTGCGTTTAGCCCGAAAGTTGGCTTTGCCAAAAGACGCACGGGTAGGAAGGGCGAAAAGGAAACCCTGTATTCCGTCGCGCTGGGCTCTCCGAGTCCGTGCGCAAAGCGGCCTACGAGTCCTGGCTCCGCACCTGCAGAGGACAAGAGCCAATGCCTAAAAAAGAACAGCGGAGGAACCGGCTGGCGCGGCCAGCTGGAACGCTGGATCGCAGTGCGCCCAGGGAAGGCCGGGGGCGCCCGCCGGCCCTAGCCCTCAGTGGTCCTCTCCCACGCCGGCCCGCGCGTGCCTCTGCCTACAAGACCTGGGGCGTCCTGGCCAGATCTGGATGGCAGGTCCCTCCGCCACCCCCGGCCCGGTTCCGGGGGCGTGGCTTGGCGCGGGGGCGGGTTTAAGTCACCGCGGGTGTCTGACCACTCTGACAGGTCTCCAAATTTCTCCCAGTCGCCTGGCGCCCGCGGTGCGTTTCAGAGCTCCAGGGTGGCACGCGGCGGCGCTTCCCTAGATCCAGAGGCGTCTCTGTCGACTTCCACGCGGCCTCGGGCCTCCCTTCTCCTCCAAACCTTCGCCTCATCCGCCAAGCTTCGGTTCTCAGCCTCAGATATCCGCACCGGCGGCTTCTCTTCGTTCTCGGAGCTCTTGGCTTTGGAGCCCTCACCACTTTTTCCTTCCCCCGCCTCTCCTGATCCTCCTAGCTCCGAGCCAAATGGACTCCAAAGAACGAAATAAAGGGGATGAGAACTGTGTGCTGCGACCCTTCGAAAGCACAGCTGAAAGCGTTGACCTCGTCTTATAGCTCAGGCTGGGACCCTGGAGCGAGAGTCCCCACACCCCCTCCGGGAGGGATGCTTCTGGCCAGAGCCAGCGCTGCGCTGTCAGTCCTTGCTCCCGAACTAGGAAAGAGCCTAGGAGGGAGCCTCAGCATACCCCTTCCTCCAAATTAACTATTTGGTGAATTGTTAGCGCCGAGGCTACCACCTCTCCAACCCTGTCGCGGGGCGCCCCGCCACCTCACCGTGACCCCCTCCTCCTCCTTCTTTGCCCCCGCCCCCAGCTCCGCCCCTGCTCCCCATCCCGGCGCAATGGAGTTCTCCGAAGGGCGATGATTCCAGCCACATCTGCTAACTTCGCACCCATCGCTGCCGCCGGTCACCGCCGGCCAGGCCCCCTGCAGCCGCGGAGCAGTGGGCGTCCAAAGCCCAGTGCAGCAGCCAGGACCCGCCCGACGCGCAGCAGAAGCACGGCGCCCAGGCGCTTAGGCGTCTCTTGGAGAGCAAAGGCTGCGCCAAAACGCTGAGCCTAGAATCAACCAAGGAGCCTGAGCCCAGGAAGGGGCTGCGTGGCTCACAGCGCTGCGGCTCCTGAGGACAAATAGCCACTGCCGCTGCGTACCCAAGCTGCGCCGGCTGGCGGGAGAGCAGCACGCAAGGACGCCGAGGTCCGCCGCGATCTTCCAGGTGCCCTTTGCCCCTGGGCACAGTATGACCCGACCTACAGGGAGCCCTAGCGCAGGGCTCCTGCAACGGGGCAGCCTAGGATAAAAAGGATCCTTGCCAAGCTCCTACCAGGCCGCCTTTGAGTCTTTAGGAACCCCTCCTCCGGCTGCCTCCCCAAGGTTCTGGGCCTCCTTCCCTGCGGCCCAGAGCCATGGAGCTCTCCGATGTGCGCTGCCTTACAGGCAGCGAGGAACTCTACACCATCCACCCGACGCCCCCGGCCGGCGACGGCAGGAGCGCCTCCCGGCCGCAGCGGCTGCTGTGGCAGACGGCGGTGCGACACATCACGGAGCAGCGCTTCATTCACGGGCACCGGGGAGGCAGCGGCAGCGGGAGTGGAGGCTCGGGCAAAGCCTCGGACCCTGCGGGCGGCGGCCCCAACCACCACGCGCCGCAGCTGTCAGGCGACTCGGCGCTGCCCCTCTACTCGCTGGGCCCGGGAGAGCGAGCGCACAGCACCTGCGGCACCAAAGTCTTCCCGGAACGCAGCGGGAGCGGCAGTGCCAGCGGCAGCGGAGGCGGGGGCGACCTGGGCTTCCTGCACCTTGACTGTGCCCCTAGCAACTCGGATTTCTTTCTTAATGGGGGCTATAGCTACCGAGGGGTCATTTTCCCCACCCTGCGCAACTCCTTCAAATCTCGGGATTTGGAACGCCTCTACCAGCGCTATTTCTTGGGCCAAAGGCGCAAATCGGAAGTGGTGATGAACGTGCTGGACGTGCTGACCAAACTCACTCTCTTGGTCCTACACTTGAGCCTGGCCTCGGCCCCCATGGACCCGCTCAAGGGCATCCTGCTGGGCTTCTTCACCGGCATTGAGGTAGTGATCTGCGCCCTGGTGGTGGTCAGGAAGGACACCACCTCCCACACGTACCTGCAGTACAGCGGCGTGGTCACCTGGGTGGCCATGACCACCCAGATCCTGGCAGCAGGCCTCGGCTACGGGCTCCTGGGCGACGGCATAGGCTACGTGCTCTTCACGCTCTTCGCCACCTACAGTATGCTGCCGCTGCCGCTCACCTGGGCCATCCTGGCCGGCCTGGGCACCTCGCTGCTGCAGGTCATCCTCCAAGTGGTCATACCCCGGCTGGCGGTCATTTCCATCAACCAGGTAACTCCTGCCTGCCTTGCATTTGTTTCCCCTCTAACTTCCCCGGGTTATTGATCATATAGCTTCCAGAGAGCCAGGGTTGCCTCACTCTCTTTAAGTCTCCGCCTTCAGTCTGGCACAGTGCCTTGTACCTAGGAGGTCTTGAGTGTTAGCGGAATGCAATCTCTTCTTAAAGTGGAACTAAATGACCTCTAAAAGTTTCTACCAACTCTACCCTTCTACTCTGATTCTATGAGTAATTCTACTCTGACATCAGCTAAGAAAGTCTGCTTTCTGCTCCTCATTCCCCTCCCTCAGGGTCTGCAGTCTCCGGAGCAGGAGACAGAAGGGGAGGAGAAGCATCCAGATTTAGAAGGTGACCCATTCCTTAACATCTCTCCTCAGGAGAGTCGCAGCAGGGTGTTGTAGCAGGCTCTGGGCTTCAGAGTTGGGTTTTTCCGTATCTCTAAGCCACAAACCCTCAGTTCTCAAAGGAACATACATTTGTTAAACACATACTGATTGTCAGTGCTGAGTACTGTACGTGTTATGTCATCCAATCCTTCAAACAATCCTATGACACATGGTTTTCTCGGGAATTTTTTATTGCCTTGGTGACCAAACATGATATCTTCTCTCATGACACGATGCGACCCCAGTGCTTTGAATAAACCAACCTCAGTAATTGGGGGTGGCAAAGAATGCAAGTTTTGATTAATTGGAAAAGGGCATTTTGATGTAGATGCTTTAAATATTATATTTAGGTGGAATCTTGTTCTTTAGGTATCTTTCCCTCCTTTCTCCTCCTTTTTTTTCTATTCTTCCCCTTAAATATGGATATGCTTATGTGAACAAAGTTCACATTGTCTATGGATGAGAAAGTAGACAATGTTTCTATTGTTTAAATTTACTAGAACCAATAGCTAATTAATGGCATGGCACTGTCTTTGCAAAATGTATGGTAGGTAACAGGAGAGTGACTTTGGGGGTTTCTCAAAAATGAGGGAAACATGTCAAGTGAAGTGTTTTCAAACAGATGGCTGGTGTGAGATGCATGGTCAGGGGGCTGCTTTGTATGGGCCTGCTCTGTCGTTAGCCTCTGTATCATTTTTGCTGTATTAGAAGCTTAAAACTCCTCTTCCTTATGGTCGAATTTGAATAGATGATGCTTAGAATAAACAGGCACGACCCCACTGAAAATTGTTCATGATGTTTAGATTGCCAGCACTGTTAGAGTGCTTCACCCATCACTGGCCTCCTGGACTTCTGGTCAATGTGGGATCCTGTCTCTTCTCCAATGGTTCTATATTCCTTTGCTCAGGTGACTTATCTGGTTGGCTGCTTTTACAGTGCTTTCTGAAGTCTCTCTGGGTAAAGCAAAGAGTTTATAAATTACATGCCTGTGATTATCAAGCATGAAATGGAGAGATGAGAGACTCTGAGTAAGGGTTGATTGACTGAACTTTTTCTTATTAAAGACAATAATGAGTGTTTTATCACAGTCACCATGAACCTTCATATCTACATATAACAAATAAGTCTCAATCTGGGAAGTGGAAGTCAAATTCTTTGGTATTAACTATTTCTCAATCCTGTTTACATGAAGATCTACATGCCAGTACATCTAAATCTACTTTCTTCCAAGCTCTCTCATTCTCTTTTTTATTTTTCTTTGTTGTATACATAGACATTAGCAGATCTTTTCTTCCCTGTCTTCCTCCCCTTCCTCCTTCTTTTTCCTTCTCTTTGCCTTCTCTTTTTTTCATCTAACTCACTATGAGTTGTTTTCACGATAAAGCATAGCTATCTGATCATGTATAAGAAATTCCATGTATTATAACCCACTACTTTTCACGCAATAGCCTTTCTCAGTACACACAACTAGAAAACTTAATAAGTAAGTTTGGAATAGTATTTAGAATAACACATCCTAAGTGGCAAATTATGAGTGTTTTCAAAGTTCTAAGTATAGATATATTTTTCTTGCCAAGTGAATCCAGAAAGTAAATTTTGGCTCCATATTTGTTTTATATTCTACTCAAATACTACCAGATGGGAGAAGATTAAAAATAACCCCCAAATGTCTTCCCACCCTCATCTCATCATAAACAATTCTCCACTGTGAAATCCAAGGTCCTGATGCATGTAAACTAAGCTCATTCAATTTTTTGTTTGGGTAAGAATTACAGATAAACTACGATTTCATAGGTTGAGTCACCTTTTACCAAAACTCTAAAAGAACAACCAGAGCGCTCTCCCCTCACTTCAGTGCTGAAAGGGCTTTTAAAGGTCCTTTGGCGCCCTCTATTGGCTTAAGAGTCTTTCCTAGATCGCGCAGATGGACGAAGTAGAGAATAAATCGCTTTTTATAAGAATCTGTGATTTTTGAATAGGTACTATTTAGTTTTCCATGTCTGGTAACACATAAGGAATGCTCAAAACCTGCTAAACACTTCTTATAGCAACTCGAGTAAAATCCTAACTTCTTACCACAGCATGCTTGATTCTCTGAGCTAGTTGCTTCTTCTCTCTCCAACCATATTTCCCTCTCTTCTCTTCTCTTGTATTCTCTTCATTAGGCTCCAAATATGCTATTCATTTTTGCCATATTCCAAGCTCTTCCTAATTCTGGGTCTTTTCACCTGCTACCTAGAGCAACTTTTCCCAAGTCTTTATAAGACTGGCACATTCTCATTGTTCCAGACTCTCAAATGCTACTTTCTCTAGTAAACGACTTGTTTCATTTTCTCCAGAGCACATCTGCTATCTGAAATTATCTTATTTGTTTATATCTACTATGTTTCTCCCCACACCCTCACAAGAATGTAAACACCATAAGGGCAAGGATGTTGTCTATCATAAATAGCATTTTATCCTCGGCCTGTAGAAAAATGCCAGACATATAGCAGGTACTCAACAAACAGTCACTGAATGAAGAAGACAATTCATCATATAGGAAATATTATAAAATATCCAAGTGCCCTGATGTTGTGTTGGTGAAAGCTTTCTATACACACACACACATACACATCATATGTGTGTAACGCAGTCTTACACGTAAACATCTTCTAAAGAAATCAAAAACAATAATAATCCTTTACTTTGCACAGTATTTTACATGTAACTAAGCACCCTTATGTGCATCATCATATCTAATGATGAAAAATAGATGGTATCATCCTTCATTTTCATTTCAGAGAAAAAAATGACAGAATCCTAGAAACTTTACAGTGATACCCTGAGGATCAGGAACCTGGCAAGTGGAGGACAGAATTCAAACCCTGACTCTGATGCCAATTATTCTTCAGAAACCCTTTAGTGATTATCCTTCTAAACATGTAAGCATTTGAAACTATTAAAGACTGAGGAGTACTTCTTTTACTACTTAAGAGAGTTAAATAAACATTTAACGAAGAAGCCAAAGGGAAATTATGAGAGAAAAATGAGTGAATTGCTGGGCATAGGCTCATTGTAGCTAGCTCATCATTCTGCTTAGCTAGATACAAATCTGTCAACTAAAAGCCATAAACACTGGAATAGCATCTTTCTCCACATTAATCTTCATTCTCTTTAGGAGGATAGCTAATGTTTAACTTAGCATTTTCAGGATTTAGGAAACGAAAATGGGAGTATAGAGTTAGCACACCTTGGCAGCTGTTTCACTTCACTGAAAATGTCATTTTTGAAAGGAACAAATGAGCCAATGATTGCCTTCCTTTAATCTAAGCTATGAGAATCTGCTTTCCCTCTTTCTACCCTGAAGGAAATGACATCTGTGACTTGACAGGGTAGCAACCACACTGAAAATCTCTGCAGACACCCTATATGAAGAGACAAAGCCCTGTGTTTATTGAATCACCATTTGCTTTCCACTGTGGATACAAAATGGAACCTAAAAGGGGCCACTCAGGAAATTCCCTGCCATCAGCAAAGAGATGGTTTATGTTTTCTCTACTCAATTAACACACTACAAACATTGACTTCCCACCCAACAAAGAGATTATTGTCTAGAGCAGACATAATCACCCATATGTTTTCTGCATCTGGAGTGGCATCGGAAAGACCGAGAAACTTTCAGAAGGCTCAAAACCCAGTTTGAAGGGTTCCTTTTATTTCACTCTGACTTAGCTCAGCTATAGGTAGCACTAGGGCTACAATCGTTTCTTTCTTATGAAACCGCACCCAATCCAAGTTAAATAAGCCTCAAACCAATGATAGGAATACCTTGTCCAGATTTTCCTAAGACACTGGTTTATTTTTTCCACATCATAAACCAATTGTTTGTATCACCAATTCGATTTATCCACCAGGAAATTCATTACAAAATGATGTTATATGTATAAATAAAGGATTGATGATAAGATTATATTTGCTAGGTTCTTTCACAAGGTAGAGAAATTCTAAATGCTATTGCTATAGTTAGCATTTTACTCTATTTTAATTGCTGGTGACAATAATATGAGCTATCTTACATTTGAAACTCATCTCATTCTCATACTTTAGCTCATTAGTGATAAGATGGTGGAAATCATTTAGTTACTGGAAAACTGAGAGGCAGCAATATTTAACCAGAAAGATCGCTGCATTATGGTTCCCTCTTGGGGATTCTAAAATATTACAGCTAGTGGCTAATTAGTTTTCTGTGCCTCTTGGTGAGATAGATAAGCGGACTTGTCAGAGTGGAGATGATTTCTCCAAGATAACTGTACAATCAAAGGCAGTCAGATATGCAAATCCAGGTTACTTAGTGCTCAAGGTCATGCTGTCAGATTTAAATTCCTCATGCAACATTTTCTTTCCTACCTTTCAACATCCTATCAAACAGGAGAGACTAGAGCCAGAAAAATGCTAAAGAATGATTGTTAAACTTGACTTACAATGAGGGACATTTAGCCTAACATTTGGCCTTTAAGAAATCCTTTAGGGGAAATTTTTTTTTCTTTGTGCTGGATAAGATAGTGGTGTATAGTATGAGTAAGTTGGGTTCAGGAGGGGAGCTGACTTTCTATGTGACTTAAATACACATTTCTGACCACTTAAATGAAGGACTGACTTCACAGTAAAGATAAAATAAATATAATAAAATTACCAACTTCTCTCCCATCATTTATACAGTTTAAACATAAGATATTATATGTTCTTTGTCTAAGTCTAAGGTTCTTTGTAGCTATCTCAAATCAAATAAAGGGAATCCTGTGACTACTTAATGTACAACAAATGGCATGTAATATAAATCATTCCAATTTGGTAGTTGGTATCAAGGTACGTACTCATTTGAGAGACATAAATATCCATTAAATGAGTATGACTGGAATCCAATTTAATGCACCTCACTAGTTATGGTGTGCATTTCTTAAAACCCCAAATATCTCCATTTCTGTACATTTTTCTTTAGGAAATTCATATAGGCTTTAAAAAAATAATGTCGGCTTTCCAGCATGTCTGAGAAAAATGCCTTTCAAAAGCCGATTTGAGTGTCAACCTTCCCAAGAGATTCCTCTGAACACCGAGAAATGGAAATATTATTCTCTCTTACTTGTAAAAGATACCCAGAGAGTCTCCTTTTTCTTTCTTTCTATTTTTCTTTTCTTTCTTTCTTCTTCATGTGTATGTGTGTGTGTGTGCTTTTGTGTATGTGTGTTGGTGGAGAATGGGCTTTACAAAGGATATCTTAATGACTGCTGAAATGACCAATTAAATCCCTTCAGCTCTGGCCTGTAGACATCTTTGCCCTGGAGTTGCAAATAGGCTTGTTGTCTCTGTATTTAGAGAGTTGTAAAATGATTGTGTAGTGTGTGCTTTGCAAGATTGAATTATGAATTTGTTTTCCTTCATATCTGGTAATATCACCTGACTGTTATCAGCAGGTCAGAGCATAATTAGATTAGAACTGGGAAGATTGGGAGGACTTTGCTTCTAGAGCAGCTGCTACAATGTCATGCTAAGTAGGACAAATGCATTAGTCATATTTACACTTTGATGATTGATGACATTTTAAGAGCTCATCAGAAATGAGTGAAACCAAGCAAAAAAATGAAATATTTTTAAAAAGAGTTTATTCCATATTCAGTGCTGCTAGCAACATTTAATCAGAGGACACTACTACAATCATGCTGATGTGACATTTTACTGTTGTCTAAATATTTCTTAAGATGCTAATTTATTCATTTCACAAGTGTGTCTATTTAAGTTGATTCTACATGTGTTTATTTCCAAAACATAGGAGACACTTGCAACATTCATCTTAAACCTTTCCTCTCAGCACCAAATAGGTACAATATTGATTCTCTGGGAGACCAGTAGACTCAGAATATGCAGCTGGACAACATAGCAGTTCACTTGACTTATCACTTCTGAAGTGTGTTCTTGGTTTTCTCTTTGGGGCAGAATTAAAGTAACAGAACATGAAGATTAGTGGCAGTATTGAAGGTTGCAAAATTTCTGTGATACATAGGTTTGAACCTCAGTTGGCAAAAGAGTGAGTTATATAAAGAATTTTCTTCCCAGGATTTTTGTGGGGACTTAGTCGAGGAATGCTGCTTCAGCCAGCCACAACAGAGCAGGGAAAGCTAGTATAATCTTCCCTGCACTTCCCCAGGAAATGTAATTGGATTTACACACTCAAATTATATCATGTGAGTTTTGTTTATGAAGGACTATTTTAAGAAGTCAGGTCACTTAAGCAGTGCTTCGGAAGCCAGATTTTCTCCCTGCAAGATTTTTTACAGTCAGCCCTGTGGGGGAGAGGAAGAATGCAGAATAGATTAATTAACTATGGAGATGCCAGACATTCCACAGGAGGCCCAGGCACATTCTGGTAGGCATAAAAGCCACCTACCAGCAAATGCCACTATGCCACTACCTTCTCGATAAAGGAACAGAGCTTATCTGACAAGGTGTTGTCAGATAAACCTATGTTTGCTTGTTTCTTTGATCTCTATGCACTGGACTCTGAATGTGCATGTGTAGAATTTGATATCTGAATTTCATTTAACTAGATCATATATTTTAATATATGAAATACTTTGTACTTTATAGCTACTGGGGTTTTCTATCCCTTTCACTCTGTTTCCTGCTTTATATATCCAAGCTCAAGTGCTACTAATTGCAAAATGTCTTTGAAGCACAAACTTCCCCCAAATTAGGGAATGATAAAGTTATACATGGTGAAGACATAAGCCGGATATGAAAGTAAATCACATTAATGTCTTGGGGTTTCTTGTTAAATGAGTAATGTTTTTACAACTGCCGTTTCCATCTACAGTGCCAGTGTAAAAATTTCACATAAAAACAAAAAACTATAACCACTTCATTTTGTAAACAACACATCCTCATTCTATGTCAGCTGATTTTTCAGTTGACTGGAGTAAACCGTTTCAGAATCTTTTCTTCATTTGTGTGTATGTATGTGTGTGTGATTACACGCTGAATGCACAAGATTGCTTATAAAATAGAAACTACTAAGGGTTAGAGAATGCATTATCAAAGTACATGTATTTCTTTGACTCAGAATATAGGGAGAAGAAATAAGAGCACAAAAAAAAAATCTAACAGAACCCATCTTATGCTGCTATAACAAAACCTGAGACTGTGTAATTTATTTTAAAAAAAAATCAGAAATTTATTTGGCTTCTGGTTTTGGAGACCAGGAATTCCAAGACTGAGGGACCATATCTGGTGAAGGTTTTTTGTTGCAATGTAAGATGGCAGAAGGTATCACATGGGCATAAAAGAGCAAGAGATTGAACTCAAGGCCTCAAACACTTTTAAAATCAACATTAATCCTTTCATGAAGGTAAAGCCCTCAGGATCTAAACACCTCTCATTAGGCCCCACTGTAACGTTTGGGATTAAGTTTCCAACACATGCTTTATGAGGGGCATATTCAAGCCATAACAAGGACCAAAAACAAAAAACAAAACAAGGAAGAATACCTCTGGAAGGCCTGAACATAGAAGGGATATAGAAAGAATATGGTGACTGCCTTTAAATATTTGGGGTTCTGCCATGACAAAGAGACTGGTTATTTTCTGTGTGTCTCCTGTGGAATGGAATTAAGACCAATGGATAGCCATTAAAGCAGGAGAAATTCTGATTCACAAAAAGGTAAAGTTTGATAACAAACAGACCTGCCCAGGGAGCTGCTTTTTGAGATGATGAGCTCCTTGCCATTGGGCATTCCCCAAGGAGAAGCTGTGCAACAATCCATCAGGGATGTAATCAAGGAGATTCCTATATAGTGATCTATATATCTATTCCTATAGATATATAGGAATATCCTATGTAGGGAGATATATACATATATATTCCTATAGAGGGAATCCTTTATTATATCCCTGATGGATTGTTGCACAGCTTTTCTTCAAGGTCAGTTGAAAGTCATTGGCTGCATCTCATGTCATCATGGTTGCTTTGCAGGCATGGAAAAGTAGAAGACAAAGGGCAAGAGGCCAAAATGGTAAAAGGGCATAAGCCAACTGAATTTGTGCCCCTTTGAGGAGCTCCCCTGGGATCTCTGCCCAATAAGACCTCCTTGTATTTCAGGCGACATAATTAGTTCTATCAGCAAGAAAGGATGGCCAAAAAATGATTTTGCTGGGCTTTAAAAGATCAGGATTGCATTAGAATGAAAGGTGGAATAACTATTGAATAGATAAACTTTTCCCCCAAATATTTGTTGACTGCCTGCTGGGTTTTATGTCCTAGAACACAGCTAGGTACTAAAGAGATAAGGTTATTGATGTAATGGAGCTGATGCTTGGATGGATTTGGGTAGGGAATTTGTGACTCCACTGCAGAGGTTTGGCTGGAGGTTCACACCTGACTCTTAGAACACATCTGGAGCACAGGATTCAGGGATTCAGTAAATATTTTACACAAATGCAAGACTTGGACTCTTTTTACTACAGACCTCTAAAGTATGAAACATCAAAGCTGCAGTGGATTTCTTTTAGAAGTTACATGAAAGGAAAGGTCAGACTCCAGAAGAAATAGTGGAAGGGTATGGATCTTCCTCCCTGGTGAAGAAAAGAAGAGCGTGCAAAAGGACCCTGGGATGGGCCAAGTCATCAGTTGTCTGAGCATCACCTTATCACAAACTGAATTTGTCACAAGGCTGGTGACCTGGAGACATGACAGGAGGGAGCATGTGCAGCTCTGGGAACTCATAGTCACTCTGTGCTCAGAGTGACTCCAGCTGAAAACTGAAGAGCTGCCCTGAGACTCTAGGCAACCCATCCCCACACAAACATGGGTAGACAGTAAGTGTAGGCAAGGCTCAAAGTCACTTTCCTTGGTACATTTCCACATCCCGTGTTTTCCTCTATCAGAGCAATGTCATAACGTTCTCACATGCCCACCAGACTATGAGCCCCTTGAGGTCAAGAATTGTATCTTATCCATCTTTGTGTCTCTAGCAGCTAGCATAGCATCTGGCACATGGATGGCTCTGAATATCATATTTTAAATGAATGGAATGAATGAATAGTAGATGACCATTTCCTTCCTTCCCCTAGCCACCCCCTACTCCACCCCCACCCACACACACACATCATTACAGAATCATCAACAGGGAATGAAAAACTGGCAAGAGAAGAGAAATCAGTCTCTCTGTCAATACAGCAAAAGTACACCAGAAATTATCCCTTGAAGCACTTTGAGCAGAAAGCTGCAGCTGAGTTTTTGCTATACATATTCATATACATGTACATATTAGATAACGTGAAGAAAAATTCAAGTAATTATCCAGATCATTTAAGTTAAGACAAAAGTTATGGGCCTGAATTATTCATGGGTATTTGTCGATTATCAAACACTTTAAATGGATCAGGCCCATCTACTCAAAATAGAGTCCAATTGCTAGCAAATACATCACCCTCTTGTTCTCTTCCCTCTTTGTTCTTCAGCATCCTGGCTCTGAATCTCTATACCCAGCTCTGGAGTTCTTTGCTTTTATAGCTGCAGTCCCCAACCTTTTTGGCACCAAGGAATGGTTTCATGGAAGATAATTTTTCCACAGACATGGGTGGGGGATGATTTTGGGAGGATCCAAGAGCTTTACATTTATGTGTATTTTATCTCTGTTATTATTACGTTGTAATATATAATGAAATTATTGTACAAGTCACACCATAATGTTTTCCTGCAGCTAGATGGTCCCATCTGGGGATGATGGGAGACAGTGACAGATCATCAAGCATCACATTCTCATAAGGAGCTTGCAGTCTAGATCTCGCGCATGTGCAGTTCACAATAGGGTTTGAACTCCTATGAGAATCTAATGCCACCACTGGCAACTGATCTGACAGGAGGCAGAGCTCAGGCGGTAATGCAAGCGATGGGGAGTGGCTGTAAATACAGATGCAGCTTCACTCATTTGCCCTGCCTCTCACTTGCTGCTGTGCAACCCACAACCTGCTGTGCAAGCACACTGGAAATCACTTCCTGGGCTTGACGTCTCAGTGGTGCCCCCTTCTGGTGGGTGCTCACCATCTGGGTACATACAGGTACAGCTGGGGGCAGGAGGTACTCCCACACTTCCACTTGACTCCTGGTACTCCATACCCGAGGGGCTGGTAGGCCTCACTCCTTAGGGGAAGATATCGGACAAAGCAGGTTGACTTTCCTAAGCGTAAAAAATGGATAGGTGCTTAGTCCACTGTTTCCTACAGCTTAAAACCTGTCACATAAAGACCATATTGTACCCTAACTGGACCAGTTTATCTACAGACTTCTAAAAAGCAAACCAAAGTCAGATTTTAGAGAATGGAACTCAAAGCAATTAACTAAAACTGTCTTTATAAAGTCCCAAAAACGGTCATGAGTCTTTTTAGTTCTTTTTTTTTTTCTGCTAATTAGTTCAAGAAAAAAAATCACTAAGAGCAAGCTGGTTTTCTTCTAAAGTCAAATCTCCCACACCCTCATTCATCGGGTGAGCCTTCCCAGCCTATTGGAGGCGGGTAGTTCATTTGAGAATGAGTTCATGGCCCCAAGTGGTCAATGTGCAGTGACTACAAAGTCTCCTCTTTTCTATTTATGAGAGATATATTGCCCTTGGCTCTTGCCAGGTGAATTATGACATGATACGCAGCTCTTTGGGCCCTGCCCAAGCCATCTCAGCCAGAGAGAAGCTGTGCCAATGGACAATGAAAGATATTTTTGAAACCATGTAAGTATATTTCCTTAAAAACATAGAAAACACAAATTCTCCTCCTGTTTTTGCTATGGGTTTTTCACAGCAACTTTGGCTTCAGCTTCTTTGGGCCAAAATTTCTTCATGTCTAAAAGAAGGATAGTTCAACACTCCTGACCCAGTTAGATATTCCTCCTCTGAGGGCATGGCCCTTTACCTGCCCATTTATCCTGCCTCATTTTGCAGTGCTATTGGCTTCCACATCTCTCTCACCAGCTGGGCTGTGAGCTTCACAAAGTCTGGGGTGGCATCTGGGTCACTGTTAAGTCTCTACAGCATAGTGTAGTGCTGGTTACATACTCTTCTTTCTCAGGTTCCTCCAGGTCTTGTTTTTCAATTCACCTCTTCAATGTTGGGGCTCCTGAAGTTTCCGTCCTATATGACTTCACATTATCTCACTCCACACCACTCCCTGGATAATCAAATCCCTCCCTCAGTCAGCAAGTATGTATCTTTGTGCTGCTAACTCCTAACCCTGTATCTCTACCCCAGTTTTATCTGCTAAGCTTAAGACCTGGCAATCTGGAGACCTACTGGATACCTCCATTGAGGCAGCCCAACCCCAACAAGTAACAATTGACTCCATCCCGTCTGATATCTACATGAAATTCTGATGGTTTAGTCTTCCATTGCTGGGGTCTGTCCACAGCTCTCTATCCTGCTCTTTCTGTTCTAGTGCAGCCCCACCCCCAAGATTCATCAAGCCACCCCATGCTCCGCTGAACCACCCCAACACTCCCCAGTGGGAGCTTCTCCCATATGCTAGCATTCTCACCACTTCACTTCACTGGGTAAGTTCTACTGTTGAACCTCATCACCAGTTTTCTTCATATTCCATGCTGGCTTCTGCCTGTGTGTGTTTTCTAGGACAATTGTTTACCTTCCTTGCCTGGCAATATTCAAGTGTCACCACTTCCTGGAATTCCTTCTGTACCCCTTCTCCGGGACAAGTACCTGCTTAAGAATAAGTGGGGTGTGTTTAAATGGAGAATTGTGTTTGTTTGACTTTGATAATCTAAGCTCATGTTAGGTGTTTAAGGAAAGGAGGGGCAGAGAGATAAGCAGAATTTGACAAAAAAATGAGCAGTCCTTCAAGCATGACTCTCAATGAGACAGAACTGTATTGGAGATTGCTATATGCCAAACTTAACACACTTCCCAAGGAAAGAAAAAAGCATAGAGTTCATAGCACAGGATGTGGATTCAGACTGCCTGGGATTGATCTGCAATTTTTTCATTTTATAACACTGACAAGAGCCTCAATCTTTCTGCACCTCACTTTCTTCAGCTGTAAAATGGGAATAATAATAATAGCTCAGGAGGTTGTTGAAGAGATGAAATAATACACATGGAGTATTTAAATCAGAACCTGGTAAAGAGGAATCAGGTAATACATTTCATTTGATTTTATAATTTAAGTTTTAAAACAATCACCCTTTTTCAATGAGTTCTCTGCCCTAAGCTGACAGTTTCTGGGCTTCACCTGGCTTAACCCCTGCATCTTTTAGACCAGTGCTTCTCCAACTTTAATGTGAATAGGAATCACTTGGAGATCTTGACAAAATTTGGATTTAGGAGGAGGACCCTAGGTTCTGTGTTTCTGACAAGTTGCCAGGTAATGGATGCTTGCAGTCTGCAGATCATAATTTGTGGGAAAGGCTTTGGAGTTTGGCACAGACCCCACCTTCTCTTCAGTGGGTCCCTGCTACTCCACCAGGTAGATTTAGATCCCTGTCCTCTAATTCACTTATATTATTGAACATTCAGGCTTCCATAGCAATATACCATAACTGACTGACTTGTAACAAACAAACAAAAAAAAACATTTATTTCTCATAGTTCTGGAGGCTGGGAAGCTCAAAATCTAAGCACCAGTAGATTTGGTGCCTGGTGAGGGCCTGCTTCCTGGTTCACATGGCCATCTTCCGACTGTGTCCTTGCAGGATGAAAGAGACAAGGCAGCTCTCTGAGGCCTTTTTTCTAGACACTAATCCCATTCATGAAGGCTCCACCCTCATGACACATTCACCTCCCACCTCTTAATTCCATCACCTTAGGGTTAGCATTTTAACATGTGTATTTTGGAGGGACACAAACATTCAGACCATAGCAACATTCTTCCATCATTCATTAATGCATGCTTTCATTTAGCCTCATATGGCGAATATTTATGGAGTACCACAGTGTGCTGCATGCAGGCAGTAGGGGTGCTGTGGTGAGGAAAAGAATCCAGGATCCTGCTATTAAAGAGATTATAATCTAGAGTTATAGACAGTCATCCATCAAATAATCACCTAAATAAGTGAATGATTTCAAACTGAGTTAAGGACTTTTAAAGCAGGTTTGATGTGGGGCCATGATTAGTTGAGAAAAGTGAGGCATCCAGGGTACAAAGCTTACAAGAAGCACTTGTTCTCAGGGGCTGACCCTGCACTTGTGCAACCCTGCGAAGGAATAATTCCTGAAATTGTGTGCTCTAGGCATTCAGCTTGCACTCATTTCTATTTAAAAGGAAAATCCTGACTAGACCTGAGATGAGGAAATTATTCTTAATATCTACAGGAAGAATTCATGTTAGCAGGTAAGATTGGAATTATGTTTTATTTATTTGTCTCTACTGTTAAACAACGTGCTCTTTGAGAGCAGGGTCTGTCCTTTTGTATATCACCGGAATGGACACTGGCACATCACGCGGGAATCTCATATCAGAAGCTTGTTGAGTAAATGCCTGAACAATCATATTCGCATCAGTATTGCTGTTTCCCTTTTTATAGTTGAGGATGCTGAACACAGAGTTGTTACAGCATTTCCCTTTGGTCATATGATGAATACGAGATTTCATCCACAGCTATCTGATTCCAAAGCTGCCCTCTAGATTTGATGCTTCTTTAAGGCCACTTTATCTCAATAACTATGCTCATTTCAGAGGCAATAAGATTAATAAAGAAAAAGAAAAATGAAATGTACCTTGCAAATAGTAGCAATGTTTATCATGATAGTTATCACTATCATAGATAGAGCCAAGGGGATAAGCACACTGTATTGAAAACAACACCTGAATAAAGGGTCATCAAAAGACCCACCTCAGATTTTACATACAAAACAGTGCAACTTTCTTCAAGCCACTCAGCCTGTCTTGGCTTCAAAATGAGTTTCTGATAGCTCTAAAATTCTATGACTATGAAATGATTTCTGAGTTTCCTTACAGCTCTCAAAAATTTTATTCCATGAGTTATAATGAATGTGCATGTGGGGATTGGTATGCTTTCCCCATTTATTTGCCTCCCAAGATCAGATAATGACAATTCTTATAGAACACATAACTTGTTGAGGTCTTTGACCTCTGAGATTCTTAAGAAGAGAATTATGAGTAATGATTTAGCAAATACTGAAAGAATCACTCCCTAGATGGTATTTAATATTTAATTTCTCCTAGTGGTTTAATTACATTGGCACCATCAGTTGCAAATTTGTGTGTCATTTTAGTCATTCAGTCATTGAATTTGTTTCGAACGGACTAGTAATTGTGATAATTAATTGACAAACAATTGTGTACTTTGACTATATAATTAGTGACTTCATGGCACTTGCCTATCTCTCATTTCCACAATGTGCATGTTACTGTAATCAACAGCCATTTTGTGAAAGTATTACCGAGCCATGATTGAATTGGACATTTACACAGCCTGAATAGTCACAACCTGGAGCCCGACTTTGGCACATTCATCTTCCTTGTCTATGGACCCCAGGAAATAGATAAGGTAGCCTGAAGGAACTCACTTAATCCTGCTATAGGTTAGTCACTGCATCCATAACAAGATGAGAATAAAGTAGCTCCTTTATCAGTAAATGAGCTAATGAATAAGAAAACATTTTGAACCAATATACAGCAGTAAACAAACACTGGGCTGTATTATTATTATTATTATTAATTATTCCTATAACACAGTTGTGTCTGATGATGTCACGCAATAGCAAGCTGTCTTGTTCTGTCATTGGCGTGAAACTGCCAAACACGCGACAGTGGTCCACAAGGTGACTCCACTCATGAATCACCTGAACAGTGGATGAAACAAATGGTGCCCTGGGCCATTGCTGGCAATAATGAGCATTGCACACTAGAAACAAGAACTACACTGCAGGATGAGAGGATGTCCACTCATGGACAAAAATAGCAATCATTAGCAATCACCTCTTTGCCCTGTATCTAGAACACTCTTATAAGGAAGAGAAGCCATGTTGCTCTAAATGCTGGTATGTCTTCTTAGAGCTTTCCACACTGAAGTCTTTCCTTATGTAAAGTCCTTCTTAATTTTGTGGAAGGTCTATACAAATTTTTCTTCAACATCCTACAAAAAAGACCCAACTAGCCATGGGTTCGAGGTAATTTGGATATAAAAAAGCCTAAAAGTATCCTTTTAAAATCTAGTTAATAAAATTGATCTCCTTGGGCATATCTCATGCACATGTGCAGATTTCAAACTGGGAACTTATCTCAATATCAAACAACCATTAAATGACAGCAAAACTAATCCATTGTCAATAAAATTGCTAGGAAATATGTAGTAAGATAAATATCAAATTTCTTCCAACAAATAGGACGAACAAAAGATTTTTAGAATAGTGGCAGCTCCTTTTTCAAACTAGACTAAGCACTAAAATATAAAACTTATGAAAGTGGCACTGTGTGTTGGGCAAGGAGGGAAGATACAGTCTGCCTCTCCTCCTGCAGCACTGCCATCTTCTGCTCTGTGACCTACCAAGGCACTGCCAAGCTTCCACCAAAAAATGTTTCAGAACTACCACTTTATAAACCCACTCCTAGGTCTTTAGCTGTTGAGGACTTAACTTAGATGTTCCTAAAAGGAGAGTAAGGTAAAAGAACACGCTCATATGTGGCAATAATTTATTGGTGTTGATTCCAGTGTCCATGGGCATCAGGGCAGAAGGGTCTCTTTTGTTTCAGAGTAGCTTAGGCACAGGGCAATGGCTGTGATATCTAGCACTTCCTACACACCTACCATATCTGAATCTGCATTATATGGTTTGCACACATCCTGTCCACTCTTAATGGTATTCCTGCATAATATTGCAGGATTGCAACCTCCAGTTTGAAAATGAAGAAGTTGAGGATTAGAGAGTTTAACCTAGCTAGAGTCATTCCGATTGTGTGTGGCCAAGTGAGGATTTGAACTGAAGTTAATTTGGCTCCAAACATGCATGGGTTCCCACTGACTCTCACCATCACCACCCTGTACATGCTGAGTGGTCATTTAAATAAATGTATATTTACATTTAGTAATTCATATTCCTTCCATCATTCCACCATCTACTATGTGCTAGACTTGAGGGAAGCAGTCAAATAATACATGTGTTCTACCCTGGAGCCACTTACATTACCAGAATACAAACACAAGAAAGAAAAGTTTATCTGTTGTTACATGGACTGCCTCTTGTGTTGGCCCTGCTGAGAGCTGCAATGGGTTTTATACTTTAATGGGTTTCATCCTTTCCACTAAGAAACTTGAGAAATGGTTCATTCTTTTACCTGGCCGGCACTTGCTGCCTGTGACAGAAGTAAAACTAGCATTTATGGGGAAAATATAGACATCAAATAATATAAAGTTCTGATGACTTCATAGTTCACCATCTTTCTTTAAGACCAATCCAAATGCCCATCAATGATAGACTGGATAAAGAAAATTTGGCACATATACACCATGGAATACTATACAACCATAAAAAAGGATGAGTTCATGTCCTTTACAGGGACATGGATGAAGCTGGAAACCTTCATTCTCAGCAAACTAACACAAGAACAGAAAACCAAACACTGTATGTTCTCATTCATAAGTGGGAGTTGAGCAATGAGAACACATGGACACAGGGAGGGTAACATCACACACTGGGGCCTGCCTGGGGGTGGAGGGTAGGGGAGGGATAGCTTTAGAAGAATTACCTAATGTAGATGACGGGTTGATGGGTGCAGCAAACCACCATGGCATGTGTATACCTATGTAGCAAAACTGCACGTTGTGCAAATGTACCCCAGAACTTAAAGTATAATAATAATAAAAAAAACAGATTGGTGTGCACACCAAATGGAAAAAGAAAAGAATCATTACATAATATATCAAAATACGCAGACCAAGCATTTATTTTTACCCAGATCCCTACTAACAAAAATAAATTCCTTTCTTTCCTACTTATATTCCTGAAAGTAATCCAAACTTAGTTGCCCACATAATTCTGAATTACCCTAAATTGTTTTTGCATATGTTTGAAAATGATAAGCCATTTGAGGACACACTTGTTGTATTAGTCTGTTCTCACACAGCTATAAGGACATACCTGAGACTGGGTAATTTATAAAGGAAGGAGACTTAATTGACTCACAGTTCAGCATCGCTGGGGAGGCCTCAGAAAACTTACAAGCATAGCAGAAGGGGAAGCAAACATGTCCTTCTTCACATGGCAGCAGCAAGGAGAAGTGCCAAGCAAAAGAGGGAAAAGCCCCTTATAAAACCATCAGATCTCGTGAGAACTCACTCACTATCACGAGAACATCATGAAGGTAACTGCTCCCATGATTAAATTACCTCCCACCAGTTCCCTCCCACAATGTGTGAGGATTATGGGAACTACAATTCAAGATGAGATTTGAGTGGGTACACAGCCAAACCATATCACATATAGAACCAAACTTTATTTTGGGAGGTAATGTGCCCAGTTGCATTACTAGAGGATTTGGAGAAGCGTTTAAAAGGTGTCTGATCCCTCTGGGAGACCCACATTTTTTTCACCCACCCTACATCCTTTAGCCATCTTTCTACCTGGTAGACAGATGTCATGACAGCTCCAACAGCCATCTTGGACTATGAGGAGAGATGGAAGCCATACAGAAGGTTGGTGGGCCACAAAGAAATAAGAATCCAAGAACGCTGATGATACGACTAGGCACCATGCCAGCCCTAGACTGCTCATTGCTAGATTTTTTTTAAGTGATAGAAAATACTCTACTTTTGTTTTAGTTCTCCTTTACCAATATCTAATATAATTTCTAATCAATATTGGCTGCAAAATATACTCATGCTGTATCATCCAATAAATTAACATTAACTATTTTTTGAGATAACATTGTAATTGCAATTCTTCTATCTTATACTTATCTGTTTAATCACCTAAGACAAATAGAGCCATTTACATTTTATGGGTGCTTTGTTTTGCTTTGCTCCATATTTGAGATTTGAGAAACAGAAAGACCTAGATCAGATGTCATGTCATCTGATGTATAATTTATAGCACATAATAAATACCAGGCAACAATTATTGCTGGAGAAGACTAGTGGGACTATTTCCCAAGGGAAGAAACTGATACCTTCCTACTTGTAACTCTTTGAAAGTGCACCAGGCCTTGTGAGATTAGAAAGTAGTCCCCGAGGGTGCTTAGCAGAAGCCAGATGCCCATCATCAGGGATTTGGGGAAAAGAAGAAGGAGCTGGACTAAACTATTTTAAAGGTCTTCTCTAATTTGCAGCTTATGATTCTGACTCTTGAAGTTATAAATAATTGGTAAGATGTAGAATAATTGGACTCTAAAAAGTAGAGAAGTCCAATAAATCTTCCAAATCTCAGAAAGGAATGTTGGATATTTACATCAAACTATGTCCCTAACTTTGTCCTCCTCCTGGTTCTTGATCTCAATGAATTCAGCATTCTCTATTTCATCTTTGCAGTTGCCCAAGACAGAAAGCTCAGAAGGCATCCCCAACAATTCTCCCTCTCACTGTCCCATGGCCAGTCCATTGCAAGTTTGCCTGCTGAATGTCCTCAAGTGCATCCAATCCGTGTCTTCTCCTTCCACTCTAGAGCAGAAGATACTGGTCCTCACCTGAATCACAGTAGCCTCACTACATCCACTTTTGCCCCCTTCTAATCTATTTTCCACAGTGTTACCAGGGTGCAATTTTTTTATGATGATGGCTTAGAATCTTCAGTAACTGCCAATAGCTCCTTATTGATCTTAAGACAGAGGACAAATTCTTTCCTGGGATCTACCTCTTAGATCTGACTGCTCTCCCTCAGGTAGTGGTAATCTTCATCTTGTTCTCCTTCCACAATATTTTTCATTCAGTTCTTTGAAAGACCTATGCCATCTTCTACCCCTCAGCTGTCTAAGTTTCTGTTCTTCCTTTGCCCAAGATGTTCTTCCCTCATTCTCAGCTCAAGGAACCTTTCTCAGGGACGCTTCCTCTGCTCTCTCTTAAGTCACAACTCAATTCCATTTCATTTTCAAAACACCCGCAATTTTCTTGAAAAACACTCCCTTATTGAGAGAGAGAGAGAGAGAGAGAGAGAGACAGACAGAGAGAGAGAGAGAGAGAGAGAGAGAGAGAGAGAGAGAGAATTTGTTCCATGTGTTTTCTGGTTTTCCCAGCAGATAGTAAGAGCAATGAAGATAGGGAGTGAGTCAGGTATGCTTGCTCACCTGAGTAGTCTCAGCATCCCATGTTTGTTAAGTATTTATCTAAGAGTAAATGTATAAATGAGAATACCCAAGGCTGGTGCTAAAGGCTTGTATGTATGGCAATAGGATGTGTATGTCCAAGAAGGTGAGATATACCTGGGTTGGATTAAGATTCAAGTTAGTGCTTCTACCAGACTTCTGGCCTGTTTCTATCTGGCTCAAATCCTAGGTAAGGCTAAAAATTGAAGCTAAAATGTTTCCAGTACCAGCAGCTTAACAGGAATCATATCAAGAGAAGATGACCCAAAGAATCTGCCAAATTGTAACTCCAATGATCCTACACAAAATCACTGTGCCAGAATGATGTTCTTCTTTTAATAGCTGATGTTCTGGTAAAAATACTTGTGGCTTCCACAGCCTTTAAATAGATGGTATCATTAAAGAAGCAAACACAAATTTTATTAAACATAATTTATCTCATTTTGTTGCTTATGTGGCAACTCTACTTGTAGAAAACATTTGTTGTTGACCTGATATAGTTAGCTACCCTATTTGTGCAATGCTAAAGGCCAAGATTGCCTAATATACACCAGCTCATCATTTTCATTAATACCAACAATACCGTCAATTTCATACCATCATATTCCTCTTTCTCCTCCCTCCTCATCACCTTCACAAGAGTCCCTGGCATTTCTGTAGTGTTTTGAGCTAAAATGAAAGTGTCATTATTTCTGAGAACATTGAGGAAGACTTCACCATGGAGGTGGCAGGTGAACTGGGTAAGATTTAGAGATAACAACAAAAATAGACCTCCACTGATAGACATGGAGGCCTAACCTCCTCCTAACCATGCCCTTCCTTATATGTTAATCTCCAGGAGATTAACACTCCTATATTTCCTCTCAAATGGAAGAAGATGGTTTGGCAGAATGAGTGAGAACACATGCTGTGGAGACAGAGTACCTGGCTTGAATTCTGACACCATCACTCATTAGCTGTATGACCTGGCAAATCACTAAACTTCCATAAGCCTCAATTCCTTCATCTATAAAATGGGATAATTACAGCATGTGTCTTATATAGGAGTGAGCATAAACAGAGACAATGCAGGTAAAGTCTCAGAGTGGTGCCAAGCCTGTAAGTGTTACCTGTCATTGTGCAGCTTGCAGGGAAAGCATCATGATGGCTGTGATCTTGATTCTCTAATTTACTGTCACATCTCCACTCTTGAGAACAATGCCTAGCACACAACACATGCTTCATGGAAATTTTATTGAATGAATGAACAGAACCCCTGGGGAGGGTAGTGTGGCCAACCTATGAAAAAGTTAGCAGCAGACTGTGACAAAGCACAAGAAAGAAGCATGATTAATTGAAATGCATGTCTTTGATATTTTAAACTGATATTTCCAAACCATGCAACTGAAAACTGAAAAAAATAAAGTTGAATACGAGCATTATTCCTTCAAGGTAGTGTATTTTAACAAAAGGAGGGGAAAGAACTACCTCTCTTTCTTTGAGGGTTCTCTTTGAGCTTTGAAAAATAATAATTGCTAAAGAAGACAGTATCAGAACTACATTGAGTCATTATTTTATATGAAATATTGAAGAAGGGTAAGTACTTCAAAGCCCACTTCTTTCCCTTAAACCAACACTTATTCCAAATGACAAACTCCCTCAATTACCCGTAACATTAATGTTTATACTCGGCATTTGTAATACAATAAAACATAAAATGTTTATACTCGGCATTTGTAATACAATTTATATTTTAAAGTTTTCTGATATTTGATGTATCAGATGTTGGTGCTTATCAGATAAGGAAACAAGGGTCCGAAAGGTTTCTTAACTTCCAAGAGCTGAGCAGGCTGCTAACCTGGTCTGCTCATCTCCTAGTGGGATTTTTTTTTTTTCTCTTACATGGCATACTTCTCTGCCATCATTTTTAAAACTCTGAGGGGGAAAAGGAAGCTAAATGTTAACATGCTGTGACCAGTAAACCAAAGATGCAGTGATTGCTAGTAGGCTCCATCGTCGGCCCCTTGCAGGTGGTGGGGACATATTCAGGGGTGGTGGATATCAGTGAGCACAGCCCCTGACTGGTGGCTGCCCATGCAGAGTGTGGGGGTGGGGAGTAGATGGGGGGCTTTTCCTAATGCATCTAGCACCCAGTGCTCTCTGGCTTCCTAGCTTTTCCCATCCCATACCATAAAGAGTAGTTATGTAAGCATATTTCCTGTACTTAAATTCACAAGCCAATGTGTGGAGACAAGGACTTAGGATAGGAGTAAAGAGTCCAAATTTGAATGTCTCCAGCCATCTAGCTCCGACTGCTGCCTGCTCTGACTTTAGAATCATGGACATTCCAGCCCGGTGTGGTGGCTCATGCCTGTCATCCCAGCACTTTAGGAGACCAAGGCGGGTGGATCACCTGAGATCAAAAGTTCGAGACCAGCATGGCCAACATGGCGAAAGCCCGTCTCTACTAAAAATACACAAATTAGCCGGGCGTGGTGGCACATGCCTGTAGTCCCAGCTACTAGGGAGGCTGAGGTATGAGAATCACTTGAACCTGGGATGCAAAGGTTGCAGTGAACCGAGATCATGCCGCTGCACTCCAGCCTTAGTGACAAAGTGAGACTCCATCTCAAAAAAAAAAAAAAATCATGTACATTCCAATGGACATTCCAAGTTGGAGTGGTCCTCAAGGCCACCAAAGTCACCTTCTAATCAAAGCACGAGTTCTTTCTCCAACATCCTAGATAGGAATAGGAGAGTTACTCTTAGGGCTAAAGAAACTTCAGGAAGAGTTCAGGAGGCAGCCTGTCTGCTAGTTTGTGTTCTGTCAATTTTAGCAGATGGGCCAATGGCTTTTGGGGGATAACTCTTGAACAGAAGTCAGGCCTGTCCTCTGCTCCAAACCTAGAAGGACTCCTCATCTCATGCCGGGTCGAGCCAGTGTCCCTACAATGGTCCAAAGACCTGCCTCTGGCCCTACACCTTCTTCATCCCTGTCTCCACATACTCTCTCTCTCTTTCTCACTCTGCTCCAGCCTCACCTCTCTCCCAGGAGTCCCTTAAATGTACCATCTTGGCCTTACCACTGGCTATTCCCTCTGCCTGAATTATCCTTTCCTCAGAGATCTGCAAGACTCACTCAAGCTTTGACACAAAAGTGACCCAATCAGTGAGAGCTCCTCCTGTGACATTCTTTTTTTATTTTTTAAAAGAGAGAGATGGGGTCTCGATTGATCACCCAGGCTAGAGTGCAGTAGTGCAATCATAGCTCACTGAGGACTCAATCTCCTGGGCTTAAGCAATCCTCCCACCTCAGCCTCCTGAGTAGCTGGGACTATGGTCGTGTGCTACCATGCCTAGCTAATTCTTTTTACTTACTCTATTGCCTAGACTTGTCTCAAATTCTGGCCTCAAGTGATCCTTTTTCTTGGCCTCCCAAAGTGCTGGGATTGCAAGTGTGAGCCACCATGCCCAGCCTCTTATTTAAAATTGTAACCTCCCCCCACCATACTGCATTCCCACCCCAACCCCATGTTACTCTCCCCTTTAACTGCTCTATTGTTTTAAATTACTTTTTACCTTCTATCACTCCAGATAATTTATTTATTTAAGTTATTTGCTCCTGCTAGCAAAGCAGGCACATAGTTTGGAGATCATGTCCATTTCTCACTGACATCCCCAGGGTCTACAGAAATGCCTGACATGTAGTAGGTACTCAGGAAGTATTAATCAAATGATGAATGAAGAAATGGATTTCCATCAATAACTGTGTATTGATGTTTGCTGTCATTCTTAGGTAGACACAGGCTTCCTCTCTAGGTGTTAGGATTAAAAATAGAGTCTTCAGAAAAGGAGCATTTGGAATCATCAGATTTGGGTCTGAGTTTGGGTCCAGCCCTCTCTACCTAGCTATGTGCGTAGAGAAGTTGTTTTACCTCTCTGAGCCTCACGTTTCACACCTAGACGTGGATATAATAACTCCCATACTGACTTGTCATTATAAAAAATAAGATAATTTTTTTAAATAAATCACTAGATACCAAGGAGAAAAATAATACATTTAACTACTATTTTTAGAGTAGTAACAGCTGGATAAAGCTATGAATTGTTTAGAGATAAAATAGCCAAAATTAAAGGGAAGACAATAAGCCTTTCTGGACTGAGTTTTTAAAGTCTCTGTAAAAGTTGATTTGTTTATATCTTCTCTACCACCCTTTATTTGCACCATTCAGATTTATGAAGGCAATTGCTGCAAATGTTTGTTGATAATGGAATCTGTACTCCTCATTACTCCTTTGGATACCTGCATAGTGCGCTCACCATTTGGGGTCTCTGCGTAAATATAACCTCATCAGAGATACCTTCCCTGGCTACTCCACCTAAAATGGAAACTCCCTTCTTCTATAATTTGTTTCTCCTTTTAATCAGCTTTATTTTTCTCCATAGCACTTTTCATCAAGGCAAATAAAATGTTATTTTTTCTTTGTTTATTTTCTGTCTCTCCATAAGGCAAGTGAGAGATTTCTTCTATTTTGATGACTGACATATCCTCAGAGCCTAGAGTTGTTCCTGCTCTCACCAAATTGAAGAAACTGCTCTTTATCAATCAATTTTCCAAAAATATAGTTTGAAGACTTATCTTAGAGGCCTATGTCTAACCCAATAGCATGTGCCCTGGGTAAGACCTTAGTGTGCCCAGAATACTCCACATTTATGCCTGTCTCCTTTCTCTCTGAAATACGTCCCATTTTGTACAATAAATGACATTGTCACAATAACCGTGAAGTTCAGAAGAATTAACTATGACACATAATCCCACATTAAAAGAACAGATGGTATAGATGAGAAAAAGAAAGAAATTACCATTGATAGTAACAGCTAATAGTATTAAGTGCTATTATATGCCAAGGGGTCTATGTAATTATGTCACTCAGTCACAACAACCTATGAAGTAAGTCCCATTACCATTCCCATTTAACATATGAGAAGTCTGAAGTTTAGAGGGGGTAAGTAGATTCCCTGTGTTCTCACAACTAGTAAAAGGCAGAGCTGGGATTCAAATCCCAAAAACAGATCTTTGAACTACTAGGCTAGAATTGCAAGCACTATGGTGAGGCTTTTCCCTGTGTGGCCTCATTTTATCCTGTGTTAATACTGGAAGGTAGTTATCAATTATCCTGCTTTAAAAAAAATGGTAAAATAGGCTTAGCTGTGTTAAGTGGCAGAATTAGGATTTAAATCTAAAATAAGCATATTTATTTTTAAAAATTGTGAACAGGATGGTGTTAGGTATGAATCACCATGGGCTAAAGATATTTTATGTTACTAGCTTCCATTATATTTTTACTACCTAATGTGTCACAAGGTATATAACTCAGCATTATAGACCAAAACCCATTGCACTTACTCATAATCACCATGTACATAAATTTCGGAAGAACATTTTATTTGATTGAAACGTGAAATGAGTAAATTTGAAAAAGCAAGGGTAAACTAAATGCTTGTTAATAGATTTGCTTATGCTTATTCCCTGCTGTAGAGGTTAACTGATGCCTCTCTTTAGCTAGATCACCAATTTTAAGCCACTCTATTCTCTATACTCATCAGAGAAAAGGAGTATTGGGAGACCACTTGATTGGTCTCAGCTTGTAAAATAATACAGTTGAGAAACTTTGTAAAGTTATTTCATGTGAAGTCACCTTCTTTATGAGTGGGGCTACTCAATTTGTACTTAACAAACCATTTTTTCATTTTTCTTAGGCTAATGTGAGATTCCTTTGCAACAATAAACACACTTTTTTGGTAAAGTATAACAGAATATATAATGGACTTCTCTGAAGGAGTTAGGATCAAGACTTAGGTGACTTGGGAAAATGTTCCAACTTTTGGTGCATACTGTACTTTATCAACCCTGAACAACAGATGCATTTTAAGAGAAAACAAGCCCTTGGCAAGTTGCTATTTTTCGCTCAGTAACTAATGATGAATCAAAATGCTTCTTCAAACCCAATTACCCAATAAAAATTGCCATAGTAACCATCACATTACACCACACACCCTTCATGCTCACACCAAAAACTTCCTTAGGAACTGCTGACACTACCTCCTTGACACTGCCATCTGCTATGGAGGAGGAGATGGTGGGGGAAGTTGGCAAGGAAAAGGTAATTCTGTGTTTTGCAAATCACTGGGGGAGGGGGTCTTGTGGCAGAGATACACTGGTAGAAAAATTATTTTCTGAAGAACTCTATATCGGTTTTTACCATGAGCTTGAAGTGGCTCAACCCGGGAGCTTCAGACCTAAATTTAAGCTTGGTCATAAAGTGACCTCTTCCCTTCCTCCTTCCCTTACCCTACGGCACTGTAGGATCACCCTCCCTGCTCTCCTTCTGCCCAGAATAATTGTTGCCTGGGTCTTTTCTTGGTCCACTCCTCTTCATTTGTCAGGTTTTATCTAAATATTTCATCCCCAGAGGTTTTCCCCTGACTACTTAATTTAAATGAAAGTCTCCACAGGATGTCCCATTGGGAAGGGGCCTAATTTGTCTTATTTGTCACTGGAATCTAAATGCCTCAGTCATACTTGGGACTCAATAAATGCTTATAAAGTGAATGAATGAGGGAGGAAATTATATATGGGTAGTCATTATCAACATTAACCTAATAACCTAGATGGTACAAACTAATTAAATCCATTGATTAGGTTTATTTGACAAATTCATTCATTCAACTGCATTAGTGAGGGTAATGCACATTTGTTAGTTGTTCAAAGTTAGGTCTTCTGAGAAGCAGACTCTGAGAAGGAGATAAGTTTGTAGGAAGCTTATTAGGGATTCGGTTGGGATCAGTACCCACGGAGGAGAAAAGTTGGAAGCAGAAATAGACAAGTTGAGCTGTGACGCAATTTCAACAGAGACCACAGTCAACACTTCGGAGAGTTCTGAAGCTGGGATGACCTTCCCAGGATGTTCTGAGTTCCATTATGAGTTCCATTATGATCCTTTATGCCTCCATGTTGATCAGTTTTGGAGCATGACCTTGGATGAGAAGACCCTCTTTAGCTGAGGTAATCCTCAAAGGAGACTGGCAGCTGAGGACTGTCTGCCAGAAGCAATCCTAGGAGGACAAGTCCATCTTTCCTGAATGGAGACCCGATGGCTCATCACAGGATCCACCACGGTGCACCCCTTGTACCTCTAGGATCCACTTCTTCATACTGTTTCTGAGAGCTGTTCCTCTATGATCCTGGTAGGTTTCTCTTCTTTGGGGAAATTTAAAAAAGGAAGATTAGTGGGACAAATTACAGTCCCTTTTGCTGCAGTTGAGTCTTGGGGGCACCAACCGATGTACATTATTCTAGATTCCCCTCACACTCCACTAGTACCTCTGCTGGTCTTGTGGTTTACCTGGTGGTGTGACCCAGACTCTAACCTCTGAGTGCTCTGAGCCTCTGGTCACCATGACTTCCTCAGGCCATAGAAGAACCCATTCCAGATGGTGATTCTTCTTGTCTGTTGGTCACTTGACATGAAGAACCCAACATGCTCAGGTGAAAGTCATGGTTTAGAGTTCAGTGGGACTCTTGCTCTGTCACCTGATGAAAACATTCAGTTTTGGCAACCTGGAACTCTAAAGCAACAAAATGCAGAGTTTCTGGTTCTGAGATGCCAGGCTCCCCAAATGGGTTCCTGGGAGTGATGGTAATTGGGGCCACTCCTGCCTCTACCCCCTTGTTCCCCTGACTCATGTATTCTACCTATCAGGGACACAGCACCATTTAGAGGCCTTTGATTTAGTGTGTCCACTATGTCCTGGAGGGTGACAACCCATCCTCAGGGAGTATTGACTGCAAGATGGCTCTTCAGCTGCACCCTCACCAGGGTGCTCCTGCATTCTACCTGGGCATCAGCTTCTGGGGGGTAGAGTCAGTGTTGGAACCAGAGGATCCCACGGTTTTATGCCAATTCTTGCACCCCATCTGCTGTAAGGGAGGTCCCTTTGTCCGACACAACACCTGGAGGAACCTACAGTATTCTCCCCAAGCCAGGTCCTTCAATACACATCACTCCCCAAAGCTATAACAAACCTACCCCAGGCCCATACTGTCACCTCCACTTTTAGATGATTACAGCTAGCCTTAGAAGAAACACTCTTAAATGTTGTTAAAGCAGAGCCCTTGCTGTCCCATCCTCTGGGGGTCAGGCACTGAGAATGTGGTGAGAAGGGCAGCTTTGGCAGTGACCTGCTGGCCCAGGTCCATCCAGCAGGGGAAAGAGTCACTTGATTCTTTCAGGTCCCATCCATAAAGCACTCTAGATGCAATGCTTGGCAGGCCCTACATAAAGAGGGGAGAGAATTGAATCGGTATTCACTCTGGTCTTCAAAACATATCTAATTTGCCTATCTGTGAATATTTATAGACTTTATTTCCACAGCAATGTTGAAAATGTCCCTGTGTCCACATGAGGAGCCTTCTCAGAAAGTATACCTGATTCTTTTCTGACAGCCAGCAACTCATGGGTCATTAATTCTTTTTTTTTTTTTCATTCAATAAACTTTTAATATGCACCTTTCATTGCTAACTACTCTGCCAGGGGCTGCATGCGTCTATCCTAGATTCGAGGCACAGAAGACTGGATTTTCCAAGGTATACCTCTTTTGCTCACTTCTACATCTGTTTCATGTGTTATGACTGGATTGTGATGCATATTCTATTTTGTAACTTAGGTGAAACCTAACTTCCTTGGAATCACTGCTTCACTGGGGTTAGGTTTTAAAACCAACAGCTGAGTAAAAATCATGCTTTTAAAAACTCTCTCAAATGCCCACAAAAATCAGTAAATGGATGTATCATATTTCAGCAAGTCCAGGATAGCCAAATTTCCTTTCTGTATGGTTGAACTCCAGATAAAGCAGTTGGCTTGTATTTAGGTAGCATGATTATGAAAGAGATGTAACTTTAAACCTAGTGACACACTGAGTCCAGTGGAGTGAGCACGCTATTGGCGGCCACAGCTTGAGACACTATAGATCCTCATCTTCTCACTCCATGTCAAATGCTCATGAACAGACAGCATTGCTGGAATTATTTAAAGTGCTTTATTTCCTCCTTTCCTCTCCCTTTTGCTTCCTTTTACTTACCTTCATTTTTCTTCCCTTATTTGTGTATCTGTTTTTCTCTCTCTCTTTTTTCTCTCTTTCTCTTTCTCTCCCCAAATATTTAATTAAAATGGCATACAAACTAAAGACACAGATGTGAACATTCCACTGCATTATAATATGTTACTTTGTACAACTCAAATTCAAAGAGAGAAACTTCCTCCAAAACCCTATGCAGATTTGACAGAACTCTGAACCTGGTTCTTTGTTTTCCTTGCAAATAATAGTTGGATTTTATTATGCACATGATCCCCTAGAAGCAGCATCTCCCCATAACACTCAATTTATTAACATTGATACTAATAAGAATTATTTGGTGGTGACATCTCTAGCTCGAATGTTCAAGGAAGTGTTTGTGACCTCCTAAAATAAGAAAGTCCATATATTGTGAGGTTCAGAATTGGACATATTGACATGAAATGGATTTTGGAATCCATACTCTCAGCTCCATTGTAAATATGTAATTCTTGGGCAAGTTAGGTGAGCTATCTAAGCTGTCTTTCTTTTTCATACAAAACAATGCAGTCATACTTTGCAGGATTGGGATGAGGATTTAAGGAGATAATGGCACTATAATGTGAGGCATTTAGGTATGGTAATCTCTTGGCTCTCTCCTTGCTTCCCCAACCATGTGCAGCCACTCCAACCTTACCATCCTATTCTCCAGCAATTCTGGGCACTTTTTTACCTCCCCAAATGCTTCCCGCATTTTCTTGACTTTCTACCCATTGCTTCTTTAAAACACTTTCCCCATCCTTGCTTGCCTAACTTCTATACATTATTCATGAATCAACTTAAATGTTACCTCCTCGAGGGAGCCTTCCTGGATTCCCTACCATCTACAGATTCTACTCTAATGCATTATCTTTACAGCATAGTATAGTTAGTGCTTAAAAGCGCAGTCTTTGTGTTAGTCCATTCTCATGCTGATATGAAGAAATGCCCAAGATTGGGTAATTTATAAAGAAAATAGGTTTAATTGGCTCACAGTTCTGCATACCTGGTGAGGTCTCAGGAAATTTACAATCATGGTGGAAGACACCTCTTCACAGGGTGGCAGAAGATAGAATGAGTGCCAGCAGGGGAAATGCCAGATGCTTATAAAACCATCAGATGTCCTGAGGACTCACTCACTATCATGAGAATAGGATGGGGAAAAGGGGGAAACCACCCCATGATTCAAATACCTCCACCTGGTCACTCTCTCAAGCAATGGCCCAAGCTGATGTTGGCCCCTTTTAGCCATGACTGGGGCTCAGAGCGCCAAGTCCTGAGGCTGCACAGAGCAGCAGGGGGGCCCTTGGCCTACCCCAGGAAACCATTTGTTCCTCCTGGGCCTCCAGGCCTGTGATGGGGTAGGGAGGCTGCTGTGAAGGTCTCTGACATGCCCTGCAGACATTTTCCCCATTGTCTTGGTGATTGACATTCAGCTCCTCGTTACTTATGCAAATTTCTCCAGCTGGCTCGAATTTCTCTCCAGAAAATGGATTTTTCTTTCCTCTTGCATTGTCACGTTGCAAATTTTGTGAACTTTTATGCTCTGCTTTCTCTTGAACCTTTTGCCGCTTAGAAATTTCTTCCACTAGTTACCCTAAATCATCTCTCTCAAGTTCAAAGTTCCACAGATCTCTAGGGCAGGGGCAAAATGCAGCCAATCTCCTTGCCAAAACATAGCAAGGGTCACCATTGCTCCAGTTCCAAAGATGTTTCTCATCTACATCTGAGACCACCTCATCCTGGACTTCATTGTCCATATCACTATCAGAATTTTGGTCAAAGCCATTCAACAAGTGTCTAGGAAGTTCCAAACTTTTCCACATTTTCCTGTCTTCTTCTGAGCCCTCCAAACTTTTCCAACCTCTGCCTGTAACCCAGTTCCAAAGTCACGTCCACATTTTTGAGTACTCTTATAGCAGCACACCACTCCTGGTACCAATTTATTGTATTAGTCTGTTCTCACACTACTATGAAGAAATACCCAAGACTGGGTAATTTATAAAGAAAAGAGGCTTAATTGACTCACAGTTCCACATGGCTGGCTGGAGAGGCCTCAGGAAACTTACAATTATAGTGTAAGGCACTTCTTCACAGGGCAGCAGAAGAGAGAATGAGTGCCAGCAGGGGACATGCCAGACGCTTATAAAACCATCAGATCTCATGAGAACTGACTGATTATCCCAAGAATAGCATGGGTGAAACTGCCCCATTGTTTCAATTACCTCCATCTGGTCCCACTCTTGACACATGGGGATTATTACCATTCGAGGTTGGATTTGGGCAGGGACACAAAGCCAAACCATATAAGTCTCTGAAGCCTGACTTGCTGGGCTCCAAATTTGTTTGGAGGGGTGAGCTGAAGCAAGTTACTTAACTTGTCTTTGCTTCAGCATCCTCATATATAAACTGGGGATTAGGGTGACGTTGCATCCCTATTTTCTTATGAAAAATGAGGTTTAGACCTCTGACCCTAACAGAATTACTACAAACAGCCCTTTCATTGTCAAAACCATTCTGATTGGACAATAAATTATATGGTCACCCTAATAATAATAGTAGCACCTACCTCATTGGCTGACTATGTGAATTTAATGGGTAGCAATGCCTATGACACAGTAGATATTCAATAAAATCAGCTGTTCATGTGACAGGTATCAATTGTCTCAGTGTACCTCTGTCCTAGCACTCATTCCTCTATGCAGTAAGTGCATGTCTAATTGTCTGCCTTCCTCACCAGACCTGAACTACTTGAGGGCAGGGAGATCATCTATCATGATCATATTTGTACCCTCAGTGTGCAGTTCAATGGATAGCTGTAAAGTCACATATACAAAAAGAAAATAAATCCCTATCACAGGATTAGAAATTTGTAAATGTTTGAAAGATAATTGCTGTATTTTGCAAACAAAACAGATTTGTAAATGAAGCTGCACACCTCTCATTTATCTAGCAATAATTTACTGGGCATCTACTGTATGCTGGTGACTGCTAAGCTCTAGGAGGTTTCTCAGTCTTCAAACTATTGATATTTAGAGCTAGATAATTTTTTTGGTGGGGGAGAGAATATTGTCTTGTGCAGTGTAGGTTGTTTGGCAGCCTCTATGGCCTCCACTACTATATATGCCAGTAGCACATGCTCTCTCTAGATGTGACAACCAAAAACCTCTTCAGGCATTGTCAGATGTCTCCTTGCAGGTAAAATAGTCCCCATCTGAGATCACTAATAAGGAGGTAGGACCTACCTCTTTCACCTTGGAAATGGTGCTGGGAGTCTGGGAGATCTAGTACTTGCAAATTTTGCCTAACAAAAACCATGCATGGGATCCTGACATAGTTCATATAGTCTTCTTATTTCCTCCCTGAGTAATTAGTATTCATAAAAAGTTAATTCAGTACTATGTGCTTTTTTTAACTAAAAGAGTTTAATCAATGAATTTAATAAAGATAACACATCTGCATAAGATTTTCTTTTTTACTGTTTGTAAAAAACATTCATTCATTATTGTGTGCCTACTGTTTGCCAGATGGTTTATCTTCATTTGGGATTTTATCTCCTTTGGACATGATATCTTTTTCCTCTCTTCTTTGGTATAATAAGCAAAGAATCATATACATCCATTGCAGATAAGTCATGAATGGCTCTAAAAGATTGATATCATCAAGAAACTGAAATCCTCTGTTTGAGAACAAAGCCTCCATGGAAACGTTGTCATCTGGCCTTGGCACTCACCCATGCCTTTCTGAGGAAATTATTACAGGTCTTTTGGAAACCCTCAGTTCTGACATTTCTCATGGAGATCTAAACAGGATTGGTGAGAGAACCTCTTGTTATTTGTGTTTCCTGCCACTCCTTCCCTTTTTATCAATGTTGCCCAGCATTGTTGGTGACCCAGGCAGTGATCTGTCCGCTAAGCCACCAGGGATTGTGACTGTGAAAATGTAAGCTTCCTAAGATTTCATGTTCCATATGCAAATGGAAAAAAACTAAGGTCTAGAATCCTGCCATGTTTAGATAGACTTTTTAGGTAGTAGATCCTTTATTAATAATAGTAAGTCATGGGGAAAAATCTCATCATTGCCAGAGTAAATAAACTTGAAAAAGCCCCACTGCCCAGGAAATCATTCTCTTGATAAGGGCATATGATTTTTTCCCTTGAGCCACAAGCACACAGAGGTCACTGGTGCCTCTTCAGTGCCTCTCCTGCTGAATCTCCCAGCGGCTCCTACAGACAACCACAGGAGCGTCCTGTCAACAAAGATTTACTGAATGACTGCTGTGTGTCAACTACAGGAATACATCAATGGATGGCAGTAACTCCTGCCCACAGGAAAACACAGACAAGACCCAAGAACTGACAGGAGCTATAGAGCAGTATGATAACAGTTTGCTGGCAGGAAATGTGAGAGGGGGACAGCCTAAAAGATAGGGGGCTTTCAGGGAAAGAGAAGCTGCTTCTTGTGCATTGTGAAGCATGCTGAGGAAGTAGTTGTGTGTGTGTGCGTGTGTGTGTGTGACAGAGAGAGAGAAAGAGAGAGAGAGAGAGAATTTGGAGTGGGAGCAGGGAGACATTTAAGGAAAAGGGAACCAAATGTGCAAACACCAAGGTGTGGTTCATGTATTATTCAGGGTTCCAGCAGGAAACATTCAAAAGAGTAAATGAAGTAAGCTGAAGCAAAGTTTTGAGATGGGATTAAGGGAGCCACAAGGCTTGATGAAGCACCCATGGACTAGCTGCAGAGGAAGCTGTTTCCACTCCTATGGGCCTGAAGGGGCAAGGGGAGGGATGGTATCACCAGGCCCTCACAAGAGCTCCTCTACAGTAGAGGAATACAGTAATTGCACAAACTCCAGCACAGCAGGATAAGCAATTGCCCCAGATCTTGCTCTCTCTCGTTCCTGATTTTTCTGTCTTCCTCTTCGGCTAGCCATGGCAAAGCCCAAATGGAAACTAAAGATGAAGAAACTTGATAGATACAGTCCAGAGATAACAACTTTTCTGGGCAAAGAGTGGGACACAGAAGGGCAGTTTTTTAGAGGCCAAAGGAGAATAGCCAGCAAAGTTGGTCCAGTTAACTCCAAGTTATCCTGTGTGACTAGAAGCCTGGAAGTACACAGGGAAGAAATAAGAGTCAGGAGAGGGAACCAGAGAGGAGAGGGAAAGCACCAAATCCCAAAGGCTCATTCATAGTCTCTGCCCAGTGCTTTAGTATGGAGGCAGCCTGTATGAGGACGGCAGTACTAGTGGCTGCCATTTTGGGATATTTACTGTGTATCAGGCAAATACTAAGTATTTTGTAGACAGCGCTTCCAATGGCCTCGTTTAGCCTTTATAGCCACCCAGGAAGAATCCTCATGCACTGACTGCTAAGTTCCAATTCCTTTAATAATGATTTGACAAGTTCTGCTTCATTTTATGCTCTCAGTAACTTTAGGTGATAAGGATTTATTTTTTCTTTTGCATGTGAAGAGACTGTAATTTCACTGGAATATGAGATCTAGGGGGACAGAGACTTGTTCTGTATCCCTGAGCCAGGGGTAGTGTCTGGCACACAGTATATAATAGGTCACCAGTAAGTTAAAAACTAAAATAGACTCAGAGGCTCTCAGAGGTGGAGTTTTGGAGTTAAATTCTGACTTCCAAACTCTGAAAGCCCTAAACCACAGAATGATCCCAGCCAGTTGAGGGGGGAAGAAGTGCACTTCCCTTCAACCCTGTGAGTGTCCATGAGAATCTAATTTAGCAGAGGCCTTCCCTAAGAGAAGGCTGCCTGGCTCACAGCCCTTTAGTCTCTCCCCTAGAAGGACTGCATATTATTAGTCTGTAAGCTCCAAGAGGGCAGGATATGTGTTTGTTTGGTCCACATACGTATAACCCTAGCACACTGCTTGACCTATAGGAGGCACTCAGTAAATATTTGATTACTCTACAGATGAATAAGAAGCAGCACCGTGATGAATAAATGCGAGCACTGTGCAAAGCACTGGGGCTAACAGAGTTCATAATGGGTGAGCCTGATCACCAACATTTAAGGGCAATAGTAGATGCCTATACAGAGTACAGGTCGAGAGATCAAAAAAGAAAAGAGTGATTGACCAAGATGAGGCTTGACCTCCATGAATTAAATAGATGATTGTCAGACAGATGAGGAGGAAGCTGCAGAAAGAGCATGCCAGAAAAATGGTATGGCTTCAACAAAAAAGCATGGGAGGTGGAGTGGGAATGGGAGGTACATGTGAGACTTCCAGGGGCAGAACAAAGAAAGATAAAGCTGGGGAGGGTGTTGGGAGGCAGATCACAGGCAACCTGTATGCTACACTGTGAAGTTCAGGCTTGCTGCAAATGCCCTGCCCTGTACCTACTTACTTTGCCTGTTCTTTGCTCGTGTAAACCTAATCCCTCCATGGTACACTAGACTACATCCACCCTCTCACCTGCTCAAGGACTTCACTCTTGCAAATCTTCCCCCACCCTTTCCCGATAACTGTGAAGACCAAAAGGAAACCTTTTTTTCTCTGCAGTTACTCCAGCATGGTGGGGGAGGAAAGGCTCAACAAGTCTTGTTGCTGTTGTTGTTGTTTGTTTTTATTTGCAAAGAGCCAGGCAGTAAATAAGTAAATATTTGAGGCTTAGCCAACCACATAGTTAATTTCCCTCCCCCTCCTCTTCCTCTTCTCCTCCTCCACCTCCTCCTTCTTCTCCCACACTTCTTTAAAAATGTAATTATTCTTAGCTCACCCATAATCTGTGGACCCTAGGAGAAAAGTGTGGATAAAACTCCTCCTTGTCTTCCCAGAACTCTCCAGGTTTTAAAATAAAGCCCTGTGTCCCAGTCAAACCAAGACAGTCAATCACCCTAGTACCACTTACTAGCTCTATTATTTAACCTCGCTGAGCCTCAATTTTCTTTTCTGTGAAATGGAGCTAATAAGCCCAAGCAGGACTGTCCATAAAATAGCATGTGTAAAGGCTAAAGCACAGGATCTGGAAAACAGCTGGAGTGTGTAAACAGACGTTCCCCCAAGTCCCCTTCTGAAGAGGTTGGCAGGATTTCTAAATGGTAGAATTAAGTCAGGCTGCAAAACACTCCTGGAATAATTATGGCTACTTGTTTTGTCCACTTCTCTGAATACAATAAATAGACATTTTGAATATGTTGATATCTTAAACTACTTTGCATTAGCATAATTTAACTTTAAAATTTGTGCAAAAATTCCTTCATCATTTTTACCTATTTTTAAATGTTGTAATCACTTCTTTTATTTTTTCTCAATTATGGGCCTTACTTTTAGCCTTTAACATTTTTACTTCTTCCTTAATGTTTGTGTGTGTGTGTGTGTGTGTGTGTGTGTGTGTGATGGTGTTTCACTCTTGTTGCCCAGGCTGGAGTGCAATGGTGCGATCTCAGCTCACTAGCTCACTGCAACCTCTACCTCCTGGGTTCAAGCAATTCTCCTGCCTCCACCTCCCAAGTAGCTGGGATTATAGGCATCCACCACCATGCCCGGCTAATTTTTTTATTTTTAGTAGAGATGGGGTTTTGCCATGTTGACCAGGGTGGTCTTGAACTCCTGACCTCAGGTGATGCACCTGCCTTGGCCATCCAAAGTGCTGGGATGCAGGCGTGAGCCACCGTGCCCAGCCTTAGTTTTTTAAATTCATTTTTTTAAAAACCTTATATCCCTGTTCTTTTTCTTTTCATTCTATTTTTCAAAATTCTTTCTGTTATCATTTGAAATGACTGTTTTTTTCCCCTTCTTACTTTGTAATTTCTCAGGATATTATTCTTGGAATTCAAGTTGTTAATAGAGGTTTTTCATCATTCAGTTTTACTCTTTTATTTATTTTACTTTTATTTACTTTTTTAGCTGAGTTCAGGAGGCCTCATTTTTTTTTTTACCTTTTCTTAGATTTTTACTTAAGTTTACTACTTTATTGCTATGTTATTTTTTAAGCTTCACTATGAACTATTTATAATTCTTTCTCCAATTCAGTGTGTACTATTTATAAAGGGCAGGCAGGAAGCATGGCCACAGAGCCAACAGCTGTGGGAAAAGCCCACGACCCTGGCAGAGGATGTTGGTGGGAACTGTTTGTCCTTCCTCTTATCTCTGCAGCTACTCCTATAGATTTTCTTCCTCTTTTATCCCTTTCTTCACTGAATCCTTAAAGAGTTTAACCTTCGCGATAACTGTTCCTCAAGTGGCCTTTCTATAACACATACCCGACCAAGTCACTTACCTGTTAAATCCCTTCAGTGGGTCACTGTAGTGACATATAGACAATGAAAACAATAATAATGACAATAACTGCAACCACAGTCAATACATATTGAGTAATGATTGTGTTACAGGTCTTCTGCTAATTTCATTGATTATCCAACATTTTGAGGAAGGTATTCCTGTTTCCAGGTAAGAAAATTTGGGGGCCAAAAAAGTTGATTAACTGAGCCAAGTTTACATAACAAGTAAATGGCATTATTAGAAGCCCAAATTCTTAGCCACTAAGCTAAACTGTTAAGCTCTATGCGTAGCACAGCAAATCACACTTTGAGTATCCACTCCCGTAGTGAGGATAAGGACTTCCTACAGTCCCCCTGGAGGTAAATGGCAGCAACAGGACTGAAGGCCACTCTGTCTGATCCCTAAGCACCCCCTCTACTCTTTTCCCTGCAGAGTAAATAATGGACATAAATGTTCTTTGTAAAGCACCGTAAATATAGAAGACTTTAATACTTCATGGTCCTCTGGGATATTTCTTAACCTGGAGGAAGAACATCCATGGTGCATCATTTATCCAGAAATAAAATAGAAAAAAATTACACCATAAACTAGACTTTGGAAAAATAGATGGCCTCATATTTCCATATATATCTAGCATTTATTGGGCATTTGTGATCTGCTAGACATATTCATATACAGTATATATATATAATGTATATATATAAAATATTTGTATATATAGTATGTGTATATATTAGATATATATAATATATAATATTTGTATATATAGTATGTATATATATTAGATATACACACACGTATATATAGTATTAACCTCACTTGTATGAGGCAAGGGTTTATTCCCATTGGTCAGATCAGAAAGTTGAGGCTCATCGAGACATAAAGTGACTTGCCTAAACTCACATGGCTAGCAGGTGGTGGAGCTGAGGAATGCAAACCCAGGTCTCTGATGACAAAAGCTCCAGCATCTGGCAGGTGCAAAGGCGTTTAGTAGGAAGCTTCCCCACCCACTCTCTCAGGACGCCCACCTACTGCAGATTCCAGACACCCCTGAGAGCTGTGGAGAGCGTCTAATCTCCTTCCAGGTTTTCTCCCTCACTCCTCGTCCTCAGGCTTTGAGGCGGAATAGCCCAGGTGGTAATCACCGCTCCAGAATTTTTTAAGCTACTTGGCTTTGGGCAAATTACTCTCAGGGCCTTAGCTTTTCCATTTAAAGATAGAGATATTATGGTGTGCTTGAGAACACCTTTGTGAGGGAAGGGATAAACATACAGGCCCTAGACAGGAATGGGACCTAGTTCACAGTGAAATGCTCCATGAACGTCTTAACTGAATGAAGTAACTATTTTTTACGATGCATTTGAAGACCCTTTCCCTGCCTTAGGTGGCTCTTTTATTTCCTAGAGCCACCTGGAAGCCAACCTGGTCTTCTAGACTGTGCTGGAAAGGCCTGCAGACAACGCGCACCTCCTTCCCAAGGTGCGTGTTGTCTCTTTTCCCTTTACCAGGCTCAAGAACTGATCTGTAAAAATGGCCGAATCCTAGGGTGCATGTGGCGAGCCTGGATTTGTTGATGGGGTGAACTGTCGTTGTGTTAGTCCAGCAGAGACTCAGCCATGGGGTTGGTGAGCACAGCTGTTATAATTCAGGCTCTGGCTCCCATTACCAGGGATCACACCTCAGCTTTACCACTTGCGTCATTCATTATCTCAAGCAAATGACTAAACTTCGAGCTTCAGTTCCGGCATCTACAGAATGCTCATGTTATAGTGTCTACCATATTGGGCTATTGTGAAGACTAAATGAATTAAAATATGCAAGGCACTTTGGATGATTCCTGGCACATATTAAGTGTTCTGCTCAACAAATGCTAGCTAGCTATTAGAGAATGAGGCCAACACTTCTTCAGCCAGGCTCGTTTACCTGCATATATGAGACCTTTACCTACATTTTTCCCATACACCCAGCACATTGTGGCAAAATATTAAACCTGTGTCCTGCCTTGTCCAGTATTTATTTACTAAATTATACCCCTGTCTCCTGAGTGGGCTTTGTTTTCTCTGAATATCAAAGGTCTCCATCAGATCCTAGCCAGGTCTTGCTTAGACCCCACCCTCCTGTACCCAATTCCCAGGCCTACCACTGTGGAGCTGTTTAACTTTAGAGATGTTCCTTAACTTCTCTGATCCCAAGCTCCCACATATGTGAAATAAACATAATAATGGCTCCTTCCTCACTGAAATTAAATATGAACATGTATGAAAGGGACTTTGTAAAGTGTTCTGCACTTAATATAAACTCAATTAAAGTAAGTCATACTTGTTATTATTTAGTCTCCCAATTTCAGTTTTAACATTCTCCAAAATTTATGATGAAACATCAGTCCTAAGGACAAACCAGGGTAAAAGATCCACAAAAGAAAGTATTGGAAAATATCCAAATGCAAATCAGTACTGGATTGCAACACATCGTTCCTTTATTTTCTGTCTAAATGTTTAAAAGAAAATGAACTCAAGGCCCAGATCCAGGGATCACTTTCCCAGAGCTGGTCTTTCCACGCACACAATCACACTTGAGTGGGTGCTTCGGGGAGATCCAGAAATAGGTGGAAGTATCTTCTTTCCGCTCTGAATAAAGCAGGCCTTTCTAGCCTTCAACAGCTTGGGCTGCAGACTGTGGGGATGTTCCTTGTACAAAGTGTGCTATGAAGAAAATATAGTGCAACTTCCTGTGGCACCAGAAAACACACAGTGAGTGCAGAGTGGAGAGGACGGGCCCCTCAGGACACCCCAGGGAGATATCCCCCTTTCCCACCTCCACTCTGGGGAGTTAGGCCCTTAAAACACAAATCCTATATCAATGGGGAAGCTGGCTCTGTGAGTGCTTCCAACTTTGAACTCCCTGGCATCAAACAGCAGTGCCCATGCTGTCTCTATCACCCAAGCTTCATGGAGAACCTTTCCACTCCTGGGGTTGGGGGAACGAGAAGGGGAAAGTGAGGAGGGAATCTTCTTCCTGTTCCAGAAGAATTCATAGAGGACTTCTCACCTCAGAGTGACAACTTTCCACTTTCCGGTGATCACAAAACTGGACCAAAGAGGTGGGCAATTGGAATTCACTCATGTTATTGTGTCAACTCAGTTAGATTCACCAAGTGTATGAAGCACTGGGATGCTAGGCCCTGTGCTAGGAGATAAGAGACGGTGGACACAAGCTCTGCCCTGGGGGAGTTCAGATTGAGTAAGGTTGATGGACATATAAAAAGGATATCAAAGTTCAGGGTTATACGTGATCATCAGGTCATTGACATGACTCAGAGATTTCTTCATGCCAGTCTATGGACCCACCGCAGCAGATCGACTTGGGAGCTTCCTAAAAATAAAGTTCTCCAAGATCACATCCCTGGATATTTGTATTCAGTGGGTCTCAGTATGGCCAAAGGATCCGCATTTTTTTTAACTAGAACTTGCTGAGAATCATCTTTGTCTCTTCTCTTTTCTATGTAGTCCACAAAAAATCCACCAGCAAATCCTGTTGTCTCTTCCCTTGGAATACATTCAGGGTGTGGCCCTATCTCATCACCTGCATAATTACCACTGTGGTCCATGTCAAAATCTCTTTTCAAGGAGACTCTTGGAAGCAGCCTCTAACTTGTCTCCCTGACTGTCCTTGCTGCACTACTGTCTGTTTTCTTCCCAGTCGCCCAAGTGACTCTTGAAACACAGATGGTAGGTCATGTTTCCAAGTGCTAAGAACTTTGCAGGGCCTTCCCATCTCATGGAGAGAAAAGCTTCAAGACCCTCCATGGTCTGGCCCTTTGAGACCTTTCAGAGTCTGCTTCTGAAAGCTCTTCCCCAGGCTCCCACAAGGCTCTCTGCTCCAGCCACAGTGGGCCGCATGCTGGGCTGAAGTGGGTTCTTGCTTCTCCTGCCTCAGAACCTTGGAACTTTTCTGTGCCTGGAATGCTCTTCCCAAATGAGGATGACTCCCTCACTTCTTTCAGGTCATTGCTCAAATGTCTTCTTATCAGAGAGGCCTTCTCTGAACTCCCTTTAAATTAGCAGTCTTATTCCTGTGCCATCACTTTCCATCCTACTTATGCTGCTGTATTATTATTTATGGCATTTATCACACTCTCATACCACCACCACCACCATGTGTTAAATATTCCTTGGCTTGCTTGTTTATTGCCCATCTCCCACCACTAGAATGACAGCAGGACATTATCTGCTTTGTACACTGCCAGTTTATAAAACTGCCTGACACATAGAACTCGTTCCATAAATAATTTCAAATGGATTAATTAATAGAAGTGAGGGGTTAGGAAGGCTTTTCAAATGTAGTTTACAGATGCATAAGGGCAGGAAAAAATGATTAATAAATATTTCTCAAGTATATCACACCTAGCACATCAACTCTGGGTCAGAGGTGGCTTACAGATAGGATGGGACCCGAGGGATCCAGGTAGAGCCGTAGGTTGGAGGGATTACAAAGCACAACCAATCTGAGATGGTCATCACCATATGCATTTAACCCTTCATGGAACTACCAATCTGCTACTGCCACAATGGAGTGGTATTTCCATCAAAACATTTAGTAAAAATTAATAATAGTAATAATTGAACAGTTCAGGCATTTTTAGATAATTACTAGATACTAAAACCCAAACACTTATTTTTAAAGTTATTTGTGAGGTCAGTTACTGGCCAATATCAGGAGACTCTATCTGGATGGTCTTTTCTGCATTGTTTTTTTCTCATTGGTTCCAGACCTCAGGATTTGTTCTACTGGCTGCATAAGTTTTGAACATCCTGCTCTGCTTCTCAGACTCTCAGTCATCTCTTTTGGAATCTGCAAATGCTCCCAGGAAGGAAGAAGCCCCAAATGCTAGGGTCACCTGTCTAAGTGTAGATCTTGACACCTTAGGGTTTGTACTGCCTTGTTAGATCTCCACAACTGAGTTTGTTTGAATAACTTATTCTTCCTATTTCAGTACACACACAGATACACACATATTTACACAAGTGCGTGCAGACTTACGTACTTATTTTTATTTATATATGTATATGTATATATGTATATGTATATATATATTTCTTCATATTTTAAGCATTAGAATCACATTGAATTTATAGATTTGTATGTTAAGTGCAGTTTAAAATATTACATTTTACTTAATTCATCAGAGATTTGCTAATGTCATTAAGTATTTTAAATGCAATTTTACATTCTTTTTGTTTACACAGACCACAATTTATTCAGCCATTTCTCTTACTGTTAAAAATATGCAGTTTCCATTTATAAATTTTTCATGAATAAAGCTACAATGAATATTCCCTAACAGAAGTTTCTAATGTTCTGTCTGATGATCTCCTAAAGACAGATTTCTAGAGGTTGGGTCAGTGGGTCAAAAGAAATGAGTCAAATTTTGCAACATGTTGCCAATTTTCTTCTCATAAATATTACAGTAAAGTTCCTTCATATCAGCAAGGTATCAGATTGGTTTTGTTAATAAGAACCAGTTTTCTTTAATTTGAGACTTTGCTCACATTTTTCTGCTTAGATTAGAGCAGTATTCCCCTTTATTTTTCCCCCTTTTTATAGTTTCATTTTCCACATTTAGCTCTAATCCATTGGCATTTATTTTTGCATATAATATGAGGTGACTATCAGTCCATTTTTTTCCCCTGTAGTTGACCAATTATCTTTTTTGGGAAAATTTTCTTTCCCTTTAAACCTTTGATCTTTGAGCTACATGTATCATGTACAAACTTTTTACAATTTTTATTGTCTGTTTCTATACAGCATAGTCTACTTTATTCCATTAGTTTTGCAGTTGGGTTTTTCTCTGCTGTGACAGTTTTAATTATCATAGCATTATACTACATGTTACCTTCTGGTTGGTCAAGACCCCCCTCTAATCTCTTTTGTTAAAAATTTATTTGATAGTCTAACTCATGTGTTCTTTCAGATATACTTTTAAATCATCTTTCAAGTCCCAAATAAAAATTCCATATGGGATTTTGATTGTAATAATATTAAAGCTGTAAATCATCTTAAGTCATGCATATATATAGTTACATATTATAACTATTAACATAGTTAATAATAGCATTTTTAACAGAAATACCTCTCTTCTTTATCTTTTGTAAAGTCATGTACTTTTTTTCTTTTCTAGCTCTCATGCATTTGTTAGTATTGCTTAAGAATAGTTTTGGTGTTTTATCTTACCAATGCTATTGTAAGATCATTGTTCTGGCATATTTTATAAATGATAATTACTGGTACATAGGAAAGCTATTCACCCATTCATGTATTTATTTATCAAATATCTAGAACTTATTAAGTGCTGAGCAATTAATTGACACTATGCTGAGCATTTATTTACTGTGCTGGATGCTAGTTGTCCATTAATGGCTAAAACAAACATCATCTCTGTATTATTAGAACTCACAATCCAGTGCGGCAGATAGGCATCAAGTAACCAAGCAAGCAAATAATATATAATTACAATTTGTGATAAATTCACAGGGTGCAGGAATAAAGTATAGCAGGGAAATCCTACTTTGATATAGTGATCAGGGAGTGTCTATCCGAGAAAACTATAATAAAGCCAAGAACAGAAGGATAAGAAGAATCAGCAAGGCAAGAAGTATGGAGAGTAGTGTTCGAAGAAGAGGAGATGACATTTGAATGTCCCAGAAATGATAAAAATCTAATGAAGGAATGGAAAGTAACAGAAATCAGATTGGTTAGAGCAAAATGAGTAAGTGAGGAAAAGTACAAAATGGTCTTGAAGAGGATCAAACGATCCTCACTGTCATGATGGGAAGTCTTCATTTTACTATTTTAACAATGTATTATATTATAATAGGTACACTACATGCACATATACAAAAACCAAAAAGGTAGAGTTTAAAAACCCAGACTTCAGTTTCTGTCCCCAGCATTACCCAATAACTTATTGAGTGTGTCTGTGCATTTAAAAATGATAGTACATGTTAGTTCTTTCCTTCTCCCAAGCCCACTTTTCAACTGGATGGATTTACAATATGACCAATCCTCTGTTTAGGGTCATTTAAGTTATTTCTAATTATTTATTATTGTAAAAGATCTTATTATATCCTTTGATCTTTGCACATGGATGGTCATATTTATGAAATAAGTCTACAGAATTAGGGTTACTGAACTCATGAGTAGAAATATTGTCAATTTTTACAGATATTGCCAGATTCACACATTTCACCAACTAGGTATAAGAGTGACTATTTTCCCCACAACCTAGCCAGTGTGAAATGTTAGTAATCTGGGAAATTGACATTAAAATCATAATGGGAGACCATTCTGTATCCACCAGGTTAGCACTGAGTATTCCCACTCCACACCCCAGAGTCACCTTTGCACATGTGCCCCAGGAACATGCCCACAATGTTCAGAGCAGCATTTTCCACAAGAGAATGGGAGTGGAAATAATCAGAATGTCCATGAGTGGTGGAACAGATAAATATTTTGTGGTGTATTAAGTACTATTTAGCAGTAAAAATAAAGGAACTATCAATGTATGCATCAAAATGAATAAAGAAAATAATGTTTAGTAAAAAATGTGATTCCAATGATATAAAATTTAAAAACAACTGAAGTCAAACTAAGCAATACGAGAGATTTTTCAAAATGTTCATGCCCACTTGACTCCACAGGATCAGTGATTCCTCACAGTTGTTTATTTAACTGGATTTAAATGATGGGTTTATGGTAAGATAATATGGATTTCAAAACTTTTTGCACCAAAATAAACTTATACAAATGTGGCAATGTGTCTAAATAGGATTCAACTTGAGATACTAAAAAGGATAAGATATCAGTTACAAAAGAACCCCTATCAGAGCAACATGAATTCTGCTAAAATTGAAGTAAGGACAAACGTCAAATTGATGGGGAAGCTTTGGTGGAAGAATGGTGAAATCACTGGTGCTTTACAAAAGTTCATAGAAAGAATGCCCCAGAGAAATTGGCAGTTTACAAATGGATCACTCATTTTAAGAAAGGATGAGATGATGTTGAAGATGTAAAGCCCACAGGGCAGACAATCCACATCAATCTGTGAAGAAAAAGTTAATTGTGTCCATGTCCTAACTGAAGAGGACCAACTATTAACGGCAGAAACAATAGCCAATATCATTGACATCTTAATTAGTTCAGCTTACACAATTCTGGCTGAACAATGAAAGTTGATCAAACTCTACGTGATGGGTATCAAAATCCATGTGCCCAAATCAGCTGCAGACAAAAGCAGAGCTTTCAGTGGACATTTTAAACAAGTAGGATCAAGATCCTGAAGCATTTCTTTGAAACACTGTAACAGGAGATGAAACCTGGTTTTCAAAATTTGCTGAGGCTAACTTCAAGTCCTATCCTAAGATGATATTTTACAAATTTTCAATATGTGCCTTAAAAGAATTTCTACTATCTAATTATTGAATAGCATGTTTGTATTAGTCCGTTTTCATGAGGTTGATAAAGACATACCTGAGACTGGGTAATTTATAAAGAAAAGAGGATTAATGGACTCAGAGTTCCACGTGGCTGGGGAGGCCTCACAATCATGGCAGAAGGAGAAAGGCATGTCTTACATGGTGGCAGGCAAGACAGAATGAAAGCCAAGTGAAAGAAGAAATCTCTCATAAAACCATCAGATACCTTAAGACTTATTCACTACCATGAGAACAGTATGGGGGAAACCATAGCCATGATTTAATTTTATCCCACTGGATCCCTCCCACTACACCTCAGAATTATGGGAGCTACAATTCAAGATGAGATTTTGGTAGGGACACAGCCAAACCATATCAATGTTTCATTTCACGGTTGTTAATCATATGAGCTTTCCAGATTATCTCTATCTTTGCTGACTTTTTAATCTGTTTGGTATATAAACTGCTGAAAATTGTTTTAAAAGAGACCACTGTGACTATAGATTTATAAATAATTACATAGACTTTTATCTTATTTTGCAGTGTATACTTTGAGGCTGTGCTATTAAATGTGTAGATGTTCAGAATTTTTATGTATTTCTGATGTATTAAACCCTTTATTATTGTATAGTGACCCTACTTATCTCTAGTAATGCCCTTTTCAAAAAATTATCTTTAGTCTGGCATTTATACAACAAAGCCAGCTTTATTTTGTTTTCACTTCCAAATTTTTATATCAATATATTTTAGGACTATATTTTACAAATAGGACATATAATATTTCTTTTTATCTAATGTGAAAATCTTTATCATAACTGAAGAATATGTCTCCTATATGTAACATTTTTATCTGACTGTTTTCAAGATTTTGTTTTTTTAGCATTTGGATTATGATGTGCCCAGGAATAGTTTTGTTCACAGTTAACCTATGTAGGGTTTGCTAAGATTATTGAACGTGTAAATATGTATCTTTATAAAATTTATAAGAATTGCATTATATCTTTAAACAAATTAGTTTAGCCCCATTCTCTCCTTCCTTTCCTTCTGAGAATCCAATTATATGTATGTTAGGCCCTTCAATGTTGTCACACGAACTACTAAAACCTTTTCATAAATCATTTAAAAATTTTTTTTTGGCTGTCCGTGGTGGCTCACACATGTAATCCCAGCACTTTGGGAGGCCCAGGCAGGCAGATCACCTGAGGTCAGGATGTCAAGACCAGCCTGGCCAACATAGGAAAATCTCATCTCTACTAAAAATACAAAAATTAGCCACATGCGGTGGTAAACACCTGTAATCCCAGCTACTCGGGAGGCTGAGGCAGGAGAATTGCTTGAATCTGGGAGGCAGAGGTTGCAGTGAGCCAAGATTGTGCTACTGCACTCCTGCCTGGGTGACAGAGTGAGACCCTATCTCAAATATATATATATATATATATATATATATATATATATATATATATATATGCCAGATACAGTTGCTCATGTATGTAATCCCAGCACTTTCAGAGGTCAAGGTGGATAGATCACTTGAGGTCAGGAGTTTGAGACCTACCAGCCTGGCCAACATGGTGAAACCCCATCTCTACTAAAAATACAAAAATTAGCTGGGCATGGTAGTACACACCTGTAATCCCAGCTACTCAGGAGGCTGAGGCAGGAGAATCACTTGAACCCCAGAGGCAGAGGTTGCAGTGAACCAGTATCACACTACTGCACTCCAGCCTGGGTGATGGAGTGAGACTCCATTCAAAAAAGTATATAAAATATATTTTTATTTATTAATATATATTATTAAATAATTATTAGTAATTTTTTCAAAATGGTTATATTCTATTGGCCTATTTCCAAATTTACTGATTCTTCCGTCATCTATGTTCTGCTGTTAATATCCAGTTGGTTCAGATATTTTCTTTTTCAGTTCTGAAATTTTCCTTTTTTGAGGTTTCTATTTCTTTTCTTATTTCTTATCTTTTCATTCACTGCTAAAATATTTACTTTCAGTGAATTTCATTCACTGCTAGAATGTCACTGAGCAAAGTTGTAAGAACTATTATAATCTCGACCTGCTGATTCCAACATCTGGGTCAGATTAGAATAGATGTCTGTTGACTATCTTTTCTCTTGAGATTGAGTCACATTTTAATGTTTATTTTTATGTCACATAATTCTGTGCTATGTTCTGGGCATTGTGAATGCTCTATGGTTAAGACTGAATTATCTTACATTCCCCTGGAAATAGTGATTTTTGTTTTGTTCCGTTTCACTTTAGCAGGTAATTAACTTGATTGAAATCAAAAGAAAGTCTGTCTTTTGGACTGCAGTTCAAATATCAGTTCAGTTATTTTATCCTTAACTCAATTGCTTACTGTCTTCCCTATGCATATGTGGTTCAGATAAGAGGTTATAAAACAATTTTAGGTTTTCTTTCACCGGGTTCTTTTCTTTTTGGAATTCTCCTCCCACCTTCTGGAAGCTACAGTGGTCTGGAACTCTGTTCTTTGCTTCTTTAAGCCACCTGCATTTTCTACTGGAGTTATAGCTACCACACACTGCATGAGCTGTGACCTGTTCTCAGGCTAAAGCCATGAAAATAAAGAAATTCATACTTTGTGTATGAAATTATTCCATGTGTTGACCCCTTTTCAAGAATCTGTCTACTTTTCTTGACTGAACAGTAGTTAGAAGGGGGGCAAATGAAAAAGTAGGAAGCCCAATTTAAGAGTCCAGGAAGCATATTTTGATGCCTAGAAATAGAATAATGGAAGTGGAGATGAAAAGCAATAGAAAAACGTGTTTCTTTTCTTGAGTTAGAAACAAGACTTGGATTCTATCCAAGAAGACCCGAGAACACCAGAGTCTAAATATAGTAGTCAATGTATTCGAAGGCAAAGGTATTCAATGGATTCCTTTCCTGTTTCTTATTAGTCTCTTCTTTTTATTCCCACCAGATTCTCCAGCCCCTTAAAAGCCAGAGGCTTTTGCTGGTGAAGGGGAGACAGATAAGGTGGAGTGAAGAAGCCAACCAGATTCCCTCTTTTTCACAGCAGGTTTCCCATGAAGACTCCAGTCTAAACCTGGGGAGAAAGAAGCCTTAAATTGGAGAAAGTGGTGAAAGAAGCCCTCTCCAAAGGGATGACATTTGCCTCAAGATCTGAATGAAGGGCATAGCTCTACAAACATGCGATTAAACATATGGATTACTACATTAGGATTTACCTTGGAAATTCATATTTATTTGTGTATTTTATTGTTGCTTGTAAATAGCTTTTGTTTTAAGCGCCTGACCAGACTGTGTTTATTTTAGGTTGTGGCCCAGGCAGTGCTATTCATGTGTATGAACACAGCTGGAATCTTCATCAGTTACCTGTCAGACCGGGCCCAGCGCCAAGCTTTCCTGGAGACTCGGAGGTGTGTGGAGGCCAGGCTGCGCCTGGAGACAGAGAACCAAAGACAGGTACCAACTGACAAGGCTGTGTGTTTTAGTTATCACCTAGCCAGTCTCTAAATTATATGGAGCTACTGTTTTACTCCCAAACACGTCCTGACTTAAAAGTGTTCTCTTAAAGTTTATGTCACAGGATTCCAGAGTCTGAAATAGTTGTGTTAGACTTACAGGTCAAAATGGGTTGGTCTTATTCTCCACACTCAATTCATCGTTCCCCATAAGAAATAAAGAGGTTACAGTCACAAATTTATTTTCTGACACCTTTCACTGACATCTGTGTTTGTGAACAAGGTCATGATTCCTCAAAATCATCGGCATGCCTATCTTTGACCCTCTTTCTTTTAAACTGTAAATGTGTTATTTCAGACATTTTTTTTCTGTTTACCAATTCAAATTAGAGTAAGCGCATGGAAGAATCTTACACATGTCTAGTCTCTAAAACCACAACCTGATTTTTAGAAGAGATGTACACAAAAAAGTCCTGTCGACATGATGCCAACATCAAAATAAGGGATACAGTAGGAAAAGAAGTTGGATTGCAGGGGGCAATAATGTGTTCCAATTTGGAGAGGTTAAGATAAAAGAATTTTTTGGACATCCTGATTGGGTGGATGTTATAAGAACTTAAAAGTAGCTTTGGCCTCAAATAATATATTTCTCCAAAATTAAATTTACTTTCAAAGAATAAAGATTTGTCCCTATTAAAGATATTTATATATTTTAAGTCCATGAATACCTTTGTTCTGAACACAATTTTCCAGGAGGAATATCAAGTATGTGTTGAAAACTGATTTTAGCATCAACTTGTAGCATCCTAAGTATATATGCTCTTGGAAATTTTATGCTTGTAGATATATTATCTCTACAATCCTAGACCTTTTTTTAACTAAGCCCTTTTTCTTAAAGTTATGTCTTATTATTTATAATACAGCACATTTCTTATTTAAGACTTTAGGCAATAATAGTTTGCAAAAATCATAAAGAAAGTAGCAGAGAAAGACTCAACATTTTCTTCATGATTAATTTGCATCAAATCACCAGGAAGTCAGGGATCTTTGAAGTAAGTGAAGCCAGGTCCGTGTGACTCTAATGGATGAGACAGACAGGTAGGGCCTACCTGACAGGACTGAACTCCCACTGCCATCTGCTGTCTCCCAGGGCAGAGGAAACTACTGAGTTTTCAGATCTTACTTTGACTTTACAAAATTCAGAATAAGGAATTTCTATGTTATTGCCTAAAATAATTCTGGAACCTCATAGTAGTTTCTCTGAATAGCCCTTGGAATAATTAAGAAAAATAACTTTAAGAAAGAAGACACCTTGTACAATAAACATGAGTATCTCCCAGGACTACTGTATTATGTTCGTGTGCAAAACAGATCAGTTGCCAGACTGGCATGTCACTCTTTCCATGGGATCTGTGCCAATTCAGAGAATGCTGCCATATTAATAATTTATTCAACTGTTCTTAATGCTTTGTCACAACAAGAGCTGAAATTGTGGGTGAGTTGTATGGGATGCCTCTTATTTCGTGTTTATGATATATTGGAGACACTAAAAAATATTGCCTTACCATCTCCATAAGACTTTTTGCTTCTTTTCTCATCCTTCAAGCTGGGTGTCTTGGAATCACTGTGATCTAATAATCTAAAATTGTGGAGGAATCATCCACCATTCTCTCTAATCTTTATTTTTTTTAAGTTTGCAGAAGGAGGAAGAAAATAATAATATACAGAGGTAAGAGAAAGTGACAACTAGAATTTAGTGAAAAGACCACTAGAGTTTGGGTCATGGCTCTTATTACTTCCTAGTTGGGCCACCTAAGCTACTTAACTTTCCACCATAGGTTCCTTTTTTATACATGGGCCAATATCTTTCTCTTCTGCATTATATTTGCCTCAAATGAGATACTATGTAGAAAGCAATACAAACATATAAGTCAGTTTCATTGATTTCTTGGATAAAATACAAGAAAAGGCTATCTTTTGTGGAAGGTTCTTTGTTCCTAGGATTAAGTAAAATACTGTGTAGGCTTCTTTTAGTCCTGTGTTCACAACTATGATAAGAAGTTTGTGGCATGTTGACCACCCTTTATTTACCCAAGGGTATTGTCTGAGATAGCTGACTCCACATCATCAGTGCTAAAGTTACTTTCCACTGGCATCTGATCTCTGCTTCAGGTTTCCATTATCCTTGAGAACTTCCTCAGTAATAGACGGACAGTGTAGTCTGGCAGAAAAAACATAGGCTTTCAAATGAGATTGCCCTGGATTAGTAATTTTTACTTACTTACTATTTTAGTGAGCTTGAGCAAGCTCTGAGTCTTAGTTTGCCCATCAATGGCATGGGAATAATAACATCCTTCCTGAAAAGTCTCCTTAATGGTTAGAATTACTTTGTGTGAGATGCCCTTGCAAGTCAGTGAAGAGTTTCTATTAGCATTATTGTGTGTAATGATTTATATGAATCAGTCAACATAGTTCAGTCCCAAGAGGACTCATGTGAGAATTTATTATGGATTGACTTGGCTCAGTTGTAATAACTTAGGGTTATTTATATGGAGGTAAATCAGGATGATGGCTCTCCTTAAGTGCATAGCAACCAGAATCATCGTTAGGTCCCATTCATATCTTTTAAAATATCATGTGTCATTGACAAATGAATTCCCATTTTCCTCTTATCAGAACTAATTATAATGCCATAATTGTTAAAAATTCTATACCCTGTGAAGGAGATGCTGTAAGAACCTAAGCGACAGCAGATACCTTTTCCTTGGATAATGATCCTAAATAAGATTGATAGTAATATTTTGCAATTATAAATTAAGAATCAAATAGGTTATATTCAACAGAAATGACTGGGTTTTGTGGGATTTTTCAAGCACTCATGATTTTTATCTCATGGTAGGATACAAAAAAAAATAATTATTTAATTTGTTCAACCGTGAATTAATTTCTTTATGGAGGGTTTATTATGTGTCAGGAGCTCTGCTGAGCAATGGGAATATAATGCTGACTAGCAATCAGATCCTGGCCTTAAAGAGTTTACCAGGTGTAGAAGAAGCTGAATGACTACACAGACATGTATGGCAATAGTGTATGGGTCAAACCTAACCTGGAGGCTTGCAGAAGGCTATCGAAAAAAAATTTTACCTGAGCTGACATGTGAATAGGATTCAGCTCAGTGGAGAAGCAGTAAAGGGTACACCATAAAGAGCAAAAAACACATGCAAAAATCTTAAAGGAAGAGAGAAAGTGGTTTGTCAGAAGGATTTATGAGAATTCCCATGATCATTCATTCATTTATTCATCTATCTATTCACCCATTCATTCTGTAGAGAGAGAGCCCAATAAGACTGTCTTTACTCTGAATTGGACCTGGAGGATGAGTATGACTTTAATTATTAGAAGAGAGGGAAGAAAGAAATTAGCAAAGATACCGATGACAAGATACGTATGACCTATTAAAGGACAGCAATGCTGGACACTAGGTTTTCTCTGATATCCTGCAGCAAATTGTGAACCTCTTAAGTGGAATATTACTGCTTTCCATTCAATAACAGATATATATTTCCTGAGTGTTAACTATGCACCAGGCATTATTCAAAGTGCTGTGTACACCAAAGTGAAGAAATTCTTTGACAGATCTGTGTTAACAGCATGCCACACTGGATCTCAATCATTGCATGTCTCTTTCCCCAAACTGCTATTTCACCAGCCTGTGCCATGTATTAATAGTTCTGGGAAATCCACCTCCCTCCTAATGTGTCTCTACTCTTCTGCCTCAGCATTCCTTTCTCCAGGAGGCTTGCTTTTGTCTCCCAGGTAGAGTTGAAATTGTTTTCTTGTACTCGCTGCATGTCATGATAGTTAAGTCTATTAAAGAATGCATCCCACTTTATTACATATACTACTCTGTGCTTCTCTCTCTCTCCACAATCTCTAAAGACTAGTTAAAGGCAGCTACTCTACATAATTCAATGGAGTCTCTGGTTTTTATCTAGCATAGTGGCTGAAATGTAGGATCTTCTGAGTAATATTTATTTAACTAGTTCTATTGAATTCAAACTTTGGCTCCTAGCTTCACTTCTACCTATATGAATATTAAAATAACTCCTTTGCGTAAAAATAAAGATACCTGTGCCCATTGTGCCCTCCATTAGAAAACTAAGTGGGAAGAGCACTTTTACCCAATTCAGGAGAGACTGGGACAGGCTAAGCATACATCTTAAGCTGACTTGTTAGGGGAATTTTCCATCTGGAAGCTACATCTTGAAGCATCTTTCTTTAGGGAGTTAGATTCTAATTTAGTAGTTTTCATAATTCTGCTGCTTCTCCCAAATGATGCAAATGGCCCATATTTATTTTAAATATTAAAATGAATTAATTGTTTTTCTTGCAGCTTGGAGAATTGTATAAACCTCCTTATGGTAATCATGGCATTTCGAGGTGTCTCAGAAGCTCTGGGGGCACTGGAATAAAGTTTCTGATGATACCATATGTTGCAGCAGCAGGAAGATTATTTTTAAATGCAGCAGATGTTTTAGCTGTATTAAAGCAATTCTGTTAAACTTAAATATCTTTGTTAGACAATACTGGTGTAAACTGGTGGTTCGGACAGTAGATTGAGAAAACTGGGTTTCCTACTGAGTTCTGAGTTGATTAGTTTGATTCATTTTGGTACCTTTTAACATCTTGGGGACTTTTTAAAGTTAAAAATAATATTGATTAGTACAGTAGAGCTTTGTCATTGTTAATTCATTCAGAGAATCAAGGTTGACCTAAAAGTGGTAGAACCTTGGAATCTTTATTCTTTCTGCTCCAACTAGATGGGTCTTCTCATTATACTCCAAAAACCTCTTACTTCCAAGTCATTTTCTGTTATTCTTCATTCCTTACATTCAAAGCCACCCACTGACCACCCATCATGTTCAGCCTTATCTGTTATCAACATCTTTCATATTCATTATTCTTTAGTTTATACTGAAATATTCACTGTTTCTTACACATTCTTCTTACCCTCTACACTCATGCCTTTGTTTACACCTTTTTCCCTACCTGGTGTAACTTTCCTTTCATCCCTGCACCTTATCAATCCTTCAAAACTCAGCTCAAATGTCACCTCCATGAGAGTTTCATTCATACATTTCTGTATGGAATTAATCTCTTTATATATTCTGCTATACCCTTGCCTTATTTTTGCCTCCTCGTATCCTTGATTTTCACAGCACTTGGCATTGCTGAGTCACCCCCCAACCCCCTTTCCTTGAAGCACTCTCCTCTCTTAATTTTACTAGGGGGAACTTGATTTTCTTTCCAGTCTTTCAGATTCCTGTTTCCTTCACATATCCCTCTTCCTCCTCCAAACACTTAAAGGTAGGCATCCTTCAAGGGCCTCTCCTTGACCCCTTCTTTTTTGTTCATGTCTTGGTTCTCTTTTGGTGCTGTATCATGGCTTCAACCTTCACTTCCGGATTGTTCCCACATCAGCATCTCTAACATTACATTCTTTTCTGAGATCCAGATGCCCACCACCAGCACCAGCTTGATAGCCTCATCAGCATGTCCCACATATATCACCAGCTCGGCCTGTTCATGATCCTCCCATTCCCCCAAAAAGTACTCCTCTTTCTCTGTGATACACGCTTGTACCTGATCCTTTCACATCAACCATGGTCCCTATCACTGTGGGTGCTATTTTCACCATATATGCACACATTTTTTTCTATATTTCCTTTACTAGCACTGCCTGGTTTAAGTCCTCTCACAAAATAGCTTTCTAATTGATGTTAACCAGTTACTAACCAGTGTATACTAATCTAGCCACCTGTAGTCACTCACCTTAACATTCTTCTTGAAAAATAAATCTATTTCCCTTTTCTCCACTTTCCTTACGATCTATGAAATTAAAAAAAAAAAAAAACTAAACAAACTTACTGAGCTCTGCAGGGCATGAAGCCAAAGCCACTGCTTTCTTTCACCTATTCTTGTCCTTCTCTAGCTGATGTTGAGATGGTGAGGCAGGAATCCATTGGTTTCTCTTTTCCAGAGAGCAGTATTCATATGTTAGAAGTCATTGTATATACATTCTCCAGACCTTTCTGTCGGGTAAGAATGTGCTTCCTCCCCACAGGCAGTCTACCCCACAGGGAGCCCACTCATGCAGTCTCCTCTCCTCCCCACAGGGAGCCCACTCATGCAGGCTCCTGTCCTCCCCACAGAGAGCCCACTCATGCAGTCTCCTCTGTCCCACACAGGGAGCCCGCCCATGCAAGCTCTTGTCCTCTTCACAGGGAGCCCACCCATGCAGGCTCCTGTCCCCTACCCCTGATAGGAAGCCCAGACATTCAGGCTGCTGTCCTCCCTGCAGGGATTCCACTGATGCAGTGAGCCCACAGTAGCCAGCTACTCTGCCTCTGGCTGAGGAACTGTGGCTATAGAGCAGAAAGAAAAAATAGGAAGCTCATGTCTGCTTCCTTTGCAGCCAAGTCTCCCATTCATTTGCCAATAATAAAGTGGCTGCTTTGATTGAATGATTTGATTTGGTCGATTCCTGTCTGTCTTCCATATCTATTTCTCAGTTGGTTCATTTGAGAAGGGAGGTGTATGACTAACTCACATCTCAAAACCCCAGCACAGAGTATTACACCTGTCAGGATCATCTTCTTAGTGCCTAATTTGGATTATATAAGACCTCACACTAAATGTGAGAAAGCCCCAGGATTGCTACTGCCCATAGAACCCACCCAATTTCATTTACCCTGCATCACAGCCCATTCACCACCTGTCCCCAGCGTGACATTCCAATCATGTCACTTGCTACCTCTCACTTTGTACTCCAACACTTCACACAGCCCAGCAAAGATGCCCCGCACGTCTATGCCTTGGATTTCTTGCTGGTCGTTCCCTATCTGTCTCCCTCCCTCTCTGCTTCTCTGCCATTCTCTCTGCCCCTGGAGTGTGGCCTTTATGGATCTCATCAACAGACTCATTACCCTCTGGCTTCTTGTTGGGTTCGGCCAATGGGAGGCACTGGATGTGAACTAGAGTGTGGGAGGACAGAGACGTCCATACATTTATCTTCCCATATCCTACCCTGCTGGATTGTAGATTTACAGTGGCTGCATTTATCTACCAAAAGCCACAGTTCCTATTAGGCAGCCCTCGCTTAGAGTAAAGGATTTGCCAGATTCCATGGGTGTTTGTAGCTGCCTGCCCTTCCTAACCTTGGGGTGCTTTACCATCCATTGTTGAGTACCTTAATTTTTCAGTAACTCTCTTTTATTATCCCTTTTGAGGTACCAGCTATGTCCTGCCAGGAAACTAAATGACATGCCACTATTGCTCCATTAGGATGAGATGTTCCACTCCCACTCTGCATATATTTGTGAGGCAGTTCAGCAGAGCAGAAAGACACTGGGCTAGAAGTCAGAAAATCTCTACTCTGTCCAGTATGGTACTAGCCCTCTGTGTATATTTAGCATCTGCAACGTGCCTGTTTTAAAATGAGACATGCTGTGCATGTACAATACACACCAGATGTTAAAGACAATCCAAAAAAAGAAGAAATGCAAAATATCTCATTAATGACTTTTTACAAACTAATTGAATGTTGATTATACATTGAAATGATATTTGGAATATATTTGGTTAACTAGAATATACAATTAACAATGAATTTCAACTGTTTCTGGCTAATTTTTTATGGAATTTTTAAATTATATATGTGGTTCACATTGTATTTCTATTGGACAGTATTGACCTAGATGCTTGTCCCATTTCTATTTCTAACTTGCTAGTGTGACTCTGAGCAAGTTGTCAAACCATTTTGTATGTGAGTTTCCTCATCTCTCAATTAGAAATGATAATTCCTTCCCTAACCCACAGGAGTGTTTTGAGAGACAAATAACATAATGCCTGAAAAAGTGTTATTTCAGCTGTAAAGAATTCTACAAATGTTAGGGCTATTTCTGTGAAAATTTCACCAACGCCCCAATCTGATGCTCAGATGCCCCGCCCCCCTTATGAAGCATCCTCTAATGTTTCCTGTTGTAAGTTATTTCTTTCTTTTTGGCACTAAGACATTTTTGTTAACATGAGTTTATCACATTCTGTTTTATATCAGGGTTAGCACCATGCTTCCCTTCAATTGCCAGGAAGGTTTTGAGTGGCAAGCACAGTACCAGCGTTAATGGCCTCTGATCTCCCTGTAACAATTGACTTCATTCAAAGAACTGTGTTTACCCGATGTGGGTAGGACACCAGCTCTTGTGTTCCATCTGGCTGCCTGGTTCTTTGCAATCTTCCTAGCGCATTATTTGCATTTTCTGGCATGACGGAAGAAGTGAAGGCTTTGAAGAAAAACAAACCTGTATTTGATTCCTAGCTCTAAGTCTATATCTGGGTGACTGTGTGTACACCAACCTTAGATTCAACATCTGTCGAAGATAATAATCCCTAGATCTCAAGCTGGTTGTAAGAAAATCAAGCAGTATATAGAAAGCATCTGACCCATTGGCTGACATAGTGGGGCCTCAATAGATGAGAGCTGAGGGTCATGGCTGATCCTTGAACTGTTGGATCACCCAGGCCATATCCTAAGTTTCAAAGTAGAAGGTATTCTGATTCTAGTAACAACAGTTTTTCTTCTTGTTATTTGTGTTCTTATTCAAATTTGGCATCCACAAGCAATACAAATTTTTAATGCTACCCTTGATTCAAAGACAGTTCATGACCCTATGCTCATGTGCAATTATAATTTGCATACTGAGGCCATCCAGAAAGCAGAAATCAATCACCATCAGGGACCTCAACACCTTTGATCCAGCCTGGAGGAGCTGCAGGAGCCACTGAAGAACTCTGTGGGGGCTTTTTATCTTGAAAGTCTGTGCAGATAATTTTGACTAAAGAAATTGAAATTGGAAACCTAATATAGCCTAACTATAAAATGCTGAAGAGAAGACATGCTCTGTTGCCTTGATACAGTTGAAGGCACTTTTCAAGAGTGGCAGTAAAATAGAGCAGGAGAAAAATAAAATAAGTATTTTTTAAATAACCCATGCCTAAAATAGCTTATTTTAGTGGGACTTGAGTATGGGTCAGTTGACCAGAATTCTACATTTACTATTTTGCATGAGTCACACCCAAAATAGATTGGCTATAAAAGAGGTAAAATAATTTAACGGCACTATCTCAGCTATCTTGGTGTAAAACCATCCTAGAATTTTTTTCCTTCTAATCTTTTGCAAATGTCTTGCCCACACCTCATTTGAAAGCAATGTTTTTAGAATGAAAGTTTTGAGTATAGTGTAGTATTCAACTCATTTTTCATAGAAACGAAAGCTTGCTTATCATGAACAGATTTGGAAACAAACATTACTGCCTCTTGGTAAAGAAAGATAGGACACAGCTAGCAGACGTGGGGGGTAGACTTGAAAGAACCAGCTAGCTATGAGTGTTTAGTGTATACTGTTGACAGCCTTTCACAGTAGATAGGCTAGTGAATCACTTAAGTGGGGTAGGGAGGCCACTGTGATGCAGTGCTATTCTGTAAATTATTTATGAAAAGTCCAAAATTCCAAGTTTATCTTTTAAAAACCTTGACACTACTCTTGATCGGCCATTGGAATCTAGAAAGTTGAGACAGAGGCTGAGAACTATGCCGTCAAAGCAAAAGGAAATCTGGCATAGGGCAAAACCATTATTTCATCCTTCATTTGCTCAACAAGTATTGATCTTTCCTTCCCAAAACATTTGCCCTTGCAGTATTTCCTATCTTAGTGAACAAACAGCACCACTTGTCCACCAACTCTTCAAGCTCACACTACCCGTCCTCTCCATTTTCCCTGACATGCAGTAATAATTATGAGCAGTTAATTCTCTTTCTCATCCATCTTTTTTCCACATTTTTTTCCAACGTTTCTAACCCTACTTCCTTCTCCATTTCTCTCCTGCATCACTGTAACAACCCTTTGGTTCCCTGCAATTCATTCTCCAGGCTGCAGCCAGAGTGATCCTTCTAAAATCTAAAACTAGTTAGGTCATCTCTATGACTTCTGTACTGGGTTGAATAGTGTCCCCCTAAAATGCATGTTCCCCCGAACCTCAAAATGTGATCTTACTTGGAAATAGGATCTTTACAGATTTATTCAAGATGCAATCACACTTGATTAGGGTGGGCCTTAATTCAATATCACTGGTATCCTTATAAGAAGAGAACACAGAGAATCCCAGAGGCAGGAGCAGGAAACGCACAAAAGAGCACCACATGAAGACAGAGGCAGAGGTTGGAGCGAGGCATCTGCAAGGACTGCTGGCAGCCACAAGAAGCCAGGAGAGTGACATGGGACAGTTTCTCCATCAGGGCCCCAGAAAAAAATCCAACCCTGACAATACCTTCCTTTCAGACTTCTGACCTCCAAAACTGTAGGAGAATACATTTCTATTGTTTTAAACCACCAAATTGTGTGGTAATTTTTTATGCCAGCTTAGGATACTAATACAACTTCCTATTGCTGTTAGAATGAAGTCAGACCCATTTCTTACCTCTCTCCCCTCCTTAAACATTGCCTGGATGGAAGTAACAGTGACTGGCTCTGATATAGCATTTACTATGTGTGAGGTTCTGTACTTCACATAGATTACTTCATTCAATCCTCAGATAAATCCTATGAAGTGGGTGAATTTTTTACCTCCATTTTATAGATGAGGAATTTGAAAAACATAGAGGCTAAATAACAGCTAGTAAGTTGTACACCTGGTACTCAGACCTAAACAGTCTTCTCCAGAGCCCATATAACCAATTATTATGCTACGATGTCCTTCAACATGGGATGCTCTTCACAATCTACCCCTCTCTCCACTGGGAGGGCCCTAGCCCTCCCTTCCACATGGGCACGCTCCTTTAGCCTCAAATGACAGGAAACTCAACTCATATTGGTTCTAGCAATAAGAAGAACATATTGCCTCATGTTACTGAATATCCAGGGGCAGGTGTACAATTGTCACAACAGGACTGTAATGTGATCAACAGGAATACACATAGTGATGTGGGGAAATCAGATGAGTTGTCTTAATATAGGGAAAAGATATAGTTCAACACACACTAAAGCTACCCAGAGGAAAAGACCCAGTAGCCCATGAAGGTGCCAGCTTCCAATGAAGGCTCCCACCCACAGTGATATGTCCTGACTAGACTGAGGATAGTGCGTTCTTCAGGGAGCTCCCTTTGCCCTTCTCACATGGGATTTTATGCTCTTGTAGCTCTTCCAAAGTATTCTAAAGGCTCCAGCTTTCTCCTTTCCTACCCACCAAGTATGAGAAAACTGCTAATAATCATAGAACATTACTTATTCCATGGTAGACTGTCTTCCGCCCCAACCAGCATTAGACCTAAGTTCTATTTCTAAGCAGGCTTCAGGCACAGCTTGGTCCAGGGGCCATCTAGTACGCTTGTTTGATCACTTCATTATTCAGGACTCAGCAAAGGCATTAAAATCCAATCAAAATTCTATACTAATTGACTTTTTTCTTAGAGTCTTCCACTCAAGAGTTCTCTTCAGAGCTTTGGTGATAGTCAAATACATCTTATCAAAATCTAATTAGGTTACTGCATTATAGAATACATACTGTGGACCAAGTCCTGAGTTAGGTGCCGGAATTAAAAACAAGAGGAGATTTTTAAATAGAATTTTTTTGTAACAAACTAGAGTTTGGTAAGCTTGGCAGTTTCCAACTTAGTCTTAGAGTTATATATGTCATGTCTTCATATCTCCTCTGCTGGATTACAAGTTCCTTGATCCATGGAGGAATTGTGATTTTCCCCCTATAATATCTATCCTGATATTTAAACATTCACTAACACTGTATCAAATGAGTAAAGTAATAATTAACTTAAGGAACATTTCCAATGAGCATTTCTCTTTCCCCAAATATGTGATTATTATCAACAGATATTGAAGAATCATTTTCTTCTCTCTTTAGTAAATTAGAGGCTAGTTTTTGATGAATTTTCATATCCAACAGAGAATGTTCTTGTTGAACTCTATAATCCATTAACTCTTCTTTCTTCATTCTCACTGTCCAACTGAATTTGCAATTTAGATTTATGGGAGCCATGTCTTTTGTATATTAATTACAGGGATGTAAATATTTCATCTTTACAACCCCTGATTCCCCAACAGCTCAAAGCATTTTAGTTTTCACACAATTATTCCAGAATCTCTTTGGAATATGCAAGGGACATATGATGCCTTGTGCTGACTTCTATGGTAATGTAATTAATATTTCATTATAGTCATTTTCAGTTTCTCAGCCAAGCAGACTGCAAGCATGGTGAAGGCAGAGTGAAGCTTCTCCACTGCTCTCCCCAGTGCAGAGCACAGGGCCTGCCACTAACTCATTCCTTACTACACGTTTGCTGAAGAACAGTTTGTCAGATGCATGAATGAGTAGTGGAAGATATTTCACAATAGATTAGATGGAATCATGGAAAAGATTATGACTCGAGAGTCAGCCCCATGTGATCCACTGCACCCAAGAAAAGGATGAACTCTAAATCAGATTCTGCAACACAGAGCCTGAAAAGGAGAATTCACTAATGAATCCAGATGCCTGTGTGCACATCTGGGTGCTGCCACTTACTTGCTGTGTGTCCTAGGACAAGTACCTAACCTCTCTGTGCCTCAATTTACACATCTGTGGAATAGTGGTAATAAATATCCCTATCTCATTAATTGTTATGAGGATTAAATCACATAATTCATGTGCAAATCTTGAAACATAGTAGGTGCCCAATAAGAGCTCTCACTGGCAGTGGTGTAGTCCATATTTATTGCTTCTCTCCTTTAGGCATTTTCTTTAATTGTGAAATATATACATTCCACAGAAAGCAAAATCCTCAGACTACCAGAGACTGAATTGATTTTAAATAAGTAAAGGGAGAAACCAATAGAGATGTTTGGAGTATGAAAAGAGGAAAAAAGCAAAGAAGGTTGGATTACACCTTATGGATGATTCAAAAAACAAGAGACCCACTGAATGAATGAGTATTACAAGTATTGTCCAAGTAAGCTCTGTTGATTCTGATATTTTCTGTTTTTCGAGTATAAGTAAGAAAGGTTGGATTGATCATTGTTCTTCTCATGAGCAGAAAATTGACACAAGCTTACAGTTAAATGCTGGTGTGAAAAGTGACAATTCCATTTATTAAAGGCTCTGAGGAGGAGGTTGCAAACACCATGCGCTCACACCCGACCCGGGCAGTTTCTCCAGGCAATGTGAGGAGATATAGTAGTAAAGGGGTGGAGACTTCCAGCCTCTGATCAATTTCTGTTTCGGAGCACTGGCCTGGATGGTCATGTTTTCTTGATAGCTGAGATGCAGCAGAAGCAGAATACAGGGTTGATGTCCTGCGCGATGGGACAGGTTGGCCTTGAGCAAGGTAATCTCTGAGCTTCAGTCTCCTCACTTGTAAAACCATTTTAATAATTCCTACCAAGGTTGTTTTGATATAAAATGAGCTCCATGTAAAGGTAATTTTTAACTGTAAACACACTACAAATGTAAATTATTTTTAAAATTTTTTAAATATCATATTTGAGGAGGATATATAATCTCCTGAGAATGCTGCAAGCAAAGGGCTTCTTATTTGAATTTTAATTATCTTTCAACTTCCAAATTAGCTCCTCCAATTGATATTAAAATATGATCTTCTTGAATAAATGTGAAAAGCTCAGTTCCACATCAAGATAAAATATAAATTCAATATTTTTTAAATTTCAGTAGATGAGTGCATAAAATATATATCAATGAATAAGAAATGACTTCAGAATTATAAAAATTGAATTAGAAACTAAGAATTCGCTATGTAGATGATGGTGTTCAAATAACCTCTGAAGCATGTATTATGGCATAGGGATAATCAGGTATCTATGGAAACTGTCGCATATTAATACTTGAAATAGGCAATAATTTGCTTTATCTGTCCACATGCAGTCATGGGTTAGGTAGTTATCCAAGGTGTTAGCATCTTCCGACACCTACAATAATGAAATACAGTTTGCTTTATCACAAGTGCCCTTATCATCAAGCCAATGATGGTTAAGCTTCAAAGGCCTTCACTCGCAAGCCCCTTCTAAGGCCTTCAGAGGGGCCCTAGCAAGTTCGCAGTTATGATTTTCACAGTTTTTCTTAAAGAGTATTCTCTTACCCCACCCCCAAGTTATTTAAGTCTCAGGACCCACAAAACCTGGATCAATCACTACTGCTATCCCCTTGGAGTAGACAGAATGTTCTTGGAGGGGTGGTGAGGAAACTTACAATGTAAAGGTCTTTTCCACACCACCATTTGCAGTTTTCCAAAAGATAGGTGGTGGTTTTTTTTAGCATACTGAAGTAATATTTTAGTAGCTTTTATAAAATATCCTGCCCCCATCACAAATTATAGCATGCATTTTAAGGGATTTTGAAGTTACTATAGTATAAAAGTAATTTTCAGAATTGCGGGCAGTGTCACTGGGAATTGTCCAATAGCTAACAACACCCCAATCTATCTGTGACTTCTGATCTTTCAATGTTAGAATTCTTTCAGCAGAAGAATTTCTGAGAGACTGTTAACTGTATTTATAGACAACTTAATGGCTACATAGACAATAGAGTTAGACAGGCCTGGTTTGGAACACCAGCTTTGCATCTCATTAGCTGTATAAAATTGAGCAAAGAATGTAACTTTACGTGCTTCAGCTTTCTTATCTATTACATTGGAATAATCCAGCCTGCCTCACTGAATCACTGTGACACTTATTTGAAATAAATGCTTGTGGTTTAACTAATTTAGGGACTGACACCAACTGGTACCCTTTCCCCATCCCCCGTGTCACTCTTAGTGTCCCCAGAGTTCAAGGTTCTTGCTTCTACAATGGACCTTGTTTTGTGGTTGGGAGTTTCTTGCTCCTGCATTCCCCACAGACTGTGTGTTCTTCAGGATGGTGACATATTTAACTCCCAGCAGCACATTCAGAGCCTGTCACATGTCAGCATGACTACTGTTTATTGAAGGGAATTGAATTGAATAGTCAAACAGAGTCAAGTACGCATGTTCTTTGGGTATGGAGTGGGATGGTAGAGAGATATGTGGTGCAATATTTGCAAATATATGGTCAGAAGAACTTCCAGGGTGTACATAATTTCTAAGGGCCTGATGAATTTTAGAAAGGATTTTTGAGAGTGTTGATTAAATTATAAAATGCCTTCCTTCTCCTCTCACCTCTCCCACGATTAAACAAGAGGACAGCACTGTTCTTGCCCATGGGCCTCGGAGGTGGGTGAAATTCTCTCTTGATAGATCGAAGCTTCTCTTCTGAACCTGGTGAAGCAGCTTCCCATTTATTATAAAGGGCATAGGTCAGAAAACCACCATTGCCACTGCTGTTAGCTCCAGAGGTATGTCGCCTTCTAGATACACCCTGGCAATATGTGGACAATAGCCACCTTCTGAACAGCCACAAAACTTGTGACTAGACACTGGAGGGCTGCTATTTAAAAATCCATTATCTCCGTAACTGTGGTTGCCAGGAATGAAAAGCAGAAGTAGCTAAGAATGCTCTCCTTTTAACCTTCACGTTTTAAATCTTGCAGGGGTGCATCTAACTGGCAAAACTCAAGCAACATCCAGAGCTGCAAGGATTCTGGGAAATTAAATCATTAGCTTTCCAGCCTCACCTATTCAGGAAGGAATACTCATGGCCTTTTTATTTTTTCAACTGCAACTCCCAGTAAGAAGTTCATTTTACTTGATGATTTAGTACACAAAGGCATACAGGCATATATAAAACAAATGAAATCTTCACAAAAAAACTTACCTTTATAGTTATTACAGTCTGATATTTTCTATTTTCTTCTATTTCATTTTTGCCTGCTGGGTATGATCCACTAAATTTGATTTCAAGCTCACAAATGTGTCACAAACTCCAATTTAAAAAATACTGCACTGGCTGTGCTTGGAAGAGATGTGGAGGTCTTGGCTACCATGCCCACCACAGTCCTTTATGCCCCATTCCAGCTGGATCTCATCAGTCTCTAGTGTCTCTAGCTAGAGCCATTAGCTTGTAAGTAATTTTGATTCTTCAGGATTCAGGCCCCCAAGAGAAAGCATCCCGGGCACAGGGCATCTGTCCCTCATCCAAGACAGGAGCCAGCAAAGGCTGCCATTCTTGATAATAAAGCTCAGAAGTTAGGGAGGTGGAAAACCCATCAAGGGATAATGGGCCACACAAACGAAGGGTGCTTTGTTGGATAGGTTGCTAGTCTACTCTACAGACAGAGAGACAGCTTTGGAAGCACTTTGTATACACATATTATCAAGAGTATTCAAAAGAGTATTGGCTTGTGTGTCAAGCTTACCAAGTTTTCAAATCTGGTTCTGTCATCTGCATTGTTGAGTCTCTTGAGCAAATTTCTTCATTTCTGAGTCAATATACTCAGAACTATAAAACAAGATACTAATTCCCACTTTGTGATATGTCCTTGAATGATATATAGTATCTCTCTGGATTTATTTTCTTAGCTATAAAATATGCTTTTTTGCTCCATTGAGTAGCTGTGAGGATCACATGAGGTAAGCTAGGTGACAACAGCCACACACAACAGGAGCACTCAGAAGCCGTTAGCCCTCCTTCCTAGTCATGTAGCCTAATCAACCATCCTGTCTTTCCATATGTGTTAATTCATTGTATCAATTATCTTTTGCTCTGTAAAAAAGTAACACCAGAATGTAGTGGCTTAAAGCAATCACCATTTACTTAGCTCACAAATGTGTGTTGGCTGGAGAGTTCTGGTCTGATCAGCTCTGCTGACTCTGGCTGCTGGATGGTATAGGGCAGCCTCACTCACATGCCTAGTATTTTGGAAGACTGTGGACCAGGGCATCTAATTCTTCACCATGTGCCCTCTCATCCTCCAGCAAGCTAGTGCAGGTACATTCATATAGTTGTCTCACGGTTCCAAGCATTGCAAAAGAAAACATAAGCCCTAATGTACAAACAATTTTGAAGATTCTGTTTATGCCACATTTGCTGTTGTCCCATTGGTCAAGGCAAGTAGCATGACTAAGCCAAGAATCAACATGTAAGGCATTAGCCAAAAGGAATTATTATGCACATATGTGCAAGCAATCTACCACATTTAGTAAGTTTGGGTTGTCTGTGACTCCCTTCCCAAAACTCTACAGGATACAACTGGACAAAAAACACACGTACCTACAGGCTTATAGGAAAAGGGAGAATTTTATTGTAGATACTGTAGATAGTTGTGACTTGTCAAAGAGGCAAGGGATGAAAGTAAATGCACTAGTATTAGCCTTTTTTTCTGTTTCATGTTAAGGGTTTAAAGTGTAAAAGAAAATAAATGTGGAGAAGGATTTAGCTCCCACTTATGTTAGTGACTCTAGTTGTCATTTTCACATGAGCCACTCCATGAGAGGCTAATTATCGTTCCCATTTTACAGATTAAAAAAAAAACTGATGCTTATCTCCTTATCCCAGATGGTTTGGGGGAAAAAAAAACTGATGCTGAAGGAAGGTCACTCAGCTAGAAAATGTACTGAAACCTAGCCTGTCATACTCCAGAATAAAATTACTTTCTTCTCACAGGTAGCATAAGACCAGGGTGGCAAATGTGTTGGGCTTCATTCGTGCGGTTTCCTAAATGACCGCCAGGAAAGAATATTCATTTTAAATGAACAAAACAGGTTTATAAATATAAGCTGGCCCTAAGAGAATATCAAAGTACCCTACTTTGGTTGCCTTGATCATTTAAGAAATACCATTTTTCAGACTCGGGAAGCTATTCCAAAATAGATATTTTGGGTCTTTTTAAGTTTTTTAAATGTTGTCCTATTTCTGGCTTTATTATTATTACCTTGCAAATTGTTTTTTCCTTACAAAGCAAATGAATCAAGGTCTAAGTTTGATCTGTTTCATTGTCTGTATGTGTATGTGTTGCAAATTGATCCCAGCCCTGTTGACAACTGGAACATTAAGGTTTAGCAAAACACACATGATGAGAGATGACAGCAGACTGTGGACATATATTTTTCTGTATTGACCTATATACACTGAAATCTCACAGCTACCTCATCAGTTGTTGTGAGAACTAAATGATTCATGTACAGGGCTTGACACATAGTAAGTGCTCAATAAAAGTATGGTTGGTAATGGTTTTGTCAAAATGATTGCTATTCTCTCTTGGGCTTTTGCTTTATTATTGAAATAATGTATTCCCTCCTCCTTGTAAGAGTGGTGATTGTATGAGGACACAAGAGGCTTCTAGGGTTCTATTATGGTCTGCTTCTAGGTAGATTCTGTTTATGAGAGTGGTTTTACTTTATGAAAATTCATAGAGCTGTAAACCTGTGATATGTACATTATTCTCTATGTAAATTGTACTTCAAATAAGAAGAGATCCTTCAGTAGCCCCCAGTAGCTTTCAAGATGAAGTTGATATTCCCCAGCTTAGTACACAAGCCTCTTTATAATCTGGCCCTTGCCTAATTCCACATCCAACTATTTGAAGCTCCATGAATACATCATCTTTGTCATATCATCATTGCTTCACTCATACAATTTCTTCTACTTAAAACCATTGTCACTCTTATCCATCTAGCTAAAGTCTGCTTGTGCTCCAAAACTCAGCTCACATATCACCTCTTCCAGGAAGCCTTCCCTGAGACTAGACATCCTTAATTGGGCTTGCACTGTCTTTAACCTTCCATCCATCACTGCATTTATCACACTCAGTTATCCTTATTGACTTGCCTGAAGCTCTGTAAGAGTAGTAACCTTTTCTTCAGTAAATTGCATCATTTTGAGAGTTTGAAAAAATATTTAATGAATGATTATCTCAATAGATAAATGAATGATATTATGATGAGCAATGAACCCCTTTTAAAATTGTGATTATAGAGACATGGGAATGAGAAAACACAGAACTGTAAGTTCTGCAGTAATATACAAATAACATTGGGTTCTCTATGTGTATCAATATCATGTTCAGTATCCTTAATTCACACTTAACCCTCTTGTAAGAGGTTCCTTCTCAGCAGGGCTTCTGTAACTGGGAATAATACTTTGACTTATAAATAATCTAAGCAAGAGTACCAAATACAGGTGATGTCTAACTCTATCACCAGGAGCTTGTTATTAACATACAATAATTAACATGACAATGACCACTTGTTAACACAGTAACACACCAGAGATATTCAGCAAGCAAGGGTTTATTGGGCTCCTACTGTATACCAGACTTGTGCTAAACCTAAAGAGGTGTAAGATTCACTAGCCTTTGACTTCAGAGAGCATATTAATAACATCAGTACCTAATGTTATTGAATCCTTTCTACGTGCCAAGTCTTCACAAAAATTATCCCGAATGTCTTTCTTTCATCCATCCCTCATAGCCAATCTGTCACACCATAGCAAAAGTAGATCTAAAAGCCATTCACCTCTCTCCCTGCCACCATGTTCCAGGTCCCTGTCATTTCTCATTGGACACTCAGAATAACCTCACTGGATACTCAGAATAACCTAACGGGTCTGTTTTCATTCTTGCTTTTCTATAAGCCATTCTGCAACCAGAAGTGAGAGTGACCTAAAAAAGAAACAATGAGGAAACACCCCCAATGGCTTTCCACCAGAGTTGGTGAATTCCAACTAGTGGAACCAACACAATATCATCTAGGGCAGCAGTTCCCAACCTTTTTGGCACCAGGGACCAGTTTCTCTAAAGACAATTTTTCCACACACCAGGGTGGAGGGGGATGGTTTGGGAATGATTCCAGTGCATTACATTTATTATGCGCTTTATTTCTATTATTACATTGTAATATGTAATGAAATAATTATATGAGTCACCATAATGTAGAATCAGTGGGAGCCCTGGGCTTGTTTCCCTGCAACTAGACAGTCCCATCTTGGGGGTGATGAGAGACAGTGATAAATCATCAGGCATTACATTCCCATAAGAAGCACGCAACCTACACCCTCACATGCACGGTTCACCATAGGGTTTGCGCTCCTATGAGAATCTAATGCTGCCACCGATCTGACAGGAGGCAGAGCTCAGGTGGTAATGTGAGCAATGGGGAGTGGCTGTAAATACAGATGAAGCCTTGTCGGCTTGCCCACTGCTTACCTCCTGCTGTGCAGCCCAGTTCCTAACAGGCCGTGGACCAGTACCAGTCCATGGCCCAGGAACTGGGGACTGCTGATCTAGGGAGCAGGCAACTGAGTTAATCCTGCAAAGCTGCATGGATGTAGGCAGATTAGGTTGAAAGCACATGCATAGCTGAGCCAGGGACTATTCAGAAACTCACAAAGGTGTCATTGTCCCTGCAGAAAGGACCCTATAGTTATAATTTAATGCAGAACATAAGATAAATGAACAAAATATATTAAGATACAAAAATTAAGAGGAAAAGACACTGCATCAATAAAGCTCAGAGATAATGACCCTAATAAAATCCTGGTCCCACTACTCACTTGTTGTGTGATCTTAGGCAAGTCCCTAATCTTCTCTGAGCCTCAGTTTCCTTATCTGTTCCCTGTTGGCAGGGGCGGAGATGATGCATAAGAAGCAGTCTCTTCCACCTTTGTCCACATCATTACATACATAAGAAGGGTTAAGATTTGCTCTAGGGCTAAATAAAGATGCTGCTCATGGTTAGAGGTGACTGACCTGAAGACTCTGGCAGCCCCAAGAGCTGCACACCCAGGTTACAATCTATTTTTGGCAAATCATTGTGGCCAGGAACACATTTGGGAAGTTCTGAGAAACTCAATACAGGGTCTTCACATGACAAAATGATGGGAGCTACAAGTGTAGTTAATAATAACAATAGCTACAGTAACAACAGCAATGATAATAACTATACTATGTATATTAGTCAGGGTTCCACAGAGAAACAGAGCCAAGAGAATGTGTAGATAGAGAGAAAAAGAAAGAGAGCTTTATTTTAAGGAATTGGTGCATTCAGTTATGGAGGCTAGCATGTCCAGAATCTGCAATTCAAATTCTACAGCCATCAGACTGGAAACTGAGGAAAGAGCCAATGTTGCAGTTCAAATCAAAATGCCATCTGCTGCAGAATTCCTTTCTGCTTGGGAGAGGTCAGCTTTTTTTTCTCTATTTAGGCCTAAAACTGATTGGACCACCCATATTATGAAGGACAATCTGCTTTCCTCAAAGTCCATCAATTTAAATGTTAATCTTGTCCAAAATCACCTTCACAGAAACATCCAGAATAACATATAATCTAATATCTGTGCACCATGGCCCAGAGGGTTGACACATAAAGTTAACCTTCACACAGTCCTTAATGACACAATGCTTAGCAGTGTTTTCTGCGTCTTGATAGAAGTAGCGAAACTCCTGTAAAAAGATGTTTTGGCACTCTCTAAAAAGACTTTGAAGTCTTTAAGCCCTAAGATGTGGTTAAGAGAAAGATTTTTTCCAAAGGGGGCTACTTAGCAGTAGATTCAGTGTCTAATGTCTTCTGGGCTTGCAAATGTGTTCTTTATTCCTCACATTTGACTAAATACCTTTCAGGAGACCTCAGCATTTTCCCCAAGTGTTTATCATTTTATTATCAAAGAAAAAAGTGCCTTCCTCTTTATTTCATAATGTTAGAATTGTTGCTATATCAGACTAAGACCTCAGCTAAAGAATACCGCTGATGTCCTAAGCATTACTTAAGGTTAAACTGATCGTGGGTTATTCTACATGAGAAGAGCTAATCACTGGAGTAGGGTGGAGAGCCACAGAGGATGTGCATGATGCCACACCATCTATCAAGCAGTCACCTGGGAGCAAAGACTGTTTTTTTCACTGCCATTGTTTAAAACTGCCAAGGAATAGTGATGATAAAAAGCAGAATAACTGGCCGGGTGCGGTGGCTCACGCCTGTAATCCCAGCACTTTGGGAGGCCGAGGCAGGCAGATCACGAGGTCAGGAGATCGAGACCCTTCTGGCTAACACGGTGGAACCCCGTCTCTACTAAAAAAATACCAAAAGTTAGCCAGGCATGGTGGTGGGCGCCTGTAGTCCCAGCTACTCAGGAGGCTGAGTCAGGAGAATGGCGTGAACCCAGAAGGCAGAGCTTGCAGTGAGCGGAGATGCGCCACTGCACTCCAGCCTGGGTGACAGAGCGAGACCCTGTCTCAAAAAAAAAAAAAAGCAGAATAACTTTTAGTCATTTTTTTTATGATTTTAAATTCTCTACAGACCACGGTCCCTCTTATTGCCTGCATCTAGTACAGACCACTCTTCATTCTCTCTCCCCCACCTGCCCATGCCCATGGCATGTCACTGCCACTAAGCATGTTACAAGAACATATCACACTGTGTTCAATAATCTCACAAGGGAGCTATTATTATTTTACAGATGAGGACAATGAGGTTTGGAGAGGTTAAGTAACTTGCCTGAGTTCCCACAACTAACTTACAGAACCTGAGCTTCTGTCTGTGAAGTGTGGCCTTGGCCTGCCTTATGCATTGGGGTCTCCTGGCACAGAGTGAGCATCTAGCAATGATTGAACAAATCAGGAAAGAGCTTTGTCCCAAAGTTCCCAGTTTGATGTATTTTAGAACTGCTAATAAAGGCATCTGAGAAAATCTTCACTCCTTAAAAACATAAAAAGAAAAAAAAACAACAAAATATGAAACCTGAATACCTGAATTTTGTGACTCATTCTTTAAATCACATACCATATCCATGGAATATAGACTATAGAGTAATGCAGACCATGGCCTGTGAGTTGAGCACTGGGAAGAATTAAAACATATCTGATGGCCACTGCTATTTTCTAATCACCTTTATAAGGAGCATTTTCATAAGGAGCTTTGTCATTTAGTCTAAACAATCCTGGGAGACAGGTATTGTTCTCACTCTGTAGATGAAGAAACCAAAGCTCAAAGGAACAATATAAGTTATCACAGTTACAGAGCAAGCGAGTTGCTGAGCTTAGCTGGGATTCAGCTCAAGCTTGCTTGACACGAGAACACTGCAGTCTTAATATTTCTGAGCAGAACCAAAATTCCTAGGGTCTTAGACCACTAACAAATAGACATGAATGTTATCCAGACTTCCACCCTCCTTGCTGAATCAGTCTGAAGTGAACCTACAGAATATGACTTCAGGAGCCAATTAAGCAACAGCTTCTGCAATGCTATGCTCACAATTGGCTTTTAGAAACATTTATGGGTGAAAATTCCATAAAAAACCCTTTAATATATAAACCCAAATGCCAGAGTCAAGATTTTGGCAACAAAAATTTTTAATTTTTTTTCAAATTATTAACAGTTTTCACTGTGTAGCACAATTGTCTTTTCACATATGAGGTCTATTCATTTCCCCTATATTTTCTGGGTAATTCCTTTTTTCTAAGAGTGAAAGCTTTAGCACCAATATACAATTAAAGTTCAAAAACAATGATTAAAATAGAGCAGGCTTGCCAGTAAATTTAACAAACATTTGGGTTGTGGTTACAATGTGCTAGATGCTATCTAATTCTTTTATAAATATTAACTGATTTAATCCCACACCAACCCTATAAAATAGATGTTATTATTATCATCTGCAATTCACACAGGACGCAACTGGTACAGAGGGGTTCAGCAGGTTGTCCCAAGTCAGAGCTGGAGAGGGGCAGAGGTAGGGTTCAAACCCAGAGCCTAGCTTCAGGATCATGTGCATTATTCCTCTACTATGCTGCCGCTTGCTGTCACTTACCATCACTTCAGGTTCCTTGCTTTGCTTCCCCCCTTTTAGGGTTAGATACTTGATGCTGGTCTGGGTTAGGTATTTGCCTTTGATTCATCTGTTCCTTCTACAAACATGCATTGGCAGCCTTATTGTACCAATTTATTTCCTGCCCTGCCCTTCATTTTTCTGGGACTTCCCTTCTTCCCTCTGCACCTAACCCACCCCACTCTTAACAGTGACCCCCATAATAAATATGCTTATTCTCATGGCCCTGCACCTCAATCATGTACGTTAGGCAGGAGTCATTGTTTGACCCATGCAGAGTTCTTATTCAGACATGTTAAGACTGAAACTGAACAAGTTTCCTCCAAATGCATAGACATAAGGTGCAAGGATCCAGAGGTCTTAGTGGCTGAGAAGTGAGAGGGGATGAGGAAGCTAGCCTTCAGGAGAAGCAGAGATCCAAGTTTAAGGGTGTCATGATGAGTCATGCAGACTCTTTTGTTCCCAAAGTCCAGCCTCAGTTTCACCCTTAGATTCCATAAGTCATCCCAGTTTACTAATGATCAAGCATGATTTTGCTTCAGGTGAATACTGAGGAAAATATGAGTATCTTGATGACCAAAGGAGTCCAGACAAATACAGCCACTTCTTTTTTACTAAGCTTGTGTTGGGTTCTGGAGGTAGAGAAAACATCTTGGTCTCAAATATTTCACATTCTAGGGAGGATGACAGACATTCAAACAGAAATTGCAAATTTCCTTTTAGCTGAAATAGTCTGTATGGGCTGTTGCTTGGTTAATTGAAAAAGCAAACTAAAATGAAGAATTATGAAAAATTATACATAAACCTTTTATTTGTAACTTAAACATAAAATGATAAATTTATTATCTATTCTTTTGAAATAATGCTGAGCCATTTTTAAAAAAACTTCTGTAAATTTCCATTTTACATTCAAATGATTATCAGAAATCAAATATTCTGATAATATCAAGTTTGAATGTGGGTTCATGGGCATACACATTGCTAGTAAGTAGAGCAGCTATTAGTATGTTGTAAGAACATAACATTACTTAATGAGGTTGAATGTGTGACTCTCATGATGTAGCCTGATGATGTAGGCACATACCACAGGTTTATTTATTTTATTTTATTTTCAACTTTTATTTTAGATTCAGGGGTACATGTACAGGTTTGTTGCATTGGTATATCATGTGATGCTGAGGTTTGGGGAATGACTGATCTTGTCACCCAGTCAGTGAGCATAGTACCCAACAGGTAGTTTTTCACACGTTTCCCCCTCCATCCTCCCTTTTGGAGTCCCTAGTGTCTATTATTTCCATCTTTGTGCCCATGTGCACTCAATGTTTAATACCATTCTAGATTTCAGCCTTGGCCAAGAACTTATGACTGAATGCTCAAAAGCAATTGCAACAAAAGCAAAAGTTGACAGGTGGGACCTAATTAAACTAAAGAGCTTCTATACAGCAAAATAAACTATCAACAGAGTAAAAAATGAAAGAAATCCATTTCTACAGAATGAAATATTCACAAACTATGCATCTGACAAAGATCTAATATCCAGAATCTATAAGAATGTAAACAAACCCACAAGCATAAACCAAATAACCCTTTAAAAAGTGGGCAAAGGACATGAACAGACACCTCTCAAAAGAAGACATACGAGAGGCCAACAAACCTATGAAAAAATGCTCAGCATCACTAATCACCAGAGAAATGCAATACAAAACCACAATGAGACACTATCTCACACGAGTAAGAATGGCTATTATTAAAAAGTGAAAACATAATAGATGCTGGTGAGACTGTGCAGAAAAGGGAATGCTCATATATTGTCATAGATTGTTGGTAGAAATGTAAGTTAGTTCAACTACTGTGGAAAGCATTTTTTTAGTGTTGATCTATTGTTTCTTACAGAGACCATAGCCAAAGTGCATTAGTTAATATTTCTAGTTCCTTAAAATGTACTGAGAATTTAAAAGTACTTTCAAAATTATCAGAGTGACTTCCAGATTTTTATAATTTTTTTCACAGATGTTTACAGCTATCTTGCCGACATCTAATTTAGTGTCATTGTTTTAGCTGCTCAGCATTACAAAGTCTTCCCAAAGTATTTGATTTCATTATCATGCAAAGGGCATCTCTCTTTTCCTATTTACTTAGTCTTTTATTTAATATTTAATTAAATCACATAAATACACTAACAGATGATAAAACTAACATAGCTGGGTTTGAGGACAAGCTCAGTGATTTCTGTTCAGCATGGGGCTACAGATAGAATAGAAGCTGTAGGTATTTATAAATCTGTTTACCATCTGGGAACCTTTCACCCTGCAGTGGCCTGATCCACTGACATGTGTAAGAGAGTGATTGAAGAGAGTGGGTTAGTCCAGTAAATCAATTAAGACAGAGAGTTGATTAAATGGATGTCAGCCAAGAGAGCGTCTACCACACTAAGGTGGTACAGGTGATGATTTAAAGGTTGATGCAGGTTTCAGTGAGGCAGAAGGATGCAGGTCTACATGACGTACGAGGACTTGGGGGAACTTCATGGAGGTAGTGTCACTTCAGCAGACCAGTTAGAGAAGGCATCCCAGGTACAGATCTAGCATGATCAAAGGAATGTATGACCCATCTGAGTAACCTCACAGTCTAAAACATTGGGGTGGAAAGCCTTTATTTTAGTGATAAGCACGTCTTATTTCTTATTTCTAGAATTTCTTATTTCTAGTTTTTAGTCTCCATAATCTTTCTGACACTTGGTCTCTGTCTTGCTCTGAGTGTGGATGATAAACCATGCAGAAGCCCAGCTTTTCCTCCTTTCTGTTCTCAGCTATCTAAAACCTTCCCAGGGTCTCACCTGCTGCTGATAGAACAGCCAATCAATCCTAAGTAACTGAGTTGCCTTCCCACATCTCTAGCATGGGCCTGCTCCTGACTTACTGTTGTAGTATTCATCAAACTACTGCTGGACCTCTCTGATACCATGACTATCATCTCTCCCCCTCTCCTGTCATCTTGGGGACTAAACCCCCCATGAAGTAGAGGATCATGTCTGCCTTGTTCAACTCTAAATTTATAGCGTCTAATACAGTACATTGTCTTAAGTAGGATCTCAATAAAAAATTTGTTGAATACATAAATGATTTAATTTAATAAAAGACAGCATACCATAGCCTCAGTATTGACTGTTCCCCTGTGTCTGAAACACCCTTCCCTAGCTCTCCACAGGTCTAGCTCCTTCTGTCCTTCAGGTACCAGTTAAACATCACTCCCTTGAAAATTTCTTCATTGACCATTTTGCTAAAGCAGCCACAAACTCCCCTTAAACTTCACTACAGGGTTTGTTTGCTGCTTTTAGAACAATGGTTCTGCAAAAGTGAACACCATGTCTGTTTTTCTTTTCTGCTGATTCTTCCTGCCAAGGACTAAGCCACTTACTCCTGGACTTAGTAAGTAAATGATTAAATGGGTGAACTATGATCCAAGTTTCAGAAAAAAAAAAAAAAAAAGAAAGAAAAACACGGGCTTGGGTCTTCACTACGCACTTACCAAATGCGTGACTCTGAGTTGCCTGATTTACTTAAACTCTTTGATTTTCAGTATCTTCATACGTATAATGGAATGAAAATAGCATCATATTCCCTCTTACGATTAATGTGAGGTTTTAATTAGACAATAAATAGGAAGCACTTGGTGTGCTACGTAATGTGTGATCAACAACAATAAGATATTTTTTGTAACTCCAGAACAAGTCTCTCCCCAGTGCCTGGAACTTGGCTCCAGTTAATGCCACTTTGCCTGCAGTGGAGAGAAAGAGATTAATAAGAAGTCTCTCCATTTGTGAGAGCCTGAAAGTGGCAAGCTCTTCCTGAAGCTGTTCAGAAACACTGCTGCTATGTGTAAGCCCAAAAGTGCTGTCTGATTCACAGGGCTGCGCTGATACCTTTATCTTCACTGCTATAAGCATTTGCATAAAATAAAGATCCTGAATCCCTCACTGTTTTCACCTTGACTTCCCCTCAGGGTGCACTGTAGCAATTGATGCCTGTAAAACCATTTTGACGACTTGAATAGAGTATGTTATGTGAGATGAGAGGGGAATCCAGACAGGAGCCACTAATGGACTTTGAATCAATCCAGGGTCTCTTTTCATGCAAATGGAAAAACTCAGGGAGAAAAAGATGTGCAGAATGTGAGCACAAAGGCCACCCAGGGCCACAGTCTGGCTCCAGGAGAGAAGCTGGTACTTCTGATCCCCAAAGCCAGAAAAGGATATATTGCGCCCCAGCAGGAGTTGGGAATCGTATTAAAGAGCAAACTTTCCTATTTTATTTCAGAGTGTGTTTTCAGGGAATTTAAATGATGTTTCTCAGGCAGTGAACAAATGTGAGGGAAACAAAAGTGTTGAAAATGGGCTTTTATTAGCAGACTCCAGGCAAACTCCCATGTCTTGCAGAAAATGCTTTACAGAGGGAGGAGCTGGGATGATTGCCAGTAGCACAACTGGCTGGAGGCTGGCAAGCCTGGGTGCTTGAGAATTTTACCAGTAAAATTTTATTTTCAAAGTGTCCCATGAAAGCATCGATGACTTGAGGATCTAATGAGTGTTGGCACTTAAAGACTATTTAATAATGTTGTTTTCTTTTTAGAGACAGAGTCTCACTCTGTTGCCCAGGCTGGAGTACGGTGGCATGATCATAGCTCGCTGCAGCCTTGAACTCCTGGGCTCAAATGATCCTAGAAACTATTTGCCCAATGTTCTCTACCAGGAACATTACTGGTCACTGCAGAAAATGCATCCATGAGCTGGATACAGCCGCTGCCTTCTGTATGTTCACAAGTTTGCTCGAGAAATATTTACTTAGAACCTGCTACTCTCAAGCACTGAGGAAGTTGCTGAGGATCCTGAGTGAACAAAGAAGACAGAATCACTGTCTTCCAAGCATCTGTAGTCTTGTTAGGGGAACCAGACAACTAAACATGTGTGATGAGCATTACAAGAAGGGAAGTGGAAGGATAAAAAGATTCTGTGTTGCAGGGCAACAGTACATAGACCTCTCAAAGGAAAGAACATTAAGCAACTTTAAAGCAGAACTATGAAGGATGATTCGGAGCTGTGAACAACTGGGGAGAGATTTATGAAGACTCATAAAGACTCATAAATCTCTTCATAAAGAGATTTATGAAGAGATTTATGAAGATTTATGAAGAAAGTGATTAGACAGTAGCTCACACCTGTAATTCCAGCGCTTTGGGAGACCGAGGTGGGTGGATCACTTGAGGTCAGGAGTTCAAGACTAGCCTGGCCAGCATGATGAAACCCCGTCTCTACTAAAAATACAAAAAATTAGCCAGGAGTGGTGGCAGGCACCTGTAATCCCAGCTACTCAGAAGGCTGAGGCAGGAGAATTGCTTGAACCCAGAGGCAGAGGTTGCAGTGAACCAAGATCTCGCCACTGCATTCCAGCCTGGGTGACAGAGTGAGACTCCGTCTCAAAAAAATAAATAAGAAAGAAAGTGATTGGAGATTTTAAGGAAGTAAAAGGCCTCCTTTGTGCTTTTTGCCAAAAATGAGAGGGAAGGGAAAGAGTGACTGGAATCCCAAACAGTGGTCAGTAGGTATTATAAGGGGTTTGGAATTTCTCCTAAGAACAGCAGGGTTTAAATTCGGTAAGTGGCATAATAGAGACTAAGAGGTATGTTAAAACCAAAACTAAGTCAGGCAATCTATGGGATTGGCCTGCCTATGAGAATACAGATTCATATCCTCCAAGAAGACACTGGACATATGATCATATATGATCACCACAGTCTTCCCATTTCACATTCATTTACTCCTGGGCCATTGTCCCATCCCAGATTTGTTCACTGATAGAATCTCCCCTTTCCCCTGCTTGAATTTTCCCCTGTTTGTATTCAATCTACTTTAGTGTTGTTGCTGTATCTTCTGGCACTAGCCCATCCATGCTCTGTTTTTATTGCAAGACAATGTAGTTGTCCTGTCCACTCCCATTCTGACCATTTCCAGGCTCTTTTTCTGATTGTATCATTCTCGCCTGTGCCTAGGTGGCTGCAGAAACCCTCTTGCTCTGTGCAACCTAAAGTAAGACATGCTGAAATCATAAGGTCAAGCAAGGACCTGGATTTGCTTCATAATGATATTCCCAGGATAAATAGGTTTCATTTCCTTTGTTAATTCCATTCAATTAGTGATGCCTGCCAGTGCTGTTTTTGGAGGCTGAGCAAGAGCCAGTGTTCAAGTCAATTAATGATGTCTACATGGACAGAAGTAAGAAAGTTAAGCAGTACATGCTTGGGTCATTTTTCTTTCCCAGTCCAGAGTAAATATTAATACCTGCCTATGGGAAGTCTATTCAGGTAGATCCAAGGTTCCATCCTTTACAAGTCCAGAAACCCAGGAGTCCTCTTGATACCCCTCTTTCCCTCTTTCACAGTCCCAATTCCTACAAGTCTCCCTCCCATGTGCCCATGTTTCTCCATCTCCACTGCCATGAATTTGGTCTAAGTTTCCTTCACCTCCTGCCTGGATGATTACATTAACCATTTAATTCCTTTCATTCTTCCTTCCCTCTATATTAACCATTTCATTGAATCTACTCTTTTCTGTATTTCAGTTGGAATGATGTTGAAAAAAATCTAAATGTGATCATTTCTCTGATCTCCAAGCCAAACACTTTAGTTGCTTCTGGTAACTCTCGAGATAAACACCCAGCAAGGCCCAGCATGTCTCCATACCCTCACGCCACTCTACTCCACTGCACTTGGCTGGATGCTAGCCATGATCCTTCTTTTGGTTTCTCAAACATGCTGTGCCCTCTTCAATCAGGCCTTTGCACATACTGCTCTCTTCTGTTAGAATGGTATTCCACAACCATTAGCACACACATAAACACATTTGTACATGCTTGCATACACACCCTTCAATTAACTGTTCATCTAAGTTAATCCTTTCACTCTGGACTCTCGATGAACCATTTGTGTCTCTTTCACATAACTTGTTACAGATGTAATTGTATAATTATTACTATGCTTATTTGATTACTACCTCAACTATCCTGCCAGACCATGCAGCCTTCATGTCTTGCTTGGTCTGTTCACCAATGTTCTCTATCTATTGCTGTGCTTGGCACTAGAAACAGTTACAGGAATTATGAATCACAGCTTCATAGCTACTTTATTTTCTGTTAAATGTTACACTAAGGTAAATTTTCAATAATGAGGAAGATTAAATGAAGAATGTGTAAATTGGGTATCTATACTCACCCATTTTTCCTGTAACCGAGAAAACCATATGAACATTTCTGGTGGCAAAGTCAACATTGTAATTACTAAATCAAAGGTAGACAATTCCAATGTCTTCCATAAGACAGTTTCAAACCTTCCATAAATCTATTCAAATAGAGAGCATGTTAATGCATGTCAATATATACTTTAATATAGTTTAATATTTTAAAAACCGGTAATACAATAAGGGTTTAATTTTCAACTGTACAATATTATACACTCTCTCACTTCACAATTATTACTTGTAGAACAGTGGACTGAAAAGACAAGGATCAGTTAAATCAAGTTCGTAATTACAGAAATCCTACAACAAATATATATTGAGGCCCTATATAAACCAGGTGTTATTCTAGGTGCTGGGATTATTGAACTGAACAAAAGAGACAAAAGGTATATCATCATAAAGCTTATATTTAAGTGAAATAGATAGACAATAAACAAGATAAGTTAATAAAATATATAGAAAATTAAAAAATATTGAGTCCTAAGAAAGAAAAAATAAATAAAACAGGAAAAGAGTGTGATATGGTTTGGCTGTTTCCCCACCCAAATCTCACCTTGAATTGTAATAATCCTCACATGTCAAGGGCAGGGCCAGGTGGAAATAACTAAATCATAGGGGCAGTTTCCCCCATACTGTTCTCCTGTTAGTGAATAATTCTCATGAGATCTGATGGTTCTATAAACATGAGTTCCCCTGCACAAGCCTCTCTTGCCTGCTGCCATGGAAGATGTCCTTTTGCTCTTCCTTTGTCTTCTGCCGTGATTGTGAGAGCTCCCAGCCATGTGGAACTGTGAATCCATTAAACCTCTTTCCTTTATTATTACCCAGTCTCAGATACGTCTTCATTAGCAGCGTGAGAAGAGGCTAATGCAGAGCACATGAAATGAGAGGCCAGGAGCATGTGACCACTGAGATATGGGCATAAGGGGAGGTCTCCACGAGAGGGTAACTTTTGCATAAAGACCTCAAGAAAGTGGGATGCATTCATTGTTGCTTATGCATTCAATTTTCTACAATTATTTACAAACTGGGCTGTTTTAATGTCTGAAACTCTCTCTTTTTACTACCCACTTGCTTATAAAGCATCATTTATGAACAAATAGATTTATTCACATATTTTTTGTGGGCGTTGGGGTATGTCCTGGGTCCTCCCAAGGGATTATGTTGCTCACTAAGCATCACTTTTCCCACATGTCGTAACCCAAAGACATCCAGGAGAATGGTGCAAACTATTGGTAGATCTACCATTCTGGGGTCTGGAGGACGGTGGCCCTCTTCTCACAGCTCCACTAGATGGTGCCCCAGTAGGGACTCTGTGTTGGGCCTCTGACCCCACATTTCCCTTCTGCACTGCCCTAGCAGAGGTTCTCCATGAATGTCCCATCCCTGTAACAAACTTCTGTCTGAGCATCCAGGTATTTCCATACATCTTCTGAAATCCAGAAGGCAGAGGTTCCCAAACCCCAATTCTTAACTTCTATGTAATCGCAGGCTCAACACCATGTGGAAGCTGCCAAGACTTGGGGCTTGCACCCTCTGAAACCACGGCCTGAGCTCTACATTGACCCCTTTCAGCCACATCTAGAGCTGCTGGGACACAGGGCACCAAGTCCCTAGGCTGCACACAGTATGGGGACCCTGGGCCTGGCCCATTAAACCATTTTTTCCTAGGCCTCTGGGTCTGTGATGGGAGGAGCTGCCATGAAGACCTGTGACATGCCCTGGAGACATTTTCCCCATTGTCCTGGGGATTAACATTCAGCTCCTCGTTACTTATGCAAATTTCTGCAGGCAGCTTGAATTTCTCCTCAGAAAATTGTTTTTTCTTTTCTATCACATCGTCAAGTTGCAAATTTTCCAAACTTTTATGCTCTGCTTCCCTTATAAAACTGAATGCCTTCAACAGCACCCAAGTCATCTCTTGAATGCTTTTCTGCTTAAAAATTTCTTCCCTTAGATACCCTAAATCATTTCTCTCAAGTTCAAATTTCCACAAATCTCTAGGACAGCAGCAAAATGCCACCAGTCTCTTTGCTAAAACACAACAAGAGTCACCTTTGCTCCAGTTCCCAACAAGTTCCTGATCTCCATCTGAGACCATCTCAGCCAGGACCTTATTGTCCATGTCATTATCAGCATTATGGTCAAAGCCATTCAACAAGTCTCTAGGGAGTTCCAAACTTTCCCACCTTTTCATGTCTTCTTCTGAGCCCTCCAGACTGTTCCAACCTCTGCCTGTTACCCAGTTCCAAAGTTGCTTCCACATTTTGGGGTATCTTTTCAGCAACGCCCCAGTCCCGGTACCAATTTATTGTATTCGTCTGTTTTCACGCTACTAGTAAAGATATACCCAAGACTGGGTAATTTATACAGGAAAAAGGGTTTTAATTGGACTTACATTTCCACATGGCTGGGGAAGCCTCACAATCATGGCAGAAAGCAAGGAGGAGCACATCCCATCTTACATGAATGGCAGCAGGCAAAGAGAGAATGAGAGCCAAGTGAAAGGATTTTTCCTTATCAAACCATCAAATCTAGTGAGACTTATTCACTACCATGAGAACAGTAAGGAAGAAACTACCCCTGTGATTCAATTATCTCCCACCAGGTCCCTCCCACAACACGTGAGAATTATGGGAGTACAATTTAAGATGAGATTTGCCAAACCATACCACAAGGCATTATTCTGGGCCTTGGATACAAAAAGATGAACGCAAAGAGCTCCGAGTTTACCAACTGGTATATAAGCAAACAGGTGCCATGTGGTGTAATAAATGCTGTGAGAAAGATCTGAGCAAAGGGACATGCTTTTGGAGGTAGTGACTAATCCCCTTCACCACGGAAATGAGATTTACCCTCAAATTTGAAGATGAGTAGGAGTCCATGTGCAAACCACAGGAAATGACAATGGAGAAAGGATATTTAAGGACAGAAGAACAGTAGCACGCATTGTAGTGACCTGTGCTCAGTTTAACACAATAAATAGCCCATAATCTCCTGCTCAGAATAGAGGATGTGAGGATAGACAAGACTATCTCTCACTATAGGATCCTACAGTGTGTCAGGGTTGGGAGAAGAAAACAAGGGTTAACCAAGGAGAGCTGGACTTTTCCATTCAAAAATACAAATCTAGTTCCACAGATTTTTTTGTTTGTTTGTTTGTTTTTTTGAGGCAGGGTCTTTCTCTGTTGACCAGGCTGGAGTGCCGTGGCACAAACACAGCTCACTGCAGTCTCGACCTCCCTGGTTCAAACGATCCTCCCACCTCAGCCTCCCAAGTATCTGGGACTATAGGCACATGCCACCATGCCTGGCTAATTATTAAATTTTTGGTAGCAATGAGGTCTTGACATGTTGCCCAAGCTAGTCTCAAACTCCTGTGCTCAAGCATTCTTCCCAGCTCAGTCTCCCAAAGTGCTGGGATTACAGGCCTGAGCAACCACACTCGGCCTGGCTCTACACATTTAACTTCAGATGAGTTGCATTTAATAACTGCTTCCCTAGGCATTTCTTTGCATCAGAAAATCTGATGCAGAGTCCATGTGTCTGAAAAGTAGCTGAGTTCCACAAAAGGAAACCCACTATGGGTCATCTTAGATTGCAGTTGTAAAGTTTCTTAATTTTTCATTTAAAAAATGTTTTTAGTTTGCATAATGTATGGTAGCAACAATTTTTGGCACCATTTGACATATTTCCATTGATTTATTTTAACTGTACTATTCTGTTTTATTTTTATTTGTTTGCATTAAGGATTCAATTAAGTAATCATTGAGTATCATGTGTATGTTTTGTTTAACTGTAGACATAATTGTGCACCACTAATTGCAGTGGTAATTACATTTTCAATTTCTGAAAATGGGGCTTGGAGGGATTTTTTTAGGAACAGCTTTCTGATAAGGTGAAGGGGAAGCTTCCAACTGGCTCTGGGGTCTGATAGACTAGATACTGGCCCTTCTTTGCTGTATAACCTTGAGAAACTACTTCTCCGAGACTTCATTTTCTCAGTTGTTCATCTACAATGAGTTATTTCTGCCATGGAGTTATGTTGAATGTTATATGAAATTATATATGAAGCTCTTAACTCAGTCCCTGGCCCACAGTAGTTGCTTCAGAGCCAACTAGATGGTAGCTCTGAAGTAAGAATGCGTATCTTTCCATGCCATTCCAGGAGCCTGTCAGTCTCTACCTATAAAGTCTCCCTCTTGAATCTTGGCTGTCTTACTCTCTATGTATCTATATATCTCCCATATCTAGAACTGAGCTGACATGTAGTATGTTCTCAATAAATATTTGTTAGATGAATAAATAAATAAATGTTTGAACCCTCACACATTTTTCAGGAACCCTCCTTAGAAACTCGTCCCTCATCTTCCTTAATGAACAATGGTTCTTTCCTCCTCGGAGGCTTTGTTGCATACTGTTAGCTCCAATCATAGGAATATCCCACGTGCTGCCTTAATTTACAATTTTCTAAGAGCCATGTGGATCAGATAAGAAGTGATTAGAATACATTTTGTAGGAAGTGCAGTTGTTAGAGCTATTTTGGGAATCAGGAGAATTTGGTTTCAATTCTTTGCTATTTATGATCTAGGTGCTCATGTTGCTAGGTAATCAGTTTACTATAACCATGTGTTTGTTTTATTTGGAACATAATCTGTTTTATGGAGCTATAGTAAAGGTTGAGTATAATAAAGTGCTTAGTAGTGCTTGCCACAGGATAGGCCAGAATTTCTCAATCCTACCTGAGTATCCCAAAAACCTAAGGAGTTTTTAAAAACTCCACCCTCTTGACCATTTTTCTCAGAGTCCAATTCAGTAGGTGTGGGTGGGGTCAGGGCAGCTGCACTTTTATGAACCTTCAAAACATACTGATGAATGGTCAGATCACAGAATCCATGGGATAGCCTTATAAATATGTCCATGGACTTGAATTTCAGGGAGGAACATCTTCCTAACTAGGTCCTGTGAATGAATAGCTTTCTTGTGTCTCTCTTCAGTTCCCATTTCTTCCCTACACTTGGATCATTATATGTGCTGCATCACCACCTTTTTATCTCCTGTGCCATTCTCTTCCTAACATAAGTTCTTCCATTTTTCTCACTCTGGTTATTAAAACATCACTGTAATACAACACTAGTGTAAGGATGATTTGCAATCAAACACTTTTACAAACTGACCGTGGGGTCCTGGAGTGTGTGTGGATTGTGTATTACAGCTCTATCACTTACAAGTGCAGATGCAGTGGCATCTTAATTAAACATCCCCAGCCATTGACAGAGCACTAGTGCCCCTCACAGCTGTAATTAGCACCTACTCCCACCCAGCAGCAATTGAGAGAGCAGGGCCACAAGTACCTGGGAAGTTGACAAATAGCACAAATGAACACAAAATGGACATGATGTTGGGGCATTTGCAGAAAGCATGCCTCTTAGTCCCGTGATGGGATAGCACTCAAGAGAAGAAAGGGCTTCATCATATGTCATTCAATGGGCATTTCATTAATAAAGCCTTTTGCATGAGAGGCAGAGTGAAGTAGAGGTGAGAGGAGGGAGAAGGACTTGATGCCAGGCCCCTCACATATTTTATTGCATTGAATTCTCACAGCAACTCTTTGAAGTAGATGATATTATTGCTATTAATATTTGCCAAATTAGGGAACTAAGGCACAGAAAGATGAGATAGTTTACCTAATGGATATCCAATGATAGAGTTGGAATCTAAACTTCTTCATCAGACTCAATCCAAGACTTTTCCCATCTCACCAAGAATCCCAGCTAGGAATAACAAGGGAAAGGACCGTACCCTGCAACTGCCGCTTGATTAACTGTTCAGGTTGTGCAAGTAACTTAATCTCTCCTGGACTCATTCTGTCCATTATATGAAAATGATTATTTCTGCAAGCTGATTGTCAGGGTTTCGAGAGAAACACATGAAAGAATGAATGGTGACAATGCTTAATACCCATAAATAACTACAAAGATATGAGGAACTGTGATGATTAGAACGTGCCTGTCTTAAACTGTTTGACACTATAGTAAACCATAGACCAAGAAAAATTTTATCTCTCTATAGTGATATGCCTCAACTAGATAATTCCACATGACCTATTATTATCATATCAATGATAATTACCCTATTTTCTATTATTCAACTAAAAGTATTAAACTTCATCTATCACAGTAAACCACGTAACCAAGTAAACCATGTGTCAGAAGCCAGCCTCTTGCCTAGTTTCCACAACACAAAGACTTTTTAGAATTTAATTCATGTTGCTAGTTAACCCATTACTTTCCTTTTGTCTACAGTGGTGATCACAATAGAAATATTATTGTTTGGTGTTAGGAACCCACTTTCAGGCTGCGTGCGTCTCACTTCCTCTCATCTTTGATAAAGAGCTAGTGCCTTGTAAGCCTGGTTTCTTTTGTATGTTCGCTGTTTCTGTAAGTGTAGCTCACTCTCCCAGGCAACTAAAGTCAAAACTAGCTATCATGGTGGGCACACCCTTTTTCTTTCCTGCCATCTCGGTTGCCAGTTCTATGAATCTTATCTCACCTGGACACTCCAGGAGCTTCCCCCACCTGGTCCCTCTGCCTCCAGCCTTGGCTCCTCCCCAGAACACATTCTCCAAATCCCAGCCAAAGTGATCTTTTAAAACATAAATCCAATTATGTCACTCTGCTGCTTAGTACCATTTAGTGGCTTTCAGTTGTAGTTGGAATTAAACACAAACATTGTATGCTCACCTGCAAGATCTAGCTACACCTCCAACCTCATTGCTATCACCACCCTCCAGCCACACCATTGCTCATTTCTGCCTCAGGATATTTGTAGTTATTATTTTTAATTCCTGGATTTCTCATTGCACTACACAGGACAGACTCCTTCCAAATTTTCAGGTCTCAATTTTAAATATCAGTTCCTTGGTAAGGCCATTCTTAATCCCTGATATGCATCGCTGTCATCAACCATTGTACTCTCTCATCATGACCTGTTTTTGCATGGCATTCATCACATTTTGTAAATGTGTGTAGGTATCTTTGGGTATGTAATACTTAATGTATCTTCCTTATTAGAATGTAAGCTCCACCAGAGTCAGAACCACATCCATTTGGTTCACCACTATATATCCAACACCAGCAGAGTGCCTGGCAAATAATAAGTACTCAATAAATATTTGTTGTATTCATAGAATGGTATGAAATTAGCAATCCCAAAGGGAGTTCATCCAAAAGCCCCATGACTTCTCCACCCTCCACCCTCCCATCTGAGACTCGCTGGTCAGCCTAACAGGACCGTCCCTCTTCATTTGTTCCAGGAGCGGCTCGTGCTTTCTGTGCTCCCCCGGTTTGTTGTCCTGGAAATGATCAACGACATGACCAATGTGGAAGATGAGCACCTGCAGCACCAGTTCCATCGGATCTACATCCATCGCTATGAGAACGTCAGGTGAGAAACACAACACCCTTGCCCCGGCTCTTGCATGATCCATGTGTGTTTGGGTGCTCTCATTGCACTTCCGTGACTTCCGTCTGCTTGAATGTCAGCACCTTTCCTCATCTGGTTGATTAATTCATTACCTAGTGATTATTCATCAGAGAGTTCTACATTTCCAAATTAAGGCTAGAGAAGAATGTCACAGATAAAATTATATTTGCTGGTTGACTTACTGCCTAGCTCTCCTACAGTAGGCGTGTCTGTCTTTACATTTTGAGTGGGAAAGGCAAACACCTTTTAGACTATGATAAGAAAAATAATCCCAGAATGTAATCTGGGGGTTTCAGGTGTGATCACATACATCCCCTCCTTATATTACTCATAAGTGTGTTTAAAACAGTACAAAGAGGATGACAGTTTATTTTCCTTTGCAAACTTATTTTTGGCCAACCATCCATCTATCCATCCACCCATCCATCTATCCATCCATCCATGTATCTTCCCACTTACTCCCCCATCCATGCATCAGTGCCCTCTATGTGCCCAGCACAACACTGGACAACATGGCATGTACTGAAAATCAAAGGGTGAACTCCATGGTGAGGCACACAAGCTTTAAAATCCCAATTCTGCCTATTCCTTGTTTGTGATCTTGGGAAATTTATTTACCTGAATCTCAAAATTCTTCCCTGTAAAATAAGCATCTTCTTAGCCACTTTGCAGAGTTTTATGTGGATCATATAAGTGAATATTAATACAAAATATAAAACAGGCAGAGTTAAGCAAGTAGTAGAGCATTCGGTACATTGTAGTTCATTTCAGACATGTTTCCTAGTTTCAGTCAAAAGAATCCAACCATGACTGATTTAAAAGAAATGTACTGGCCGGGCACGGTCGCTCGCGCCTGTAATCCCAGCACTTTGGGAGGCCAAGGTGGGCGGATCACGAGGTCAAGAGATCGAGACCATCCTGGCCAACAAGGTGAAACCCCATCTCTACCAAAAATACAAAAATTAGCTGAGTATGGTGGTGCATGCCTGTAGTCCCAGCTACTCAGGAGACTAAGGCAGGAGAATTGCTTGAACCCGGGAGGTGGAGGTTGCAGTGAACTGAGATCGCACCACTGAACTCCAGCCTGGCAACAGAGCAAGACTCTATCTCAAAAAATAATAATAATAAACGTATTGAAAGGTTATGTCATGGATTACAGAATAGTTAGGGAAGAATGGAGAAGTACATGAGGGAAATGGGCCAGAATGAAGCAAGGCCACAGAGTGAAAGGCATAGGCAAAATCAAGCCAGAGCACTTAGGCCAGTTAGGAGGCCACTGCCACTGTCTCTGACCAGTCCATTGCTTGTGCAATCAACCCTGTCCCCAAACCAGCCCCCAAACCCTGACACAGCCACCACTGCAATTCCCTGTCCCCAAACCAGCCCCCAAACCCTGACACGGCCACCACTGCAATTCCTCCTGCAGCCCCAGAAACTGACATTGCTGTCTTTGCTCTGCCCTGACTTCCTGCTCCTGCTGCTTCTTTGCATCTCAAGTTAAAGCCTGGAGCAGATGGGTCTGATTGGCTGAGCCCAGTCATTTTCTTTAAGTGCCTGGAAAGCAAGTCTCTGGCATTTTCAGCTTATACAGTGGAACTGTATCTCCCACCCACCAAATATCATAAGGTAAAACTTTCCCAAACATAGAGTCAGAGTCCTTACATTAAGCAACTTCAAAAGTGACAAACCTATTCTCATAGTTCCTTTCCTCCTAATGTCAGCAGGATAGAGGACAATTTTGCACTTAGCAGCATCTGTAGGTGTTCTACTCCTGGCATGCAGGAACACGCGTTTTAAAATTCAGTAGAGATCATGATTCTAACACAACCCTTCAGCGGGCATAGCAGGATAGGTCATTCCCAGGGTCTTGTCCAAGAATTGAGCTACACTGATTTAGATGCTTGAGTTTGCAAAACAGCCCTTTGTCAAACAGCAATTCCAGGAAGAGATGCGCCCCAGATCTAGGAATTGGTCCCACACATAATAAGAACTCTTCAATACTAGTTCTAAGACAATAGGAACCTATTAATCATAATAGAATATGGGGTTTGATTATTAAGCAGGCCACAAATGCCAAGAGATCATAAAAGGAGGAAAACCTGGGGCAAGGAGGTGGAGGGCGGGACAGGGAGATAGGTAGAGAAACCTTCCTGGAAGAGATGATGATTCTTCTTGGCTTTATTTGAGACGAAGTCAGCCAAGTGAAAAACACAAATACATGAATTCTGAGCAAAGGGGTCAGCAGAAGTGAAGGCAGAGCCACGGTCCATGCAGAGAATCATAGGTGGTGTTCCATATTCCTTCCCTGGTGGCAAAATGGCTTGACCACGAATGCAGATCCAGAGAAAGCAGAAATTGCGTGAATATTTGGGGAAAAAATAAATATTTAATTACATACTCATCTATAAATATATACAAATCATATAAATTTATAAATAAAATATGTGGCATATGATGAAAGTACCTGTCACCATGGAGAAAGAAGGAGGGAAAAATACCTTTAAAAAGAAAAATAAGGAAAATTCAACAAGCCAGCGCGTCCACACCAACATGCTCAGGTGCCTTAAGTGCAATAAACAGCATGTTCGGCGGCTCGCTTTCTGCAGGAATCCTTCTTCAGTGCTCCCGTTACTCTTAAGCAGCTAGTTTCTTCTGCCCCCACCCCTCCAACCCCGCCCATTTATTTTAAGTCATTGAACTGAGTTCTTGTGCTGGAGACCCTTTTCCAGAAGTTCACGCCACAGTACATTAAAATTTCGTTTTCTGCTCTCCGTGTCTCCGCGTTTTCAGAGCCGTTACTAGGGGGAGGAGAATTGATGCAGAAACCAGCCGCCGGCCCTGTTGCTCCCGGGCTATTCTCAGAGCAGCGTGGTGAGATGCCCGCGGCTCCGGGGGTTTCGGGAAGATGAACTCAGCTCGGGGCGGCGGGGCGTCTCCTGCCCACTGCGAGGCTGCAGGGTGCTAAAATAAGACCGGAGCCTTGAAAGCAGAGGAGGACGGTCCCTAGCCCAAGTCGGAGAACAAAGCCAACTGGCTGCTCCACCCGCTTCCCCAGCCCCCAAAGCAACCCCGCTGCGGTGTTGGGAGCATTTTTGAAATCATTTCCAAGCCCGTCACCCTCTTCATGGTAAACTGCCTGGTGCATTATTTTTTCTCCCTTGGCTTTTTTTTTTTTTTTTTTTTAATTTTGAAGACTCTTTCCTAAAAAAGTGCTGTACACATCTAAGTCTTGACTTACATTTCATACCACTGTTTACCTTCATCAGGAAAGGGTATGCTTAAAGGCGCCATGCTTGGGGGCATTCGTGTGCCCACGTGGGCTGGGGTAGCCACACCCTTGGCAAGACTTCGACTGCATCACCTCATCCCTGTGGGCCTCCGTTTCCCAATCTAAAAGCTGGACTCTTTGAACGCTCAAATTGACTTCAGCTATCAACCTCTGAGACTTCTCCAGGTTCACCTGAGGATCCACCTGGCCACCAGCTTTTTACTGGAAGTCATTCACGCTCTCCATCCCACCTACCCGATTGTATTGATCTTTCCTGTTTTTCCCCCAGATACTTAAGACACTTCTTGTATTCATTAGGGTAATGCTATCTGCTCTTTCAAATACCCTTTCAATTTCAGTGATTTTTAACTCAATCAAGTTTATTCATGCAAGTGTTCACTGCTGATATTACTGGTCAGTGGGTGATTCAGGAACAAAGGCTCCTTTGTTTTGTAACTACCATCCCTTGGGCCTCAAAGTTCCCAGCATTTGGTTATTGGAAGGGGAAGCAGAGTACTCACACCCACTTTTTTTTCCACCTTAACCAGAAAATGACGTATGTCATTTCTGTTCAGATTCCATTAGGGAGAATCAATTCCAGGTGCCCACCTAGAAACAAAGTGGGCTGGGAACAGTGCCTCTGGCTCAATGGCTTTTCCTAGTGACAGGTGGATTGACTATGCAAATAGAGGCATGGATCTGGTGGACAGTCATCCTTCTCTGTCATGGTTCTTTTTCCCATTTCCTATTGGCCCTGCCAATTCCATTTCATGTACATTTGCACATTTGCTGACATACATTTTGTGGGTCTGTCTGGGAGACATGTTTGTCTTTATCTCTCCCTATGCCATGGTAGATATTTTAGTGACCAATTGTCAAGGATCAAAAAAATCCTCGTTTTTAGAGTCTTGCTCAGTCTGTTCACTTTCTTGACTGGCTGTTAATTTCCAGCCAGCCCTGTCAACATGTGTGATCACTACATCTGTCCTGTAGACTAGAGTTTCACGAACAAGCAAAATGCAATTGAATGGAGCTAGAGAACTTGATGACTTTCTAGATCCATCCGCATGGCAGTTAAGCACTTCCAGATTCGTAAAAACTTCCCAAAGAGGTTATATACCCTTCATTTATTGAGAATTATGCAATGATTTACAAGTTGTCTTCTTATGGTAGTCCTACAGAGTAGCTTTAATGACCTTTGCTGTATTATCAAGGAAAATGGAAGCTCAGAGAGGTTAAGTAACTTTCCCAAGAACACACAGTTATGATATTGGAACACCGAACACATCTGAAACTTAGTTAGTGAGAGGAGTCTACACAGGGACCACGTTCCTAATGATTCTATTGAACTCCGCAAAAGCTTCCTTGGGGATTCTATTTGAAGAGTGACTATTAGGTAACATGACTTATTTTTAGCCAAATAAACAATTTATTTGGCTAAAAGTTGGCTAAATTAGAGTTGAAAATTACTATGGCCCCCTTGGTATATTCATCCTGGAAAGCTACAAATTATGCCAAGAATCAAAAGACTTGATGATCTGAGCTCAGCACCTGGAGGTGGCAGAACAAGCAATGGAATGAGAACCAGGGCCCTGGTTTCTGCTTCTGGTCTTTTATTCAATAAATCCTTATTGTACAACTATGACTTAAACCAGTGCTTCTGAGTCTTAAATGTGCACACAAATCATCTACGGCTCAGTTAAAGCAGATTGTGGTACAGTGGGTCTGGAGAGGTGGCTTGAGAGTCTACATTTCTAACAATTTCATGAGATGCCACTGGGGGCCATGACCATGCTCTGAGGAAGGAGGACTTAATTCTGAATGTTTCTGTTGATTGGACTAAGGAAACATGTAATAGGGCCAACTGTGTGCTGGGCAGGTGGGATGCAGAGGTGACTTCATTCTTGTTCTTCAGCTAATAGATGGAGCACACTTAGCCACATATGATTGTGCTATTGAGAGTTAAGTGTTATGACAGAGAGGGGCACCAACAGGGCGAGAAGCTTGAGTTGGGGATAACTGGCTATGCTTGGGGAAGTCTCCAGAGGGGTATAGACTCTTAACATGATTTTAACACCTGAGTGGGGCTCTGAAGGACAAGTCAGATTTTAACAGGTAGCAAAAGGGGGAAAAATCTATACCAGGGAGCAGGCATAGCATGTACAAAGATACAGGTGCATAATGTATGGTGGGATCGAAAGACCTGGAGAAGTTTGATGATATTGGAACACTGAAGACATCTGAAACTTTTATGACCTTAGCTCTCAGGGAATCCATTTGTTCTTTCAATAGGCTGTGAGCTTTATAAAGGCTGGGATGATGCTATCATCTGCTCACTACTTTATCTCCACTGCCTGGTGTATAGTAGTCATTTAATTAATAAGCTGTTGAATGAATAAATAAATTGGTAAACCATTCTTGCCATAGACAGATGGATACTAGTAGCTTTGGGCTTATGGATTCATAAAGGGAATGTGTTAAACCAAGTGATCTAAGAGCCTGTCCACTTCCCACCTGTCATAGCAATGACTTTTCTTTCTTCAAAAATAGCATAGCTGAGCAATAAAGAGGATGGATGCCAGAGCCAGGCTTCCTGGTTCAAATTCTAGCTCTTCATGATTATAGGCAAGATACGTAGGCCTCAGTTCCATAAAATGGAGAAGAACATGATAGGTTCTCCCTCATAAGTTACATGGAATAAATGAGTGAATACATGTAGGGCTCTCAGAGCATTACCAAGTCCACAGTGAATACTCTGTAAGTGTTGCTGCTGCCTGGCAGTTCAGGCTTCATCAACAGTTAGGAATGCTTTTAGCTACAAGTAATACATAATCAAATGAATGGCCATATTATTTTCTACCTCTGTTACCTCTCTCTTCTCTTTCTCTCTCAAATATAACATGCAATTATAGTATAATTTTGTAAAATGATGATAACAAAAGCTAACACGTTTAAGGAACATTTACTATGCTGGCAATTGCCAGGTGATGTGCTAAACACTACCCACTAATGAGGCAAGTATGCCAGTTATCTCCAGTTTACAGAGCTAGGGCTTACAGAAGTTCAGGAAGTTGCCCAAGGTCATAGAATTCCTAAGTGGTGAGCTAAGATTTGAACCCAGATCTATCTAGACTCAAATTCTGTGCATATGACCATATGTTCTGCCACCACGGAACTGTAGAAGACAATGGCAGTATAGTCACTCTGCCAAAGGTAGCTTAGTAAACTGAAAATCTATTGGCATCATGTCCATGCTTAAATCCCATTCACTAGCTTTCCATCACTTTCAGGACAAAGTCTACATTCTTCATCCTGGCTTACCAGCCCCTTCTCCATCATTGCCCCACCTGTATTTCTGACCTCATCTCTCTCTTCTTTCTAGCCTCCTTGCTCAGTGATACCTTCTGACTGGCTGCCCTTGAATTACTGCAGAACCTTGATACATACACTTATTCTTCCACCAGACCCTAGAATGTACTGTTCTCTCTGCTCAGAGCATCCATCCTCCCAATCACTTCGCTCATCACATTCTTCAAGAACCAGCTGAGACTTTTCTCTACTGGGAGACTCCTGATCCCTCTGTGGCTGGTCACCCCCCAATATGTCCTTCAATCACAGTGATCATCACCCTGCACTGTTTCCATTTTTCTTTTTGTCTTTCCAGCTCCATTCCTCAGACTCAGCATCTTGAGGAAAGGCACTAGGTCTTATATATCATTTAATCTAACTTTCTAGTCCAGTGCCTAGCTGAACACATAGTAAATATATAAATATTTGCTGAAAGAATGAGCCATTCAATAATTAACTAAAGCAATAGATCTAAGGATTCCTAATGATTTCATGAATGGACTTTGCGGAAGGTAAAAATCCCTTTAAGTGAGGTGCAAAATTTTGAATGCTCGTACATTTTTGGGAGAGATAATCCATAGTCTATGTCAAATTCTTAAAAGGGTTTGTAAAGGAGATGAATTTTAAGAATTATTGAATAAATGTGGTGACTGATGTAAGTCAACACATTCCACGATGTCTTCTAGCCCAATTACCTATTTCATTAAAACTAAATTACACTCATAGGCTGATTGTAAGACTTGTCATTATTTTAGGCAACACTAAGAAAAGATGTAAAAAGCTCGACACAGCTAAAGTGATCAATTGTAAGACACATCTCACTTTCAGAGAGGATGAAAAATGAGAAATGATCAAATATGGTATCCTGTTTTGTGTCCTATCTTTCCTTTCAGAGGTCCCTGAGATGACATGGTAAGATAATTGGAGCAATATCCCTCAGTGCAATTCAACCAAATGGACAATCCCAGCTATGCCATGTGCCACTAGTGAGATGCTGGGCAAGTCTCCTTGCATCTCTGAGCCTCAGTTTCCTCATGGGCTGAATGGAGAGAACTATGCTTGCCCCACAGAGTAACTGGATGGCTTAACCAAGAGAGTAACCTGGCTTTTAGAAGGCTTTGGGAAGCTGCCCTGTCCCTTATACCAGGCCATATACATAGAACAAGACCTCACCTAACTGAAATCTTTAGTAATGTGAGAGTATTGGGAAATTAATTATTCTGCCTGAGGTCTCCCAGATTTGCCACCTATTGTCATAATTTTTGAGAAATGCCTATTTACCTGCCATTTTGGGTACGGTACCTGTCATTGGGTTCAAGATGATGAGGTTTTCGGTTCTGCCCCTGCCCCTTGTGACCATTTTACTCTGTGTTCATTGCATGTGCATTGCTGTTCATTGTGAAAATATGGAGATAATTCATAAAGTTTCATCTTGCTTTTCACAAGAAATTGATATCTTCATGGTGACAAATTCTTTTGGATTGTTTGCATTGCCCACTCTACACAGCCCTGCACAGGAAAAAAGGGCTTCCTGTTGTCCCCTTGTCCTTCCTGAGCTCCTGAGTGGACTCTCTGCTGAGATATTTATTAAATACTGAGACATTCCTCCTGACTCTCATGGCAGCAAGAGCTAAAATCTCAGACCACAAAGACAGTTTATCTGCTGGGATGGTGTTGATGTGTATCCCAAGATGGACTAAAATATTAATATACTTCCTCCCCCCACCCCCACCCTCTTCCCTGTGTTTAGTATTCTTTTTGCAGATGTTAAAGGATTTACCAACCTCTCCACGACCTTGTCTGCTCAGGAGCTGGTCAGGATGCTCAACGAGCTCTTTGCCAGATTTGATCGACTGGCCCATGTGAGTTGAATTTAATTTCCTCCTCGTCTTTTGCAGGAGTGAGGGACTGCATATGGAATAAGGAAAGAGAAGGATTCAGCCTTCTTCCCCAATGTCATTACCATTCTGCATCCTGTCCCTAGGCATGGACCCTGACCCTCTCACATTCTGGGGACTGATGTTAGCTATTTACAGGTCTCATGCAGGAGGTTTGTCAGATTAATTTTCTCAATTGAGAGACGGCTGGTTGAGTGACAATCAAACCCCAGTCCTTTTTATCTGCTTTCCACGCCCCTATCATTGCTTCCCCTTGCACGTGGCCAGGTGCCATCCAGCTGCAGCTTCAGTGCTCATGCATGCAGTAATGATGGCCTGCAGTTTCCCAGCCAACCCTGGCCATCTGGGATGAATTAGCATGTTCTCAAAAACCAGTAATCTGCTGGGCCATCCCACCACCATCTTGATCAACCTAACTTAAGAGCTTTGTTTTTAGCCAACAAGACAGTACCTTCATTTTCCAGCTGTCTTGATCAGAGCTAAGCTAGAAAACAGATTAAAGGAGATGGACATTTGCTATCAAAACACAGATTCATAGTCCTAAAGCCACTTGAGTTACGAAGTAATATCATTATCACGCTGTACTTCAGAGTGGGCTTTGGGTTCAAATAGACATCTTAATTTCCTGCTGTGTAAAGTGTGTATGTTAGTGCCAACTTCACAGAGCTGTAATGAGAATTAAATAAGACCACATCGGTGGGAGTTCATTTTTAGAGCATCAAAATGTCCTCTGTTAAGGCTGCCTCACTCTATGGGAAATACATTAATACTTGCATTTAAGCACCTACTAGGTATTGTACATGCTGCTATGTGTTAGGAATATGAGAATGATGAAAACACACCTCCTCCCTTCCTGGAATTAAGTCTAGTTAGGTATTCATTAATAGGTAAGGAATGTAAAATGTGCCATGTGTTATGAGGAAGGTAAGTCTGGGGGCCATGGAAACACAGAGGTAACACATGACCTTTAGATGAGAGAAGACTTCTTGAAGAAAGTGACTCTTAAGCTGAGTCTTAAAAATGATATAAATAATACAATAGAATACTGTTCAGCAATAAAAATAGGATTATCCACTCTTACGTGCAACACCAATGAATCTCAAGTGCAGTATGCCAAGTGAAAGAAACCAGATACAAAATGCTAGGTATTTTATGACTCCATTTACAAGACATCCTATAAAAGGTACAATTACAGAGGCAGAAAACAGATAAGTAGCTGCAAGGAGGGCTGGGAATGGAGTAAGCATATGGATAGCAATGGAGCATGGGGTGGGGTGATTTGGGGGATTACATAGCTGATTTATATTTTTATTATGGTGGTTGTTTTATTATTACAGTTTTGTAGAGAGAGGGCATGAAGCCCCACAGTCAGACAGACATGGGTTTGAATTTGTCAAGAAGGTGATTTTATTATACATAATTTATACACTAATTAGCAAGGCAAAGAAATCAGAGCAGGATATTTTATGCAGAGGAGAAAACAAGCATAAAGATGTTACTCTGTATTTGTGAAGAAACCAGAAGAGATTGCTAGAGGATAAAGTGCAGGGTAGGAAGTGGTGGAGATGAGGCTAGAAAGACAGGCAGGGACTTGTCAAGCAACCTTAGTATAAATTTCAGCTACTGAACAGCTACTAGCTAGGAGACTGACGGGGGCGGAGGAGGAAGTGGAAACTGAGGGATCCTCCTAATAGGAGGGTTGGTTTTAGCTGGAGGGCTAGGGACTGGGGGAAAACATGTATACCATTTCCTTTTATTGTTGCATCAGTGGTGGTTGGTATCAGTTACACATAGCTATTCCATTTCCTATTATGGTTCTGATATTTTTTATCAAAGATGCCAAGATGAACAAAAACGGCCATCCAAAGGCCATTGGCAGATGTGATTAAGGTGCATTTCTGGTGTCACAGTAAACCCTGCTGACCCAGAGAAAGAGAAAGGGTACTTTTTCAGGTACTGCGCAAGACTGAAAAGACAAAACCAGTCCTTCCCCTCAGGATGCTCAGAATCTGGCAAGGGAAAATCACATGTGAATGCATAGCAGCCTCCACGGAGAGGGCAGGAAGACCAGGCTTCCAGGGTGCTGTGTGTCTGACGAGAAGAGGCCATCCTAGGGAACTTCAACCTTATCTACAGTTTCATTTTTACTAGGACAATATATTCACGTACTACTTACGTGATTACAATTAGATAAAATACTATAAAGTTTTTTGGGATTTCTAACTTTTTAGAAAAGTACACTGATAGCACTAATGTTTTTGCTTTGAGAGTCTTTTTCATTTGTATTGAGTTTTTCTGCTTATTAAAGTTATACATGTTCATTACATAAAATTCAAACATCAAAGATGTACACAATGCAAAGTATACATCCCTGTGATTCTACCCTGTGAACAATATAACCATCTTTGATAATTTGGTGCATTCATCTCCTAATTTTTGTCTATTGTCTGTATGTGCAGTTTCATAAACTCTTGGGAATTTTCCAAGATTTTGATAATGTCAAAGTCATCAAGACAAGAGGAAAGGATTGCAATAAGGCCAACTCAATAAAATTTTCAAGAAGATCCTCACCCTACTTTATTTTTCTTTTTGAATATTTTTTTCCAAAGCAGTCTGTCTTCCTTTATGTGATCTTTTCAAGGTAGTTTCTGGTACAAATAAGTTATTCAGATATTACTGTCAAGTCATCTGACAGCTCATAGTATTTGATCAGAAAAATGTGTCTGCAAATTGACAGACCTTGACAGATAAGAATCCAGGCCTTTAATGTATTATATATATTACATACATTTTATTTTTTTGTATAAAATAATTTTATATAATATATATGCGTATATACAACCATGTATTTGGGATCCAAAGAGTTTCAAGGAGGCTACCAGCTCCACATTTTGTTGGAAGAATAACAAACCCTGGACGTGAACATCATCACATCATTATCCAATGTCTGCCTCAGACGAGTAATAAACTATTTTACACAATCTCCTTCTAAAACACACTTTTGTCAGGAGACCTACCATTCTGGACTTTGCCATAATTCCTGCAGTTTTGCCAAGAGAGAGCATGGAGCCCCACAATCAGACAAACATGGGTTTGAATTCTTCTTCTGCCTCTTACTTGCCGTGTGGCCTTTCCCTCAAGCCTGCTGTTCCCATCCGTAAGATGACACGTGACTTAGAAAGTGGTCCTGAAGACTGAGATAGGTGTAATGCATTTAGTACATTGCCTGGCACATAGTACATGCTCAATGACTATTAGCTCCTGTCCCCACTTAGATTTTTGCCAAAGTGCTTTCACCTCTGTTTTCAGGGAAAGATCACAGATTCAGAGTTGGTGAGGGTGACATCCAGCCCAGGTTGTTACTGTTAGCTAGCTCCTCTGTAGCACAGGAAGCTTCCCCTCTCTCCACTGAGATTTCTGTATCTGTAAAACAGACGTGACTTTACCTGCTCTGCCATGTTCAGAGTTTTATTGTGAAGCTCAACGAAAAAAGATAAGGAGCAGCATGTTGAACATTGAGAAGGCTACTTCCAGGTGTCAGTTGTCATTGTCATTGTTAAGTAATGGCCAAGCTTACTCTGTTGTGTATTAAGGACAAGATAGATTATTTTGGCACTTGTCACATATGAGGAATTGAAACCCACATACAGTGGCTTCAGTGTCTTATCCAAGGTCAAACAGCTGGTAAATTTCTCTGGAATGCAGATGTCAGATTCTTAGACCAAAGTAATTTTTGTTATGCCCCTTTCCCTCATCCCTCCCTGTAGCAAACAGGCAACAGGCCAATCCATGCATCTGATTTTGATGGTACCAGGCTTTCTTTCGCATAAGTCTCTCATACCAACCCGATGCCCCAAAAGACCATTTGCAGATGAAGTCACCAATCCCTGCCTTCCAGTCTCAGTGTTCGGATCTGCAAAATCAGAGTAAGATTTTGGAACACTGGTTCTCAAATTCTCCTTCATACACAAAAATTGGAAATTTTAAACTTGGCATGAGATTTTAAAAATGATAAAAGCAATGTAGTGAGTTTTCATAATGTTAAATTTATTTAGGTAAAAAGAAAACCTTGCCTTTATTCTGAAGATATGTCTTTCCAGTAGTTCTGGTGTTAAAAATATATTTGCTTTTATAAGTGATGGGGATAGTAGATAGTATTTGGGTTGCTGTTTTTGGTGTTTGTTGATGGATTGTTCATACTTTCTTGACAAAAAAAAAAAATGTACCCTACAACATCTCTAAACCCTCTGATTTCTTTTTCCATAACAGTCCCACTGACTCCACAAATCTGGGCACTGCTAGCACCAAAGAACAAGAAACTTTCTAAGTTCCATTCTGATCCTGACACCCTCAAGGTCTTAGAAGAAACAACTGAAGGCCTTAAGCTTCTTTTATTTAATGAATCAGACCTAATTGTCAGCTGTGTTGCAAAATTAGCTGCATTGAAGCAGCCAATAGACAGGAGCCCAGATCCCCTAAAAATAATCCTGGGATGGCTGTACATGCTGTCAGAGTTCTGAAGATTGCATCTGGGCCCATTTGGGAAGGTTGACAAGGCTCCAGAAATCTGACGGGAAAGTACCAGAGACAGTTCTGATTCTCTTTTCCCTGTCTAATATTTGTTTTTCTTGGGATAGTATATTTACTTATCCATTACCCAAACATAATGTCCAACTCCTGGTGAGATTGGGAAACCAACACAGTGCTTTACAGCTTGCTACTACAAGGGCATCAACAGTACTGTTGGTCTCTCAGTGGGTACTTTTTATCAATAACTCCCCTTCTCCAGCTCTGGGGCCCTCCTTTTCCCACACAGCCATAGAACCATAAGCCTCTAGGACTTCAGATCTAGAAGGCATCTCAGAGGTCATTCAGCCCCAACAAGCTGCCCAAGGAAACCAAGAGGATATGTCACTTGTCCATGATGAAAAACAGATATGTGAAGGAGCTAGGCCTGGAGTCCAACTCTTCCTCATAGAAAGAGGCAATATTAATTGAGTGCCCCATCTGCCAGGCCCTGTACTGAGCTTTCACTTGCACCATCTCACTTAACCCTCATAGTGGCACAAGGGGACAGGCCCTATGATTATCCCCATTTGATAGATGAGGCACCTGAAGGCCAGAGGTTAGGTAGTTTACCCAAAGACTCACAGAAAAGACAGAGGCAGTATCTGAGATTTGATCCTGTGCAGTGTGACTCGTAAACCAGTGCCCTTGGCTCCCCATGCTATACTACCTTAAGTTCTCTTTCTACTAGAACCTATAACATCTAGCTGCTTCCTATCCAATATAAAAGCATGCATTATTTTCTTAATGCTTGTTGTTCTTTGAAATTTTGTAAGAGTTGTGTCTTTAAGATTGGGAATCCACCAAACTAACAACTACTTCTCACCGGTGAAATGGAGATAAAAAACAACCCACCTTAGAGGGTTGTTGTGAGGATTAACTCTGTTTTATTTATAGTGCATAATAGGAGCTATTATTAGTCATCTTTGGGTTAGGGACAATGTTTGCCTTATTATAGGTGCCCAATTGATTTTTAATTTTTTCAATGAACAAACATATAAATTAATAAACGAATAAAAGGATATATAAGAAGACTTAGTTCCTCCTCATAAAGTGCAAATGTCCTTGCTGGAAAGGAACTTTATAGAGTTGAAGTAATAGGAATTCCTAAGTGATGTACATTTTTAAGTGCTTACTATTAAGCTAAAGACTGATGAAAGCTGTTAATTCACAGCTGTTTTTGAGAAGAGAGACATTGCTTGGGGCTGAATTTGTAGGAGATACTATGAGCACTCTGTCAGGCCTGACCAAGTGACAGGTGTGCAGACCATAGAGCTAGTATATAGCAAAGCTTGGATATAACCATGTAGCTTTTGAGCTCAAAACCTAATTTCTTTATGATTCCATTCCACCTCTGGGTCCTTCAAACCCCCATTTAGGTTACACCTCAAATATTTTAGAAAGACAGGTAGAAGTATATTTCAAAGGTAGGTTCTCCTTACCCCAAGTTGCAGACCACCTAACCCTGCTCGCCTCTTTCTCAAGCCTTTCTGAAGAACTGATCCTTCTGCTGACATAGACCTTTCCCTCTTATCCTGTTCCTTCCAGGAGCATCACTGCCTTCGTATTAAAATCCTGGGGGACTGCTACTACTGCGTGTCTGGACTTCCTGAGCCCCGCCAGGACCATGCCCACTGCTGTGTTGAAATGGGTCTCAGCATGATCAAAACCATCAGGTAATTTGTGATCCCCATCATGTTACCTGGGTCTTCAATGTGCACGATCACAGGCCACTTCACCTACCCTTTGTGGTAAATCATATGTATGGTGAAAGGCAGAACCTTTTGACTTATTTCACAAAAACTGTGTGCCCCTTAGTTCTCCCATATAAACCAATGAACCTGTTAGCATCATTGTTTTCTAAGTTTACCTCACTTTTAATTATTTGTGCTACAAGTTTGTATTACAAATGCCCTTGTGGAGATGCAGCAAGGAACAAGATGAGCATAGTCCTTACCTTCAGGGATGTTACAGTGCAGAGAGAGAGATGAATGAAAGAATGAATGAATGAATAAAAAATTTCAATGCAGAACAATAAGCTTTGTGATAAATCAAATCCAAGTGCTTGGGGAAAATAGAGGAGGAAGTTAATTCAACGTAGGATGTTGGGGAAGGCTTTCCGGAATAGAAATGTCTAAGCTGTTGACTGAAAGGTGGGTGGACATTGACAGGATCTTGGAAGTGGAGGGGAGAGTTTTCAAGAGAGGATGGACATGTACAGAAACCAGGATGTGCTGCAATGGCTACTGTGAAGCCTGGGGTGGAAAGAGTAGTGACAGATGGACTGTAGGCTGGCAGCAGCCAGAGCCCATATGACCTTCTCAGTCATGTTAAGAGGTTGCACTTTATCCTATGGCCAATAGGAAATTACTAGAAGGCTGCCACCAGGGTTGGCTTCATGGATGTGTGGCAAGTGCTTTTGGTTTTATTCAGCATATCTGACAAACAGATGATGGATCAAGGGGGAAGGAATTATTGGGGTTGAGGACTCTGGAACTAGGCTGTGTGTGGCTTTCAGACAGAATCTTAGTATTGTCAGCACTCCCCTTGAGGTCCAAACTGGTTGCAGAGCCTCTAAGTGTCACGTCCTCACAAAGCCACAGCAAAAGCAGTAACAAGAGGATGCATAGGCAGAAATACACACACACACACACACACACACACACACACACACATGTCAGTGCTTGGGTGACTAACACCCTCAAAAACTCAGACTTAATTGATCTAGGGAAGACCATGGGCTGTTTGTAAGCTTCTTCCATGAGACAAAGGTACAGCCAGCCTTGAAAACCACTGTCTTTAGAGAGATTTTAAAGGTGGAATCAGAGCATACCATGGAAAAATCAGTATAATAGAGAGTTTCTCAAAATGTAGCTTCACAGATATGAACTTTTCACATGAAGTTTTCCCACCTGCAGTAAAAGATATTTCCACAGACAACCCAGTTTTCACAAAGGAAACAAACTAGCAAACGTCATATTCTCCCAGAAGCTACCATGAGGAAAAACCACGTTTGGTTGAAAGAAGGCAGTGGGCAATAGGCGTACAGCCTCTAAATGAAAGCTGTGTAGCAAAGATGGTCACTCAACAGTCTTCAAGTGGAGTGCTGTCTGTAAACTGCAGGGCCTTTGCTGTCTTCTGCAAACAGTTGAGTAGGGTGTGCAGTTGCTGTAGCACATTGTCTTGCAAAAAGGAGCAGCAGGAACTCACCAGACCAGGCACAGGGAGGTGGACTGTCAGGAGGGACACAGAGGTCATGGTTCTGGGTGTCTTAACGTCAAAATTTGGGATTCTTTCCTTGTCTGGGTAGCATCATATTTTTATTCTTTCAGAAGAGAAGGAATCTGAGGAGCAGGAGACAAAAGCACTCTAAAAACCTTCTTTCTCCCTTTACGCCATCTCTTAATAGAATTTTAAGCATTATCTGGCCAAGCTTTCCTGCCCTACATTAGGCTACCGCCCCAGACTACATTAGGCTGGGCTGGCCAGCTTGATGATCAAAGTGGATCCAGAGTAATTCTGCATGCATCCAAGCCTCTTCGAAGACAGCTGGATTACCATTCCAGCACAGGGCAAAGAGACTAGGAATTTCCAAAATCTTTTTAGTACCTTTCCATCAGCAGAAGGCATGTGTCCATAGTGACAGCAGCCTACCTCTGGAAAGGCACATGTAGAGCTTTATCATATCTCAAGAAAAATATCCAGTTGTCACAGTCTTCTTATGTCATTGATCCTATGGAAAGAAAAAATTTTGAGTAACAATTTCAGAGGCCTTATGCCTCATTTAAGGGATTTATCTGAAAGTCTCCCATAAAGCCAAAAAAATGGAATCGGGAGATGTACAAGTGGGATGAGAATTTATGGTACTTTTCTGTGAAGTGTATGATGGAAACCAAACCCTTTACTGTCCCTAATACCAAGTAGGTAGGTAGATAAAGAGACCCAAGATGTCCTCTCTACTATCTCCCTGTCTTCTGTAGAGATGCGGAAGTACTCCACTTTAGGAACTATGGAGAGAGGAATCTATGGGTTCCAACACAGAGTTCCCTTTTGTTTGGGTTTTGGTTAATGGAAAAGGCTGCAGATGTTTTTTAACTGCTAATTTGGACACTTGAGAGTTTTTCCCTGAAAACTAGGATGAATTGTAATAATACTTTAACTGGTGTAAAGGGGGACAATGGGACTGCGATATGGTTCGGATTTGTGTTCCCACCCAAATCTCATGTCAAATTGTAATCCTCAGTGTTGGAGGAGGGGCCTAATGGGAGGTAATTGGATCATGGGGGTGGATTTCCCCATTGCTGTTGTCATGATAGTGAGTGAGTTCTCATGAGAGCTGGTTGTTTATAAGTGTGTAGCACCTCCTTCTTTGCTCTCTTCCTCCTTCTCTGTTATGTAAGATGTGCCTGCTTCCCCTTTACCTTCTGCCATGATTGTAAGTTTCCTGTGGCCTCGCAGCCATGCTTCCTGTACAGCCCGTGGAACTACTTGTTAATTAAACCTTTTTTCTTTATAAATTACCCAGTCTCAGGTAGTTCTTTATAGCAATGCAAGAACAGACTAACACAGACTGACACCCAGAAGATCAGAGATCTCTACAACTAATTAGGTGTGTGAGCCTTATTCTGTCAATCAGTAAACCCATCAACAAATGTTTATTGAGCTCCACTATGTGTCAGGAACTGGGCTAAGCCCTAGAAATACAGTGATAAACATGTCACCTGGAGGTCTTTGTACATGGGTGTCCTTTAGGGGAACAATTAAATTTATTGCCTACAAAATGAAAAAATCAGATCAGACAACTTTGAAGTCTCCACCAGTTCTGAAAATCTGTGATTTATAGCCACATAAACATCAGAGTTTAAGCAGCAAAACTTTCTACAGACTTTCCATAAGGATTTGTATCTTAGCCTTAAGTAAAAGATATGTTACAGAGATAACATTGGAAAATAAATGAGCATCTATAATCAAATACTTTAAGATACTTAGAGCATTATTATTTCTCTTTCTGGAGAGGACCTTATTCTTCCTGATCATTTTATTGAATTTAAGATCTCCTTTCTGGAGTTTTGAAATTGAACAGTGAGAAATGATTCAAAGTCTTTTTCAAACTGTATGAATCAAAATCTGTTGATATCCAAACAACTCCTTGATTCTAATCTAAGTAACATGAGGTCCAGTATTAATTATTCTAGTTAGCAAGAAAGCATGCTAAAAAGGAATTAATAGGAGCCCTGGAATTAGATAAACCTTGGTTGCAATTGGCTCAGACTTCTATAGTTTCCAGTCTTACTGCCAAATATTTCACTCTGAGGAATGGCTGGTGAACAATATTTGCACCTTAATGTGTTTAGAAGAAAATGCCAGTTACATAGCTTTATCAAAAAGTTAATAATCTTAACCAATTACTGCTTACACAAGATGGAATTTTTTATTCAGCTGCAAAGTTGCTTGTTCCAATTTGAAAACTTGATAGAAGCCATAAAGACTGGAAATGTTCATAATATTATATTGCATATATCATAATGTTATATGTTAATATAACATTTGTTTACTGGTGTCCCCAAATTTCGTGTTGACCCTCTTTATTTGCTGTCAGAAATGGACCCCTGTTTGAGGTTTTGTCTTTCCCTTTCAGCAGCTCTCCTTGTCCCTATTTCTGGCATTTTCTCAAAGTTAGGATACCATCAATCCCCAGAGTGCAGAAAGACAACAAGGGGCCAGTGCTCTGTTGGTAAGATGGCATTTGGATTTTTAGTCACTGTACCTAACAACTCCAATAATTTCCTTGTTTAGGTGAGATCTATAATTTTTGTGCAAATGGCAAACCAACACTCAAAATGACCCTAGTCTCTTACTCACTGATCATTCCAAACATGTGATAGAAATCCTCTACAACCATAGATATGGGTAGGATAGGGTGCCAATATCACGAAAGGCCAGGGTCGTCCACTGCTAGTTAGTGCATTGGCAGGTTTCAAAGAGGGTGAGGAGTAGTAAAGCCAGTTAATGAAATAGGACTCTCTTGTGATTATTCTCTAACAGAAACATCAATTTGAGCAAGTATTCATATGTGAAAATAGCTTCAAAAGAGCTAAGGAAATCAGGTGAGATGTCATAATACTCAGCTGTAGCACAATAATAATAAAAGGCACATTAAATGGAGTAGGCAGGACAAATTTATATTATATTACCCATATCATCCTTCCCCCATCCCAAGCAGCACAGTGCAGAAAAATATACCATCCATTTGGGGAAAAGAGAAGGAAGTGGGCATAGGACTTTGACTTGGACCCCAACACTGGGCCTGCCACAGTAAAACCCAGCACTAGGCAGACCCTCATGATCCCATATACCAGGCTGGTACCCACAGACTAAGCCTCTACACACGCCCCGATGGCAGATAGGACCACACAGCTCAAGGCTACAGGCTTGCTTGGCCAGTCTGATCTCAGGCACACACCACTATTAGGTTGACATTAGTGGACCTGGGCTCTGGACATCCCTTAGCAATGGGAAAGCCTCAGTGGTCCTAGGCTTCTGGCCCACCCAGAAGTAATACCCATGTAGTAGATACCATGTTTCTAGCAATGTCACTCTGGCTGCAGCTGCCCCAGGCTTCTGGCATGCCCCAGTACCACACCTGCCGTAGTGCTTTCCCAGGAAAATCCAGTCTGTGAAGACTATAATAAGGACTTACTTATTCAACTGAGCAGGGATTGAGGCACAATGATGAAGGTCAAAAATCATCAGGGAAATATGACATCACTAAGAGATAAAATAAGGTACCAGTGACTGAACCTAAAGAAATGAAGATGTGTGAACTACCTGCCAAATATTTCAAAATAACTATTTTAAGGAATCCCAGCAAACATGAAGAAAATGCAAAAAAAAATTAATAAAATGAGGAAAATAATAAGTGACCAGAACAAGAAACTTAATGGAGTGATTGAAAATAATTTTTAAAAAGAAATCTGGAGCCAAAAAATATAATAACCAAAATGAAAACTGCAATAGAGAACATCAACAGCAGAATTTCTCAGGCAGAAGAAAGAAATTGTGAACACCAACACAGGTTATTTGAAAATATACAGTCAAAGAAGAAAAAAGAATAAAGAAGTATAAAGAAAGCTTACAAGATTTATAGGACAACATCAAAAGAGCAAATATTCAAGTCATGGGGGCTTTAGAAGGAGAAAAATAAGATAAAGGGGTAGAAAGCTTATTTAAACAAATAGTAGCAGGAAACATTCCAAACTTGGAAAAAGGTGTAAATATCCAGGTACATGAAAGTCAAAGATCTCCAATCAGATTCAACCCAAATAAGAATAGCCAAAGAAACATAATAATCAAACTATTAAAATCAAAGACAAAAAGAAGATCCTGAAAGCAACAACAACAATAAGAAGCAAATACCATATATAGGAGTCCCAATATGGTTAACATCAGAATCCTCAGCAGAAACCTTACAGGCTAGGAGAAAGTGGGAGACATATTCAAAGTGCTGAAGGGAAATGAGAAACCTGCCAGACAAAAATACTATACCTAGCAAAACTGTCCTTTAGAAATGAAGGGAGATTAAGACTTTTCCAGACAAACAAAAGCTGAGGGAATTCATCACCACCAGACTTGTCTTATAAGAAACGCTAAAGGAAGTTCTAGCTGAAAGAAAAGGATGCTAATGAGTATCATAAAAACATTTGAAAGTACAACTCACTGGTAAAAATAAGTACAAAGTAAAATTCAGAATATTCTAATATTATAGTAATACAGGATTTATGGGACAACTCCAAAAGAGCAAATATTCAAGTCCTGTGGGTTTTAGAAGGAGAACAGAAAGATAAAAGGGTAGAAAGCTTATTTTAAAAAATAGTAGCAGAAAACTTTTCAAACTTGGAAAAAGATGTAAATTACTTATATCTTTGTAATGTAGGATAAAAAAACAAAACTACTACAAATGATAATACCCACATTAATTTGTTAAGAAATATACAATATTAAAATGTAAATATTGATATAAAAATAGAAAATGCTGGAGAGAAGTGGATTAAAAATATACAGTAGGGTGTGTGTGTGTGACCAAAGTTAAGTTGCCATCAGCTTAAAATAACCTGTTATGAATATGAGATGTTTTTGTAAGCCTCATGGTAACCACAAAGCAAAAACCTATAGTAAATACACAAAAAATAGAAGCAAGAGGCTGGGCGCGGTGGCTCACACCTGTAATCCCAGCACTTTGGGAGGCTGAGGTGGGTGGATCGTGAGGTCAGGGGATCGACACCATCCTGGTTAACACGGTGAAACCCTGTCTCTACCAAAAATACAAAAAATTAGCCAGGCTTCGTGGCAGGTGCCTGTAGTCCCAGCTACTTGAGAGGCTGAGGCAGGAGAATGGCGTGAACTTGGGATATGGAGCTTGCAGTGAGCTGAGATTGTGCCACTGCACTCCAGCCTGGGTGACAGAACGAGACTCCATCTCAAAAAAAAAAAAAATGTAGAAGAAGGAATCCAAATATAACACTAGTGAAAATCACTTAACCTCAGAGGAAGACAAAAGGAAAGGAAGAAGTAACACAAGATCTACAAAACAACTAGAAAACAATTAACAAGTCTCTACATGTAATGTAAATGCATTAAATTCTAGAATCAAAAAATGTAGAGTGCCTTAATGGATGAAAAACAAGACTCAACTATATGCTGCTTACAAAGGCTCACTTTACCTGTAGGACACACATAGATTGAAAGTGAAGGATAGAAAAGGTATTACCTGCAAATAAAAAACAAAAGAAAGCAGGAATACCTATACTTATGCAAGATAAAATACACTTTACATTAATAACTATGAAAATGAACAAAGAAAGTCATTATGTAATGATAAAGGGATGATTCAGCAAGTGGATATAACATTGTAAATTTATCTGCACCCAACATCAAAGTACCTAAAAATACAAGGCAAATATTAATAGATATGAAGGGAAAGATAATACTATATTATAACTATAGTAGAGGACTTCAACATCCCAGTTTCAGCAGTACACAGATTATCCACATAGGAAATCAATAAGGAAACATCAGACTTAAGCTATCCTCTCAAATAAGTGGACCTAATAGACATATATAGAACATTTCATTCAATAGCTGCAGAATATACATTATTCTCAATTTCACATGAAAGATTCTCGAGGATAGCTCATATGTTAGGACATAAACAAATCTTAACAAATTTAAGAAGATTCAAATCATATAAAGTATATTTTCTGACCACAAGGGTATAACACTAGAAATTAATAACAGGAGGAACTTCACAAAATTCACAAATACATTGAAATTAAACAACATGCTCCTGGACAACCAATGGATCAATGAAGGAACTTAAAGGAAAATTTTAAAATTTCTTGAGACAAAATTGGAAAACAACAAACTTATGGGATACAGCAAAGGCAGTTATATAAGGGAAGTTTACAATAATAAACACCTGCATCAAAAAAGAGGATCTCAAATAAACAACCTAACATTGCACCTCAAGGGACTAGAAAAACAAGAACAAACTAAGTCCAAAGTTAGTAGAAGAAAGAAAATAATAAAAATCAGGACAGAAATAGACTAGAAAAAATAAACAAAACCAAGAGTTGATTTTTTTTGAAAAGATAAAGTTGAAAGACCTATTGCTGGACTAATTAAGAAAAAAACAAATAAAATAAAATGAATAAATTCATTTGATGCATGCAATCTACCAGAACTGAATTATGAAGAAATAGAAAATCTTAATAGACCAATAGCAAGTAAGGAGATTGAGTCAGTAATACAAAGTCTCTCATCTAAAAAAAGGCCCAGGACCTGATGGTTTCACTGTGAATTCTATCAAAATTTAAAGAAGAATATCAATTCTTTTCAAACTCTTCCAAAAAATTGAAGAGGGAAAACTGTTTCCACCCTCATTTTATGAGGCTAGCATCATCCAGAGACCAAAGCCAGACAAAGACACTAGAAAAAAGAAAATTACAGAATATTCCTGATTAATTACAAAAATATTCCTGATTTTATTCCTGATAAAGAAAAATATGCAATAAAATTCTAGAAAAACAAATTCAACAGCACATTAAAGGGATCATTCACCATGCTCAAGTAGGATTCATCCCAGGATGCATGGATGGTTCAACATACATGGATCAATAACTGTGATACATCACAATGACAGAATAAAGGACAAAACCACATGATCATTTCAATAGATGCAGAAAAAGCATTTGAAAAAATCCAACATCCTTTCATGATGAAAATTCTCAATTAATTAGAGAAAGAATGTACCTCAAAATAATAAAGGCCATGTATATGACAAACCCAGGGCTAATATCATACTCAATAAGAAAAAGTTAGGCCAAGTGCAGCAGCTCACACCTGTAATCCCAACACATTGTGAGGCCAAGGTGGGAGGATAGCTTGAGGTCAGGAGTATGAGACTAGCCTGAGCAATAATAGAAAGATCTCATTTCCACAAAATATTTAAAAATTATGTGGGTGTGGTTGCACATGCCTATAGTCCTAGCTACTTGGGAGGCTGAGGAGGGAAGATCACTTGAGCCCAGGAATTTGAGGTTGCTGTGTTAGCACCACTGTATTCTCTTCGGCAGCCACAGGTGACTGCTTTGGTTCTTCAAATTGACCTCCCCCAAGCTGGACATAGTGGCACTGGTAATCCCGTAACTACTCAGAGGGCTGAGGTGGGAGGAGTCCTTGAGACCAGGAGTTTCAGGCTGCAGTGAGTTATGATTGTGCCACTGCACACCAGCCTGGGCAACAGAGCAGGCCCTGTCATTAAAACAAATTTTTTAAACAATAAAAAGTTGCAATCTTTTCCTCTAAGATCTGAAAAAAGACAGGGATGTCCACTCTTGCCACTTCTATTCAATATAGGTACTGGAGGTCCCAGCTAGAGCGGTCAAACAAGAGAAAGAATTAAAAGGCATCTAAATTGGAAAGGAACAAGTTAAATTGTTTCTGTTTGCAGATGACATGATTTTATATAGAGAAAACCCTAAAGACTCCACCAAAAAAAAAATGGTTAGAATTAAACAAATTTAGTAAAGTTGCAGGATATAAAATCCACATACAAAAATAAGTAGCATTTCTATATATTAACAGCAAACTATCTGAAAAACTAAAAACTTTCTGCATAACGAAAGAAACGATTAAGATAGTGAACCTAAACTACAGAATGGGAGAAAATACTTGTAAACTATACTTCTGATGAAAGGTTAAAATCCAAAATATATAAGAAATTCCAACAACTCAATAGCAAGAAAATCAATCACCTGATTTTAAAATGGGCAAAGGACCTGAATATACATTTCTCAAAAGAAGGTATACAAGCCAACAGGTATATTTTTTAAAAAGTTAAACATCACTAATCATCAGGGAAATGCAAATAAAAACCACAATGAGATATCACTTCACACCTATTAGAATAGCTGCTATCAAAAAGTCAAGAGATAACAAGTATTGACCAGGAGGTGGTGGAAAGGAAACTTTGAACACTGCCGGTGGAAATGTAAATTAATACAGTCATTATTTAAAACAGTGGCAGTTCTTCAGAAACTTAAAAAATAGAACTACCATATGTCTAATAATTCCACTACTGAGTAGTTATGCAAAGGAAATGAAATCTGTATGTTGAAGAAATATCTGCATTCCCATGTTTATTGCAGCATTATTTACCATAGCCAAGATATGCAATCAACCTGAATGTCCATCAATGGATGAAATGGATAAAGAAAAATGTGGTGTGTGTATATATATATATATATATATGTAATGGAATACTATTACACCATAAAGAAGGAAATCCTGGCATTTTCAATAATATAGATGAACGTGGACATTATGTTAAAAAATATAAGCTAAGCACAGGTAGATAAATACCTCGTGATCTCACTCCTATGTGGAAGCTATAGAAGCTAACCCATAGAAGTAGAGGTGGTGATTATCAGGGTCTAGGGGTGGTTGGAGTGTGGTTGAGGAGATGTTAATCAAAAGATACAAAATTTCAATTAGATAGGAGAAATAAATTCAAAAGACCTATTATACATCTTGGTGACTATAGTTGACAATATATTTTATTCTTGAAAAATGGTAAGAGACTGGATGTCATGTGTTCTCACCATAAAAATGATAACTGTGAGGTAATACATGTGTTAATTAGCTAGATTCCACAATGTATATATGTTTCAAATCTTCGTGTGGTATGCAACAAATATATACAATTTTACCTGTCAATGTACAAAAAATAAAATAAAAAATATTTTTTAAATGCAAAGTGGGCAAGAGTCAAGTCAATCAAAAGTACGAGTATGAGGGAAACCTTTTTCCCTGTCATTTGCCTTTTACTGAGCTGTTTGCACAGTAGCCTTTTAAACCAAGAACCAAAGGTTTTTTTTTTTTTCCTGGAAACAAAGGCTTGAACAATGAGTCATGCTAGCTGTTAAGAATGGCAAAAGCCACATGTATGTGTGCATTAGTGTATGTGTGTACATATGTATGTATGAGTGTAAATGTATGTACCTGTGTGGTATATATGTGTGTGTTTATATGTGTTTGTATGTATGTGCATGTGTGTGTGTTAAGCATTGAAGCTGACCTTGGTGATTACCACAATTCTAAATTAAAACAATAGGGTTAGGGTACGATACGCTGGGGCTTTATCCCTCAGGCAATGAAAAGTCACTGACTCTTAAAGTAGGGAAGTGACATGGTCAGATCTGGATGTCAGGAAGATGACTGTGGAGAGGGATAACTCTCTCTCCCCTTGACACTGGAATGGAGGAGCAGAGGCCAAAGGGAAGGAAACTGGTTTGGGGATATTCTCATACTAATCCAGGGGAGAGAAGTAAGGATCTGAAATAGAGCAGCAGCTGTGAAATAGAAAGGATGGGATGATAACACATCAAAGCTGAGTTCCAAGAGTCACCCAACAGACAATATGTGACATACAAATTTTAATTAAACCAAACATTTATCATGACATTAAACTAATTTTCAATTGACTACTCCAAGAATTCCAGTCAGGATTCCATTTTATTAAAATTATAATTCATTGCTGGATGTGATTGTGACAAAGCTTCCCTGAAAGAGTGCCTATTGTACTGTAAGGTGACATAGAAAATATGCTGAGTGAGTGGGATGGGTTGGGGGGCCCTTGACAGGCAGCAACAGACCTACCCTGTTTCCTGCCTCTTCCTGTAATTAGGTCTGTAATGATGGGTGGGTGACTTAACTTATAGCCTCCATGGCCTCGTCTGCAAAATGAGGATAATAAGATCCCAATTTCAAATAGGAAAATTCAAATAGGTAGCATGCATGTTATCACTATGGAAATATTTTTAATAGAATATTGCAAGGGAGGCTGAGTTTGGGTCCTGGAAAATTTGATGCAGTTGAGTTACAGAAACCTATTGTTTTACCATGGCTTCTATTCTATGCCCATAAAATAATGATAGCAGTTTGAGTTTCTTTTTGTTTGTTTTGTTTTGTTTTTTGTTTTGTTTTTGAGACAGAGTCTCACTCTGCTCACCCGGGCTGGAGTGCAGTGGCGCGATCTTGGCTCATTGCAACCCCCACCTCCCGGATTCAAGCAATTCTCCTGCCTCAGCCTCCCCAGTAGCTGGGACTACAGGCGCATGCCACCAGGCCCAGCTAATTTTTTTTTTTTTTTTGTATTTTTAGTAGAGACTGGGTTTCACTGTGTTTCTATCTCCTGACCTTGTGATCCACCTGTCTCAGCCTCCCAAAGTGCTGGGATTACAGGTGTGAGCCACCGTGCCCGGACGCTTGAGTTTCTTAAACACTAACTATATCCCAGATACTGAGATAAATGTCTTGCATGTATTGGCTCATTAAGTCCTCATAAAAATTCTAGAAGATAGGCGGGGTGATAGGCCAAATACTGAAGAACTAAGTATGTCTGCAGCATGGACAAATCAGACTAGTTTAGAGCAACAATGAGAATGGATGCAAACAACAAACAATATAGCTAGACAGGTTTGTCCTAACTAATGGAAGGTCTGGAAGTGGGCTCCTACTTTACCAATGAGAAAATTGGAGCTGTGTAGTGCTGGACCCCTATTGCATCCAGTAGGGATGGTACGGTGTCTCAGGCTGAAGATGAGACCTAGAGACAGCAAATAAGACATAGGGTTTACAGGGGGAAATTACATATGGGGTGGTCTAGTGGTGGCACCCTGCACAAGAAGACAACTACCATTTGTAAAAAGTATGCTGTTTATACAGCATTTTTACTTAGTGCTCTCTACCTAGCAACCCCCATTTCATCCAAAGCAAAGGGCGTCAGTCCCCTTACAGCCTGTGTGCCAGGGGAATGAGCCAGAGGTTTGGCTGTTCTTCATGGATAAGCAGTGGATCTCCATGTTGGCCACTCTCAGATTCCTTAGCTTGGAACTCCAAACTAACGCTCTTCTTAGACCATAGGGTCACCCTCAGGGTATGCTTCAGTTATGGCTGTCAGGTGCCTCTGCCATACAAGCTAACAGAGGTTGTATAATTACCTCCACCTAGATCACATGACTAGTCAGTGGCAGCACAAGGGGACCAATTCTGGAATCATCTGACTTCAAAGCCGTCTATCTTAGTCATCATGGTAGCCCACCTCCCAACTCCAGATTTGTGCAATTGCTACTGATGCCTGAAATTTGCCATCAATACCCAAAGGATCAACATATAGTTTAGGAGATCCTACATACATTGGTACATTTCTAATACTTTAGCAGAACTGATATTGAAAGAGGAAAATGTCAGTCAATAAACATCTAAGAATAACAAGATAATAAGCCCTAATCAAAACAGCCTCATAGTAAATTCAATCCACCAAAAATACTTAATTTTAGAAACATGATATTAGCTAGATGAATGGCAAAAAAGAGATTGAATGTAATTTTATTTCCAATGAAACACTTAATGTCATCTCATGCATGTCTGTTCATAAAATTAAATTAATTAAAATAGGTTTATATAATAGATTCTATTACATAGATTGAAAAGTGGCTCCAGGTGGCTTCTCTTCACATATTCTATGTCTGTTTTGGGGAGTCCTGATCGTTGAGAAGATGCCAGGGCTGACACTGGGCTCTGTCATATGCAATGTTTATTAATGATCTGCAAAAGTTGTTCTTGATTAATCTTAATGAAAATTGCAGAGCTTGGTCTTTTCAGTGCAATTGCTAAAAAAGTCATAGGAATGACAGCAGAATGCCAAGTAGTAACTGGTTTGTCCCCAACAGTTAATCAGAGTAAAGGTCTTAATCCTTGTGGCAGGGTCACCCTGCCAAGCAATATGGCAGGACAAGAAACGAAAAACAGAAATTATATTGTTTTTACTGAAGGCAAGAATGCCTAAACCTGCCTCCCAGCCTCCTTTCCTTTTTATTTCTCTCTTTGTTACATTTTATTTTTTTCTATTTTTTTCTGTCTATTCCTTCCTTCCCTTCGTCACTTCTTCTCCCTCTTTTCTTTTCTCTCTTTCTCTCTCTCTCTTTCCCTTTCTTTATTTCCCCCAAAAATCCCTTGTCTCACTCTGTTCCAAAATGTCATTAAATTCAGCACTCATAAGCCTGCTTCAATTAGAGTGATGTTCAGTACATGGACAGAAATTTTTATTTTTAGCAAAATTATTTGTAATAATGAAAATTGAATATATCTAGAAATAATTGTTGATAAACTAATATTGATAGAATGTTTGCCATGTGCCAGGCACTATACTAAATAATCTACCTGAATTACTTCACAAATACCAAAACTCTGTGAAGAACAATTTCCAAATGAAACTCAAGCTCTGATAGAATAAAAACATCTTCTGACCAATGACACACAGCTTGTAAGTGACATAGCAAAGGCTCTGAATCATGTTCATCTTTATTAGCCCGTTTTCTGTTGCTTACTGACAGAATATTTGAAACAGACTATGCCTAAAGAAAGGGAATTTATCTGCCCGGCCACCACCCCGTCTGCGAGGTGTACCCAACAGCTCATTGAGAACGGGCCATGATGACAATGGCGGTTTTGTGGAATAGAAAGGGGGGAAGGTGGGGAAAAGATTGAGAAATCGGATGGTTGCCGTGTCTGTGTAGAAAGAGGTAGACATGGGAGACTTTTCATTTTGTTCTGTACTAAGAAAAATTCTTCTGCCTTGGGATCCTGTTGATCTGTGACCTTACCCCCAACCCTGTGCTCTCTGAAACATGTGCTGTGTCCACTCAGGGTTAAACAGATTAAGGGCGGTGCAAGATGTGCTTTGTTAAACAGATGCTTGAAGGCAGCATGCTCGTTAAGAGTCATCACCACTCCCTAATCTCAAGTACCCAGGGACACAAACACTGCGGAAGGCCGCAGGGTCCTCTGCCTAGGAAAACCAGAGACCTTTGTTCACTTGTTTATCTGCTGACCTTCCCTCCACTATTGTCCTGTGACCCTGCCAAATCCCCCTCTGTGAGAAACACCCAAGAATGATCAATTAAAAAAAAAAAAAAAAAAAGAAAGGGAATTTATTTCTTATAGTTCTAGAGGCTGAGAAGTCCAAGGCTGAGGGACCATATCTAGTGAGAGACTTACTGCTGCTGGAGACTCGCTGTGAAAGCGCAAGGAGGCACAGGGCATCTTATGATGAGGGGTTGAGTGAGCTAATGTGCTGGCTCAAGCCTCTTCCTCTCCTTATTAATCCACCAGTTCCACTGCCATGATAACCCACTAATCCATTAACCCATGAATCCATTAATCTGTGAATGGAATCATTCATTCATAAGGGCAGATCCCTTATGATCCAATCACCTCTTAAAAGCCCCCTTTCAATACTGCCACTTGGAGACTTTCTAATACATGAAATATGTGGGACATATTCAAACCACAGCACCATCTGATGCCATAAATGTTCAAAGGTACGGAAATGATTATATAAATTCTGGCATATGTAAAAAATAGAAAAATGGGTAACGACCAGGTGCAGTGGCTCACACCTGTAATCCCAGCACTTTGGGAGGCCAAGGCAGGCAGATCACCTGAGATCGGGAGTTCGAGACCAGTCTGACCAACATGGAGAAACCCCATCTCTACTAAAAATACAAAATTAGCCAGGCATGGTGGTGCGTGCCTGTAATCCCAGCTACTAGGGAGGCTGAGGCAGGAGAATTGCTGGAACCCGGGAGGCAGAGGTTGTGGTGAGCCAAGATCATGCCATTGCACTACCCTAGCCGGGGCAATAAGAGCAAAACTCTGTCTCAAAAAAAAAAAAAAAAAAGAAAAGAAAAAGAAAAATGGATAACCATTAAACATCATGGTTTACATTAATATTCAATGGCATGAAAAATGCTCATGCATTTAAAGTATACATAGTAGAATACACACATACACACATGCACACATATTTAAACCAACTTCAGCTTTTTTAATTTTTTATTTATTTTTAGCTACCCCTGCTGGAATGGGAACCTCCACTTCTTAATACATCTATTTTTATAAAAAGAAAGGACATAAAGCTCTGTGATGAAATTGAGTAGTTTTAATTTTCTTCTTTATTCTTTACTATATTTTTTAATATTTGGGAATAATCATGTATAACTAATAGAACTAGAAAAGAAAATGTTATTTCAAAAAGGAAAAGTATTGACAGGTAGAGATGACAGGAAGGTGTTTGTGTTAGGGTTCTCTGGAGAAACAGAACCAACAGGGTGTGTATTACTTATAAAAATTTGTTTTAAGAAATTGGTTCACAAAATTGTGGAGGCTAGTTAAGTCTAAAATCTGCAGGGTGGACCAGCAGGCTGGAGATCCAGGGAAGAGTTGATATTGTAGCTTGAGTCCAAAAGCAGGCTGGATTCAGAATTTCATCTTCCTTGGGGAACAGCAGTAATTTTTCTCTTAAGGCCTTCAACTGTGTAAAGCCCACACACATTGTGGAGGGTAATCTGATTTACTCAGTCTACTGATTTAAATGTTCATCTCACCTAAAAAAACACCTTCCCAGCAACATCTAGCCTGGTGTTTGACCAAATATCTGGATACAAAGGCCTAACCAAATTGACACATAAAATTAAAAATCACAGTGTTCCTCCCTCCCTTAGGCAATAACATCTGCAAAAGCTCAGAGTTAGAATATATGGAGATGAGTCAGGGTGACTATCAAAATGTATTAATGGCAAAAACCGCAATTACTTTTGCACCAACTTAGTAATAGTAAAAACACTTTCACTTCATTGGATAAGTGGCAGAGCCTTTAGAGGTTTGTGGGCAGGGGAGTCTAGTGTGACCACAGCTGTCTTTCCCTTTGAAATACCAGGAGCCCCACATGCGGTGGAGCCATATTCCATTAGCATCCTTGGATCACGGTGTTTTTGGTTCTAAATGGAAGGCTCCTCACAGTGTCCCTGGCACACTGTTTGTCTGTTGCTTACTGTCTTCATGTAACACAGTTCTCACTCTAACCCAGTGACACTTCTGGGAAGAGGCCACGTGATATAATAGGAAATGCTTAGGATTTAGAATTCAGGAGAACTTGGTTTACATTCTACTTCTAAGAATCTTTTTTTTTTTTTTTTTTTTTTTTAAGAAACGGAGTCTCGTTCTGTCACCCAGGCTAAAGCACAGTGGTGCAATCATAGCTCACTGCAGCCTGGAAATCCTGGGCTCAGGGGATCTTCCCACCTCAGCCTTCCAAGTAGCCGGGATTATAGGCAAATGCCACTGCACCAGGCCCTGCTTCCAAGAATTTTAAACATGCTGAATCTCAGTTTCTTCCTGAGGAAATGGGGATAATAATGTGGAAGGCCACACCATAAGGACTAATCCAGGTTTGAATACTGGAGGATAGTTGAAGTGACTTCAGCTCATTGCCACAACAGAAACAAGCAAGACACAAAGCACAGAGGAGTAAGGGCACAGGAAGTGGGCTGGGCTGTGGTGTCCCTCTCTGTTCCATACAGAGGGAAGTGAATTGCAGTGGTCTCAGCTGCCCCTAGGAGGAGAAAACTACCCAGTCACAAGCCTTAAAAAGTGATATGCCTAGGTCAGCCCCTGTCTGTTTGCAAAAGCCAACTGTTAAACTTGCAGGAATTTTACAAGCCAGTTGACCTCAAGTTGGAAGCTTGAACTCATCCATGACAAAAATAGTGACACCACAGAAGTTGACAGACATCACAAATCAGGACCTTTTCTTCCCAAAGAGACAGTTGTTAAACATTTACCCACCCAACCCTCAAGCTCTGCACCCACTCTTCTGCAGGCTAGGAGAGAGGCCACATTGGCACTCAGAGATCAACCCCTTTACATGAAATTCCTGTTGACACAGAGCCATGTTCTTGCTCTCACTGTATCTATGTGCCTACAGCTGGCCTGGCCATAGCCCATCACAACATACATCATGTGTGTGGTGTGTGTGTGTGTGTGTGCGAGTGTGAGTTAAATAATGCACACAAAAATCTTTGGCCAGGACTCCCCACACTCTCCACATGAGCCTGTAACTGTTAAGTGTCTGGGCCATGTTAAAAAACAGCAAAAGGGTAGATGAAGTTTCGGGTTAAATGACTCTCCCAGTTTGGACATGCGATACTGACCAGTCCCACAGAGCTCTGTTTAAACAGAGACTTCTCTCATGGAACACCTAATGGGATACACACTTTCTCTTTTTTGGAGACGGACTGTCACTCTGTCGCCCAGGCTGGAATGCAGTGGCATGATCTCGGCTCACTGCAACCTTCACCTCCCGGGTTCAAGGGATTCTCCTGCCTCAGCTACTCCTGAGAAGCTGGGACTACAGGCGTGTGCCACCATGCCCAGCTAATTTTTGTATTTTTAGTAGAGATGGGGTTTCATCATGTTAGCCAGGCTGGCGTCAAACTCCTGACCTCAGGCGATCTGCCCGCCTTGGCCTTCCAAAGTGCTGAGATTACGGCATGAGCCACCGTGCCCGGCCAGGATACACAATTTCTATAGCACTGGATTAGAGGTTGTCCAATGGAAGGGTTTGATTCTGGTTTTTAAAACAGTGATTTACAAACTCTTTGCTCCATACTCTCTAAAATAATGTTGAAAGCTACATCCCTCAAACAGTTCTAAGTTGACATCTAAAATTTTATCCAACATTGTTTATTTTTACTGACAAGAAACAAAACAAATAATTTTTAAATTAATTAAAATGGGAATAATCTCTTAAAATATATTTCATAATATAGTTTTTTTAAAAAAATAGGTTTTACTCCCTCATTTAATAAATCACACTGCTATGGGCTGAATTTTATCCCCCTCAAATTCCTGTGTTGAAGCCCTAACCACAAATATAACAGTATCTGGAGATGAGGCTTTTGGGATCTAATTAGGTTTAAATGAGGCTTAGTGCCCTTATTAGAAGAGACCCCAGAGAGCTTGCTGGCTCTCTCTCTCCACCTTGTAGGGGCACAGTAGGAAGGCAGCCATCTGCAAGCCAGGAAGAGGGCCCTCACCAGAACCTGATCCTGCTAGCACCGTAATCTCAGACTTCCCAGCCTCCAGAATTGTGAGAAATACATTCCTCTTGTTTATGCCATCCAGTCTATAAATTTTGTTATGGCAGCCTGAGTTGATTAAGACCCACACAAAATCAGAGAATCATAAGAATATTTATCCCTGAGTATTACCCTATGTATCTTGAAAATTGTAATAACTCCAAAAAACATTCCAGTTGTATTTAAAAGAAACGATGGCCCCAACCCAGAATGTTTGGGGTTTTGAATCCAGGCAGTGAAGCACTGCAGCAGGCCAGGCTACAGGGCCAGATGTGGGCTGCTAGGGAATGCTGAGTGCTTCCAGGCAGGTAGGACAGAGGGCACGTTGGAAAAGGAAATGCACTATACAATAAGGGGCATCTTGAAGGAAGGAGAGGAAATTAACGGGAATAAAAGAAGCACCAATGGTTTCACCCCCAACACACACACACACACACACACACACACAAACTCCCTGTGCCTCCCTCACCCCTGAGTTAGGGCCATTTCAGGAAATAAATTGTCCTAAAAAATCCAGAATTCAGAACTTCAGAACTCCCCTGAGCGGGATCAACAAGGAAATGCTGACTTGGCGCACAGCTGCTGTCCTGACTTGGTCTCTATTGTTCTTCTAAGATTCCGGGGCACCAGGGCAGGAAGGGTCAGCAACGCTTTCATCTTCAAGAACACCATTGCTCTCACTTTTCTCTCCCTAGATCCACCCTGCTTTTGAATGTGAGTGCAGTTAGGTCTTCCCCATTACCTTTCCACTGGAAGGGAGTGCAAGCAGCAGCAAAGTATCCAAACACCATTCAGCTTGGAGTCTGGCATTACCTAACACCCGTGTGACTTAACCTCTCTGGGCTCCAGCTTCCTTGGTTGTAAAATGGGAATAAACCACATTGATGTAAGCTCCATGAATGCAGAACTTGATCTGTCTGTTTGGGTCACTGCTTATATCTTTAGAGTTCTTCAACAGACACTTGTTGAAAGAATAAATGGATGAGCTGTATATGTAGCCTGTGGTGGAAATGAGGATGAAATGAGGTTATTAAGGTAAAAGGCCTAGCACAGGAGAGGTAATAACCGCATCTTAATCCTCTCAGAGCCTCAGTTTGCTCATCTATAAAATCAAAATTTATAATATTGATAGGCATCTACCTTTCAGAGTCACTGTGGCTATCAAAATGAGAACATGAATTGGGAAGCACTTTGTGAAATCACAACTTTCATGTCAGGGTAAGCATGGTGCCAAGACCAGCTCGGTCGGGGAGACCTTAACCCAGTGGTGCTAGAGGAATTAAAGACACACACACAGAAATATAGAGGTGTGAAGTGGGAAATCAGGAGTCTCACAGCCTTCAGAGCTGAGAGCCCCGAACAGAGATTTACCCACATATTTATTAACAGCAATCATTAGCATTGTTTCTATAGATATTAAATTAACTAAAAGTATCCCTTGAGGGAAACGAAGGGATGGGCCGAATTAATTGCAGCAGGAACATGCCCTTAAGGCACAGATCGCTCATGCTTTTGTTTGTGGCTTAAGAATGCCTTTAAGCGGTTTCCGCCCTGGGTGGGCCAGGTGTTCCTTGCCCTCATTCCCGTAAACCCACAATCTTCCAGCTTGTGCGTTATGGCCATTATGGACATGTTACATTGCTGCAGAGATTTTATTTATGGCCAGTTTTGGGGCCAGTTTATGGCCAGACATTGAGGGGCTTGCTCCCAACACACGGTGGCTTTCAAACATTTTAAGAAGCAGATGGACCCTACGTTTCATACGGCAGGCTGACACTAAAGTCCAGCAGAGGCAATAGAATGGATCAGGGTTGAAGGAAAAGTTGGGCTTCATGGCCACCACAATGGCAGTCCCTACCCCACAATGACTCCTGAAGTACCCTCAGCAAACTCAGATCTATAAGAAGGGAGGCTTTGGAGATTAATCTGTAGAGACTGTGTCCATATATTGGGCTGAGTCAGCTCAGACCCCAGTAGTCCACATACTTCCTTTTGTATTTCCCTTTAAAGAAGCCATGCAGGGAAGTAGAAATGGACCAATGGGTTCAGGCTTATACACCCGGGGTGAAATTCTAACTAGTCCATCAATAACTGTGTGACGTAAAGCAATATACCTCTCGTGACTCAGTTCTCTCACTTGTAAACTGGCTCTGGTAGTGATACCCAGGTTTGTTATGAAGATGATTCCATAGCTGCACAAAACGCCCTGGGCAATGAACGTAGTTGACCTCCATAACTAACTCCCTTGCCTTTCCTTTGTTCTGGAATGTTCAAGGGCACCGTTTTTTCCAGGTGACTGGGGCCCAATCAATTCTGCCTAAATTGTAACCATTGTTCACTCTGTTTAGACCAGTTTATGCCTAAGAACTGTGCCGCTGATGGGTTGGTTGAAGCTATGTCTGTGTGAATAGAGTTGATGTAGGCAGAGTTTTAGCAGAAAAGGGTAGGTAAAGTGATCAATTCATCATTTTATTGGTCTGATTCAATCTGTGCAATTGAAAAATGGTATTACTTCCAAAAGTTAGTACTAGGTACTATTTTTGAGTGTTCAGTATCCACCAGGCTAAGTGTTTTACATACATTATTTTATGAACCACCCTAACACCTCTACAGAGGACCAATTCTCTTCCCCATTGCACCTGGGAAGACTGAGACACTGAGACTAAAGCAACTAGCCTGACATCCACAAGCAGTAAATGGAGAAGTGTGATGTCAGATCCGGGCCTGCTTTAATGCATGTTCTATGCCTGTGTGGTGTTGCTGGGGAAATATGTGTAATTTGCTCTAGCCCCTACAGCATTGGGATTCCTGTCTAATGTATAGATCAATGATTGCTACTGAATTATGCGTCCTGTCATTCCTCTAGCAACTCCTATGGATTAATTGTCTAAAAAGAACCCTTTGAAGCATTTAAGTTGAAAGAAAAAATCTAAGGTCCCTCATTTTTTACCTTATAATTATAACATGCTTCCTTAATAGTTCAGTTAAAAGAAATAATGTTGTCAATCTTTGGTTTGTTAATTGTTGCATGATTTGTCCCCAGCTAGACAGAGGTGAGCAAAAATAATAATGATAATTACGTGTGTTTTTTATTTAAAAGAAATTTTGAATGGAATCTCACCATGAAGAACAGAAAGTAGATTTGCTCTGTTTGAAAGGAGGAGGTTTAGGGGGTTATCCCCTCCCCAACTAGGAGGTCCTAAGGCAACTCAGTGGTTTCTCTGGGACTCTTAGATCCATCTTGGGACAGCCAAAGGCCTGTGAACCCAGAAAGCCATTGAGCTTTCTCCATTAACTTGATAAATAACTTTCAGCACTGACTATGTCTGTGTGCTGAGCTTTGAGCTAAGTGGGAATGGAAGGTGGCATCCCTGCCCTCCAGAATCCGAGTGTCTAGAGAAGAAAGAGAAGATGCAGATGTCATCTATAGTCCTTTTCTCTTAATTTGTGACTGATTAGGCACAGCAAAACATCCCTGGGGCTCTGCTCTGGAAGAACTGAACAAGACTTGTCGCTAGGAGTAGAATTGTCTCCATTTTAGCTTCAAGAATGCTCCGAGGTCCTCCCCTCAAGAACTGATCTTGAAATACATTGTGTGTGTTTGTGGTTCTTTGCAACCACAGGGTAGCCTTACTAATGAGTATCAATGTCTGTAAATTATTAATTACTTTTATATAGTTTCATTCTTATCTTTAAGTCAAATCCCAGACACAAAATGAAAGAGAAAGAAAAGCTATGCAGTAAAAAAATGTGAAGTCTTCTTGCTATGCTTCTTGTTTTGTAGAGGAAAATAAAAATCATCTAAATGTCTTTTCATTAAGATGCTCCAGTGCATTCTCTGTATAATGTTAATTGCCTAATGACATTAGCGCCGTGTGCTGTTTAGTAGTCTCTCACCATTAGCTGGCAAAGCACTTTAACATCCATTATTATATCCTTCGGGGCTCACAATAGTTCTGTGTGTGAAGCAATCAGGTAGTGCCTTATTTTACAACTATGGAAACTCAGGGTCAGATTAAACTATGTGCCCAGGATCACATGTTCAAAGAGTATGGGTTTTAAAAACACAACAGTACCAGTTTAGTCCTGGAATCCTACTTACCAGCTCTGGGCCATAGGGAAAATCATTTTACTTTCTCAGGCTACAATTCCTTCATAAATAGTAGACAAGCAACTAGTCCTTATTATAGGCCAGGCACTGTTATAAACTCCCTGCATGTGTTTATTCACTTAATCTTGACAACGTTATTAACATTTTATCGATGCAGAGATTAAAGCATCTGTAGGGAAATAAAATAACTTCTCTAAGTTCATGTTGCCAGTCAGTGATGGAACAAGATGAGAACTTGGCTGTCTAGCACTAAAGTCTGTGATATTAACCCTCATACTACAGTGACAACAGTGTAATAAGGAAAACATCAATTGGGACTCATGATTGTGCCAGTCAGGATAGTAACAAACATCCCTAAAATCTCAGTGCTTAAAACAGTAAACATTTATTTTTCATTCACACTTTATGTTTATTTTTCATTCACACTTTATTACAGGAGGGGGGTGTGATAGCAGGATATCATAACATTTTATCCTGATTCAAGGACCCTGGTTAGAAGGCTTCATCAGGAGCTCCTTGACTCATGATGGTGACACAGGAGAGAAAAAATTTTAAAGACTGTGGTTGATCATGGTCTTAAAGCTTCTGCCCAGAAGTGACACATATTACCTCTGCTCATATTTCATTGGTCAAAAGTAACATCAATATCCAGACAAACATCACATGTTTGCACTTATTTGCAGAATCTAAAAATCAAAACAATTGAACTCATGGACATAGAGAGTAGAATGATGGTTACCAGAGGCTGGGAAGGGTAGTGGGGGGTTAGGAGGGAGGTGGGGATGGTTAATGGGTAGAAAAAAATAGAAAAAAGAAATAAAACTTATTATTTGATAGCCCAACAGACTATAGTCAATAATAACTTGATTGTACATTTTAAAATAGCTAAAAGAGTGTAATTGGATTGTTTGCAACTCAAAGGATAAATGCTTGAGGGAATGGATACCCCATTCTCCATGATGTGATTATTTCACATTGCATGCCTCAAAACACCTCATGTACCCCATAAATATATACACCTACTATGTATTCACAAAAATTAAAAATTAAAAAATTATGCAGGGAGGACAATCCTACTATACACTTGAATAGTATAGTAGTGGGCATGGCTGTGGATAGCACAAATGACTCCTCTCAATGACCTCCTGCACAGAAGCTCACTGGAAAAGTGCCTCAGAAACTGATGTGCTCCTCTCAAAGGCTGGATTCCATTTCTTCTCTTGCCTTGTCAATTTTTTTTAAATGGCTCCTACAGTTTTCATTGTCAGTAGATATAAAGTACCATATGCTTTTTAACTTGGGAGTTAAAGTAAAAACAATGACCCAGAAACCAGGAACTTCACCAAGATCAAGAAAAACCTCATCCATTAGTTACAAGCATTTCTTCTAATGTTCACAGGTTGCCTGCCTAATGTCTAATTTATTACAATATTTCCATATTCTCAACCCAATTCAACTTTACTTTCTTATGTAAATAGCTTTGCATTACCTTACAATTTAAGAACAGAGACTGCAAAGATTCAATTGAGTACATGGAATCATTCATTCATTCTTTATTTATTTTTTTCTTTTAAAAAAGGACACTGCATGTCTTAAGTCCTACTGTATGGAAAGCAGGATGCTCCAGGCTGTGAGGAATGTAAGGCTGCCTCAGGCAGGAATAATGCCTTCGAGGACCTTATACTCTTTACCAAAAAGCTTGGATATATATGAACATTAATAGAAAGTATTGGACACCCAGGCATCCACCCATCCACCTACTCAGTAAACACCTGCTAAGTGTTAACCACGTGCCAGATACAGTACAATCTTAAGAGGGGAACATACAGAGTAGTTGTTCAAAGTCCCCATTCTCAATTAGTTTACAGGAGACAGATTATTATAACACAGCACCCTAATTACTGTTCACCCAGGATGCAATGAGAACACAGGGAAGGGTACATAGTCAGACTTGGAAATCAGGGCAGCTTACTGGCCAGAGTTAAACCAAGCTTCACTCTAAAAGATGGAGTAGAAGCTCTTCCATTGAAAGAGGTAATGGACATTCCAGATTGAGGAAGCACCATGGTCCCAGAGAGGAAAGAAGGAACACAAGGTTCAGACAATGACTTGTTGTTTGGATGGCTGGAGTCTAATGTGTGCATGAGGAATGAGAAGAATAACTAAGGCACTGGACAGATCATGAGGAATTTTGTGTGCCAGACTAGGAATTTTCCATTGTATCTTATAGACCAGTAGTATCTAAATATTTTGATCCCCTATTTTTATTAATAAAATTATATGAAGATATGCATATCTAATAAAATTATATTTATTAACTATTCTATTAATTATATTTAATTATATTCATATGTTTAAAAATATATACCATAAAATATACATAATATAGGGATTTTAAAGGATAATGAGAAAATAAAAATACTTTAAAGTATTTTAATTTACAGTATCCAATTTAATTTAAATATTTTAATTTGATTACAAATTTAAAATTTAAAATTTTAAATTAATTACAATTTAATTTAGACTTTTCTGCTTTCACCATTTATTAGAGAGCAATGGGTTTAAACATAATTCTTTTTAAAAAAAATTTTTAATAGTTTGTGATATAGTAATGTAAAGGTCAGGTTTTAAGTTCAATTTATCTCTATACCAGGCTTCAGTGGCTATCAGAGCTAAACATATATCTTATAAATGTTTTCCAATCTCATAAATGGATTTAAGCCCTTATAAATGGGTTCTGACCTCATCAGAAATCTTCATTTAGAAGATATTTAAACATTAGTAAATGTGCAGCTCTAAGAATTTTGATAGATGATATAACATAACTTTGGTTTTACAACAAAATTCTTAAAAAGATGGAAACATTTCCAAACTTCCATTCTCAAAATGCTTTCTTCAGAGCATCAATTTCTTTAAAAATCAGTTACTTTCTTGCTCATTCTTAAGTCATCATCTTGAGTTGGAAGAAATAAATTAAGCAAGTTTGTGTGTTTTTTTCAAATATATGCTAGAAGGAATATTAATGGCGACTTATTATCACAAAAATATCAGCAAATTTGGAACACTTGTCTTCTGTCAAAGACAAATGAATAGCTCACTTTTAAGTCTGACAACTCTTTTAAGCATTTTGAAGTCACATAATCATTGCATTTGGGGGCAATGAAGGTTTTTCTAGTAATTCTACTACAAAGTATTATCTTCTACCATTTGATTTTCTGCATAAATGACATCATTTAATCATAAACTAAAATTGTTCAAAATACTCTGAAAGAAAGAACGCTCATGACTACAGGAAATCATCCAATGGTAGAAATTCTTCTGTCTTCTCAAGATGCCTCCTCCATACTTACAGTCAGAGGATGACCAGACATGTATCCCCTAAGTTTCCAATATCAATCTATATATCAAATGTTGGTAAAGCTTTTCAACATAAGTAACAAAAGCTGTGAATGGAAGTTCTAACATTTTCCTCCTGCATCTCAACGGATGACCCAGTTCAGCCCTGGGATGTAAACACTCTATTTCAGAGACCACAGCTCTAAGTAGTAGGTCAGAAAAGAGTGATGGGGTAATGAGGTCACATTTGTGTTTAGAAGGAGCAGCTGGAAACCATGACAGTATGGGCTGGAAGGAGGTAAGGCTGAGGCAGGGATCCCAGACTCAGGCATGATGGTGGTCTGAACTAAGTCACAGAAGGGCTAGAAAGAAGGAAACAGTTGACATTTTGGTTGGAAATGGAATGTGTAATGAAGTATGAAATCAATAATCTATCTCAGGTTAATGTTGGGTAGAAAAAGATGCTGGTGCCATTCCCTAAGACAGAGGTTACAGAGCAGGTTTTGGAGGAAGGTTTCAAAGAGCCCTTAAAAGTACAGATAAAAGGCTAAGGATGTTCAGAGACTCTTTCTAGTTATTAAAGAACCTAAGAAGGCTTCATGGAAGGGGTGACATTGAAAGTGAAGAGGTGGACGGGCGTGGTGGCTCACACCTGTAATCCCAGCACTTTGCAAGGCCGAGGCGGGAGGATCACGAGGTCAGGAGATCGAGACCATCAAGGCTGAGGCAGGAGAATAGCGTGAACCCGGGAGGCAGAGGTTGCAGCTCCATTGCACTCCAGCCTGGGCGACAGAGCAAAACTCCGTCTCAAAAAAAAAAAAAAAGAAAAGAAAGTGCAGAGCCAACGATGCCCACTCTGGTCTTATACATGTGTCTCTCCATTTACCTATGTCAACAGGTATGTGCGGTCAAGGACAAAACACGATGTTGACATGAGGATTGGAATCCACTCCGGCTCGGTGCTGTGCGGTGTTTTGGGACTAAGGAAGTGGCAGTTTGATGTCTGGTCTTGGGATGTGGATATTGCAAACAAACTCGAATCTGGAGGAATCCCTGGGTAAGATAAAGCAAAGCCCTTTTCATGCTTAACGGTTGTCATTGGCTTATTTTGTGACAGTGGGTTTCCTGTGTACAGAAATTCAGGGTTAGATCTAGGAAGCAATTATTTGGAAGGAGACCAGACACTGAAACATCATACAACTATTAGCTTCCAAAATCTAGTAAAATGCATCAGAGGCAACAAGGATGTGGAATAACACTGAGGTGTTCGGGTCTCTGCCCTGCACAGCATTGGTCCTTAGACTTGGCTGCACATTCGAATCTCCAAAGGAACATTTAAAAAATACTAGTGTCCAGACCCCATGCCAGTTTATTTAAAGCAGAATCTGTGCAGAATCTATTTTAAGTTCTTCAGTGAATTGTAATGGGCAGCCAGGATTAAGACCTACTGACTTTCCATGCATGATCTAGGACTCAGTGAGGAAATCAGGCTCTTCCTTAGAAACTCAACATTTCAAATTTGGCTGTCAAGGTTGGTTGACATAGGATCCCCAAAGGTGCTAGTGGTCTGCAAAGGCCACTGCAACTAATGTAAGTCTTGAAAAGTTGTATCAAGATTCTGTTTACACAGATTGGACCTAATAAGATCTCAGATATATGTGAGCCAGTGTGATTTTCTGCAGCCTCTCTTTCTTAAAGATGATGGATGGATGGATGGATGGATGGTGGATGGATGGATGGATGGAGATAGAGAAAGAGAGAGAGAGAGAGAGAGAGAGAGCACTTCCACATATTCCTTTTCCTACCCCCTAGAACTGCCCTTGGAGTCACAGATTTCTCTGGTATGTGCCATCACTCCTTGCAAACTATGTTTAATATCAAGTAATATGTTATCATGGGGGAAACAGACAACAAGAGGTGGAATCAGAGTAACTAGGATTCCCACTCTGCCCCTTGCTAAACTCTATTATCTTCAGCAAGTTATGTAAAGCATGCACAGCACCTGGCGTGTGATTTTAGTGTGAACTTGGCTTGCATCACTCTACCTGTGTGATCTCAGGCCAGTGCTTAACTTCTGAGTCCAACTTTCTTCACTGCAGGAAGAGAGATAATACTACTTATGATTTGCTACCTTGTGAACTTATTTTCCTCCTCCATGAGAGTTTGTTCTCTCATCTGCTATAATGGCATAATCCACCTCACAGGTCTCCTCTGAAGATTATCTCAGGCAATGGGTATGAAGCGCTTTTTTTTGTACACTGTGCAGGGACACCCCAGGTCAGTTACTATTCTTATGGGGATCCTTCACTCTATGTGGTGTGTCATGGCTGTTTGCCAGACAGGTTTAGAATTGAGGAAGGTCTGATGTGTCACTGCTGGGTTTCTTAAATCTTTCCATTCTTTAGGATTTTCCCACAAGTAACTACCTGCTGAATTTAGACAAACAAGTTAGCCAATTCATCTGTGTTTCCAGGCCTGTATCTTAAAAGCATCACCAAATGGGGAATTGCCCATATACTCAATAGATTCCTTTTGCAAACCTTAGAGGATGCTTTGGGGGTTTGTAAGATACTGCTTTGATATCTGGAAGCCAGTTTAGCTATTGTTCTCAATAACATTAAGAAACAGAAGAGTGACCAAGTTTAAATCAGCACATCACCATGCAATACTACAAAGCCATAAAAAGGAATGACATCATGTCCTTTGCAGCAACATGGATGCAGCTGAAAGAAATTATCTTAATTTAAATAATGCAGAAACAGAAAACCCAACACCACATGTTCTCACTTCTAAGTGGGAGCTAAACATTGAGTACATATGGACATAAAGACGAGAATAGACACTGGGGCCTGCTAGAGGGAGAAGGGAGAGAGTGGGACAAGGGACGAGAAACTACCTGTTGGGTAGTATGTTCACTACCTGTGTGAGGGTTCCTTCTTACCCCGAACCTCAGCATCATACAATATGCTTTGTAACAAAGCTGCACATATACCACCTGATTCTAAAATAAAAGTTGAAAAAGGAAAGAAACGAATAAAATAATTTGTAAAAAGAAACAGAAAAGTGACTGAGTTTAAATCATCTTTCACACCCTTATTTTTCATATCATGAGTCATGAGTCTGAACCGTGGGTTTACTACTTACCAGTTATGAAGTCTGGAAGATTGTGGCAAGTACTTCATGCCCTTCCCAGTTTCTTCACTGTAATTTTGGACTGAAAACATTATCCGCCTTAAAAATGTAGTTTCAAATATGATAGTGCTTATAAAGCACGTAGTCTAGTCTTCTATTCAGTATCCATCTCTGCTTAGCCATGGCATGTTGTCAATGTGCAAAATGCAGGAATGTCAAAACGGGACCCCAGACTCACCATGGTTTGATATTGTTATATATTTTTCCACTTTTTTATTGTCTTCTTCTTTAACACCACTGAGCCTTGGGTTTCTAGAAGAACGGTTCTCAAACCTCAGCCTTGGAATTACCCGAGAGTTTATTAAACCATAGCTTGCTGGGCCCCACTGCCGAGTTTCTGGTTCAGTATGTCTGGCATGGAACTCAAGATGATGCTTTCTACCAGTTCCTGGTAGGAACTGCTGGCCTTAGTACCACACCATGAAGATCACCATTTTTGAACTTGTGTTAAATGAAATAATGCATATAAAGTCCTTTGTCCTGTACTCAGTAAATATTTATTGTGGTTGTGCTGGTAGTAGTTACCATATAATACAGTTCCAGGGTGGTAGAGAGACGCTGAAAGTAAAAGTTCTTGTCTCAATCCAGCACTGCCACTAACCACTAATATGATTTGGGGCCAAATATGTACTTGTTACTTCTGGGCCAGTTTCAGCATCTGCAAAAGGAGACAAAGAAATGTCTAATACCTAAGGTTGTTGAAAGAACGGAAATTATATGAGATAATCCATGGGGCACACAGTAACACCTTTGGCTACTAGATAACATTTATGCAAAACAAGAGTTACACAATTGTTAGGTCTTAATTTAGTATCATGACTACTTTTATTATATCCTAGCATTAAAATTTATCAGAAAATGCCAAGTTTACTTGACTCATTTCCTTAGAAAGAAATGCCTGAAAACTGACACATTTCCTTAGAAAGAAATGCAATCTTCAGAATCTCATCTGCAAATGTCTTACCCCAAAGCTCAAGTTAGTAACAAGGATGAAAAGAAACATCTAAAACCCAGTTTCTACCAAAACATTTAAGTGCATATTGATTAGCACTTCAGCAGAAGAATCAGTGAAGGCAAGGATCTCTTTCACTAGTGAAAACATAATATTGATTTAATACATGGAAGTATTTGTCCCCTTGCATACTGACAGCAGAATAATAAAAATAGAATCCAGAGAAATGCTAAAAGGGGTTGATATGTAACTTAATTATCTTAAAAGAAAATCAACCATGGTACTTTAGAAAACCCTCCTACCAGGTTCATTTTGTCTAGGAGAAAAGGTAAGCTTCCAGTCTTAACTCAGATTCATCTGAGAAAGCGGATGGGGACTTCCATTTCATGGAAGGTCAAACGATCTGTTATTCTCCCAGGTCAATATTATTGAGTTCATATGTATTAACAAAATGCATCTTGGGAATATTTTGTATTTATTCAGCACATTTCTCAAGAGAGTGAAAACATCTTTCACACATTTATTTTTAACATCTTGCACTTGAAATCAATCAAGATATTTATGTGGAAGATGTGGAGAACATGAAGTATCAGAAATGATTTGTTTGTAGTTTCTGGTTTTTCACATGTTCTTTGCAATGAACTATTCTTTCTGTAAGGAGGGATTTAGCAGAATGGGTTAGAAGGATGAGAGGGAGTAGCAGAGCTAATACTAAAAGTAAACTGCATTTTATTTAATTAATGAATTTATTTATTTTTTCTAAGACAGGGTCTCACTTTGTCCTCCAGAATGAAGTGCAGTGGCATGATCTCGGCTCACTATAGCTTCAACTGTCTGGGCTCAAGCGATCTTCCCACCTCAGCCTCTCAAGTAGCTGGGACTACAGGCATGCACCACCACGCCCAGCTAACTTTTGTATTTTTTTGTAGAGATGGTGTTTTGTCATGTTGCCCAGGCTGGTCTCAAACTCCTGAGCTCCAGCAATTCACCAGTCTCGGCTTCCTCAGCATGAGCCACTACAGTGCATTTTTAAAAGCCACTCTAAATTTTTTTTAAAAACTTTTCTGTTTACTTGGATATATTGTTCTTAGCATTCCAAAAGCCAATCAAAATATTAAGCATTCTTTCATTCAAATGAACACTAAAGTAAACTTAGGAAGATGACTTTTGAGCAGAATTGGACAGTAGGAAATTGTTAGTAAGCACCAAATAGTACGTTGAATCTGGAGAATTGCCAATTACTTGAATAGCTGGAGAGAGCATAGGAGAGCTATATTAGAGGAGTGTCAGAAAATGAGCTTTGAAGTGACAGAGCCAGAGAATGAAAGCTTGGAGGCCTTATTCAGAAGGCCTGACAATAGTCTTCTGCAAGCCTTGAGAAGGCATGGAATACACAACAGTAATATGATGACAATGGCATTTTTTAGAATACTCTTAATAACTTACATATTTGCTTTTATAGTGTATATGTTGTACCATGCACTGTTTTGACTACCTTACACAAATCAACTCGTAGAATAATCACAATAATAGTCAGAGATAGGTGTTATTATGTTTCCCATATTATGGGTAAGAAAATGGACTGATAGAAAGGCTAAGTAATTTGCCCAAGATCTCTCAGCTGGCAAGTGGCAGAGCTACGGTTTGAATCTAGGAGATCTAGCAATGAAGTCCATGTTTGTAACCACCTTACCTTGCTAGTCTACCCAGACCACACTATAACGCAATAAGTAGTATGATTGAGTTAGACAGTTACGAGGACAGAAAAACTCTTCCCCAGAAGAATTTACCATGTGAAATTTCCATGAATCAAGTTTGATCCTCAAGGCCCTGATGTCATATGTTATTTTGCTAAAAAAGAAGCCTGAGTCATGAGCCACAGTGGCTGACAATTGTGCAGCCATGAGTCACTTCACTTGTGAGTGAGCCCAGCCAGCTGCCAGCCTGCACATGTCCACAGCTTTGTTCTTTGCTCCTTATAATATACATGTTATAGGGGAAATTGTACCCTACAGTGGTTTTCCCAAAGGACCCTCAGTGCAGCCCTATGGACTTATCAGAATCACCCTTGAGAAGAATATAGACAAGTTGGAGAAACAAGTTACAAATACATGAAGATTGAAATGATAGGACAGGTTCCAAGACGAAGAAAGAACTGTTTTTGCATGGTGATTTGGATAATGATTGCCACTGGGGTTCAGAAACATTTGCAGCACTTGTTTTTCCAATATAATCAACACGACTGAAAAAAAAAATCACTGTTTTGTAAAGTTTGCTGGGATCAGGCTGACAATCATAAGAAAAGCCAAAAGATGTGCTTAGGTGTGGCTCAGAAGGGCTGTATTTTATCAGAGGCAGCAGTGTCTCTTGGGACGATGTCCGTGATACTGTGCTCATGAATTTATGCTTCTATTTTCTTTTATTCTTTCTACTTTTTAGGAAGACAAGTATTGTCCCTGAGGACATGTCCTAATAATACCCTTGTGTAACCCTGGTGTTGGTTTTGTACAGGTCAAAAAAATATAGCCTTTGCAGGCAACATCAGGAGTGTGTAATGACCTATGCCTTCTACACACAGGAGGATTCACATTTCCAAAGCCACGCTGGACTGTCTCAACGGTGACTATAACGTGGAAGAGGGCCATGGTAAAGAGAGGAATGAATTCCTGAGGAAGCATAATATCGAAACTTACTTAATTAAGCAGCCTGAGGACAGTCTGCTGTCCTTGCCTGAAGATATCGTCAAGGAGTCAGTGAGCTCCTCAGACCGGAGAAACAGTGGGGCCACATTCACTGAAGGATCCTGGAGCCCTGAACTGCCCTTTGATAATATCGTGGGGAAACAGAATGTAAGTCCTCTCTTCCTCCTTCTGCTTGGCCATGAATGCATGCTCGTGTGCATCTCCAATCCAGACACCTCAGAGAAAACTGATTCATCTTTAACCTTTTCTCCAATGAACACCATAATTGCAAATGATCAAACTATCTCTCTGTCTCCTCAGGACAGAATTAACCTCGTATGCAATTTCAGGAAATGCCAGAAATGCCAGAGGGTTCCTAACACCCTCTCTCTCTCTCTTTTTTTTTTTTTGTAACCTAGCTAAAAATAAATATTATGTGAAGCTGAATTGTAATTTTACCAAAAAAAAAAAAAAACCACTCATGTTGGAAAAAATAAACCCTCTGTTATTAAACTAAAGGGGAGGATCAAGTACATGGGAATGCCCCTTTTTCGGTAGCTGGCCATCATCAGTTCTGTGTCACCCTCTGAGATTCAAAATCAGGGGGGCACTGCAGATTTGGAAATAGGAAAGGAGCACCAAGTGATGCCTAGAGTTAGGGAGTTCAGGAGGAGCATGCAATTTCAAAGCCACCCACATGATTCTATTTTTATATAGCATGGATTTGCATCTTCTATGAAGGACAGGGCTACTAAGTCAGTACATAAGGAGTAGATCACCAATAACCAAAATTCTTTTTAAATTATTTATTCAAATATTGAAATCACAGTAAACCCAATGAGATGCTCAGACTCCAAGAGGCACTTAGAGAACTGAGGCTGAGCCAGGTCGAGAACCAAGGTGGACACAGAGATTCTGTTCTCCCAGAATGCTTGCTTGGAGCCATGGCAAAATTACCTGCTCTAATATGGATTTTCCCTTTAACCTCTTAGACACAGCACATTTAGTTGAATTCACATAAGTTCAATGATGTGACTGTACTATACATTTTTAGAGAAAGAAATAAAAATAGCCAATATATAACACTTATCTGACAGTTATCTGACAGTTTCTGATAAGATCCTCGACCAAGCAGAAGCTGAGAGTACCATGAAGTACCCAGCCAATAGTGTCTGGAGTTTTATGAAGACATATAAGGGTTAATTTTTAAATTCCATAGACCTCAACATTTCTCATTAACTTATAGATAAGAAAAATCTGTCTGCCTAAAAAAATTTTAAATGGAAAGGTTAAAATGCTGAAAGTCTCCCCTCTTTTTTCTGCATTTGAAAGTTTGATGGGGCACTCTGAGACTAGGCTGTCTTTGGTTTCTTTCTGGATCTGTGGGGGAAAAACTATGAGAAAATGCATGGGCCAGATTCCACTGGGAAAAGCTGCAGGTTGAACCTAGGCTGCATGCCTTGCAAGAGTTGACCCTTAGGTCTTCGACAGCTCTTTTGTGAGTGTTTAATTTCCCCCAAAAATTATTATGCACACAAAAGTCATAACTGATTGCAATGCCTAGGTTCTTTCCATCTCTGAGTTGGTGTGCATGGTACAGTTTGCTGTTTTATAAAATAATGGTGTTATATACTTCCTGGAGTGGGTGCATGACCAGCTGACAGTGCCCTCTCTGCTGCTTTTGCCTATTGTTAGCTTGGGTCTGTATGCTGATTATTTAAAGAGAAAGAAATGCATGCCTCATCCTGAATACCTCAGCATAAAGTTCTCTCTCTCAGTTTTAGTTTTTGTTTTGTCTTTATTTTTGAAAAATCTCTCTCCAGTTATGCTGATTGTAGGAATTAAGATAATTCCTTAATGTTCTAATCTGTATTGTACATGAACTTGCTACTAATAACTGAGAGCCAAGAAGAGGGAGGTGGAGGTTCTTGGTTTTATTCTATAGTTGATTGATGTGGTTAAACTGTATAGGAATGCTTGAAATATTTATTTGCTGATTTCCTAAAGATATTTCCTGATGTCACCAAATACCTATTATAAGAGATGTCATTATTAGCTAGAGATTGTTAGTGTTGTTTAACCATACCGTGTATTTTTTTAATGCCCAAGTTTTGCCTGGATGTAACCCATCTGTGCCATCTTTAGCACGAAAAATCTGAATTCATTTTGATGCCTTCAGACTGAAGAGCAAGTGAATGTGTGCTGATATTCATGAATAACCGCGTGCCACCAATAATATTTTGGAAATTACTGAGCCAATTAAAACCGTCACAAGTATTCAATGTTTGTACTTATGCCTAACTCTAGAAGTCAGTGAGCCATATGTGCAATTCAGAGACATAATTTGTCCCTGGAAGAGATCAAGACTGGTCTGGCTGAGCCTATGCTTTGCCAAAACACCCAGTCAATTCCACGGAAGCCCCGACCATCTGAGTGTTTGCATAACACAGATAAAGCATGCTAATGCTTCACTGGGGGTATTCCAGCTAAATTGGCCAGATGTTTTGGCTTCTATTCATTCATAATATGTGCTTAGAAATATGTTTAATGGCATCAAATTGCTGTGTCATATTCTGTGCTATGTAGATAGCAGATGTTCAGATAGTTACATCCTCATGTATTCATTCATTCAATAAGGATTAATTGAGCATCTATTACAAGCCAACTACTGCTAGTAAAAAAAAAAAAAAAAAAAAAGAGGAGGGATGGGGAAAAAAAATCACTTTAGAGACAAAGTCAGCCAGTGGTTTATATTCTTAATGAAGATAGAAATTATATCCGTTTCACTTACCACAATTTAGCCCACAATTAGAACAATACCTGGCAAATCACAGGGCTTGATTAAAGTTTGTTGAATAAGTGAATTAAATGATAGATATGGGTAGTGAGGGAGAGGAATCAGTCAAGTTTGAATTCTAGATTTTTTGCTTGGAACTGCGTCGATGATAGAACTTCCAACTAAAATAAGCAGTACTGGAATAGGAGATTGTGTGAGGAAGACTAGGAATTCTCTTTGGGACATGTGGAGCTTGAAGTGTCTGGGAAAAATCCAGGGAGAGTGATCACACATTTCTGAAACTCAGGCATAAAAGAACTGTGCAAGGGATGTGAATTTGGTATTCATAGTCACGAGAATTTTGGTGTTAGTAGAAGACATGGCAGTGAAAGAGATCACTGTTGAGAATCTGTAAAATTAAGGAACAAGAAGACACAAGCAGACCTTGAGGAGCACAAGTTGGAAGGTGAAAGATTCGTATTCCTTGGCAGAGACAGAGAAGAAACAGTCAAAGTTGTCAGAAGAGAACTAGGGAATGTGGTGTCACAGAAGCCTAGAGTATGGCATTTTAAGAAGGAAGGGGCCATCAGCAAAGTCAAATGGAGACAAGAGGCCCAGGAAGATGAAGACTGATAGCTGCCTATTGGAACTGGATTGAAGGACATCATTGGCAAGAGGCAGATCTGGTGAGATGGTAGAGTCAGAAGCCAGGTCATCATAATTGGTAAGAGGTGGCTCTGGGTTTCCAAGAACTCCAGTTCCACCCCTGTTCCCTTCCCTCTACCCATTTCAGTAGTTTGTAAATGGCTTGGAGGAGCAATGAAAATCACTAATAATTATCTGTGGCCCCTTATGTGAGTCTTCCAGTTTCTGTCTGCCTGACCATACTCCCTTGGTTTTGATGCTGTGTCTTGTCTGCCCCTGTATCTGTATCCATTTGGGTTAAAATTGTTGGTTTGACCCCATTCTGGTATCCAAGTTTTGCTCTTGGACATCCTGAACACCCATGCCCTTTTATATCCCTGGCCCTTGACAAGTGCAGATGTTCTGCCTCTTAATTTGATGCCTTGGTTTCCTGAACCCTGACTCAGATCCCAGTGAGACTCCCCATGCCTTGAGTTTCCAGGTGAAATGAAAGTAAGGAAACTAGAAGGCAAGAAGTTTATGATCACAGGTGGACTATTGGAACTTAAGATTTAAAAAGTAGAAGGAGATGATTGAAGTAGATCAAAAGTGAAAAATTTCACATATGGGGGAGAATATCCAGGAAGTTCAAGGCTAGATTATTAAATGAGTTATCAACATGGACATTGAATCTCTCAGTTGAAAGACAACATTGCAAATGAAAGGAAGATAAGAACAGGATCCTTATCATAAAGGTTATATTTTCCTTTTCTGCTGCATGCTCTGAGTAAAATCTATATCTGGGCTTGAGCTATTGTTCATTCTGTTATTTAACAGATACTCAAGTGTACTACATACTGAGGATCCAGTAATGAATGAATCCTGTCCTCCAGGAGCTTATGTTTCTTTTCTTTTCTCCTTTTTTTTTTTTATTGAGATGGAATTTCACTCTGTCGCCCAGGCTGGAGTGCAATGGCACGATCTCGGCTCACTGCAACCTCCGCCTCCCGGGTTCCAGCGATTCTTCCAACTCAGCCTCTTAAGTAGCTGAGATTACCGGCGCGTGCCAGCACCCTTGGCTAATTTTTGTATTTTTAGTAGAGATGGGATTTCACCATGTTGGCCAGGCTGGTCACGAACTCCTGACCTCAAATGATGCACTCGCCTCAGACTCCCAAAGTTCTGGGATTACAGGCTTGAGCCACTGCACCCAGCCCAGGAGCTTACATTTCAAAGGAGTGAGGAATGCAGACAATTAATCAAAACATATAAGTGTAATGAAGGAAATAGAGAGATATGACCAGGGAGTATATAGCATACAGAAGGCATTGTCAGAGAAAGTCTCTCTAAAGATTTAATATGAGTGCTAAAAGGACTCTCATGCAAATAAGCAGGAAAAGAGCATTCTAAACAGAGGAAAAGCAGTGCAGACACCCTGAGGTAGAAAGGAGTTTAGTGTGTTAGAACAGCAAAAAGTCCCAAGTGGCTAGAGCATAGTGAGCAGGGAAAAGGAGTAACAGATGGAGCTGAAGGGGCTGGGACCTCCGTCCTGCAAGCTTTGTTGATGTATTTTATTCCAGAAGTGATAGAAAGGGTAAAAGCGGGGCAGTGATGTGATCTCAATTAGATTTTTAAGGGATCACTTTGGCTGCCTGTGAAGAATGGACTGTCGGGACAAGAGTAGACTTAGCAGAAAAAAGATCCGTCTTAGACTTCAGATTTTCAAGAAGATACCAAAGGTTTTTATGTAGCTATAAAAATGTATTGTGTGTAGGATATTAATCATTTTAACTGGATTTTTATGACAAGTGATATGCCAAGAGAACTGAGGCTACTCTTTGAGAAGCAAGGCCCCTTTTCAGAGCCTGGAATTTGTTTCCGTATGTTGTGGAATCATCTTCATCCCATCCATCCCTTTCACATTTATTACAGCCTGAGAATCCAGGCATGTTTCTGTTACTCCGCTAGGCCTTTTGAAAGAGTCATATGGAGAAAAGTACACAACTGGTACCTCCACTGTATGTTTTAGTCATTTCTATGCAATAGACTGATTTGAGGCATTTTTGTTATCTTGAAATTAATGTGTTTACCATGAGGATTATAAACACAGATGGAATTTCTATCTCCATGTAACAAATGGAGAGCAAACACACTTCATTGCCTGGAATATAGATAAACATCCACAAGGTCACCAACACTGACAGGAGTAGAGAGCTTCGGGACAGGTAGCATGTCGGGAGTGGTGTGCCCATGTTTTTCCACCTAATTCTCACACCAACCTTACAGGGTAAGTGTGATGTGCCTACTTCACAAATGGGAAAATTGGGATTCAGAGAGAATTGATTAATTCCCTGAAGGACACATAGCTGGTAAATAACAGAGATGGAATTAGAGCCCCATATATCTGACTCAAAAAGCCCCATGCTTTCCATCAGTTCACACTGCTTCCATCTTTGTGGCCTGAAGATATATGCTGGGTGTCATCTTCTACCTTGTTTTCAGGTCATCTGTCAGTCTCAGAAGGTGAGTGAGTATTTATGTGTGTTGTGTGTGTAGTGTGTGTGAATATGTGTGTGGTGTGGTGTGGTGTGTGTTATGTGTATTTGTACATGGTGTGTATATGTGTAGTGTGCATGTATATGTGTGTACGGTATGTATGTGGTGTATGTGTGTGGTGTTTATATGTGTATTATGTATGTTTGCTGTGTATGTGGTGTGATATATGTATATATGTGTGGTATGGTGTGTGTGAGATGTGTGTATATATGGATGTATGTGTGGTATGTATGTATATGTTGCATGTGTTGTATGTGTGTGATGTGTGTATGTGCATATGATGTGAGGTGTGTATGTGTGTGTACATGTATTCACCCTCTCATATATGTGGGTCACTTGCTCACCACGGCTATTTAGAAATTTTAAATGAAAACATCAGGAAATGACCAGATTCTGCTCCAGCTAAATTTTGGAAATCCTACCCAACCAAGAAGGATCTCATTGCCTGAGTGTCCTCGCATGATGATTGTTTGCCTGGAACAAGGCAACACTAGGCAGCCTCTCACATGTGCCTAGTAGTAAAAACAAACAAACAACAATTTGATTTAGTCCCACTTGAGTTGGCAAATGTTGATACCAGAAGAAAAGGAAATGTGAAGTCAGTGGGGGCTGGCTGGGCTGGTGAACATGGTCAAAGAATATATTTAGGTTACTATATCTTCACCAATTCCAGCTGGGACTTTTCTTAGATCTTGTTCTCTGTATTTATTAGAAGAAAAGGAAGAATTCTCATCTGATTGCCGTCCTGATTGAAACCTCCTTGTGGATCCAATGCTGAGCCTCAGGCTCCTCAGAGTGAACTGGTTAATTCTGTAGACTGTGAGTCTTGTGATCTTTGAGTAAATCTCTGCAGGAATTGAAATTTGCACATATGATAGTGGAAGGGCCTGAATAGAAACTAAGCAGAACTGAGTTGGAGTCAGATTTGTCCAGTTGCTACTAAGAGACCTTGGGCAACCACTTCTCCCCTCCAAGGCTCGGTGTCCTCATTTGAACAATAGCAAAACTGGACTGGATGATCCAACAATTCCTTTCAGCTCTGACATTGCCCTATTCAGTTTCCCTACCTCAGACACAGGCTCCAAGACTGTGGCCATACTGGTGAGCCACATACACTTCAGAATTCTACCATCCATAAATAATTTACCAGGAAGCCATGGGGACATCCACTGTTTACAGTTATCTTACTGTAGGGTAACAGCTACACTTATCCTGGTGAACCGTCTTAAAACATGAATACCAAATTCAGCAACAGGAGTTAAAGAAAAAAAAATTAAAAAGTATTTGAGGTAAAATCTTACCTAACTAGGGAATGAGATTTACCCTTTTCTCTAAGCATAACTTATGATTTTATGTAGATAAACACCCAAACATCATTACAGACATCATCACACTTTGCCTGCTTTCAAGGTCCTGTTTTCACCATGGTCATTATGTTCTCTTATTGAGTGATATTGTTCCCTGGGATTTGATTTCTTTCCTTCTTCTTTCTGCCCCTAAAGGGTGGATTCAAACTAAGGGGCAAGCCTCTTTTTTGTGAATATGAAGGCGTGCAAAAAAATGCATTCTTTAAATTCAAACTCATCTTACTTTTATCATTCAGCTTAAGAAAGGCAATCCTATCAAGATGCTTATTTGTTCATTCATTCATTCAGCCATGCATTTATCAACAGCTTACTGAGAAACTACAATTTGCCAGTAAAGTTCTAGGATCTGGGGATAGAGACGAAGGTGGGGCAAGCACTCCGGAGCTTAGTTTGATGGTGCTACTAAGAGGTCAGCAGGCTCACTGTGAACATTGTTACAATTATGGCAGGACAGAGTAGTAGAGTAGTAGATGAGGGAAAATTGATCTGAGTTAATCAGGAAATACCTTAAGCTGAGATCTACAGGCAAGCAGGAATTAAGCCAAGAATGAGGGAACAAGACCTTAGAATGGGAGAAAAAGCAAGTCCACCATCTCAGCCTGAGTTTCTTTGCTCAAGACCAAAGCACAGATTTCTCTTTCCCTACAGGGAATTCTGACCTGAAATTCCTCCCCCTAAAAACACCTGAAATATTGAATCTTGATCTTTAGAAAGGTGTGTTTTCAGAGGTAACTGCTTCTGTGATAAGTTACAGGACATCTAATTGTCCATATTCAATATAAATATGCAGAGAATCACAGGCATATTTTTCCCCACAGGTAATTTTTTTAACCATTTTAACATCAGATTAAGTTTTGATGCTTATTAGATAAGACATCTGCAGACTTAGGGTCAAGAACATGGAAATCTTTGGAAATTTTCCTGAAGTCAAGCTGCATTCTTCCAGTAACATGGCTTTTTCTGACAATAAAACTCCCCAGGCTGTCCTGAGCTCTGAATCTGAGGATAGCTGCTGAGTTCAGCCAGGGAGAATCATTAGTGGGGTCTGCTTTTTCACTCTGTTTCAAAAGACAAGTGGATTTGAAGGCTTCCAGAGAACATTGAATGGATTAAGTAGGCAATTGGATCCATTTGCTTTGACTCATCATCCTTCCTTTCTCTGAAGTTCCTGGGGTAGACTAAGGAAGAAGAGATAAAGGTAGAGATAGGACTGAGGCTTATGTATAACCACAGACATGAAAAATACACATTTAGGTTGTCAAGCATACATCATGCAGCCACGGTTACTCCCATGGCTGATAACCTGCTAAAACTTTTCTACACAAACGAATTGGACTCTTCTTTTATGAGATATTGAGTCATTGTTTGGGGAGTCATAAAACTGAGGGCTGACAAACAAGACCCAATAAACGTATAGCACTTTAAATATGTCAAGGTGGAAATGTATGATATTTTAAATATGAGAAGATAGGTAGGAAGAGTAAAAGCAAAAATCTGGATTCTTTTCCCCTGACTTATTTCCTCAATTTGAAAACAAAGAAGTGGGATTTATTTTCTATCATTCTTGGTGTTCACTTTGCCAAGGACTGGGCTCAGATCCTTCAGTGTAAAATCTCTTCATTGAGCTACACCAGGATTGCTCTCATCTCTTTGCCACCAAGTATAACTTTTATTGTTTGACACAGCGCAGTTCATATCGAGGAAGGTTTTTCTTTCCAAGCAAAATTGCATTTGATGTGAGTGAATTTTTATTCCCATTTTTCAAGTAATTTTATATGTGCCCTGACCCACCAGTTTTCCTGCTCTACACAAACACAAGGGTCTTCCCATTCTAAGGTGACTGAATTCTAGCCAGAGAAAAGATAACGGATATTTTTGTTGGCCTGAACAGCCACGGTACTTATATATGTACTTCTTTTTACTTCCCCTTGTGTCAAAAGAGACTTACAGTGGCTTATCTTCAGTAAGCATACAGTATGGATGGAAGTTTTTGCAAGGTCCTCTTCTATCTCAAGGATTCCCAAACTACTGTTGTGAATTTCAGGTTATGCACCACTAGATTTGGCAGTGTCTCTTCCCACTGTGTGACTTTTATGTTACCTTTAGTCCCCTAAAGAATCATGTCACACTGTGAGATAGTAAGGACTTTGGATACATTGTATGAAGTATCACCCACTCTGGACTTCATGTCTGGGGAAAACTTAAACACAGGACCACTGATAAGGGATAAGCCTGGAAATAAACACGCGGGATAATAAAAAACCAGAAAAGCTAAACCAATTACACCATTCTTATAGAAATGTGTGTGTTGGGAAAGTTAGGGTAAAAGGAAGTAGCAGGCACAACCCCAAAGAGGTAGCAATGTAGCTCTAACATAGACCGTTTCTTCTTTTCCCAGTTTTGCCCTGACACAACTGGTGAAAAGTAAGAGATGCTGGATTCTTGAAGGTCAGTAATTTGTTGCTCCATTGGAATTAAATTAAGGAAAGCATCAATAACTACATGTGATTAGTAAATTGTATAAGAGTGGTCTGAAAAAACTCATACTGAGAAATTTAAAACACCAAACATGAGCAATTTATCAGCAACCCAAGATGTGTAAGTTTTTCATCTGCCTAAATTAAAAGTTACTTCTGAACCTTCAAAGCTAAACATTTAAATAATTCTATTTCAATTTTCTCAAAATTTCTATTAAGAAAACACAACCACAACCACACACACAAACATGCACACCCGCAAACACACACATAAACATGCACACCCCAAAACACACAAACATGCACACCCACAAACACACACACGCATAAACATGCACACACACAAACATGCACACCCACAAACACACACACATAAACATGCACACACACATAAACTTGCACACCCACAAACACACACATAAACATGCACACACACACATATAAACATGCACACACACACACACACACACACACACACACACCTTCTTCTCCCCATGGTATTGACACCTCTAAAAAATCCACATCTTTGATGTTCACAAGAAAATGGAGTAACTTAGGTCTGGATATATGTTTGTTTATTCATTTCCTGAGCTAAAATTCTCCAGGTTGCCAACCCAAGGTCATTCAGTCAATGGGATAGTGGTCATCTCACCAACTACAGCCAATGACATTTCAACCCAGCTAATTCAGTGCTAGGAGATATTTCAATTCACACCTACCCTGTGGCCCTATGAACAAACCACCAATGTTTCAGTTTCTCTCTCCCCTACTTGTGAGTCCCATGTGAATCCTGGCAGAAATCTTGCCTCCATTCCTAGATCGTACCTTATCCCAGCACTTACACCATCCCTAATCTCGAGATGAAGTCCGTGCTGGAGTTTGCATATCTGTTCCACACATTACTACGGATGTGATACTTAAAAAGCTAAAAATTCAATTCAATTGACAATTTGCCTCAAATCATGTGGCGTCAAAGTGGTCGGATCTAAATGAGTGTGCCAAGTTCTGTTTCCGCCAATTCTGCAGAAGTTTAACAACATTTTTTGATTTTATAAAAATGACCCAAGTGTGTAATGTCTCAGACATAATCACATTTCCCAAACTGAGATGAGAATCTTCTTTTTAAGGAGCTCAAAGAATAATATCAGAGGCAAGCATCTAGGATTAGCTAATAGATTGGTGGAATAGAGTCAGGCAAGCTTCTCAGGCAGGAGGGAATCATTGTCAGACCCCACTTGACCCAAGTTAACCTGGCTGGATTCCTTAGGCCAGCTCTAAGGGACAAAATCTAGAATGTTGGTAATTCCCTCTGTGAGGTCTCAGTCTTCTTATCCTGAGAACTCTGCCCAATCACGGGGAATTGTGGTTGAACCTGGAGAGAAGCCACAGCGGACCACTTGCCCACATCACATCTCAAGAGAACCAGGAGAGTACATCTGTGTCTAAAGCCATGACCCAGGAGTAGGTTGAACTGAAGCAAGAGGTGAGGCATTTAATGCCAGGCAAAGCACACCAGGAAGACAGCCCAGGATTGTGCTTGGATATCCTGGGACCTAAACCCCCAAATGATTAAACTGTTTTCATGCTCCAGTTTACCAATATTAGTTGAAAGGCCAAGAGTGAGGTTGTGGGGTTCCAATGAGTAGCAAATGAGTAAGTGCCTAGTGTGGTATCAGCCAGAGTCGGGGCACCTGCCTTGTCATTGTTTTATTTTCTTCATCATAGACTGAAATTTCAGGACACCAAGGAACAAAAGTCAATCAAAGGATGTCACAGATCCCTTCATCCCTATCAAAGTTAGCATCCAGACAATAGTCGGAAACTTCCAATTCTGCCTAAAGATGGGAAGCAACGATTTCCCAAATGACCTGAGCCCCAGACTGACATTGTTTACTCATAACTGGGAAACCAGACAACAGAGGGGTGCTGAAATCCTACAGTAGGCTTATAGAAATGTCTAGGCTATTATTGCAACAGAATGGACATTCTGACCCCTGTTATATCGTTTCCTGGGGCAGAAGCTATGAGACTATTATGAAAATTATTTAAACCGCTTTCCATAGCAGAATCCCACAGACCTTCTCCCACAATAAGATCTCGTTAAACATTCATTTGCTTTTCTTGGAAAACAGATTACAGTGACATAAATATTCAAAAAATAAAAGGAAAAGTAAGCATGATTTCTAACTAAAAAAGCATCAAACAGATCATTTGGCTGTACTGTTTCATTTTCTCTTAGTATAGACAAGAAAAGTTGCAACAATCTTAACTAAGATACCTTGCTTATGGGAAATGGTCCTATTCACTAGCACCTCCACTCCCATAAGAAGGAAAACTTGTTATAAGACAGGGTCTTGGAGATCTCATGTGGATATTTTATCAAGGGCTCCCCAAGTCAATGTTTACTCAAATACCACTTAGCATTTTCTTACTAGGAAAATATTTCATCTCATATCTCCCCATTCCCAGATTTGAGGGAAAAAAATTGTGCCATTTTCAAACATAACAAGCATTCTCCTCCCTGAGGTCCTCAATGCAAACCATTGTAGACTAGATCACCTTGAAGCTTTCCCAAGGTATGAGCTTTCTTAAGAAGAATAAATGATAAGTATTTAAGATGATGGGTATATTAACTAGGTTAATCTAATCATTGTACAACATATTCGTATATCATATCACAATGTACCACATAATTGTATATTATTATAATCTGTCAAAAAAAGAACACAAAATGACTCTTTTTAAAGTAGAAGCCTTCTCTTCCAGGGGTTGGGTTGGCATTTTAACAAACAGTAGAGAAAGAATCGCTGTAATGTGCACTGTTGAGGTACTCTTACTTAGGCTCACTGTTTTTCCTGTGTCTTGTAGGACATAGGAAGTTCATAAGAACTGAAAGGTGGAACCTCTGCCTTTTCCACAACCCAAAGGCTGCAGGCATCAAGTTTAAAATAGAGGTACAGAGGCTTCCAAGTTAGGCACAGAAACATGCTGCCACAGGGGTAATGGAAGCGTGCTCCCAGAATAGGTTGGGGAAACTACTGGCCCTACCTACTTCTGAATGAAGATTCCAGCCTGAAACTGAAAATAAGCAGAGTCTTTGGGAAAGGTTAGGACATCTCAGCATGAAAGACAGAAGCTGCACAGCTGTGCCTTGAGATTGCTGAGCCTGGCGTTCTCGCTAGGTCTTTTCCATATCAGCAATGAGTTGGCCCACACTGTGAGACCTCAGTCACAACTACTATAGCTAAATCTAAAGACTACCACATCTGCCTTGTCCAGGAGCTAATAAAGAATAAAGTGCTTTCACTAGTGACCTTAACCTCCTTCCACAACTGGCTCATGGAGAACACACAAACTGAAGTTAGCCCAGGTGCTGGTCCCAGAAAAGGCTCAAGGTTACCCCTTGCCAGCCTGTGGTCTCTGGTGCTCTAGCAGCCAGCACTGGGAAGTAGTAATGGGAGTGACATTCTCTGGATCCCAAAAGTCTGAATAAAACCTCACATTGACAAGCGTCACTAGGCTGCCTTTAAAGGCCCTTGCTCTTGGCTGGAATATTAACTGCATTGGTAGTGCCTTTTATCTCATGCTGAGAAAAACTAGGCATTTGATCAAATAGCAGGAAAATAAACTACTTCTTATTTAATACAGTTTGGTAAACAGAATCTTTCCAAAATTTGAAGTCCATTTGGGAGAGAACAGAAAAAAACTAAAGGGACTTTTGCAGTGAAAGACCAGAAACACTGCCCTAGGGACAATCTTCTTATTTTTTTATTTTTAGTTTTATGTTTTATTATACTTTAAGTTTTAGGGTACATGTGCACAACGTGCAGGTTAGTTACATATGTATACATGTGCCATGTTGGTGTGCTGCACCCATTAACTCGTCATTTACATTAGGTATATCTCCAAATGCTATCCCTCCCCACTCCCCTGACCCCACAACAGGCCCCGGTGTGTGATGTTCCCCACCCTGTGTCCATGTGTTCGACAATCTTCTTATAAAGGCACTTGACCTTTCGTCTATCCACTCATCCATTCCTTCCTTTCATATACACTTATTATGAACCTAGCAGATATACCAGGTGCCGGAGACTCAGTTATAGATAAAACACAGTGCCTGGCCTCAAGGAGATCATAGTCTAGAGAAACAATCACCTAATTAGGCAATTACAATGAATCATAGTAATGGTGATAAGGACAATTGCAGCCTCAGAGTAGGCTTACTGGAGGAGGTGATGTCTTATTTGTTTTTTATAGTAGCAGTAGGATACATGCCTAGATGCTACATGTTTCAATGCATAAAATGAGTAATTACTTAATAGGTCAGATTATGTTAGGTGTCCATGTTCCACCACAAGGTCAGATGCCACGTGCACTGGGTCTGATACTCTGTGAAGTAGTGCCCACAAGGCAAGGACAAACTAAGAAGAATTATGCAATATGTAGAAACTATATCACCTATGGAACAACTGGGGAAATACATTTCATGTGCCTGGTGAAGAAAGCTAAGGACACTGGAAAGCAGCCACATGAAGGGAGATGGATGTAGATCTTGTTCAGAAATCGGAAACAGGTCTAGTGTGTGGAAATTCTGAATAAAAGCAGGGAAGAACTTTAAAGCACTGTTTCCCAAATAGCATTCCATGAAACATATAGAGGCAATTCAAGAAAAGGGGGATTTGTGGTCAAAAAAGTTTGGAAGATGCAGAGTTTAAAAGTCTTATTTCTGTGGAACTTATCAGTGCCTTTATCTCAATAAAGTGTATTGAGATAGGAAGATATAAGAAATTTTTCATTCAGTAAACACATTTATTGTGGTTACAAAGTACTTAAGTGACTACAAAGTATCAGGCATTGTCATAGGCCCTGGGGACAAAGACATGAACAAAAGAGACAAAATTAAGGTAAGGAGAAATGGCAGTAAACAAATAATGGATCTACATTTTCTAAACTGATTGGTCCACAGAACCACTTTGTAATGAAACATCTCATCATTCTTGTGCTTCTTGAAACACATTTTTGAGAAAGAGTGAATTAGGAGGATCTAACAACGAAATAGATCACTCCAGTGCTGTAACTATGTAAGCTGATTTGCAGTGTCTGTAAGGATGCTTTAAAGGGTCTTTTGAGATTTGAGCGTATGATCCCTAAGACCTGAAATGGTTTTGACTCAACAAAACTGGATGTTTCTAGACAGTACACCTTCAGCCTGCAGTCTTGCTGGGAAGAATTATTTGCTGTGACAAACTGATTAATGAATACCAAATTTTATGACAATCCATGAAGTGATAGGATCTGCAAGAAAAGTAGGATTTTACTGGGAACACAGATAAAAGACAAGTCCTAAAGAAGAGTCTTCTGATCATAAACCAAATGATGAGCTTAAGAGGATTTGTGACTTCCCCCAGCCCATTCAAATGCAATTTACAAAGGGCTACCTGACCCTCTCATTATAATTTTCACCAGAACCCCCAAACTGTCAAGCAAGATCCTATCATCAGAGACTCAGTTCAGAAGGAACTCTGGTTCTCATTTGCACTTTGATCTATCTCAAGCACCTGTGAGGGAGGAAACATTTATGGAAATACCTGAGGAGAGCACGAATCTCCATTAGGATAAATCTAGGGAATTCAACATCATTTTGGGAAAAAACTCAGTCATGAGAGGCCATCTCAGCTGCAAACTCTGCCATTTCTGCTGCTCCAACTGACTTCCCAAATACCTAAAACACCAGCTAAAGTAAATGAATAGCATTATTTATTTATAACATCATTTATAACATTATTACATTGCTGCTTCAATCTGACATCCCAAATATCAAAAACACCAGCTAAGTATACACATATACATATATTATATATAAATACAATGTATACTTCAATCATACATTGAAGCATACGTTCAAATATATGTATTCTATTATATATATATTATATTATAGTCAAGTATTATGGCATTTTCCATTTTATTCCATTTTGTCCATTTGTTTTTCCTATTCTTTAGCCAATTGTTTAGAGTGTTTATGTGAAAGAACCGTCTCAACATTTTGGAGGTCCATTTAATACTGGAATCACATTTGGAAGCTTATGCTATTTTTAAACATGATCTCAGTCTAGCTCGCACTGGTGCTGTAAGTCTTAAAAAGAGAAAGCCCTATTCTATTAAAAATAGCTCATTCCAGTATGACTCTAATGACTCTAAATAGACAAATAAGACAAGTTATACCTGTCTCCACTACTGATTACAAATGAATCACTGTGAATATAGTGAATATATCAGTGTATGGATTTTTTATGTTGGTAACATTATCCCACTGAAGGTGACATCTTAGTGGTCATTACTAATGACTAATGAGATAGAGGGGTATCACAGATAATCCCAAATCATAGTCACCCCCAAAGACATGTAGCCTTTGCAGTGTACTGAGGGTTAAATGAAAGCAGATGATTTCCTGATGTCCCTCTCTAGTTTCAATTTGCTTGCCTTCTTGAGTTAATGATGGTCTTCCCTTAAGCACATATACTCCTAAGGAGTAAGGTAGGTGCTAGAGAGGTTGCTGGCCAAACAGCATTTGTAATTGTCATATGTAATTGACAGAGGAAATAATCAGAAAAAACATCACTGAAAATTGACTACCTGCATAAAATGCTAGGAAAACACTTGCAAAGAATAAAAATAACTACATGGGCAAGAAAAGAATTCTCCACCACATTATTGACATTTTGATGAAAGGAGCTCCTTCCCAACTATTACCTATAACTTGGTGGTGGTGATGAAAGAAAGAAGAATGCCTCTAAATTTCTCTCTCATTTGAAGCAACCACATAGACAGCCAATAGAATGTGGAGAGGAGCAGGGGAGTTTCGAAAGGAGGAGATTTCATTGGTCTGTATCCTACAGAAGTGGCCAATGGCAGCAGAATCCTTCTCTGAATGGACGGCTGAATACAGCACAGGCAACCAGGAAGCAATGTCTATTCCTAATTTCCAAATGTCCTCTACATACCAGTATCAATTCCTGCTAACATTTTCACCAGTTCACATTAATATGAGAAAAATAAGGACAAAGTAGATAGTTATTTATTAAATTAAATGTATTCAATGTAAAGGACTGTCTTTTATTCTGAGACTACATCATTCCTGTTAAGGAAAAAAAAAACGCCCTTTCTTCTATTACATAATGGTCATATTAAAGAGCTGTGGTTGCTACTGCTGCTGCTGCTACTGAAATTTAAAGAAATCAATCCCCAAACTATTTTTTGAAACTTCTCTCCTCTGTGAAATCCAAAAGTCTTAGAGTCACTGAAGGCACAAGGGACTGGTAGAGTGGATAAGCTCAATTTAGTTAATAGAAGGAAAACCATATACAAATAAAAATATCAGACAGTGAGAGATGCCTAACTATGAATGTGCTCAGATGTTGTAGCAGATTTCCTCTCCAGCTGTTAGACCCCAGCTCCAAGCACTTACGAGGGCACCCTGGCATCCCAAGGTCAGAATGTATGGTCAGACGAGGACAGCTGGACTGTCATTTCCATCTCTTCTCCAAGACGGAAAATGGAGTTTTATCACTTTCCATGCCATATGAAAAAAATTTCTGACCAAAAAACCAATGAGAAATCCACCAAGTGGCTGACAGTTCAGCTTCCTTTGCTCTCTGGGATGCTGCACTAATAGCATTTAATTCCAGGGACTAAACTCTCTGGCCCCGCATGTATCCTGCTTTTCAATTCTCCAGAACATTGGTTCTGGCCTCCTTGTCTCTGCTCCAGCCCTTCTCCTAACATGCCACCCCCTAACATCTATTTTTTTCTCTATAGTAGTCTCTTTGGTACTCAGAGCTGAAATTACATGCTTCAGTGCCCTAAGAGCATGTACTTTGCTTTCTCATGTTGGCACAGGCAGCTCTATTCTTTATTCTAGGGCTGGAGAAGAGGGTTTCAGTAAAGTCTAGCCGTGATGAGCCTTGCTATAGAATGCTTTAGAAGCTTTGAATTTATGTTACATTGATTACCTTCATGAAGGTTAAAATGAAGGGTTCAATAACACCATAGGGAGAATCCTTATGGGGTGGGCTGGATGGCTTCACAGAGGTCAAAGCTCCTGACTCCAGCTGTGGTCCTGGAGTCAGCAGATCTGGCTTGGCGGCAAATGAGCAAGTCTCTCTGAGGCTCATCGATATCTGAAGGTTTGGCAAGAGGATCTGCAAGGTCCTATGTCACCTCTCACAGGCTGCCATTTGATGACTCCATAATCTTATCTTCATCTAGCCTGTGTTCTAAACATAGCCAAGCTGAGAGGCTGGCAGAGAAAAGCAAATGCAGTGAGTGTGTATAAAGGCAGAGAATTTTCACTTCCTTACTCACTCTACAGATGCGTGGCATCCTCTACTTTCCTTCAAGAAGATCTATTGGAAGGATGGGTTGGGCTTCCTTGTCCCTATATATCCCTTCAGGTCCAACTCACACTTTTTTTTTTGTTTTTTGGTCTAAGAAGCTGCCTTAAATTGGTGCTGTGAGTGAACACTGCATTTGGCTAGATACAGCCAGTTAATCTTATCCTGGCTACTGAATCACCAGGAGGAAAGGTCTCCTTGCCAAACCTGGTGTGTCTTCGTAAGCCAATGCAGTTTCTGCATCCATGTATCCATATCCAGTGACCAGCCGTGGTGGTTATGCCTTTCCCCGTCTCGTGCTGTGTAACCCTGTGAAATGGTGGGAGGCTGCAAGTTGCTTGCATTTTTTACCTAAAAGAAATTACACACATATATCTATATGAATATATAGATATATAATGGCCTATGCTGAGGGAGGGACATATTAGCGAAGTAAAAAATTTAGCAATCTTTATCAAGTTTAAGGAGCAGATCCTGGCATATTTGGCTGTCTTTCTATGAGTAATGCTAAAAAAAAAAAAAATGCAAGCCATAAGACCCCAAGTCTCTCCACCACCATTAAATGAAAGGTCACACGAAAATGTGGAATCTACTCAGTTGGAGATGATCATTTTTGGGGACTTTTAACATATATTTACTTTCTGTTATTTTTTTGGTTCTCTTTCTCTCATACCCAGGTTGTGCCTGGTTAGAGAAAGGGTCTTGATTAACATTTCTAAGCCAACAACTCTCCAAATACCTCAACCAAAGGAATTCAGTGTGCCTACATAGAGAAAAAGGAAGTGTCCCTCTGGATGTGATATTTTGCCAGGTTGTATTTCTCTGCACCAAATGCTATCAGATCAACTTCTGTAGGTTTCACTGAATACAACTGCATGGAATGCTATTACTGTTTGCAATGCAACATGATTTAAAAACATTGCATTTCTGTTTTATCTAAAGGGGACTAGCAGGTTTATTGTGTTTGCATGTGCTTTCCCCCTAGACTCTGGCTGCCCTAACAAGAAATTCAATAAATCTGCTTCCAAACCATCTTGCACAAGCTTTGCATGTCCAGTCTGGGCCTGAGGAAATTAACAAGAGAATAGAACATACCATCGACTTGCGGAGTGGCGATAAATTGAGAAGAGAGCATATCAAGCCATTCTCACTGATGTTTAAAGACTCCAGCCTGGAGCACAAGGTAGAGCTGGGTCTCCACAGCGGCTCTTTTTCTGAGTAAATTGTGGTAGATGTTCATGGGACTAGAGAGAGAGCCCAGGGGCTGTGGTTTTGGTTTCTTTGTTTGTTTGCTTTGGTTTGGTTTGGTACTGTCTTTCATTTTTCTCCTTGAAAATCATGAGTAGACTGAAGGTCATGAAAGGAGATGAGAGTTAGATTAAGAGAACATCAGCTTGCTCTTTAAGGAAAAGAAGACTCAAAGAACAAAGACTCCTTTAACTCAGTAAGCATCAAGAGTTTCTTCCACTTTCAGATTATTAAGCCAAGTGGCATTAACAGCCACTTACCTTTGCTTTTAGATGAATTCACATCAGCTGCAACCATTTTAACATAATAAATGAGGGCACCCAATAACTTGATGTAAGCGGTCAGTGATAAACACTGTCTTTCTTAGATTTTAGATATCTATTCTCCCCTTTCCCCAGTTGTCTGCTGCCTCAGAGTCTTCTGACCTAGGCATAGTAGAAAGAAATGGGTTGTGGATTCAGAGTCAAATTTGAATTCCACCTCTGCCACTTTCTTGCTATGTGAACTTAGATAAGTAAAGTAACCTCTCTGAGCGTGAGTTCCCCTCTGTATGATGAGGATAATGAATGCACCTACCTCACAGTTAATATGAAAGTCTTCAGGGCAACACCTTGATTAGGTAAAGTGTTCAAGGATGGCAGCTATCACCACATTAATGATGACTTTTTCCATTCCCCTCCCCCACCTCAGCTTTGAACTGGAGAAGGGAGTGGGCAGATGGGGTGCCGACCTTGCTTAACTGGGTTGCTCCTTTGTGCTGATAGAAGCTGACAGACCTTCCTTGACTGAGCATAAGAGGTGCCTGGCATCTGCAGGAGCCTTGGGCAGGAACAGCAGGGAATCTACAAGCAAATTTCAGGAGTTTGATTCAATACTCTGTAAAGCTCCAGTGAGCAATTTTTTTGTAAGTTTGTTCAGCTGCCTGGGAGATTTGCTTTCCTTAGTTTAGAGAATTCACAATTCTGTGCACATACAGCATTCCCAATGAGCTTCTTTGATAGCTACCTAAGGATTGCAGACTCCAAAATTAATACCTTCACCTACAGTTCCCAATTTGAGATGGATTGTGTCTATGTACTAACAAAACAAAAGGAAAAGAAACATTTTGCCTCACTCAACCCACACAAAAAAAGTAAAAGACACACTTCTCTTATTCATCATATAATTAAGGGCTTAAGGTCCAAATTAAATACATTTTCTTTCCCGGTTACTGCATTGAAGAAGCTAGGATGAAGAGCAGATTGCTTTACAAAGAAACTTCTCAATTAGCTTGTGTAAATACCTGTGTCCAGAGCTATACAAAACGCTTTTATTTATTTTTGCTAAAGATGTACTTGCTTCACTAATAACCTAACCCGTGCATACTACAGATAGTTTCTAGTGTGTTTTATTTAATAGCATTCACATCTAAGGGAGGAACAGCATGCCTGAGGTTGATTTCTGTGACCAGGGAAGATTCTTCTAGAAGAGCCAGAGTACAGCACCCTGAACAAACATGGGACTTGCCCATTGACAGTCTAGCCACAGACCACCTAGCCTGTGCTATGCATTGCATGGGTTCCCCAGTGGTGATGGCAACAGGACACATCAGCAAACGATCACTCCTCTCCTGTCACCGAGATATTCTTCACTGACTCTTACCGAGATACTCTTCATTGACTCTTGCTCTGAGACCATCTCTAGGGACTGTGTTACTGCTGAGCAGAGAATATATCACAAGTAACATTCATTGGGTATTTACCAAGTACCAGGCACTATTTCTAAGCTGTCTGCATAAATCAACTGACAAAAACAGTAATAAAAAGTAGATGTTATTATGAGCTTCATTTTATACTTGGTGAAACGTGACATGGAGAAACTACTATGAAGCTTTTCCAAAGTCAAACTGTCAGAGAGGGACTGGAATCTGAGCCTACCATGATGCCATAGCCACTGCTCTTGTCTGTTGACTATGCTGCCTCTGCCAGGAGTCCCCAGGACTTGATTTCCCAGGGTTTCGTACGAAGAAGACAATCCCGTGCTGTCTTCATTTTCCTTTTGTCAAACTTTGGATGCAGTGGGAGGCACAGAGAGGGAGTTTACAGGAGAGGCTAAGTAGGAAAGGGTTCTAGAGCCATAACAAAATTAAAACAAGGCTTTCAAATACATAGGATTCCAGAATCAGAAAATAGCATTAATATGCAGTTCCTCTGTGCTTGCTGTTAGATACATCAGTTTACTATTCCACTTACAAAAGAGAAAACTGAACCTCCAAGAGGTTAAGTGGAGATCTTAGATCTCAAAATCCAGCTACTATATTTCATTGACTCTAAGGTGTCATCAACTGTGAGATGCTGTATTTTCTATGCAGCTCTCAGAAAGGAAAAAAAAAAAAAAAAAACCTCAATATGGGTTTCTAAGAGGAAACACACACACATACACACACACACTAATAAACTGGGCTTACACCCTCCGGGTAAGGATATGGGGGGCTGAGGGGCTAGTGGGACAACCCCCTTAGACAAGGGTAGTGAGGAAACCCATATGCCTATACCCTGGTATTGATTTAATAAAGGGAAGAAGCTCCCCAAGAATTTAAACTCCGAAATGGAATCTGCATAGGTTTGCTGCATGAATTCACACTTTGAATGTGGACAAAAAAAAAAAAAAATTATCAGAGAATTTAATTTAAAATGATCCTGGGTTGATATTGCCACCTGGTGACCACAGAAGCAATTGCAAACCTCCCTGGAAAGAACTCAAGATTTTAGGATTCCCCTGATAATAAGGTGCATGCTGATTTCAGAGATGTCAAGGTGTACATTTTAAGGAAAATTGAACATTTTTATTAAGAATATATATCTTAGAATTTTTTAAATACATACAATATTTATGATTCTAAAGCCTTTTCTCTTCCCACTGCCCTACCTTTCTTCTTGGGAACAAGTCTGGACCATAAAAGTATGTTTTCTGAAAGGAAAAATGGAAATGGAAAAATAATTGTTCCTTTGCAATCTTTGTAGGAAAGGAAAGGCTTTATTCCGTTTGAACAATAAGAAGACAAATGAATATAGGAACCCGTTTGCCTTTCCACCTTTATGAAAACACTGAAATGTTCAAACACCGAAATGAACAAAGCTCCATCGAAATGTACAGAAATATCATTCACACATTCCCTGGTCACGTTTGCCTATAATAATTGGCGTGCCTATCCACAACATTATGTGAAACAGGACTTTTATATAATTCATGGTATTGCATAAATACTTGTTGAATGAATAAGGAAATGAATAAAGACTCAGTTTAAGAAGGTTAGATAAGACTGCCTCACCCCCTGTAGCTGTTTTCAGGATATTTTTTGTGAACTCTAAGAGCCGAAAGGCATGGGTCAATTTTGATCTGACTCTTTTTAGTGGAGTTTCAGCAGAGAACAAAAGTTCTGTGTACTCCCTGCCATGGAATTTCAAAGGTGGCTCACTCCCTGCTCCCTCACAGGAGTCTTTTGAGTTAAGCTTCAGAACAGTATGCTCATGACTCATGTAGCTTAGCGAACATATCTTTCCTTCTCTAGTCCTTGGATTCTTTATCTGTGAAATGAGGACGTTGGACAGCTGCTGACCACTTCAGCAGTTAATGCTATAAATCTGTGAATTTCCTATGATCATGGTGGCCATATGTCCTGGTTTGCCCAGGAGAGTAGTAGATGTCTATTTTTACAATGTGAAATTAGTATCACCTCCCTTCACTCTAAAAAATCACCCAGTGTGGATGATATGTAACAAGTCATGTGACCCAAGGCTTGGGCCTCAGCCAGGTTAGAATTAGTGACTCAACATCTTCCTTCACTACCCAGCCAATCATCAGGACTTTCTAAGCAGAACTCTGGATAGGGGAGAGGAGACCTATTGCAGTTGCCAAAGGCCTTCTTCAGCTCTTCCCACATTTCCCAGATGAATCATTTGCCCTTCTTTAGTCAGGCTAGATATTTCCTAAGTGGGCTTACAGATCTCATGGGCAAGCACAAATCAGAACTATGGTAAAGATATGTAGAAAACTTAATGTGTCTGTCAGATGCTACCAATCACATTGGTATTTCCTTATTGAATATTTCTTATTGGATATTTTCTTATTAAAAGAAGAATGCATTTTCACCAGTAAAAGTTGATACTAAGTATAAGGCAAAAAGAAAAAAATGAAATCTCTTTGGATCTTTCAACCCAGGGTAACCACTGTTACCATTCTGGCATCTGTCATTCTGGTCTTACATGAGTGTGAATCTATAGACTTATGTACACAACCGTATTAGTCCATTTTCATGCTGCTGAAAAAGACATACCTAAGATGGGGCAATTTACAAAAGAAAGAGGTTTATTGGACTTACAGTTACACATGGCTGGGGAGGCCTCACAATCATGGCAGAAGGTGAAGGAGGAGCAAGTCACATCTTATGTGGCTGGCAGCAGGCAAAGAGAGAGCTTGTGCAGGGAAACTCCCATTTTAAAAACCATTAGATCTCACGAGACCCATTCACTATCACGAGAATCGCATAGGAAAGACCCACCCCCATGATTCAGTCATCGCCCCACTGGGTCCCTCCCACAACATGTGGGAATTATGGGAGCTACAAGATGAGATTTGGGTGGGGACAGAGAGCCAAACCATATCAAAAATTTTTATAAAAATAGACCATTGTATGCACAGGGCTTCGTAACATAGTGTTAAACATTCTTTGCTTGAGCTTTTTTCCTCATTATTAAATATTCACTTACACAGTAATTTTAGTATTTACATACTATCTCATTGCACATTTAACTATTTCAGGCTTTTAAAAAAAGTTTTTCACTATTATAAATTACAAATTATGTTGTAATGACTATTCTCATAGTTAAATTATGCACTTTTGCTTATTTATTTTTAGGATAAAATCCTAGGGGTGGGTGAAAGAGAATTCACATTTAAAAATACTTAATAGTCATTTTGAAGTTGCCCTCAAAAATTGTGCTTACACTTTTAAAAACTTGTCAATTTGGTAAGAAGTAAAAAGCAGCACCTGCCTGGCATTTCTGTTTTTATTTTTAAAATTATTATTGCAGTAGAAGGTTTGTCAGTACATATTTTGGCCTTTATAATTCTCCTTTTGTGACTTGCACATTTCTTATACCTTGATGGTATGATTTACACATTTGTCTTCATTGCCAATCTTTTATCGCAGTGCTCACCTTTGTCTTTTTTATTTGTGAGCCTTCTTTACACACTGAGGAACTTAACCTTTTGTGGGATCACTTATCTTGGGCCCTTCCATTTTCAGAGCACTTACAAGAAGGTGATGTTTCTCAGCCTCTGGTCCTCACTTCTCTTCTGGGAAATGGCTCTGAATGAGGCTTAGGATAGGGAAGACAATTAATTACATTTACTTATGGATGTTTCCAAGCCAGAGTAGCCAACCCAAAACTTTAGCATCTTAAGAGAGCTTAATAACACAGGAACACTTATTTGGAATTATTTCATTAAGCTAAGTGTTCCAAAAACAATATTATCACCTTATAATAAGGTGACTTCCTCATCTTGAATAAAGATTAAGACATGTTTAATATATACTTCAAAATTGATTGCATATTTATGCTTTGGATATGGGCATTTTTGTGGGTAAACTGTGATAATCAAGCCATATCAAGGAAGATTAAAGTTCCTTCCTTCTTTTAATGCTGATATTTTTCCTCTTGATTCTTAATTGCTTTGAGAAAAGGCATCCTTTGTCCTTGTGACAAATTTATGTACTAAAACTCTCTTTGTCTCAGGCTAATAGTTTTCAAACTTAAGAATCATCTGGGGATCTTGTTTGAAATGCAGGTACCATCCCATCACTCTGCCCCCAAGATTCTGATTTTGCAAGAAGACCTGCATTTTGGTAAATACTCTTTTTTGGATTTTGTTATTCTTGGTTGTTGGCCATCTTTCTCTGTCCTTGATTGAGCATGAGACTCGGGCTGGTCACTTGCCCCACATCTTCAGAGATCAGCTTACATCAAAAAGTCCCCGGGTCCTAACTCAAGGGTAATATGGCTTTTAACAAGTCTAGAGGAGATGTCTCCAAGAGACTAATAATGGCTTCAGGACCACAGTCTTTGGGATCAGCTAGACCTCAGTTCAAGTCCCACTTTGGAAATAGAAGTGAGCATAAAGGACAGTTGATTAGTTTACTGATCAATAATGGGTAATGACAAGTTGATATCTTTCTGTCACTCAAATGGATACACACACACACGTATAAAATCCTCATTTCGCTCACCAGTATTTAGTCTTCGTTGAAAGACAGAGGAAAGAACATAGACTGGATTCTGACTTGAACCCAGTTCCAACCAGTTACCGGTTGGGTGATACAAAGCAAGGGGCTTGATCTCATCGAAATGAGTATGATTGTCTGCCCCTAGGGGTTGTTGTGAAAATTAAATGGCACAATATTCATATAACAGAAGTTTGTATAAATGCAATAGTCTTTCTTTTCCCTTGTCCTTCTAATTAATCCTCTTCTAACCCAAACCTGCACAAGGCAAGACCCTCTTTAAGATAAATCTCATATGGGCCAATCTTAATGCGTCTTGTATCCCAGGGTACCAGGGTTCCAACCGTCATTAATCTAAGCAAGTACAGCCTTGTAGCTCATTGGAAGAGGTGCTTCCAACAATCTCCCAGGATCACTGGAGCACAAGCAGTGACCACCTTGGCCTCTGAGATGTGTTTAAATTTGTAGGTGTCATTTGCTTGTATTTTCTCTAAATGATTTGATTATTCTAAGATCCTTATTATCACTATTTTCCAAAAAAAGATAAGGATTGTTTCTCTCTTCAAGGATGATAGATGTTTTATCATTCCCAAAGGCCATGCTTTTCTTCCTGTGAGGACAAGCCAGCCAAGGATTAGATATTTCACGCATGGGTTTCTTTATGCTCCTGCAAAAGATTGTCTTTCTGTCCACACTTCTTGTGATTCCTTGGGAGTCCATCAGGCATGGCTCAGAGTGTTCACTCTAGTGATTCTTGGGAAGTGCCTCCAGCAGAGCTCAGAGCATTCATGCTATTGATTCTTGGGAAGTCCATCAGGAACAGCTCAGAGCATTCAGTATGCTTGGTTTGGATTCTGTTTGTGTCCACTCCATTGGGCATCTTATACTGAGATGATATAGGAAGACATAAAGCCACAGCTTCTGTGCCCTGGGAACTTACACTCTGGCTTGTGATCTGGGAACTTCCCATCCTAAAATTGGGCATGATAATGGCCACTTTGCAAGGTGGTGCAGATGAAATGCAGATAATACTTAAGTGCCTTGGAGGCTGCAATGAATTGCAACTGAGGCAGCAATGTGACAAGGAAACTGGTATTTGCTGATCACTTACTACCATATCAGGCCCTATCATGACTATTTTAAATGTTTTACCTCATTTTACTTAAGTGTCACAACTTCCTTTATGGAGGTACTAATTGTACTATTTGACAGGTAAGGGAGTCTCAAAGAGTTTGAGCAGCTTTTCCAAGGCCCACAGTAATAGAAGGCAGCAGAGTGGGGATTCAAGTAGAGTTCACTGTGTCTCCCAAGCTATTCTACCACTTCTGCCACACCTTGAAAAATCCTGTCTTTCTCCTAAGCACCTGATTTTCATATAGTTTGAAATTCAAGAAGGATGCAGCCAGTGGGTTGCAAGGGAGGAGTTATACAGTAATGCATATGGCAAATATACCATAGAGACCAAAAAAAAGTTAAAACCATGAACATTTCTTTTATCCTCTATTCATTCCCCCCTGCCCCCCTACACACACACAAATATCCACACATGTCACACATGTACACATACATAGGCACACACATATACAAACAATCCACCTCTTGTTTCTGGCAACAGACACAATCTTGATAAAGGTAGCCTGAAAACAAAGGCAACTCTATCACCCTAACTATGCATGAACACGTAAGAATCAAATAAGTGAATACATGAACACATGAAACATTTTTTCTTAGGCCAGTGGGAGAAGGAATGATGAGTCCTCGAACCACCGTTGAACTGTGTATCCCAAAAAAGGCTGATTAGCTTGAGCAATCAAGGAGGTAGTTTTGTGACAAGATGGCTCAAGAGAAGACAAAGCCAGAAATAGCCTCCCAGAACAATCAAACCCGGCCGGGAGTGGTCACTTATGCCTGTAATCCTAGCATTTTGGGAGAATGAGGCGGGTGGATCACTTGAGGTCAGGAGTTCAAGACCAGCCTGGCCAACATGGCAAAACCCTGCCCCTACTAAAAATACAAATATTAGCCAGGTGTGGTGGCACACACCTGTAATCCCAGCTACTCGGGAGGCTGAGGCACAAGAATCGCTTGAACCTGGGAGGCAGAGGTTGCAGTGAACTGAGATCGCACCACTGCACTCCAGCCTGGGTGACAGAGCAAGACTCCATCTCAAAAAAAAAAAGATCAAATTCATATTAAACAAAACTGAAGTTGAATGAGCTTCGTTTGCTACACACAACTAAGCTTTTGCCAGTTTTATATTATGATAACTATTGTAAATAGTGCTTACTATGAACCAAGTTCTGTGCTGAGTATTTTCAAAAACATTCATTTAATGTTATTTCTTTTTTCGGTTAGCAGCCACATAAAACCAAGGATTTGCCACACAAGAGAATCTTTAGATAATTATTTGGCTCAGTACAATTGGTTCTTAGCTATGTCCAGAATGTCTCTCAGTTTTTTTCTGTCATTTATAAAGAAAATCAAAGTTAAATGGAGGCTTTAAAAACTTCAAGAAAAATGAATCATAAACTCTAAAATGTTTCTTACTTCATCCCATCAACTTTTATTGGAGTTGTAATGATTAGTATAAAATAATAAAGGAGAAATCTGGGCAAAGAAAAGAAGGCTAAGCAAATGAATGAATTTTCTGATGGGTTATGATGTTGGACTCTGGAATTAGGTAACGAGCAAAATGCACATTTTTGTCTTGGGGACATTCAGAATTTGTTGAACCACTCCATGTCTTATTTAGATGAACAGAAATGGGAACATGAAGCATGAACCAAATGGTCTCAGCTTTTCTCTTTCATTTTTCTAAATCACATATCTCCTAGTCATTTTCATGATCTTATTGTTAAAATGATTTTTAAAGATTTATTCTGTTATAGCATCAGGCTGCTCTTGAGTTTTTACTGCTCTAGTAAGTCCCAACATAGTATGAATATCTTGGCCTCCTCCTTCAGATGTGAAGGACAGGTTTCAAAGAGGCTTCGGGAAGAAATCCATCCCTTAATGAGACAGTAGCCTTATAAGACTCCTTTATTGTCTTGATATTATCTTGCAAAATTACAGCTGTTTCTACCACCCTCTAGGTAGTCAAATGATATCAAGTACCATTTCGTGTGTATTTTTTAATCAGATCAATTAGCCAGTTCCAGTCCCATAAAGCCAGCATTTTCAGAGTCAGAAGTGCCAATTTCACCTATAACAGTGTAATATAGAATTACAGAATTATGAGGCCATTGACCTGGTCACTGAAGCAATTGTAACGCTTCATGGGTAGACATCATTATCATCTACAACCAGGGACTTCTAGGTAAAGAATATAGCAATAGTTACCACTCTCTTGGCTTCTCCATGGCTGGGGGTGTGGGTGGGGGGCTGGACCAGTGAAGAAAGGAAGAGTTCTTCCTCCCAAGGATGAAAGATGTTGGGGAGGGTGAGCTGGAAGAATGGTGGTATGGAAGGTTTTTAAAAGTTTTTCTTGAAATTCTCATGTGCCCAGTCTAACCCCGCTATCAAGGAAGGACATAACATTAGGAAATGTATTACCAACCTAGGGTCTTCTGTCACCCCTGGGCAGGTGTCCTCCCAGCCTTGCACTTCTGAAGCCCATCAATCTTAAACGCATGTTAGCATGTTTCCTTGTGAGTCAACTTAACATGATTAAATCCACATTTGTTCAGAGGTCAGTTTGCTTGGGAAGAAGTATGTCAGTGAGACATTCTGCACACTCACCTGTCACTCATAGAATTAATTGCTCTTAATAATAATTTTATTGGTGTAGGAACCAAGATAGAGAAGATGGCCTATTTTGAAATTCAAAAATTACTGAAAATTAGTCTCATTGCAATTATGCCTTGTATCCAAATGGTGTATTTTATTTATTTATTTATTTATTTATTTATTTATTTATTTATTTATTTTTTAAGTCAGAGTCTTGCTTTGTCTTCCAGGCTGAAGTGCAGTGGTGCCATCTCGGCTCACTGCAACCTCCACCTCCTGGGTTCAAGTGATTCTCCTGCCTCAGCCTCCTGAGTAGCTGGGACTACAGGTGCACACCACCACACCCAGCTAATTTTTGTATTTTTAGCAGAGACAGGATTTCACCATGTTGGCCAGGATGGTCTCGAACTCCTGACCCCAGATGATCCACCCACCTCGGCCTCCCAAAGCACTGGGATTACAGGCATGAGCCACCGCTCCCAGCCCAAATGGTCTATTTTAAGGATGCTCTATGCTACTGCCATGCTACAGAATGCATGAATTTAACAACAGAACAGTGGTTAAATTTCTTCATCCACTAATGCAAAATGAACAGGTTATCCCAGTTGAGAATTTTCTTTTACAACTATATTAATATATACTAATAAAAGATGTGCTAGAAAATTTTCTTTAATCAAACTAAATTTATCCAAAAATGAAATGGGCTCCCAATTGAGGACTTGATTTCCCCCAACACTGGAAATATTCAAGCAGGAGTTAACAGCTTATACCTGAGAGATATTAGTGAGTTAAACTGGCATTAGTAAAGATTGGAGCAAGATGACAAATACAATTCATTCCACCTAGAAGATTCTGTAATCTCACCTACAATCTTTGATAAAAAGACAGAGTGGCCAGGCGTAGTGGCTCATGCCTGTAAGCCCAGCACTTTGGAAGGCTGAGGCGAGCAGATCACCTGAGGTTGGGAGTTCAAGACCAGCCTGACCAACATGGAGAAACCCCGTCTCTACTAAAAATACAAAAAATTAGCTGGGTGTGGTGGCGCATGCCTGTAATCCCAGCTGCATAAGAGGCTGAGGCAGGAGAATCACTTGAACCTGCAAGGTGGAGGTTGCGCTGAGCCGAGATCACACCATTGCATTGCAGCCTGGGCAAGAAGAGTGAAACTCGTGTCTCAAAAAAAAAAAAGACAGAGTACAGTTACAGTTTAGGCAATTAACTAGATAATTGTTTTAGTTATAAGCATCTTCTACATCTTGTAGAAATGTAAGAATCTTTCAGTGCCTTTTACCTTACAGTCAAAATGGAGAGTCTAGGAAAGCACTGTGGTTTTCCTCCCCCTCACCTAGGAAGAGTTCTTAGGACTATCCCAGGCATGGAAACATGGAAGGCTGGAAGCTCTGTCCATCACCTCTGTAAACGAACTTCCCTGATCATCTCTCTGTGGATAAGAAATCTGAAATAGATTTGTTTTGCATGTGATCAGACTGGGGTTTCTCAGCTTCTTTGTGGTGGATCTAAAAACCCATTGACCCTCATGACTATGATTTCATTTCTGAATATGTCTTTCAAGATAATTCAGGGCCAGAATCCCCAGACATGAACAAAATGAAACACAAGTTTATCCTGCTCCACTTCCTTGGAAGGAATGGGTCTGAACTTCATCAAATCAAACAGGAATTTTCATTTTTGAAATGATTTGTTTATCATTTGAAGATTGTGGTCACTCTCCTTCTGTTGCATTTAAATAAAATCTACTGTCTTTTGTTTTCTTCCCTATTATCAGTTCACCCATCCTGGCCTAAAAAGGGGCTCATTATTTTGCATTGCATTGTGATGAGGATCCATTCATCAATCAGGAAAATATAGCAGTGGCATTTTATTAAACTAATTTTTAGGCTGTTTCTAATGTCCATTCTTTGCCCATATGCTTTACTTTCATTCTAACCAAGATTTACATAGGCTTAAATTTTTAACACATTCCCTTTCTGTATATCATAAATTGCATCACTGAAATATACCCAAGAAATCTGATCATGCACCTATGAACAAGATAGCCTTACTCTGAAAATAGCAAGGAAGCAGTAGCCAGTGAGTCCCTGCATTCTAGAGCAAAACTCACTGGATTCTCTATTTGCAATCTGTGAAGGTGTGGTTGAGTTACTCAGTTATTCAAACCCTCAGTTTCTTTATCTACAAAGTGAGGATATTATAAACAAGACCTTCTTCAAGAGTTGCAATAGTTAAATGAGAACATTCATGTAAAGCGTGTATCACAGCACCAGCCTTGCACTAGATATTAGTCCTTATTATTCAAATTCCTTATCCTAGATTTTGACCTTTTTTTGAATCAACTAAGACCCTAAAGATTGAGAAATAATAATATTCCAAATCCTAATCTAAGATCTCCGAAGAAGTATTTGTAATTTGTTCCAAGTGTCTGAATTTTGCCACCAACTGACTATGACAAGCTCTTTCACATCTCTGATCCTCAAGTTTCCTATCTGAAAAAAATATATATCTATATACATATGTGTGTGTGTGTGCACGTGCGTGTGTGTGTGTGTGATTGCCAAGTTCTCTTGTAGACCAAGGGCTCAGTAAATTACAAGGGTTCACAGGTCATTTCCAAGAACACTTTTCCTAAGGATCCTAGAAAAGTTAAGAATTCTACCCGGTGGTGGGTAATCTTTCAAGAAGCAAGGGGAATAATGAGAGTGGGGTCTTCTTCCAAGTTAAAAAACACACAGGAGGTCATAATTTCTTTAGAAGAATCTTTTATAACATGGTGGAAAAATCAGTCAACACTTTTGGGGTCACCGCTGAGTGCAAGGTACAATACTGTACAGAGGAATAGAAGACAGCATCCTGCAAGGCAACACCATTGAAAAGGCAAGCTTCACATAGAAGAAAGTATAGAAATAAAATAAGTATAATTAATTGATTGACAGTAGGTAACATTTATATAGGATTATCGTGGAAGGCACTGTTCTAAGCATCTTATATATATTACCTCATTTCATTCTCCCAGTAACCCTTATGAGATAATTCCTATTATTGTATCCATTTTCTAGATAAGGAAACTGAGACATAGAAAGCTTAAAGATTTTGTCCAAGGTTGCATAGGTGTTAGAGCTGGGATTCAAATCCACTTAATCTAGCTCTTGATTAGTTCATGCTCACAACTGAGATATAAAAGGATAAGTGGGGCCAGGTGAGGACAGAACAGAGATGAGACAAGGAGTCCTTAACTTTGGCAGGCAATAAGCACACAACTAACTTAATAAAGCTATGAGCCAGAGTGTTCAGACCTTTACAAGTCAAGAGGAAGTTAAATGAATCACTAATCAATCTCAGTACTCTATCATTCTGAGCCAATTAGGAATTTTCTTTTCGAAGTCCTGCTCTCCTTGCATTTCCAGAGTAACAATGCACCACATTCTGAAACACAGCATTTTATATTTGATGATGTCAACTTCACAATTATAAGATTCTTCTTTTATGTGATTATGCTAAGCACTGAAGTTCAAACAGGAAAATAATAGAATGCTTCAAACTTATGAACTACATTAACGCCAAACTTATGAACTATATTAATGTTCCCATTTGACAGATAAGAAAAGTGAGGTTCAAAGAAATTGGCTTTGCTCACAATAAAATAGTGACAAATCTAAAAGCAAAGTACGTCTCCGTACTTTGTCTCCACCCAATTTGCCATCTGAAGAAAATTGAAAATATAATATCTTACGCAACTTTAGTCTGGACAAATGATGATTATGTCACATTTTTTAAGTCATCAGTAAAAAACCTTCATAAAAGTAGTCACAGAGACTCAGGCTTGGGATCTATAGGAAGGGATCTTTTCATAGGATCATGGGCCAATAATGGAAAGGAAGCCTTTGCAAAGCAATGAGCTCTCAGGCTCAGGATCTGAGTGTTCAACTTGAGGGTGTTTAGAATCCTGAGATGCCCTGCTTAGGACCAGAGAAAAGAAACCCACTTTCCCAGATAAAGCAGAGAAGGTCATCGGATGATAATCAACAGACATTTGAGGAGACATCAAGAATGTTATGAAAAGGATTTCTGAATTGGGAAGGCAATGGTCAATTACAGCTCCAGGATGCTGTGATGATGATAGTGATGATGACAGGTGGTGATGTTCATGATGATGATGGGTGGATGACATAAAAGAAGAAAAGAGCCAGGCACGGTGACTCATGCCTGTAATCCCAGCACTTTAGGAGGCCGAGGTGGGCGGATCACAAGGTCAGGAGTTTGAGACCAGCCTGGTCAACATGGTGAAACCCCATCTCTACTAAAAATACAAAAATTAGCCAGGCATGGTGGTGGGCACCTGTAATCCCAGCTATTCAGGAGGCTGAGGGAGGAGAATCACTTGAACCCAGGAGACAGAGGTTGCAGTGAGCCGAGATTGCACCACTGCACTCCAGCCTGGGTGACAAGAGCAAGACTCCATCAAAAAAAAAAAAAAGAAGAAGAAAGAAGAGGAAGAGGAGAGGAGGAGGAGGAGGAGGAAGAAGGAAGAAGGAAGAAGAAGAAGAAGAAGAAGAGGAGGAGGAGGAGGAGGAATTTTAGTGTACTGATTAACTACACTAAAATGATTATTACTGCTGTTTTTAAATTTTCATTATCAAATCTACGCAACCATGCTGGTTTGAAATTAACCAGTAGCCGGCCGGGTGCAGTGGCTCACGCCTGTAATCCCAGCCCTTTGGGAGGCCGAGGCAGGTGGATCACCAGGTCAGGATATCGAGACCATCCTGGCTAACATGGTGAAACCCCATCTCTACTAAAAATACAAAAAAATAGCCAGGCGTGGTGGCAGGCGCCTGTAGTCCCAGCTACTCGGGAGGCTGAGGCAGGAGAATGGAGTGAACCTGGGAGGCAGAGCTTGCAGTGAACCGAGATCACACCACTGCACTCCAGCCTGGGCGACAGAGCGAGACTCTGTCTCAAAAAAAAACAAAAAAACAAAAAAAAATAAACAAAATAAAAAAAAAACAGTAAGCCAAGGATGAATAATTAGATCCTCTGTAATTGGTTGTTAGAAGGAATTCAAACATTTATCTTTCTTTGAATTAACTGCTTTGTGGCTAATTAATTTTCAAGCTGCTCTGTGTAGGCCTCTATGATTGTGACCTGTTCTTGGGTAGCACTATTGGTAACTATTAATAATATTAATAATATGGGCTTTCTGTGGTTTTATCAGGGTTGAGGATGGCTTAAAGTGATTCTTCAGAGCCATGTTCCTGGTTTCCCTCCAGATAACAAGCAGGTTGCCAGCAAGTGGACAGAGGCCTCAATACTGGAGAGTAGAAAAAGCATTGCCCTGCAAAAGCAATAACTGTGCAGTCTCTGAACAGCATTGTGCTTCATCCAGAGAGCTCAACAACTACAGGATATTCTCCAAACCTTAGCTATGACACTAAGAAGTGGGGTTCAGTCTAAAACCCAGACCACCCCAAGAAGTCAGAAAAGAATAAAAATCATGTAACTGTTTATTGCAAACACCATACCAACAACAGATTGGACTGATTTTATTATTTCTTGACCTGACTGAAACCTTGTCTTGGTATTGTGGACATAGAGCCTAAGATGTTGTGAGACCTCTATTTGCCAGCTTCTTGTTTGAAGTAACCATGAAATGCAAATCAGAGATTACAAAGTTCCAAAGTGACACTTAGTTTTCTATCCCCCAAAAATAAAATAACCTGCCTGCTACTAGTCCTCTCTCTCATTAAGGTCAAATGTGGGGCTTGGTTTAGGCTAATTCTAAGGTCTTTTTCAGTTTTAAAAACTTTCCCACCTTCTGGAGGAAGTAGATATTCCCCAGCTTAGTAACTCCAAGATAGTTCAAGAGAGTAGGCAGAAGTAAGGCAAATACACATTGAGTGCTGACCTTCTAGAAGCTTTTAAAGCTAGACAATGAAATTACTGAGTACTCTGGATAATCAAAATAAAGTTACCACCATTCCCCAGGGCTGCCTTGAGCAGACACGAAGGGCATCAAGCATATTGGTCTATTAGTCTTGGTTTCTCTTCTGTGAAATGAAAAGGCTACACTAGCTGGAGATCTCTTAGGCTATTTTCTATTTTAAGAGCCTGAGAATTTATTTTTAATAAAAAAAAGGAGGCAGAAAGACTTCCTGGTAAAACATTTCCCTGTGTTCCCAAACTTAACACGAAACAGTGCAAGATCCTTAAATGACTTAAGTTTACTCATGAAGAAAGTCAATGCAAATTTGATTTGCTGCATATATGGATGTGCGCTCTTCTGTTCTGTTAAAATAATGTTAGTTCAGAGGGAGGGGAAGAACTGGATAAGCTCATGCAAAGTATCCCTCCCATTGTATTTACTCCTGGGCTCTCACTGGAAAGTTGGCAGGAGGGATGGGGATAATGCTCTGTGAAGGTTTTATTAAGATATGAATTATTCTTAATTTAAAAAAAATCTAATTGCCTTGTTTCTTCTTGATGTTTCCCTCAACCTCAAACACTGCACTCTGCTGCAAAGTAACTCATTCTCTCTTTTTTTAATTACAGTATTCTCAAATGAGGGATGAAGTGTTCAAGTCAAACTTGGTCTGTGCATTTATCGTTCTTCTATTTATCACGGCAATACAAAGTTTGCTTCCTTCTTCAAGGTAAATGTAAAAGAACTAATTGATCTGGTGAAATATCTTTGTGAGATTCCTCATGTGGAGTCAGCCAGCTGACTTTTCAAAGAATCAGAATTTAAAATAACTGAGTCCAGGACGCATACCAAAATGTTTGACAGTATCAATGTCTATTCCGGTTGTCTTACTCTGCTAATAATCTCAAAACTCTGTCCAGACAATAATCTTTTTCCCAATCTTAATAAAAACAACAACCAAAATTAAAATAGGCCCCACTCTTATTTGACATGACACTCATGAATGCAGAAAATAGGTATAAGAACCTCAACACCATTTACTTGTGCTTTTGTTAGTATAATTCATTCACAGATACAGCATCGTAGCTCCTTGGGTCCGCAAAATCAACACTTTAATAATAATGCAAACACCTGTTTGTGGCCAGCCACTGTTCTACTTTACGTACAAAAACTTCTGGAATCCCCATGACAACCTTATGAGGTAGGTGCCATGATTATCCTCATTTTAAAGAGGAGGGAACTGAGGCTCATAATAGTTAAATAAATTCCCTAAGATCCCATAGTTCAAGATGTTACTGCCTAGATTCAACCCAGGAAGACTAGCTCTAGAGTCTGGGTTCTTAACCCTCTATTAAACACATATTGTCCAGGTTATAGATGCTCTAGCCAGGATTTGAACCTAGTTCTGGATTAGTCCAATAGCTATGCTTTTTCCTCTCCTCTAAACTATAAGCTAGCTCCTGCCTCTTTTCTCAGCTAAATTGCCTTCTCCCTATACTTACTATGAGTTTTCCCCTTTCACATGATTAAAAATAATATCAACAAATATTTTTTAAATACTTAATATAGGCTAAGGAACATTATAGCCCCTGAGGATGACACAGTTTTGGAAGAAGAGGTTCTGTAACCTCTAAGACATAATTTAGTAGGTGACAAAGACATTAACAATGGCTCCCAGTTACTGAGCACTTATACATGCCAGGAAAGTACTACATCTTTTCCATGGATTGTCTCAAAAAGCCTCAAAAATAACTGATGAGTGAGGCAGCATTCCAATTCCCATTCGTAGATGAGGATTTATCCCAGGTCACATGTCTGTGTAATATCTGAGCTGAAATTTGAACCCAGAGACCAAGTCTGTGCTTTTAGTTACTAGACTGCTTTGCATCAAAATTAGTGATTCATTCTGACCACATGACTCAAGGAAAAATTTGCAGAAAAGGTTTTGATTTCACTAAGATGAGAGAGGAAAAAGTAGGAGAGTATTCCATTTGGAAAACTGCTCTGGCAAGGCCATACAAGTGAGAAAGGCCTTGTGTTTATAGAATAGTGATTAAATGTAAGAGCCAATAGCAAAGGGCTTGTGCAAGAATATAGTAGACACTATGGCTGAAAAAGAAGAGAACCAGCAGAAGTTCAATGTTCATAACTATGTTAAAGACTTTGGAATTGATTCTGAGGGTGAGAAGGGGCCCCAGGAGATTTTTAGGAAGATTGTAGCATGATGCTGTGGAAGAAAGATGTTCAAGTTAACTAATATGCAAGGGCAGGCCATGCTTGACCTTCCCCCTAATTAGCAGAGGACATTAGAAAGAGAGAGGGGATTCCGGGAAGATGATGGGACAGATGGTATATTTCTTAATCTCTCAGAATTCTTACGAATCTGACCAACTAGATAGCAAAACCAAAAACCTCATGGACTATATTTATAATAAACAAGGGTGATAGACCCATACATTCCAATATAGAAGTGGGTAGCAACAATCCCCCAATAGCCCCAAAATCTGTGTGATATCAGTACCTGTATGGGAGAAAGCAGAAAGAAGTACTGGGCATGTCACACCGGGGAACAAAAGGATCTCAATACAGCCAACAGATATGCACTGAGAAGTGCTGTGAGCCAAATTAAGAAAGCAAATGAAAGTGGGAAGGAGTTTGCCCAATCCAATAACCTTTTGAAAGGCATGAAGAGCTGGAACCATCAAGACACTATGAACTCGTGAAACTGATCATCTAATCTCCCTCTCATGATAAAGGCCTGAAAGGAACTGTGTGAGTGAAATCAAAATCACTTACAATAAGGGCTATACAGGTTAAAGTGGGAAGGAATTCTAGCTATGATGTTTTGAAACACTGCATGAAAGCAACCAAAGAGAAAGCTCTATAGAGTTAAAAAAATAAATAAACAACCCATGCTCTTTCTAGAACTCTGAACCATGCTCTTTCTAAAAGTTCAGGGAAGTGTTTTACACAAAAATGAGCAACAAAATATATTGATGGCAATACTATACTATTATAAAAAATAAGAGAATAACAAGTAGAATAATCTTCTTATAGTCATTGAAAGTGCTCCAGAAAGACATGCTCACAAAATATATCAAAACTTTAACCTATTCTTTTAAAAGAAGCTGAAGCACTTAATGTTGTTCAAGACATGAAATAACAACCTAACCAAAATTAGAAAAACTTAGAAATTTGGAAAGACAGCTCAAGAAATAAATAAAAATTTTAAAATATATATATTTCAGAAATGAAGACAGCAAAAGAGAACAAACAGCACATAAACGCAGCAAAAATTACTTAAGAAATATAGAAAGTGAAAGAAAGAACATCATTTTTTAAGTCAAAAAGAAAATTTAAAAGATTGACAGAGCCTTCTTCCCCACACCTTAATGTCACACCAACAAGGACCCTGTATACTAACCACGGATACTAACAGCTGAAAGAACTGCAAGACACAGATTCTTTCTGAGGAAGAGTACTTAGGGAAGCCCATATCAAGAGGGGAAACTAATACACTAGAGGAATTTGAAGCTACTGGAACATACAACTATAGCAAACCTTAACCATAGCTTAACTCCCAGCCAGAGTGATATAAATCCTCACAGAAAATATCTATTTACTTCATTTTCTATTACCTGATACAATATGAACAGTTTTCAACAGAAAATTACAAGGCACACCAAAAAAAAGAAGAGGCAAAGCAATCATCAGAATCAAACTCAGATATAACAGTGTTAAAATTATCATACAGGGAATTTTTAATAACTTATTAATATATTAAAGGTTCTAATAGAAGTAGGCAATGTGCAAGAAAAAATGGGCAATATAAACAGAGAGATGGAAACTCTAAGAAAATCAAAGGAAATAAAAGGAAAGGATAAAAATTTAAAAACACCTAACAGAAATAATGAATGCCTTCAATGGGCTCAATAGTAGGCTCAGAAAGGCCAAGGAAATAATCAGTAGGCTTGAAGACAGGTCAATAGAAACTTCCCTAACTGAAATGCAAAGACAAAAGTGAATGGGGGTTGGGCAGGGGACACGGGTCAAAGCATCCAAGAACTCTGGGATGATTTCAAAAGAAGAAATATACACATAATTAGATTACCAAAAGGAGAAGAAAGGAGAGCTAAGCAAAATAAATATTTAAAGTAATAATGGCTAAGAATGTTCCAAAATTAATAATAGACAACAAACCACAGAATCACAGAAACACAGAATTTTAAAGGTTAAATACTTTGGTTAAATAAAAATAACCAACCAGGATAAACATCAAAAAAAGATATTGTATTCAGACTGCAGAAAATGCAAGACAAAGGGAAAATCTTAGAGGATACCACAGTGAAGGACATCATCTTACCAGAAGGAAGGACACTGCCTTACCTGTAGAGGAACAAGGATAAGAATTACATCAGACTTTTTGTCAGAAACCATGTAAGCAAGAAGAGCGTGGAGTCAAGCATTTAAAGTATTAAAAGAAAAACCATCAACCTAGAATTCTATATCCTTTATAAGCAGAGAAAAAATACTTTCTCAGAAAAACAAAAACTACATTTTTAGCCAACATTCCCTGCAAGAAATGTGAAAAATTTCTTCAAACAGCAGGAAAATAATGTAGATTAGAAACTTGGATCTCCATAAAGAAAGAGCATCAGAGAAAAAATAAATGAAGTTAAGTAAAATGTTTTTATCTTAATCTTAATTGATCTAAAACATTATTTTTTGTTTAAAGCAACAATATTAACAATGTATTTGGTGGTTATAAATATGGATAAAAGTGAGATGAACAATAGCAATGTCACAAGGGACATAAGGAAGGAATTGGTAATGCTTTATTTTAAGGTAACTGCATTATACATGAAGTGGTATGAAGGCTGAGTTACATTAATTTAAAATGCATATTTTAAGCTCTTGAGCAAACACTAAAAAAACGTTTTTAAAGAGAGAAATATAATTGATATGCTAGGAAAAAATAAAATTAAATCATATAAAATGCTCAATCAAAATCAGAGAGAATGTTAAACAAGGTGAACAAACAAAGAATAAATGCAATGGATGAAAAAGATAGTTACAAAGATGATGGATGTTAAACCAAGCACAAAAATATTACTCTTTGATGTTAATGGTCTCAAGATACCAATTACAAAGCACAGCTTGTCAGAGTAGATAAAAAAAAAAAGGCCCCAATAGATGTTGTATACAAGAAGCCCACTATAGGTATAGACTCAAATAAGTTAAAGAAATGAAGAAATATACCATGCTAACATTAATGAAAAAAAAACTTAAGTAGCTATATCAATTTCACACCAAATAGACTCAGAACAAGGAAAATTATCAGAGATAAAAATGGAAATTACATAGTGATTAAAAAATCAATTCTCTAAGAAGAACGAGCAATATGAACATTTATGTGCCTAACAAGAGAATGTCAAACTACATAAGGCAAAAACAGATAGAATTGAAAAGAAAAATAAATAAACCCACTATTATAGTTGGAGACTTCAACATCCCTCTGTCAGTAATTAATACATCATGTAGGCAGGAAATCATTAGAGATATAGATAACCTGAATTTACCTAATCAATATTAATAGACTATTCCACCCAATGGAAGAATACAGATTCTTCTCAAGCTCACATGAACAGTAACCAAGGTAGACCCCATTCTGGGCCATAATACACCTTCATAAATTTAAAAGAAGAAAAATAACACAAAGTATGTTCTCAGATCATAGTAGAGTTAAACTAAAATTCAATAATAGAAAGATAGCTAGAAAATCCCAAAACACTTGGAGATTAAATAACACACTCTTCAATCACACGTGAGTGAAAGATTTCAAGAGACATTTAAAAATATTTTGGGCCAGGCGCGGTGGCTCACGCCTGTAATCCCAGCACTTTGGGAGGCCGAGGCGGGCAGATCACGAGGTCAGGAGATCGAGACCATCCTGGCTAACACGGTGAAACCCCGTCTCTACTAAAAAATACAAAAAATTAGCCAGGCGTGGTGGCCGGCGTCTGTAGTCCCAACTACTTGGGAGGCTGAGGCAGGAGAATGGCGTGAACCTGGGAGGCGGAGCTTGCAGAGAGCCAAGATTGCGCCGCTGCAATTCAGCCTGGGAGAGTGAGACTCGGTCTAAAAAAACAAAACAAAACAAAACAAAATTGAACTAAATGAAAATGAAAACACAACTTACCAAATTTGTGGGATGCCATGAAAGCAGTGCTTAGAAGAAAATTTACATTAAATGCATATATTATAAAAGAAAAGAGATCTAAAATTAATAACAATCTAAGCTTCTACCTTGGGAAACTACAGAACAAAAAGCAATTTAATCTTGTAACAAAAAGGAGAAAATAAATTCTACCAATTAGGGCAAAAATCAATAAAACTGAAAACAGGAAAACAATAAAGAAAATTAACAAAATTAAAATCTAGTTACTACCGACCAATATCTCATAAACATAAACATAAAACCTCTCAACAAAATATTAGCAAATGAAATCTAACAATGTATAAAAAGAAGCATACGCCATGCTCCAACAGAACTTCTCCCAGGTATATAAAGTTTATTCAACATTCTAAAATCAAACAATAGTGGTTAACTATATTAGTAAGTTAAAGAAGGAAAATCATATGATCTTATCAATTGCCAAATAAATGCATTGGATAAACTTCAACGTCCATTTATGTTAAAAACTCTCAGAAAACTAGCAGCAGAAGGGAACTTCTACAACTTGATAAAGAATATCTCCCAAAAAAAAAAGCTATAGATAACATCATCTTTAGTGGAAAAAGACTGCAGCTTCCCCCCAATATCAGAAACAAAACAAAAATACACTCTCACCACCTGTATTTAATATCATGTTGGAAGTCCTAGCTATTGAAACAAAACAACAAAAAGAAATAAAAGGCATACATATCAGAAAGGAAGAAATAAAACTATGTTTATCTACCAATGACATAACTTTCTATACAGAAAATCCCAAAGGACCCACCAAAACATTTCTAAGACTAATAAACAAATAAGTCACAGAATACAATGTCAATATACAAAAGTCAATTGTTTTCCTTTATATCAGCCATCTAACGTTGAAATTTGAAATTAAAGAAACAATATTATTTACAATAGCACCAAAAATGAAATACTTAAATATAAATTTAACAAAATTTGTACAAGAAATCTTCAAAACACTGATGAAATAAATCAAAGATGTAAATAAATGAAGAGATATTCTGTGTTCATGGATTGGAAGACTTGCTATTGTTAAAATGTTAATTTTTCCCAACTTGATCTATAGGTCAATGCATTGTCAATCAAAACTTCAGCAAGCTGTTTTATAATATCAACAAACCAATGCTAAAGGTTGTATGAAAAGACAAAGAATATAGCATAGCCAACACAATACCATAAAAGAATAACAACAAAGCTAGAGGATTAATACTACCTGATTTCAAAACTTACTATAAAGCTACAGTATGATGCTAAAGAAAGAATAAACACATCGCTCAATAGAACAGAAAGAAAAGCCCCAAAATACACCCACACAAATATAATCAATTGATTTGTAGCAAAGATGTTAAGAAAATTCCATGGAGAAAGGATATTCTTTTTAACTAATGGTACTGATAAAATTGGATGCCCAATTCTCAGCAAACTAATACGGGAACAGAAAACCAAACACCGCATGTTGTCACTCATAAGTGGGAGTTGAACAATGAGAACACATGGGCACAGGGAGGGACACATCACACACCGGGGCCTGTTGGGGGTGGGGGGCAAGGGAAGGGAGAGCTTTAGGACAAATACCTAATGCATGCAGGGCTTAAAACCTAGACGATGGATTGATAGGTGCTCCAAACCACCATGGCAGATGTATACCTATGTAACAAACCTGCACGTTCTGCAAATGTGTCCCAGAACTTAAAGTAAAATAAAAAAATAAATTAAGAAATTGGGTATCCATATGCAAAAACTTGAACCTATACACAGACCTTAAACCTTCACAAAAATTAACACAAAATGGTTTATATACCCAAATGCAAAACTATAAAATTTCTGGAAGAAAACACAAATAAAATTTTGGTTTTGAATTTGGTGATGAGTTTTAAGACACACCACCAAAATTATGATCCATGAAAGAAAAAAATTGTAAGTCAGACTTTACTGAAATTTAAAATGTCTGATCTGTGGAAGACACTGTTTGAGAATGAAAACACAAACCACAGACCAGAAGAAAATATTTGTAAAACATGTGTCTGGGAAAAGATTTCCACCCAAAATATTCAAAGAACTCCCAAAACTCAACAACTAGAAAACAACCCAATTTTTTAAATGGACAAAAGATTTAAACAAACAACTCACCAAACAAGATATACAGATACCAAATAGGCATGTGAAAAATGCTCAACATCATTGGCCATAAGGGAAATTTAAATTAAAACAATGACCTACCACTACATACCTAGTACAATGACTAATATATAAATAAATAAATAACTGTCAATACCATTTGCTGGAGAAAACAACAACAACAACAAAAACTCTGTGGCATATCCAGACAATGAAGTAAGATTCCATTTTAAGAAGGAATAAGATATCAGCCACACAAAGACATCAATGAACCTTAAATGCATATTCCTAAGTGAAAGAAACCGTCTGAAAGGCTTTATATATATTATTCCATTTATATAATGTTCTGGAAAAGACAAAACTATAGAAATGGTAAATAGATCGTTAGGTGAGAGGAGCTTGGGGAATGAGGGAAAGGAGAATAAAAGAGATGAAGTCCAGCATATTTTTTAGGGTAGTGCATTCAGTATACTGTAATGGTATATACCTGACACCATGCATTTATCAAAACTTATAAAACTTTACAGCACAGAGAATGAACTTTAATATATACAGGCTTTAAAACATTTTATTTAGGAGTTTAGGGGATCCCATGATGGAATCAGACTGTGACAAAAGAATCTAACTGTATTAAAAGTGTATGAAGCAACCTCCCTGAAGGGGATGTGGGGAGTAAAATGGTGTACTAAGTAGCTTTGAAAATGAGAGAAGTCTGTAGGATTAAAGGCAAGAGAAACTGCACTTAAGCACTGTGCTGTAGTTGATATAGGAATTTCCCATTGAGGCATGGGTTAAGAATTTGCAACACCTATATAGGTATACTGGAACTAAACAATTGTGTAAGTGGATGGCAGATGGTGGGAGTCAGTTTTCTCATTGTTGGAATGGAAGTTTACATGCAAATGAAGGGAGAAAGTTAGAAATATCCTGGTGGTAATGGATTAGAGTTGGAGACATCCATATGAACTCATGTATAGCTTAATATAGATAGAGATGGTTACATGTAGGAATATTTATAGATATGTTTATATGCACAGGTTAGAATGTATACATACATTTCCTTCCTCTGTCAGTGGAGAGGGCCTGGAAGCAATGACACCTCAGTGGTAATGAGCACATCTACCACTCACATCTTGGTTTCTAATGCCGATATCCAATAAAAGGAACCAGGGCTCCTTGGAGAACTGTCTGAGTCTAACAGTGAGACAGGAAATATACAAGATTAGCCTTGGCGATCTTGTAGGGCCAGAAAATAAGAATGTGCTAAAACATACATACATACACATGCATACACACACACACACACACACACACACACATATACATGATAATGGGAGTATTTCAAAGGGACACAGGAACCAACAAAAGAGCCCCCGAGGGCCAAAGCTGGAATAAATTGAGCAACAAAATAAACAATGTAATATTTATTTATAATCCACAATATAAAATAAATATCCACAAGTTCATACTAATATAAATTAATGATATGTCTCCCATGCAGAGAAAGTCTACATATTTTATGAAGATAATTCATCCTCAGTGAGGAGGAATTTAATTCCCCACTCCTTAAGTATGGGCAACAGCAAAAGTGACTTTCTTCCAAAGAGTAAACTATGTACAGGGGGCAAATATGGAGAAACCTCACAAGCACTACCTCAGCCAGGGGATAAAGATTAATACCAACAGTGATAAGTTATGTTAATGGGATCTAGTAAGTATGGCATATAACCTCTGTGGTCTTCCTCCCCAAACCCGTAATGTAATCATGAAGAAAATTTCAGACAAATCTCAATTGAGGGACAGTCTACAAAACACCTCACCAGTATTCCTCAAACCTGTCAAAGTCATGTAAAACAAGGGAAGTCTGAGAAAATGTCACAGCAAGGAGGCACCTAAGGAGACATAACAACTAAATGGAAGATGATATCCTGGACTGGAGAAACACCTATGGGGAGATTTAGAAAGAATGACCAACTCAGCATCCATGAGCATACCTCAGGGCTAGATTATGGTCTTGAAGTAACATATCTGTTTTTTAAAAAACAATTTTGGAGATATGGCTAATTTTAGGGCTGGAACAGGAAATGTGCTAGATGAGCCTAGAACATCTTGTCCTACAAGAAAGCAAGGATGCCATCAAACACTATTAGGATCATATCAAAAGAATGCAGGAGCCACATTATAGAAGTTCCCACTGTCCAAAGATGGAATAATTTGAGCTGCAATGGGGATAATTATTAAAATACTTATCAAAACCCAGCAAATATATTTAGCTTTATGAGTTTGTAATGATTTTTTTAAGTTTGTAGTGTTTAGTGGATGATAGGGAAATGGTTGATTATCTGGAAAACTTGTAAAAAAGTGAGAGAAACCAGTGGCTTTTCACCATAAGATCACTAAATAGTAAGTGAGGGAAATATCATAAAAGTATCCTAGCTATAACATTTTAAAGAAATAAAAGAATTAAAATATCATCATATTCCAACCCATAATGATTTAATGAATCTACAAATTGAGCATCAGAGGATGCTATCAACACAAACAAGAGAGACAGCCATACCTCCTGGTGGGGGCGCACACCACCTATGGTCTTGCCAATGGGATCAAACCTAAATTTGGTCAGGCCTTTGATTCCAGCTTCCAATTTTCAGGAATTATAGAGGACAGAGAATGTTGACTAAGTACACACCAGTAAAATCCAGACAGTGAGAAATGCTACGGGTCAGAGGCATGTGTTTTTCGATAAATACGTTGTAAGGAAGATAAAAGGATAAAGAGACAAGTTACAGATTTTAAGATTTAAAAGACAAATCAGATTTAATAAAAATGGATGAGACTAAACTGTAGTGTCTATAAAGAAAGGATAAAACTAATAAAGAAATGGAAATGGAAAGTGATTAATGGGGGTTGACAGAGAGGATTATCATTGGGACAGGGCTCATGGATGGGCTTTTGTTTTTATTTTTATTTTTATTTTATTATTACTTTAAGTTTTAGGGTACATGTGCACAATGTGCAGGTTAGTAACATGTGTATACATGTGCCATGCTGGTGTGCTGCACCCATTAACTCGTCATTTAGCATTAGGTATATCTCCTAATGCTATCCCTCCCCCCTCCCCCACCCCACAAATGGATGGGCTTTTGGTGTGCCCTGCAAAGTTCTATTTCAGGAATTGATGGTCATTACAAAGGCAGACACTTTATAAGAACTAATTAAGCTATACTTTTGTGTGGTTTTCTTTATTTATGCTTCGTTTTACCATTTTTAAAAAGTTACTAATGACTTTTGCCAAATGTGGGCTAGGAGTCCTCCCACCAACAGCCATTGGTGGTTATTATGTTCCAGACTTATTCCAAACACTAGGAATAAATCTCAAGACAAAAAAAAAAGATGACAAGAACAAAATCCCTGCCCTCCTGGACTGTATAATCTGGTGGAATGAGACTAAGACATAAGGAATATATATGTATCTGTCCAGGTGTATATACTATATATGTAGCTACTTATATCCTACGAAGGTAGACACATATGTAGATATGTATATGCTATGTATGTCGATATTTATGTGTTATCCAATTAATAAATCAGAAGAAGGGTACCAGAGAATACCAGGAAAGAATGAGTTTCTTGACTACCTAAGAGACAATGAGGACTAGGGTCCTGACCGAAGGCACCTCGGGGTGGCGAGCTGTGAGTGTTGGTGGGGCCTGGCAGGATTCAGCCAAACCTGCTGGGCTCCTCTAGTCACTCTTGTCAATGGGAAGGTGGTAGCCAAGAAGGGCCCGGCCGTGTCTGTTGCTTCCTCTGGACTCCTAGAGCTCAAGGTGTTAACATTCCTGGCAAACACTCAACAAACATCAGTGTGACAGTTTGTGCTGGATAGTGATGGGGATATACAGTCAGGGTCTCTGCCATCATAAAGCTGACCATCTAGTAGGGCTAAAAGACAATTAGCTGAACAGCTATCATATGGGGTGATGACTATTGTGATAGGAAAGGTGTAAGCTGGGATTCGATGTGTGGGAGTTGGGGTGAGGCAAAAGTAGTCCTTTTGCCTCTGGGGCAGGCTTCCCAGAGGAGATGACAGTGACAGCTCACCTGGCTCCTAAAGGAGCTCACCAGGTCATGGAAAAAGACTGAGAAGGATTAAGGGGAGGAAGGGCTGGAAATAGAGCATTCTGAAGGATAGGAGTTGTGAAGTTCATTGAGGCGTTGTGACTGGTTGGCAGAGGAGTCTTCATTAAAGCATTTTAATGAAAGAGATGATGTGATCAGATTCATGTTTAGAAGGATCATACTGAACGGGGATGATGGAGAGGTGGGAGTGAAATCTGGATTTGGGATGACCAATTAGGAGGCAACTGCAAATAAAAAATCTGGCACAAAATAATAAGGAGAAGAGAGTGGCAGAAGGGTGGACAGGAGAGGAAGAATTTTTAAGATATTTAGGGCAGAGAGTTGACGGTTCACAGTGACTGGCTGGATGTGGGGGATGAGAGAGATGGAGAAGACCAGGATGAGCCCGCGGATCTGGACTTGGCACTGGACAGGAGAAGGGGCCACTGTCCTCCACGAGAAGCGAGCCTCACACTTCCCAGCGGGCCTGGGCTGGATTTCTTTCTAGGTGGTGTGACGGGGTGGGGGAGGGGAGCAAGCCTTGATGCCCTGGTTCCTGGGGTTCAGGGGGAAGAGACCTGGACCCTCACCCAGCAGCTAGTCATAAGGAGTCTCCAACTCTAGAATTCAAGGTGAAGCCCATAACTGAAATACAGCCCACACCCCAACCTTACCTAGCGAGGAGAAAAATCCTGACAAGGAAGGAAACTGAACTCTGACCAGACAATCCATATGCTGTGGGAATTGGGTAGCCCATTTACCCCAGACACAGCAAAAGCTTTCTTTAATATGTGCTGGTTCCCTCTCCAACTCATTTTGTTTCTGTTTGATGCTTTGAAACTAAACAGATGGTGGGTGCTTTTCACTCGCATTTCTTCTGTCATGGATTTTTTTTGGCAGATGAGGGAGTTTCTACTCATATGACCACAGCTAATTCTTAGCCCCCAAAGCAAAAATTAATGGACTCTGGAAAAAAAAAAAAAGAGAGAGAGAGAGAGAGACAGTGCTTACCCAGCTCTTTCCTTTAATTTCCACATGCCCACAGATGTTCCTCTCCAAGAAGGGTAAACGAAGGAAAGACTAGAAAATACTTCTTGGGACTATAGAACAATGTATCTGGTCTGCATGTGATGATGAGAAAGAGACAAAGACACAGAAAGAGAGAGGGGGAGGCAGAAAGGGGGAAAAGAAAAGGGGGAGGGAGGGAGGGAAAGGGAAAAGAAAGAGAGGTAGTGACCTACAGAGGGAGGGAGGGAAGGAAGGGAGGGAGGGAGGGAGGGAGGGAGGGAGGGAGGGACGGAGGGAAAGAGGCAGGCACTGGGTCTTATTATTTTCTGTGCATTATACTACCTATATGTATGTATTTAACCTCTCTGAAACCTCTGTTTCCTCATCTGTAAAATGGGAATGATAATGCCCACTTGCCAAGACTGCAGTAAAAATTAAATTAACCAAGCCTATTTCTGGCAAATTCCCTTTTGGAGTCACAGTATTTTCATCTGTTGAAAGGGCTTAGAATATCTTTCTTCAGGGTTGCTGCAAGGATCAAAGACACTATTGTACCCATAGAGTCTGTAGATTCTAAAGTGTTGTCCAGGTGCCATCTTTCAGTATAATCTGAGTTTTTGTTTCCTATTGCACCACAAGCTGCTATAGGCTGTTCACTCATCCCCACTGATTCCTGCCTTCCCAGCAAATGTCAAATCACAATATCAATACAAACCATTTTAAAGACAGACTGCAGAGAATAATTAGGACTTAATGTCTAGAAATGATTTGGATAGAGCTTTGCAAAACTAGTCATTCTTTTTGAGACTCGATTTCAGAAATGAAAGGTTTCCTTGCCTCTTATGTGCACCAACAATGCAAAAGCAAATTCAGAACCCCTGGATGCCTGAGTGGCTCTATAATTAGATAAAATGTACAATCTGATGTTATAATGTTTACATGTAAAGAAATAAATGAATGCTGAGGAACTGCTGCAGAGATTTCCAGAGAAATGTAATACACAGTGTCAGTACTTTTGCTTAAAAAGCTAATCTTGTAATTAATACCCTTGCCATAGAACTTTAAAGTGCTTTTGGTTTCCTGAATTTCATGATGAATAGAGAAAGAGAACTAACATTTCTTTAAATTTTTATTATACTACTTTATGACTTTGTTTAATCTCAGAGCCTCCTTTAAAAGGTAGGCTTAAAAAATCCCTGTTTTACAGATTAAAAAGTAATTCTCAGAGGAATCAATTACCTTGCCCATGACCACACTACTAGTTATGCTTCAGAACTACAGGTTCAAACATATAAGACTTTGCTCTTGCCACTGGACCACATGGCCTGTCTTTCACCTCCCTTTCCCTTTTACAGCAAACCCAGAAGAAAGCCATTTAAAACTGGGTCAGGGACTCAGGTGAGTTCTGTGTGCAAATCCTCCCACACAGCCCTATAGATACCCTGATGAACTCCCCGCCATGCCAAAGATTACACATAAGTTCAATCGCTAAATGAGAAAAAAAAAAAAAAAAAACATCAATTTTACAAATTTCCAAACAATTGCCCATTTAGCCTATGCAAAACTGTGATAAAAGCTGGAATACAGAATGTGGCTTAAGTCAAGAGACCACATGGCCTCCATCCTGAATCTCTTCTCTGCTGGCCCTCATATCCCACAGTTAAACTCTGGTGTGAGATCCTACCACTATGATGCTGCAAAAGATTAAACCAACGCACTCCACCAGTGTCAAAGGTGAATGAGGCAGACCTGAGACGGTGCCATCTGTGGCCAGAGCCAGGGTTAAGCCAACCTGGGCTTTCTTCCTTAAAGGCAGAGATGCCCTGGCCAAAGAGAAGAGATGGCCAGCCCTCCTCCCATAGGGTAGATCAAGGCTCTGGCTTCCCTGTCATCTCAGTGGATCGAAGAGGAGGAGAATATAAGTGTCTGAACTGTGCATATATACTGACCTTTAACAATGGCCCTGCCCTCCAAGGAAAATGAGGTCCACTGAGCACCCCCGATAGTTTCTGGATTAGCCCTTCCTCCTTCCTTGGAGAGATATAGTGAGCAGGCAGGGAGATAGTCTGGGCATGTAGGTGGAAGTCTTCTTCCCTGTGAAGGCTGCTGAGGGGAGGAGCAGAGTCTTCTCTTCCCAGAAAAAGCATAAGTCAATGAATACTTATTGAGCACCTTCTGTATACTCAGCCCTATGCCAGGTGTCATGGAAGAATCCAAAGGAAAGCTGAGCCTTGCAGGAATAACAGGACACACCATGTTAAGTGCCCATAAGGCAGAAAGTGCATAGCACTGGCGACAGACTGCACATAGTTCAGCATTGTCCAGACCATGGGGTGCAGAAGGGTGAGGGAGGAAAAAAAAAAGGCAGGAGAGAGAGCCAAGAGCAGACACTCAAGGCCCTGTATGCCATGTGGAGGTCCACAGGCAGTGGTGGCCATGTAAGAATTTGAGGCTCCAACTCAGCGTCTTTCAAAGCTGCCTTTCCCTGGTTTGCTTCTGTCTCACACTTTGAAAAGAGACATTTTTATACTCGTTGGTTTCCTCATGTGAATGAGCCACATGAGCCTTGCAATTGGCCCCCTCTCTCATGGGACTTCCTGACAAAGCGATCCGCCTGCATTCTCTTTCATTTATCTCCCCCTGGTGCCCAGAAATAATGGTGTGTTGTCAGGGAGTGTTTTTCCAGCCTGTTTGGAGGGAAGTTTCCCATCTGCCTAGAGCCCTCTGGGAACTCACTGATGCACCAACCTTCTGTTCTTATATAGAACTCCTACAGAGATTTCTTGTCAAGGTGATCCATAAAATCAAAACTTTGCTAGTCAAAAACAAACAAAAAAAACCTCTACCAACAATAGCTGAGGCTGTGGGAGGAGTCACTTTCCAGCCTTAAAGTAGCCTCATCATGCAGAGGAAATTGACATTCTTGGTTACTCTTTCCTTGTGAATTTCTTATCCCCCCTGCTGCCATGATGCCATGCACTCCTGCTCTCCTGCTTATCTAACCACACTTCATAAACTCCCTTTGCTGTCTTCTCTTCTTCCAGCCCATTAGCATCCCCCACAGCTCATCTTGGGTCCTCTTGATTCTTGCTGTACACACTATCCTTGGGCAAATGCTTCCATTCCTTGATCTCAATCACCACCTATTCCCTCCAGCCTCAGAGTTCCTCAATTGTCCCTCACTGCCTGGACATCTAGATATCTGTAACTGAATGATCTACAAGTACCAAACATGCATTGTGTCCAAAATCAACTTTATCAACTTATCTCCTGTACAGACTAGCTTCTTTTCCTGCATTTACCAGTTACAATAAAAAACATTAATGTCATCGTTAATGACTTCCCTCTCTCAAATACCCTCTACACATACATACAAAACACAGATTAATATACCTCCACATCTTTCCCTGCACCCCCCAATTATCATACTGTTCCCCTGTGTTCCTCCCTCATTAACTCATGCCTTAACTATTTAACTCTTCTGAACACGTTTCCTCTTCACTTCATCCTCCACCTCCCACCACAGTTGTCTTTCAAACACGCAGATCTGATTACTTCCTTCTGCACATTGCCTACAGGACAAAGCTCCTGAGCACAGCCACACTGCCTGGGTTACTGGGAAACTCTGAAGACACTGGTCACTCCCATTCTTCTGATGTTTTGCTCATGCTCCCCACTCTTTCCTACCTGCAAGCCTTCTCTTTAACCTTCACAGCCTAACCCAATGTCACCTCTTTTATGAAGCCTCCCTTGATTCCCTTTCCTATTTTTCAGTTGATGTTTGTTTAGAACTCTTTATAGATCCCGGAATATTATATAATAGTTCATCATTTGCATGTTTATATTCCTCTCTCAATTATAATCACCTAGATGAGGAAGATGTGTCTTTGGCCCCAGTACCCTGATGCCTGCCACTGTATACCTGGGAAGAAGACTTGTTGAATAAATAAATATTATGATGAAACCATAAAAGCAAAAAAGATGATTGCAAACATGGGAGATCTATTACTCACCAAAGTGATTAGAATATCAGAACGGTATAACAGAGTGGACTTTAAATTCTGGCTCTAACACTGACCAACTGTATGATGCCTGGGAAGTTTCTTCCCTCTGAGCCTTGAATCTTCATCTGGAAAAAAAGAGATAAAAAGACCTCTTTGGTTCATTCTAAGGAATGGAAATTAGATATTATATATAAAATGCTCAGCATAGTGGCTAACACATAATCAGATCTCGATACATTATTTATACTAGTGTTATTAATAATACATAAGAAGTTTAAGGAGGAGGATAGTAAGAGATGGTGTTAGGAAAAGAAGGTGAGTTCAACTTTATTTGCTGAACACACATTTATTTAGCACTGGCCAATGGAAGATATTAATGCCAGATGAATAAACCTCAATTTATAGAAAAAGGAGCAGATATAAAATTTCCCTCCACTTCTATCAAGGTACCCTTTAACACCTGCATCAGTTTGCTGCCTGAAATAGAGATGGAAAAATTAGAGCTGCCAGTGTAGAACATGAATGGCTACACAGAGTTGAGAACAAAGAATTAATTCCCAAGGAGAAGCAGATTGCATGGTGATAAATAGGTTGATAGGGGAGACAGGAGTTAAAGATGCCTCCAGAGATGGAGTTTTAGATCACAGACTGACTAAGCATCCTGACACCGAGCACAGGTGTCCAACTGACACAGGCTACCATGGGACAGAGTTTTGATGAGAGTTTGAAACTCGAGATGTAAACTCGAGAGTGATGCTGATGCCTTGGACAAGGATGAGTTCTCCTTACCCATGTCTCAAATAACTTATGGTATAGTCCATGAAAACCACAAAACCAGGAACCAACCTGAGCAACTTAAAACCAATGCCAAATCCAGTTCTTGGTATCAGGATAGGTGGAGGGGGAAATCTTCATAAAACCCACCTTGAAGGGAAAAGGGTATGTGGGTTCATCCCACAGCCAGAGTGTTGATATCAAACTAGAGTGGTGTGTTGCCATGACAGCAATTGCCTAGTGACAAAAATTAATAAGAGGGAAAAAATGGGCAGGAGCAATAAATCAAGCCAAATATTCTGTTTTTTTGCAAAGTTTCTCAATAGAGAGAGTGCTCTAGGGATGCATGTAATTTTTAAAAATCTCTCCTGCTAATAACCTTTTTCTTGGACAAACAGAACTTTCAAAGAAGTATCCGATGCAAGGGATGGGAAAGGAAGACCAGGAATAGAATTTCAGTGTTGCTCAGACAATTGATGCCAATGACCCAACATTCTGTGTTTCCCTGCAGAGTGATGCCAATGACCATCCAGTTCTCCATTCTGATTATGCTGCACTCGGCTCTGGTCCTCATCACCACAGCAGAGGATTATAAATGTTTGCCCCTCATCCTCCGGAAAACTTGCTGTTGGATTAATGAGACCTATTTGGCCCGGAACGTCATCATCTTTGCATCCATTTTGATTAATTTCCTGGGTGCCATCTTAAATATCGTAAGCATCCCACATCCACCAACCCTCTGGTGTCTAGTGTGCAGTTGAGCATGAAGTTTATGGAGCCTGCAGCTTCCTGCATTACCCTTCCTTGGTACCAGTTACCTTTATGTGCCTGGTCCAGCCCCAAGCTTAGGGACAGATAACAAAGATGTGGCTACTGCCAAAACTGTGCATTTTACTGTTGGAAAACTGTCTATTTCCCAGTGGGATAGGTTATTTTCTCCAAAGGAGTTCCAAAAGCCCTTCAATTTCCATATTGTCAGTAGCCAATTACATCATAAATAAGAGTTACCATGTATCAAGTACCAGTACCTACCTGCTATGTGCCATGCACTGAAGGAGGACCTTTACATATTTTTCATATTTAATCCTCACATAAACCCCGTGAGGTAAGTTTAATTATCCCCACTTTATGGCTGAGGAAACTGAGGCTCAGAGACATGAAATAACTTGATAATAAGGTCTGTCTGACTCCATGACCCACGCCCCTCTAATATGCTAAATTGTATCTCTGGGAGTGGGAGTGGGGTGGGGGAAATGGAAATGAAATAGCTGCCATTTATTGAGCACCTACTATGTGCTACAGGTAGGTATTATTGTCCCCATTTAATGGATGAGGAAACTGCATTTCAGGAAAGCTGAGTATCTCACCTATACTTTCTAAAAGTTTGTATTTCACGTGACACATAGAACTCAGATGAATTTCCAACTGCCATGATATTTATCACTGTTTAATTTGCTGACCCACATTGTCATGGTTTCATTTTTTCTCAAGAATTGTACCATGGTAGCTATAGGTATTTTCTGTGCTTTTACAAGTAGTCTGTGTTGTCCATGACTCAGGCAGCTAGATTTTTGAGGTGATTTGTTTGGTTCCAGGTCTTAAACTTGGCTTGTTGAGAGAGGCTAGTTGAGGCATTGTCATGTGGTTGAATCCATCACTGTGCCCTTTGGGCCTGAGGGAGGGTCCCCAAGTGTGCAGGGACCCAAGCTATAGACTCCCACAATTGTTGGCCTGTGACTTGGAGCCCTAGACTGCCTGAAATCACTGTCCAATTTGGCCCAGTAATTACCTTACTTAAGTTCTGTGGTTGTCCTTCTAGTGAAGGCTCTGTGGATAAAGGAAAAGAGGAAAAGGAAAATTATCATCTAATTTAGTTCATCATCTAATGAATATTTTATAGATTATGATAACTGAAATGGAAGTACATGGGATCAATTGATCACAGGCTGCAGAGAAGCAGCCAGGACCTTAAATTAAGTCTTGATAACAAATTAGATATTTCTGGGGTGCAGAATTTGTAAGTAAGCCCAATGACTGTAGGTCAGGGTTACCTCTGAGGCCAACTGTGCCTCAGTGAGTAGTGTGGTAGGAAGATCAGAGGCTTTGGAGTCAGATAGACCTGTGTTCAAATCTCAGATCCACCAGTCACCAGCTCAGTGACACTGGACAAGTTACTTTACTTCTCAGAGTTTCGTATTTTTCAATTGTAAAATGGGGATTAAAAATAGCAGCTACATCACAAGGTGGTTGTGAGGCTTTTTTGTACAAAGTGTCTGGCACAGAGGAGGCATTTGGCCAATGGTAGTTATTCTTTTCCTAATACCACAAAATCTCCTGCAGCAACTTCTGTCCTAGGAAATGCCCATCACCCCAGTGCTAAGAGTCTTTCTGGAAAATGTACCCCTTCAGATTCTTCAAGTCCTCCCAGCTGTTGATCTGGAGACAGGCTATGAGTTTACCCAAGACCTCTTCTCCTGCCATCTGGCTTTCTCTTCTGAGCTCCACAAGCACACTCCAGTGACCTTAAATGATGGGGCCAACAGAGCAGTCTAAACTTAGTTTCATGACTGGCTTACAAAAGGTCTTTCTGAGCAAGCACTTGTTTTTTAAATAAAAGAAATCAAAGCTGGCACTTTGGCACTTCCATTCTGACTTCAAGTCCCCTCTAGGGTTCAGTCTACCCAGGCTCGTGCTGAAGCCCAGCCACTGATAGCACACTGCTCCATTTCCAGCACTCACACTGACTTTGTTGTTCCTGTTTTTGTTTTTGTTGTTCTTTTTTTTTTTTTTTTAATCCGCAGCTGTGGTGTGATTTTGACAAGTCGATACCCTTGAAGAACCTGACTTTCAATTCCTCAGCTGTGTTTACAGATATCTGCTCCTACCCAGAGGTATTTATTTATGAGCTCCCCTTGGTGAGAGTTGGACATAGATATATCTCTACCAGCTCCAAATAAACAAGACTGGCTGAAGGGCCATAGAAAATACTCAAGAGGCCTGTTTTCCTTCTTCTGCCTCTTCTTCTTTCCTTTCTTCTTCTTTCCCTTTTCTGCCTTTCCTTCTCCCCTTATATTTTCTGTTTCCCAGTCCTCTTTCCTGTCCCCTCCTCTGCCTCTTTTTCATCTTCACCCCTTCCTCATTTCTTTCTCCCTCTTTCTCTTCCTTTTCTTCCTTTTCACCTTTCCTTCTATCCATTTTCCATTTGCCCTTATCTCTTCCTTCTCTATGCATTTCTCCTAGCTTATTTGTAAAATCCTGTAGCAGAATGCACTGTTATCTCTATTAGCAGGCAGAGTTCTTTCTCAAACAGTATTTGCTGCAGAAGGAAAGAGGGAGGGAGGGAGGGAATTAAGGAACAAAGGAAGGAAGGAAGGAGAAGGAAGGAAGGAAGGAAGGAAGGAAGGAAGGAAGGAAGGAAGGAAGGAAAGGGAAGGGAAGGGAAGGGAAGGGAGGGGAGGGGAGGAAGGAAGGAAGGGGAGGGGAGGGAAGGAAGGAAAGGGAGGGGAGGGAAGGAAGGAAGGAGAAGGAAGGAAGGAGAAGGAAGGAAGGGGAAGGAAGGACAGAAGGTAGGAAGGGGAAGGAAGGAAGGAAGGGGAAGGAAGGACGGAAGGTAGTAAGGGGAAGAAAGGAAGGGGAAGGAAAGAAAGAAGGAAGGAAGGGGAAGGAAGGAGGGAAGGAAGGAGAAGGAAGGAAGGAAAAGGAAGGAAGGGAGGGAGGAAGGAAGGGAGGGAGGGGAAGAAGGGGAAGGAAGGAAGGAATGAAGGAATGAAGGAAGGAAGGAAGGGAGGGAGGGAGGGAGAGAGGGAAGAAGGAAGAGAGGGAGGAAGGGAATTACAAAGGCAGAAAATTAGAACTAAACTTAACTGATACAAAGAGTGCCAGAAGCACCATGTGTTCTGTAGGCATCCCAACAGGCCACCTATGATCATAATATGTGTATCTTACTCTATGTTTACCACAGAGCCAGTGGTCTGTTTCTGGGCCTTGGGGTCAGCCTATGGGGTCTGTTATTCACAACCCAGAACTTTACATATTAGGGTAGACATTCTGGGTCATAAAGTAGAACAGTTAACATGTCCCAGCAGACCCCAGCCAACCCCATACCTAGGACTCTGGGTAGATTCTTGTTCTCTAAGAGGCTGCCACACTCAGAAGGCCCTCCAACATATGAATGGAGAAAAGGCTCCCTGTAGTCTCTTCTAGGCCTAAGAATTGGTCCCAGAAACATTCCAACAAGGAGACCAAGCCTCCTCTCCGTCCGTCCATTTGCATAGAGCACCTGCTTGATATGCATAACATCATCAAATCCTTCAGATGTCTGGGGTAGAGGCTATTACTGTCTCCGTCTTATAGATAATAAAACTAGAGCTCAGAAAGCAGCTTGCTCAGTGCTGGTTAGGGCCACACCTGCCTGATCTTATTTCTTCCTCACTTCTTTCCCTCCCTTCTTCTTTCTATCCTTCCTTCCTTCTTTTATTAATTCAATTATCAAGGCTTGATACTATAATTTGAACCATATCTACCTTATTCTTTATCTTCCCTGGTCCCTAGAGGAGAAAGTAGACTCTACTAATGGATGTGCAGGACAGGATGGGACTAGGTCCCATTTAGGAGCTGCATGGGCCAGACCATGTGCCCTGGGACTCCCTTCTACCTAGGAATGAGTGGAGTCCCAGCTTAGTGTACTCTGTGGGACAATGGCTCCCTGAGAAATTCTTGGTTTGAGGGGCTTAGGGAATGTCTCAACTTTTGGAGAGAGTAAGTGGCCCAGAATTGGATGGTCAGAGCTAGGCGAAAGCTGGTTTTCGTTTCCAATCAAGCCCCCTCACTTGCTAGAAGTGGAACCTTGAATCAGTTCTTACCCTCTCTGGACCTCAGTTTCCTCATCTGTAAAATGAGAAAATTAATACCTTCTTTACATGGCTACTGTGGAGTTAAACAATGTGTTCTCATGGTGCCTGCCTAGATGGGTTAGCAAATATTTAGCTCTTCACATGGCATCTGACATGAAGCAGCTATTTATCTGTGCCCACACATCACTTTGAATTAATATTGTATACCCTTGACCTAACACCTGAACCCCCAAACACAAGACCACAGCACTCAGAGATTAGCCAAATCCTAAGAAAGTGGTGGGTAAGATTTTTGATCACACAGCTTTGTTTCAGTGCCTCAGTTTCCTTATCTGTAAAACGGGGATAAAAGTAGGGCCTTCCTTATTGGTTAATTACAAGAATTAAGTGAATTAATCCATATAAAGTGTTTAGAAGCCACACCTGGCACAATGTATCTGCTCATTAAATGTCTGCTATGATTTATGTATTATTTTCAACAAAAGGGCTTTGAGCATGTAATGCCAATGTATGTTATCGTCAAACACCTGTACATACCCGAACCACTGTGCGTAATATACCCGTGTATGTTATGATACAACTCAACAACAGAAATGTTTAAAAGTAAGATAAAATGAATATGGATTGATGTTACCATTTTCTCCACAATGAAACGGTCATCTTGTTCAGGAGGTCAGCAAACTACAGCCACAGGCCAAATTCACCAGCTGCAACAACCACCTGATCTGACCCACCAGTTGACATTCTGATACATGTATGTATGTGTGTGTGCATATACGTGTGCATGTGTATGTGCGCACACATGCTTCACTGACTAGGCATTGCCAAACTAAAATGGATTAGATATTCAGACCTTCTGAAAGAGTTAATCCAACTCCCCAGCACTCATATACTCACAAGTATGTGTCCCCAAGCAAATCGCTTCATCTTTGTGATCCTCAGTTTCTTCAAATGTATACCTGACATTTCTGCCTCACCCTATGAGAAATAATATCCAGTCCAAAAACATGTTATCAAACTGGATGATGTAATACAAAAAATGAGGCTTTTACAATGTATGATATAAAGTATAACTTGGTTCTAAATTCGAAGCTTGTCAGATGCTAAAAAAGAGTGAAGATGCCAGGAATGAAAGTAAAGAAAGCTATATTCCAGTCATGGTTGGAGAGTAGTCAAGGAGAAAGAAAGGCACAGGTTTGTGAAATGAATGCAAATCACATGCACAAACCCAGAGTGTCATTATCTCAAACATCTGGATGTGGTTCTCAGGAGATTCGGTGGGAAGACCCTCACTTTAGAATTACGCCCCTTTATTATATGCTCTGGCACATCTGAATAAACAGTTCACTGTATCTGCAAGAGCAGTCAGAGCTTGCTATGGTTTTAAAGGGTCCTGAAGAGCCCATTTTTCCATAGAGATGTGATCATCTGTGTCTTGGCATGCTGGCATTTCCTTCCCTTTCTTCTCCATTTATTCAGGTCCTACCCAGCCTTCAAGCATCCCTTTTTCCATAATGTGGTTTGACAGGCCCAACTCCTTCAGGTCACTCTCCTTCCTGCCATCTCACATACCCTTATGGTGTCATCTTAGCATTCACACTCCATCCTTCCTACAGTTGATTTATTTATCTAGGACATCCTTTCCATCCTGTCAAATTTATTGACGTAAGGAGTGAAGATAATATTGTATAGCTATTAAAGATTGACTAAAGGGCCCAGCACAGGACAAGGCCCACAATCTATGTTTTAAAATATTTAAAGAGAAAGGAAGCATTCTTCCAATAGACTAACAGGAACAAGATTTACCTTTCCATCTGAAATAACTAAAAACAAACAAAATATATGAAGCAATAGTTTTCAAGGCACTGGGCATCAGTCAGTAAAGGACAATAATCCTGAAAGACAGGAAGCAAGTGATTGCCTGAGCTTTATTATTGCTTTAAGAGAATTTTTAGACTATGGCTCAGGAAGAGGAAACCAAGGTGGACTCCCTGATTTGAGAATACTAAGCTGAGAGTCCTGGGAGACCAAGGTGGCTACAGTCTGCAGAACATACTACTCTGGAGAGTTGCATAGAGAGAAAAACCTAGAGATCTGAAAAGGGTTCAATCAGTGCATGCATGTGAGGAAACTGACATGGGAAAAGAACCATCTGGAAGGATCAGTACCTGGAACTCACACAGAGCTGAGAATAATTTTTGTTCCCACCAGTCAGACTGAGAAAGATTCATGGGGTAGTAGGTTAGAGTATTCAGAAAAGTCTTGCTTCAGCAGAGTAAAATCACTGTTTCTACATCATATGCTGCTCTGATCCTTCCTTTAAAATCTTAAAAGTTAGATCCAAAGAGATCAAACCTTTTAAAATAATTTAATATGTGTCCTAGAATAAATTTCAAGAATATGTATAGGAATACAAAAATATCTAGGATTTAACAAGGTAAATACACAATGTCTGGCACCCAATCAAAGATTACTGGCATCAAAAGGAGGAGGAAAATATGACTGATAATGAGGGAAAAAAATCAACCAAAGAAGACCAACTCAGATTTGACTGAGTATATTTGAATTAACTTTTTTTTTTTTTTTTTTTGAGACAGAGTGTCACTCTGTTGCTCAGGCTGAAATGCAGTGGTGCAATCTCGGCTCACTACAACATCCACTTCCCAGGTTCAAGCAATTCCTGTGCCTCCACCTCCCAAGTAGCTGGGACTACAGGCATGCACCAACACACCGAGCTAAGTTTTTTATTATTATTATTTTCAGTAGAGATGGGGTTGGCCAGTCTGGTCTCAAACTCCTGGCCACAAGTGACCCACCTGCCTGGGCCTCCCAAAGTGTTGGGATTATAGGCATGAGCCACTGCACCCAGCCAGGCAAATAATTGCTATAACTGTATTCATGATAGACAAATATTAGATAGTGCAGAAGAAAAAAAGTGAAACTGATAACATAGCAATATAAAGTATCCAAAATAAAACACAAAAATTAAAAAATAATAAAATAAAAGCAGTACTGGGGACAACTTCAAGCAGCATACTATATGTGTAATTGGAGTCCTAGCTGCTAACCTAAAAGAAAGACTAAGAGAAAGATGAGGAGATTGAAAAGCTATTTAAAGAAATGGTGGCATGAGTTTTTCCACATTTGTTGAAAACCATACATCCACAGGTTCAAAACCTCAATATAAACACACACACAGGCACACAAAGGCACATCATAATCAAATTACTCAAGCCATAATAAAGACAAAATCATAAAATGGGTGGGGGGAACATATTGCATAGTAAAAGACAATGATATGAATAACAGCAGATTTTTCAAAAATACAACCATGGAAAACCAGCATCTTGAATGAATCAAAGGACCACTAGGAGTGTACTAGAGCACCAACCACATACAAAATTTTCTTTTCCCCTAATTAACACAACCCAGTGAACACCCTGGAGAGTCAGACCAGCCATCTTCCCATCACCTTGTGGTGGTCCCCAGGTTTATGATGCCCTCCTTGCTCGACATTCTGCAGAGTCTAGGCTGGTCTCAGAAGAAGCAGAGCAGCTTCTGTCATTTGCCTGGACACACTTCACTGTGTTGCTTATGCCAAGAGCTACAGTTGCTAAGAATCAGATTTTGTGTAAAGCAATAAGTCCAGATGATTTCTTTAAACTATAGTGACTTTTGAAAATTGTCTGCTTGATTTCTTTTCTTCTTGTCTCATGAGTTCATGATGTTATGGGATTTTGGCAGCAACCAGATAGCTCCAGGGAGTCCAGTTTGTCTGACTTATGTGGGTAGATGCTCAATTCCCTCGTCAGTTATCATTGTCTAAAATAATTCTTCTTCCTCCTCTTCTAAGAGTAAATTGTGCATATATTGCCAAGGCAATTCATGGTGCATTGACAATGTCCTTCCAGCCTGGCACAGTTTTTGGTGTGTAGTGGGTTCTCAGTCAACAATTGTGGGAAAATGCATGATTTAGTTTGTAAACTGTTTGTTTCATGGAAACAGGTTCAGTTGTTGCTGCCCTTAACACCTTGTCATATCATGAGATTCCAATTTTTTCAGTACAGACATTGAAGAAATTGATCTCCCAAGCCAGAATATCTATCTGAGAGAAGAAAACCTTGTATATTCAGAAGAAGAAAAGTGTTACATATACTTCCTCTCTTCTTTAAAGTGGACCCAAGAATAATACCTGTCCTTGGGTCATTTAAGGAGTTAAATGAGATGAAACACATAAAGTCATTCAAAGACATTCACAGAATACGTGCCCAATAAATATTTAGGTTTAATTGTTACATCTACTTTCCACCAACTTAATCGCTGATTTACAGACATCCCCAACCCAGCTGGTCCCTCCACCAATCTTACCTGGAGTTCATCTAATGTAAGATGAATCTGGTCTCTTTCACACCTCCACGTCTGTAGGGGTTTTTTGTCTTCTCCTGTCTACATTTTATTTTACCTATTGAAATGCCTTTGACTTCTTTTTCCTAACCAATTTTTTTTAACGGTAAAAACTGAGGTGTCATTATATACTTTCCCAAGGCAAAGGTGATGCACTTACAATGCATAGCTTGTCTGCTTCCTGTATCAGAGATTGCTGGGAACTTTGCTCACTACCTAACATTTCTCATACAAATCTTGGCATTATTATTTTTTATCATTAAAAGGTCTGGGAAAAAACAGAGAACCCCATTACTATATGGGAGTCAGAGTTCTCTGGAGTACAGGGATTTACCCCAAAACACTGTATTCAACCTACTGTTTCATTTGATATTGCACATTAAAATAAAACTAAAGGACATTACAAAAGGAAATAATCCACTCAAAAGCCATGTCATGTCTGTGTAGACATATTTTGCATTCTTGTAATCATAGTATATATATAATTTTACACCCTGCTTTCCAGTTTAAAATTATTTTGAAAACTCTTTGTTGTCATTTAAAAGGCTCCTCTGAAAACTCTTGTATATAGAGCTCTTTATTCTTCGGGCACATGTTTCTTCACTATTGTCTTCTAGTTCTCCTCCTCACATCCCCAAAAATGCCTAATCAATATTCTTATTTCTCTTCTTCCACAGTCCTTCAAACATGGTAGGCTCTCAATGTTAGTCTCTGTATCTTCTGTCTTTACTTGTATTCTGCTTGAGTGGTTTCTTCCACACCTGTAAGTTCAGCTGAATGATGCTAAATGTGTGTCTCCAGACCCCATCTGCCTTCTGAACCCCAGCCTCATTTATGTCATTGCTCACTAAACATCCTTCCTGAATCACCCCTTCTATACCTAAAGCTTGATAGGCCTAAAAAAAGAACTCACTGCCTTTTCCTCATACTTTAAGTTTTTTCTTACTTAATAGATTAATACAAAGTGGAAATATTAGTGCTACCTCTGACTCCTCTCTCTTTCTTACCTCCCCATAAAACTAGACAATGTTGTCCAACTTTTATATCTTGCTAAGTTTATTGGGTATATTTGCCAAGATCTTGTCTTTAAGTCCTCAGCTTTTCTCAATTAATCCTGATACATCGTATATTCTACCCTACCGCAATTTATTTCTTAGGCACTGACCTAATGAATCCATTACAAGCAAGAAACTCATCCGTGGTTCCTTACGGACTGCAGAATAAAGTACAGATTTCCATACTAGAGGATTTTTTACAGTGTGGTTTTGCCCCTTAACTCTGTCCTACTATACCTATGAGCCCCTTATACCCAGGATCCATTTAGGGGACACTTTAGGAGCTGTGGGCCTTCTAAGTTCCTGGAGTAATATAACACAAAAATTGCTTGTTTTTTGACAGAAACTAAGTAATTGCATTGAGCCCAGTTTCTTCCCAAGTTACAGGACACATGCAATTTATGGGTCCAGACCCAGCAAAAGAGAAATGTTTTCACAAAGCTTTCACAAAGCCATAATACTTCTGTAGCTTCCTGTTGTTCTCCCATTTCCTGGTCCCACCCCCCACTATTCACTCAAGGTATAAAAAGCACAGAGGAGATTCCTCTGATGTTGTCCAGGGGCCTCATTCTGTTTGATGTCCCACGGTTCATATCACCTCCAAAAGGTTCACCTTTCTACTTTAAAGTAAAAAGTTACCTAAACCATGCAAGGCAGTGGGTGATTCCTTTAGATGGAATGGGGGATAGGAGTAAAGAAGGCAAGAGCATGCTGCCACAATTGATTGAGGCAACAAAACGAGAAAGACCCATCAACACATTGTGCAAATGTACAATTATATTTGCCTATTATACCTTCAGCAGCCTTGTTAGAGAAAGGAGGAGGGCAACACCTTCAAATCTTTTCTTCTGCTTGTGTTACTAGTTCTCTTTATGAGTAGTTGTATGATTCTCTAATATGACCTAAGGAATCAATCCTCCTGACACCTTGTTCCTTTACACTTTTGCATTCATGTTATTCTGTCTTCCTAAAATGCCCGTCCCTTTCCATTTTCTACTGTGTGAAATCCTCTCTGTCCTTCAAGGTCCAGTTCAAACTCATGTCCCCTGTATAGCCTTCTTCAGATGTGCCTGCAGAATGCACAACGCTTTGTCCTTCCTCTGTACCCACATTGCATTTGGTCACATTGCTGGCAAAGCACTTTCCACCATGATTATTGTTTGTATTTTTATGTCTGCTTTACATTTTAGACCACGACTTCCTTTAGGCCTGGGCCATCTCTTACTCTCCTTTGAATTTCCAGTGCCTAGCACCATGTCTTGATTGTAATAGGCACTCAATAAATGCTTATTACATTTTATAAATTAACTGTTGTGACCACATAAGTTTTTGTTCCAAGGACACAATCATTTCAATGGCTTTTTATCCAATAAATGATTCATAATTTGCAAAAAGCCATGCACCGCCCCTTGTTGTGATACAGGCAACAATGAAACAGGACCCCTCAGATCTAGTCCTCTTTCTTTGGCCTTTGTCAAACTGGAGGGCCTTAGAGTTTCTCTGGAGCAGAAAATGAGCTCTGGAGAATGAACTTCTTATTGCCCAGTCACTTCAGACACAGCTTCCTATACAGAGGCATCAAAATGAATTACCTAAAAATCTTCCCCAAGATCTTAAAGGATAGCTGAAGAAAGCCTATCATCCCATTTGAGACCAGAAAATAATTGGATTTCTTGGAAAAGGAAAAGACAGAAGTAAAGGAGACACTAGACACTAGGCTCCTAATGGCAAGGAAATGCCTTTTTCACTTATGAGTCCACCCCATGTACCACAAAGGCATGGGGCCTTTGCCCTCTGAGAGAACACAGTCAGGACACTCTCCACACTTGTCAATGTCAACATTTGTTGAAAGGATGCATAAATTAGCCAGCTAGGCTTAGAAATCTGTAAACAATCTTCAGTAATTACTTAGACATTTTTGGAAATTCTTACCCAACACCCCTGCCCATACAAAAATTGTCTATGTAATAGAAAAGACAAGTTGTTACAAACAGCCATGTATAACAAGACCAAAAAGAATTTTAGAAATTATCAAGTCCAATATTTTAACTAGAGTCCCATTTACGTGAATTGGTTATATCCTGGTGACCTAGATGCCACTTTATAGCCAAGAGATCTTGGACAATTTACTTAAGCTCTATGAACCTCAGTTTCTTAACCTATAAAATAGGAATTATGACTCCCATCTTGACCAGTTACTTTGAATGTTACAAGTGAAAATGTGTATAGAGATCACAATATTGCCACAAAATGGGCCTTTGATAATGCAAGTTTTATTCTTTTTGTTTTTTGTTCCTGATAGTCAGAGTCTGAACCCACCATCCAGAATGATATATTAGGATACTTCTCTAAGGGAAGGAATAGGCTGGGGAGCTTCCCATAAAAGGCTGAAATCTGGTGGGGTAGACTGACACCTAAGGGCTACTCTAATATTCCAGCTCTTGGCTAATTCCAAATTTGCAATTTAAGCAGTTACTTCTAATACAGGGTGATAGGTGTTATGCTGGTCTATGCAGGGTGCTGTGGAGGAATGAAGCAAGATCCAAACGTAGCTGGAGATATTGAGGAAGTCTTCTTAGAGGAGAGAACACCTAAGCTGACATTTGCCAGAAGAGTAAGCCCTAGGCATATGGATGAGAGTCGAGCAACAGGGCCCTGGGACTTGGGAGAAGGGTTTAGAGAATGAAAGGAAATCTGATATATGATGGCCTTGTGAGCTTTACTATTCAGAAAGGAGAATATAATTTGAGATAGTGGAGAGCCATGAAAGAACTTCAAGTTAAGAGGTGACATGATCAGATCTGTGCTTTAGAAATATGGAGTAGAGAACGATATGGGTGTGGGGTGGGGACTGGGGACTAACTGCAGACAGAGCTGCCAAAAAGCTATTCTAGAGCTGTTGGTGAGAACTAAGACAGAAACAGTGTGGAAGAAGGCTGGCTGAAGGGAAGATCTATTAAAGAAGAATCAGCCAGGCATGGAGGCTCATGCCTGTAATCCCAGCACTTTAGGAGGTCAAGGTGGGTGGATCATCTGAGGTCAGGAGTTCAAGACCAGCCTGGCCAACATGGTGAAACTCCATCTTTACTAAAAATAGAAAAGTTAGCCAGGTGTGGTGGCATGTGCCTGTAATCCCAGCTATTGGGGAAGCTGAGGTGGGAGAATTGCTTGAACCTGGGAGGAGGAGGTTGCAGTAAGCCGAGATGATACCACTGCCCTCCAGCCTGGGTGACAGAATGAGACCCCATCTCAAACAAACAAAAAAAAGTAGAATCTACCAACTTAGGATGGCCTGTGTAGGGAAGAAGGCAACAAAGATGAAACCAAAGTTATTGGCTTGGGAAATGCTATGAATAGTGATGCCATTCAGAGAAGTAGGGCTTGGCAGTAGGCAAATGAAGAGTTTGATTTGGGACCTGTTGAATTTCAGGAGGCCTTGAGACCTCCAAATGGAAACTCTCTGCAAATGTGTGTAAGACCTACTAGCATCCATGGCTAGGAGAGGGAACTGCTGCCCCCATTGAATCTGACCACCTGCATTCTCTGTTTCCAGTACTTTGTCTTCACGGGGGTGTTGGCCATGGTGACCTGTGCAGTTTTCCTCCGGCTGAACTCCGTCCTGAAGCTGGCAGTGCTGCTGATCATGATTGCCATCTATGCCCTGCTCACTGAGACCGTCTACGCAGGCCTCTTTCTGCGTTATGACAACCTCAACCACAGTGGAGAGTAAGTGCCCACCACCGTGAGTCCAAAGTGTGCTCAACTTCCTGTGGGAAGTGGAATTGTTGGGAAAATGATGCCCGCTGCATTACTAAAACTTAAGGCCTGATTGGATATTGACTTATATCTCAAATCAGGCATTCTGTAGTTTACAAGTCCAAGCAAAAATCCTGACTTTTCAGTGGTATCATTTATATGAATTACAGATGAATTAATCAAAGTTTGGACTGAATAGTAGCTCAGGTCTCCTCCAAGTCTGATCACTTATGATTTCTTCAAATTTAGTGGCTTCAACACTTGTAGGATCTGTTTGTAATTTGGCTGTAGCAATATTAATAATAGCAGCCACTGTGTATTAAGCCCTCATGCTCTCCCATTGCATCGTACAGTTGGACCTCCATATCCACAGCATTGTGGATTCAACTAACTTCAGATTGAAAATACTTTAAAAAAAATTAAAAATATTACAAACAAAAACAGTATAGTTTAACAACTATTTACATAGCATTTACATTGTATTAGGTTTTATAAGTAATCTAAGGATGATTTAAAGCATGGGGGGGATATGTATAGGTTATATGCAAAATTATGACATTTTATATAAGGGACTTGAACATGCATGGATTTTGGTATCCACAGGGCTGATACCAAGGGACAAACGTATTACTGCTGAAATATAGAAAAGTACAAAAAAGAATATCTTACCCAGACTCCTTAGAGAAAAACAGCCCAAGGCAAGGCTAATGAAACCCCAAGGCAGTGAAAGTGAGGGAAAAGAGAAGTGAGGAAGAAAAGGATGAGAGGCGAATGCAAGCTACCACTACATTTTGCTGGCAACATGGGCTCTGAAGAGATTCAGCTGGTGCCTTGGAAAATCCACTCGCAGAGCCATTTGAAATGCCTCTGGGCAGGCTCTAAGGTGGGAAAAAGTGTCTCAGGACAGAGGAAGGCAGAAAAATATGTCTGCTGGCTCCTTCCCTGTCTCTCCCATTGGCAAGAGTTCCCTTTTTGCATGCACTTTCTGATGACATCACTTGGACCCTTTCACAGCTGCTGGGGTAAACAGACCCCACACAAGAAGTGATGGAAGGAGCCAGTCCAGGCTGATTGGTCTCAGGTATTGGAAGCACACAGGACTAGCTGAGGCCAGAATAAGTGGCCAACAGTCAAAGGAAAAGAATAAGGCCAAGATAATCCAAGAAGGCTAAGAAAATATGCCCAGAACTAATAATATGAATGTCCATGAACCAAGCCCTGGAAGTAAACAATGCTAACAACTAGTCATATTTTCTTATGCATTTTTAAAAGGATAATGTGTTTCAGATGTTGAAATTCCTTTCTCTAGTATTATTCTCCTCTCTGTCTCCTCAAATCCAACTTCTAATGTACTGAATATATATCCTTCCCATCCATGTTATATATATAATGTATACATACACACATATATACACACGCACATATAAACACACACATATATTTACATATACATATAGCTAGGTCTGTATCTATAAATTATTTATAATATTTACTATTTTGTTGTGATGTAATATTATCTTTCTAGATCCATCTAGGTTGATATATATGGATTTCATTTTAGTTGTTGTCTGTACATATGAAATAACACAAACATCAAAATATGTTTATCCTTTGACCTATTAATAGAGACATTTAGGTTGTTACCAGTTTTCCCTATTATAAAAAATGCTTTAATTACCATCATTGATCATATCTTCTGGGGTGTAGACATAAAAGCACTCTTGTTGGATTGTAGGGTATCTGCGTTTTCCACTTTTTAAAATATTGCCAAATTGCTCTCCAATGTGACTGACACGATTTTCCTCTTACAAGCAGTGGTCCTGTTGCTCTCATTCCCACCTACACTGTTAGATTTTTAAAATATTTGTTTGGTTGAGTGTGTGTTTTATTGCACTGTTTACACTTGTGCTTCTCTGATTATGTGTAAGCTTGCTCATCTTTTTGTTTATTTGTTGGCTATTTGGGTTTTATTTTATGTGAATTGCCAGCTCATATCCTTTACCCAGTTTTCTGTTGGGTTATTCATCATTTTCTTGTTGAATTTGTAAGAGTTATTTTTGTTTTTAATTAACAAATAATTGTATATACTTATGGTATAAAACATGATTTTTTGACCTATGTATATGTGGTAGAATGGCTACATCAAGCTAATTAACATATGCATTACTTCACATGCTTTTTTTGTAGGTGGTGACAGCACGTAAGATCTACTCTCTTAGCAATTTTCAAGTATACAATACATTGCTATTAGCTATAGTTGCCATGTTTTACAATCGATCTCTTGAATTTATTTCTCTTGTCTAACTAAAATTTTGTATCCTTTGACTAAAAGCTCCTCAATTTCATGTCACACACACACACCTCAAGTCTCTGGTAACCATAATTTTACTATCTGCTTCTATGAGTTCAAAATTCTTAGACTCCATATATAAATGATAACATGCAGTTTTGTCAACAAGAGTAGGCCTACCAGTAGTGACCCTGTGCTCAGTTTGCTCATAGGTAAAGTGACATATATATCATCTGTCTATATTAGTCAGCTCAGTTGGCCAATAACCAAAATACCACAGACTAGTATAAATATCAGAAATTTATTTCCCACAGTTCTGGAGGCTGGGAAGTCCCAGATCCAGATTCTAGCCTGGCTCATTTCATTAACATAATGTCATCCAGGTTCATCCATGTGGTAGCAAGTGGCAGGGTTTCCTTCTGTTTTAATGCTAAATAGTATTCCATTGTGTTCGTATACCACATTTTCTTTTTCCATTTATCCACTGAAGAATAATTTCAGATTGCTCTCTCATGTTCATTGCAGCATTATTCACAATAGCCAGGATGTAAGAGTTCTTTATAAACTTCAGATACTAATGTCTAATTTACATGTATATCAAGCATTTTGTGTGCTTTATTTAATCTTCAGAGTAACATTCTGAAGAACAAAGGCTAAGAAAAGTTAGCAATTACCCAGGTTCACACGGCCAGTAAATAACAGATCCGTATTCAAACTTGGGTCTTTTTGACTCCAAAGTCCACTTTTTAAGTACTGTGTGCACCGCTTTTAAATCATACTGAATAACATTCCACCATATTCCAAGGGTTCAAAGAAACTCAAAACATTTTCAAATTAGGTAAGATGGTTAGTGGCCATGGATATATCATGGCCATGCAAAAATGAACACAAAAGAGGGCAAAGATATGTATGAACAAAATAAGCCACCTTTAGAGTAAAAATAAAAGTAAAACCATCTACAATTTATGGAATTAAAGGCAGACACAACATTAACGGAATAAGCTGGGTCTTTGGCTTCAAATCTAGACTCTGTTGCATATGCAAAGTCATATGAATTTGAGGGGAGACAATTCATTTCATAGCATTGCCCTAGGGCTGCTGTGAGGCTGTTATTTGCCTGGCACATAGCAGGTACTCAATATATGTTGATTCCTATTCCCTCTCTCCTTCTTATGAGAGAAGCTTAGTTCTGGATTCTGTTTGGAGGTCTTCAGGAAGAGTTTGTAATCAAATTAACTAAGATCATGAAAGTAAATATAACTCCAGGTTCATTGCTGCTGGCGATCAAGTGCTTTTTTCAGCTTTTTCCTGACTTGAGAACAATCATTGGCTAGTCTTCTATTGCCTTACTCTTTGCTATCAATGGAATGAAATCAATAAGAAATGAAGGAACTCAGCCAGCCTTCCATCTCAGCTGTATTATAAATCTACAGGTCGATAGTCACTCGGTAGTGAATTGGCAGTCGTAGGCTACTCACGCTGTTTGGATTTAACCAACACTTTAGGAGTTCACAATAGTTCAAGAATAGTTTTTGCTGGTTGTTCCTATACATTAGGTATCTGGGGAAAACAGATAAAATGTAAAAGGTAGCACAGAAAACCCTGGACACAACAACCTGGCCGCATCTTCATTGGGATGGCCCTGAATACTTCACACTGACATCTCCCAATCTGCTCGTCAAACTACCTGTCCCACAACAACCCTCTGATTTAGTTCATGATGCCCAGCCCAAAACAGGAGAGGCACCCTTACCCCTAACATCTTAGCAGTCACTAGAGACCCATCTTCCTCAGCATTTCTTGTAGGGAAGCACTATATCTCAATACTTGTGAGTACAAGTTTAGGACTTAAACCAACTGAATTGAAATCCCAGCTGTTCCATCAACCAGATATGTGATCTTGATCAAATTAATTTAAAATGATTTAACTTCTCTAAGCCCTGTTTTTCTCATCAGTAAGGAGGGAATAATAATAGTCCCTATGCTGTAGAAATATAAAAGGAAACAAGTGTGATAATAGAAGCTTAGCACAGGTCTGGCATATGATAAGCACTTGATATGTGCTAATGTTTGTTATTAGACATCACCCCTCCATATCACAAATGCTGCCACTCTGGAAAGATCCTCACTCTCATCTCTGGACTGATGTCCTCTAACTGATCTCTTAAACTCCACTCTCAATTCCCCCTCCTCAAAGGCATGTGGTGAACTCATATTCTTTCTAAAAACCCTTTAAGAGCTTCTTGTTACCTCTAAGAAGTTAAATTTTCAAACCAGTTTACTTAGGATTTTTAAATCTCTCCTTCATCTGGACCACACTGACTCCTTACTACACAGGTCAACATTTATAGGCTGTATTCGAACCATGGGAAATCACGTCTTTTCTCAAATGAGCTTCTGCACATATATCCCCCTGCCTGATATGTCCATCTCCCTGAATGATTCCAACCTATCATTCTCTAGACCCAATTTAAGGACACTCTCCTTGGCAAAACCATCTTTGGCCATTCCTCATTTTCCAATCTGTGTACTTAAGTGTTTATTATTGCATTTACCTCACTGTGTTGAAGTAACTAATTTTCATGTCTTCCTCTTCCATTAAAATAGGAAATTTTGAAGACAAGGACCATTACTCATGTTCATATAGTAAGCACTTAGGGTTATCTGGCAAGGTGTCCAATTAAATATTTGCAGAATGAAATATTAAATGATTGAGTGACTGAAAGAAGCATTAGCTCATTTGGAATCATATTACATCATTGATTCACACACAGTAAGCCAACTATCATTCACAACCCTTAAGATTTTTTCTCATTATTGCCCTTATAATATGTGCTCCTCAACCTATAAGCACAATTTGCTTTTGGATTTGTGTCATACTTCACATTTAATGTGGTTTTTTTCTATTTGCCCAAGCCTTCTGGCTTGTTCCAAAGCATTTAGTGTTTTGTCCTCTCATAGTCTTTATTACTTATGTATTCTAACTGATCACCAGAAGATACTATTTCCACACTACCTACACCTTGTTGACTTCTTAAAACATAGGCAAAATACTGGAATGCATTAATGCATTGTAATTCAGGTTAGAAAACCTAGAATTGAGTTCTGGCACCTGTTTCCACTCATCAGTGGGCATGTTTTTAATTCAGGGAGGCAACAAAATAGACTTAATAAGAGCATCAGTTTTGCTGGTCCTAACAGCACCTTGTAGGTGATGTGCTGGGAGGGAGTCTCCCTCACAAACCCACCCTCTTTTTAGTCTAAAGTTTGGAAGAGGCAATGACAGTGAAGTGGCTATGTTGTCTGGGGTAGATACCCAAGGTTCATCACCTCATGCCAGGAAAATTTAGGATATGGACACACATGAGGGGTGTAGGAGTGGAGATTTAATAGGCAAAAGAAAGAGAAAGGAAAACAGCTCTCTCTCTATTGAGAGAGAGGGGACTCCTGAGAGGAAAGAATGATCAGGGACAGATGCATCAGATTTTATAATCAGGTTTGAGGAAACAGTGTCTGATTTACATAGGGCTCACAGATTAATTCAATCAGGTATGACATCATATCATGTGGGGAAAGCTGACCCCTCCACCCTAATATTATTATGAAAATGGGCTTTCCAGTTGACTGGTGCCATCTTATCTGCTCCTTACTGTACACGTGGCTGACAAAGAGAAGGGAAGATGGAGCCACCATTTTGAACATGATTGTCACAATGTCAGCATCTATGTCTGCAGCTTGATTTTTACAGGCTTTCCTTTGTTAGAAAGGAAAATAATTTGGGGCTGCTTTTCAATTAGAGGAAAACCTTACTGAAGACTTCCATGCCCTCACTATCTGCCTAAGTAATTTCTTCTTAACTCCTGTATCGTTCCTCCCTCTGGATTGGTAACCCTAAGTGCTGTTAGGGGTGTTGGATGACAAAGGTTTCTGGCTACTTCCTGCTGAAAAGGGCATTGTGTGAAGAACAGCAGCTAGGGCTCCTCCTGGGGTAAATCTAAGGGTCCTTGGAAGAAAGGCATGTTCATGCATGGTTCTGTCTACAGCACCATTTGGAGTTTGATTGCTGTCAGCCATTCCAGTGGGTTGTAAAACTGGTTTACCTCCACCAGATGTTGCTGAAATGTCAATATAGAAGTAACATTCCTTTTAGGATAAGTGGCATTGGATTTGGGTGGCTAGAGTAACTTTAGTGTTAACCTTGGCTAAATCTTTCCTGCAATTATTAATCCTTTCATGACTACCATAGACCATGTAAGACATGCTTAAACTTTCCAACTTGTCCCAAACATCCTTCTTTTTAAACAACCAACTATTCTTTTTAGGACAAGTATTTACCTTCCTTATAATCCTTTCATGACTTCCATGAACCATCTACAACATGTTTAGACCTTCTGACTTGTCCTAAACATGCTTCTTTTAAACAACCAACTATTGTCTTTAGGACAAGTATTTATCATACAAGATCCTTTCTTACATAAAATCTCTTTCCTTTATAAACTTCTTTTCAAAGCCAGGGTGTGACATATTACCAAACCCAATAAAAAGTTTACAGTTCACAATCTAAAACAAAGATGATACCAGCCCCTTCCTAAGATATACTTCCCTCTTACCTGGGAACCAGACCAAGAAACTAGCCACAAGATTAGAAACCATGGCTTAGGAGTCACACAGCTAGAGGCTACAAGATTTTGACCCTCTCTAAACTGCTCTCAAGATCAGTGCTTAAGATATTTTATAAACCCTGCCCTTGATGGATCAGCTTGCCTACCCAGATCGATAAACTGGCTTATCCAGGCACGGTGTTGAATGTGCCACCCATGGTTGCAGGCGTGACCTCGGCCATGGAACCAGAGGAACTAGGTAATTGGGATTTGTCACGCTCACCCATGCAACTCTAGTGCTCTGCCTGTGACTTCCCTTTGACTATCTAGACTTTTGTGACCTGCCTGGCTCCCCCAGCCAAAAAGAAATGGATCTCAGGAGAGACTACGTGACATTTGCACTTGGGCAACTGTTACACTTCCCTCCTTTATAAAGGAAGTGTGCTGGTTTGAGCTCTATACCCTGCCATTATCACCTGTGCTAAAGTGTTCACCCTCCAAGAATGGTTCTGGTTAACTTCCAAACTTAAAATCCCCTTACTAAGTAAGTACCATTCTAACTGGAGGCAGAATAGGTGCCTTAAAAAATGTAAGGACCAAATGGCCATTTACCTACTGATGGGACAGTATTGAGACTAAAATTTGGTTTCAGAAGATATTTTACTCCTAATTGTTGAAGACAGAATTTTCCCATTCACCAAAGCAGCATAAAGCCTGGTTTTTAGTAGAGGGGCACAAAAAGGGAGAATTGGGAAGCTAGGGTGTTTCAGAAAAAGACCAACAATCTGCCTCATGGAAAGGATCCCTATTCCACTAGGTGGCACTGTTAACCTTGAAACACCATGCGGTTTCCAGTCCAAGGGCAGAGAGAGACCTGGAAATGCCATGTGGTCTCCAGGCCAAGGGCAGAGAGAGACCTGGAAATGCCATGTGCTCTCCAGACCAAGGGCACAGAGTGACTTGGAAGTGCCATGTGCCCTCCAGGCCAAGGGCAGAGAGAGACACTCACTGTGGGTGGGGGGGACCCTCTGTTCCTCAAAAATCACAAGTACGCCTTCCCTTGAGCTATATGCCTAGTTACTATGACATTGCCTAATCTTGCCAAACAAGATTACTTTTGTAAAATTTCCCCCACATTGCATACACAGAGAGGATAGGAGACATGGCTGTCTCAGACAGGAAAGGAGGAAACTACAATAGGAAAGTTGGAGATCCTGTTGCCAACACCCCATCAGGCAGTTGGAGGCTGGCGTCAGTTCAGAAGCCTTTGGATAACCCCGGGGGTTAGCCCCAGCTGGAAATCCTCAGTTGCTCCAGAACCTCTTCCAGCCCCACACGAAGGCTAAGTCCTCCTTGAAAGGAAGCCGGTTCAAACACAGCCAACATGCCCAGTAACCAGGATTCTCCATGTTCTCCCCAGTAATGATCGTATCTGAGTCTTTAAGAACAGCAGCAACACTAACCATATTTTTAACTGGCTGACAGATGCCTGTTATTGATTTGATTTTATTTAGTTCTAAAATGGAGGCTGAGAGCTCCAAAATGAAAGGATAGAGTTGGAGTCCACTCCTCTATTTACCATTTCAATGAATGTTGTACCTTGGTATCCCAGATGAGGTCCCCAATATGAAGCAGCTACATTGTCTGGGGTAGACACCTGGGCTTGTCATCTTGTGCCAGGAAAATTTAGGACACAGACATACACAAGTGGTTTAGGAGTGGGGTTTAATAGACAAAAGAAAGAGAAAGGAAGAGAAAGGAAACTAGCTCTCTCTTTAGTGAAAAGAGGGGACTTCCAAGAGAAAAGACTGGCCAGCAGCAGATGTGCCAGATTTTATAGTCAGGTTTGAGGAGGTGGTGTCTGATTTACATAGGCTCACAGATTGGTTCGATCAGGTATGATGTTTACATAGAGCATGGGGAAAGCTGGCTGCCCCACCCTAATCTTATTATGCAAATGGGCTTTCCAGTTGACCAGTGCCATCTTGTCTGCTCCTTACTGTACACTTGGATGACAAAGAGAAGAGAAGATGGAGCCACCATCTTGAACATGATTGGCACAACTTGCCAGCATCTGTGTCTGCAGCTGGATTTTACAGGCTGCCCTTGTTAGAAAGGAAAATAATTTGGGGATGCTCTTCATTAAAAGGGAAACCTTAATGAAGACTTCCATACCCTCACTATCTACCTAAGAAATTTCTTCTTAACTCCTATATCAACATACTCATACTACTCATCTGCTTCCGCAGAACATCAAGAACATATATTTTAATTCAACAAAACATCTTTTTTTTATACTTTAAGTTCTGGGGTACATGTGCACAATGTGCAGGTTTGTTACATATGTATACATGTGCCGTGTTGGTTTGCTGCACCCATTAACTCGTCATTTACATTAGGTATTTCTCCTAATGCTATCCCTCCCCCAACCCCCCACCCCACGACAGGCCCTGGTGTGTGATGTTCAACAAAATATCTTAAGATCTACTGTGCACCTGTTGTTACAAAGAAGATGCTTACAAAAGCAACAAATACCACCTCTGCCTTTTGTTTTGGTATCTAGCTGCCTCCCACCCCATCCCACCCCAAATACCCACCGCTTTATTCATGACACTGCTGTTTCCGCTTTCTGGCATCTGGAGGCTAACAGCATGTGTAGGGGCTTCTCAGAGGTCTCCAGGCTGCAGATAAGCCATGGTTACCAAAATAATCATTGCAAGATTATACCAATAATGTTAGATGTTGAAGGCATTTCAGACATAAAATGTACTACCAGATGAGACATAAAATGTACTACCATTCTCATGAATGAGAATGAGTTAGAATAGATAGTATCTAGGAAAAACACTTATCTAAAAGCATTTGGAGGGAATTAAAGAAAATTGGCACAGGCAGAATCTAGAAGCCATGTGGTGGAGAAAAGATTTTTTCTGACCTAAAATTGTTTTAGTTTGATCCCCATTTGTTTATTACATCGGAAATGTTCATTTGTCCACACAGTCCTCATAAATAACCAGAATTGTAAAGACTGATGATAGTGGCCATATATCAATTTTCTCTCATATATATACAATACTTAATAGTTCATATGTCTCTTTCTAATTTATCATCTCATTTAAACATCTTGATAACCTTTTGATGTGAGTGCCATCTTCCTCTTTTCAAACATAGGAAGATTCAGTCTTCTTTTAATGATAGGGAAACTATGAACTACTAGTATATGACAAAGCCAGTTCTGGAATGCCATTCTTTATGCCAACCATGTTCAATGTACTTTTCACTGAACCATTTCCAATTCTACTCTCATGTTTATACGAGAATATTCATCAAAGTGAAAATAACCCTAGGAGGTCTCCAACTTTGTTGCCATGCCCAGTACTGTGGCTGAAAGATCCTGCGGAAGTAGTCCTCCAGGATAATTTCAGTCCATGCAGCTGAGTCTCTTTAGTGTCTCAGGATGACCGCCTGTGTGGCCACTATGCTGATGGATCAATAATGAGGCAGAGAGACAGAAAGACCAGGCACAGACCACACCAGAGTAAATCAATCAAGGTCTGCTCAATTAAAAAGTAAAAATTAGGTCAGTATAGGCAGGACACAGCGAAGAGGTTAGCCACATTCTTCAAGGAAGATTTAAGATTTCCATCCTCAAGTGCCTCATCAGTGACCATACTGTTGCAGAAAACAATGTCTGCATAAAGACACATCAGACTTTTTAGAAGCAGAACTGATCTTCTCTAGGCCCAGCCTTAAAACAGGAACTTTTCCAGGTTTATGATGGAAACTACTTCACTTGGGCCAAGTGCACCTCATCAGTCTGAGTTACACAACACAAAATATGAATACAAATCACAGGGCACAGTACACTTGAACTTGGGCACACTTCCCATTCATCATCTTCAGCCTTTCAAGGCAAATGCCACAAAAGTAGAATTAAGATAAGTGATGCAGATCTTGCTACCCAATCATGAAAACAGACACCTGCAACATTTCAGCGTTGTATAACACATCAGTCCTTCCTACAGAGAGGGGTTGGTTAATAGATACAAAATTCAACTAGATAAGAGGAGTATGTTTAGTGTTCTATAGCACTGCAGGGTGACTATAATTGACAATAATTTACTGTATGTTTTTAAATAGCTAGAAGAGAGGATTTTGAGTGTTCCCAAAGAAATGATAAATATGTGAGGTAGTGAATATGCTAATTAACCTGCTTTGATCATTACACATAGTACACATGTATTGAAACATCGCTCTGTGCCCTATAAATATGTACAATTGTTACACATCAATTAAAAATAAAATTAAAAAGAATCAAGAAGGTTTTGGGATGCACAAAAGGATTTTAACCAATGAGAAGTTGGGGTAATTCAAAAGAACACTGTCTGCTACAACTAAAGGACTAGATGGGGACAAGAATGGATGCAGAAAGACTATTTGGGAGGCAACTGTAATGGCCAGCTTCATGGATATGTGGCCTGTGCATTCACATAGGGCTCTGCACTCAGAAGGGCCTTGCTTTGTTTAATGCCCTGCTTTCACCATCTTGAAATTCTCTAAAAAAAAATTTCAAGAAACCCCTGCATTTTCATTTTACAGTGGGTCCACAAATTATTGAACCAGTTCTAGCTATTGCACTAATCCACATGAAACAGCAGGGTCAATAGGAGGAATGAACAACCAGGAAATAATCCACGTGTAGAGTCAAAGCCAAATAACATTTGTCCAACATCACACGACCTTCGTGAATTCGTCCATGTATCCATTCAATACACATTACATTGTTTTCTGTGGGTTTTTACTAGGCCCTGCAGGTTCATAGATGAATAAGGCATTATTTTTATCCTTTAGGACCTTAAGGGCAAGCAATTATAAGTAGGTACACAGAGGAGGGCATTGTAGCTACTGAAAAATACCACTGAGATCTGAATTGATAGCTAGTCTTCACTGTTCGCTAGCTAATTAAGTTAAATTTTTTAACAACTCAGTCTTGGATTTTTTTTCTAGAATGGGAATAATAGTATCTTGATTGTTGATATGACAATTAAAGTAGGCAGAATATGTAAAGTGGTTATTAGAGTATGGCATAAAATTAGCACTTACAGTCATTATTATGACAACAGAATAAAAGATAAATTCAAGCTGAATGGTTTATTATGAGTGTCATAGAAGCAATTGGGAACTAATAATAAACTAAAAATTCGGGGTCAAATGTGCTATAATGAACATGCTGAATTTGGTGCCTGAGCTATGAGTTCTCATCCTGGCTCTGACACAAATGAGCTATGTGACCTTGGGAAAATGACTACTCCTCCGTGGGCCTCAGTCTCTACCTGTAAAATAAAAGGCTTCAAGGGATATTACATTATGTGTGGTGCACATAATATGAACTAGAATAAATCTGCTAAGTGCACAAAAGGTACTTAATTACTTGAAATTATTTTCATAATTTTTAGTAAGTCTGAAGTAGCTTACGAAACAGTATGAGAGCTATGCAATCCTAAATTTGTAAACATACTTTTTTGTATGGGGTAAAAGGAAATGACATTTAGTTAACTCCAAAATTTTAACCATTGTCTTCTCTGGGTGGTAGGCTTAAGGGCAATTTTTATTTTTTTATATGTGCATCTTTATTAGTTTCCAAACTCACTATAATTAGCATAAATATTTCTGTAATGAATAGCACTCAAATATTAATTTTTGTGATACATCAGATAAGATGATCTCTAAAGATTGTTATAGCCCTGAAAATTACATTATGCTACATGGGTTTTCACTTAAGAATGTTCCTTTCTATTAGCATAAAGAGATGACAGTATTAACTCAGTGATTTTATTAATACAAATAAATTAGTTCAACATGTTCTTGGTTTTAAGTCCCTGGCAACCAATATTAAGCAAAACATTATAATACAGTACAGATTTCAGTCATTTGGCTCTCTTTGGAAGTTCTTTAAGGAATCATTGAAACTACAAAAATAAAAACTTTCTAATTTCAAACCACAGTTCTGATGCTCCTCAGCCTGGCTGACTTACTGTGCATATTCTGCAGTCTGTGCTCAGGCTGTTTTTTCCATCTGCAATACAGTGAATGACTCAAAAATTGTTCATAATTTTTACTTTTTCTTCTGAGTTTTGTCTAGTCATCTTTCTATTTTTGGTCAATCACTGCTTTCAAAATAATTCAAGAGGTATTTGTGTTTTCTCTTGAAAATGTGTTTCAAATGATAAATTTCTGGGCTTAAAGTCTTCTGTATGGCAAAGCAAAGGATATCCAAAGTGCCAGGCAGAGCAGGGATTTGGGAAGAAGTCACAAGGAGGAGCTGAACGCAGGACATGCTCATTCAAACTAAGCAATGTGAACAAGTGACTTTTTAAAGCTCCACCACCATGAGCAAGATGATGTGTCAGGTGCTTCACAGGGTGGCAAGGGGGAAATGTGGGCCAGGCACTGTGCCAAGCACATAACCATGATTAACTCATTTAATCCTCACAATTATAGAGGTATACACTATTAAATACATTCAACTGAGGCTCAGAGATGTTAAATGACCTTTCCAAGGTCAAACAACTGGTCAGTAGAAAAGCTGACATTGGAACCTGGATCTTCACGAGTCCAAACCTCATGTCTTTAATCTTTTTTCAGGGGTCCACAAACTTCAGAGGCTAGAGAATTGAGTGACATGAAAGAATAAAAGGATGGTACTGGAATGTGTCTATGTCCTCAAAATAAGCCTGATGGTGATGGTGGATGGCTGGAAGGATGGATGGATGGATGGATGGATGGATGGATGGATGGATGGATGGATGGATGGATGGATTCATGGATTCATGGATTCATGGATTCATGAATGGATGGATGACTCCTCAGCCCTAAAATGCAGGATGACAATGTGTGGCTCACAGTCCAGCCCTCTTCACTTTAGCACTCACAGTGGACAGCTCTGTTAGCACTCTCTCCTCCTGAGTCTACATATGGCTTCAAACATGATATATGACATTTATTTTTTATCCCCATACTGGAGACCTATAAACCACCTAGCTAAGCAAAATAGATGTCCTGTACCTAGAGAACCCATCCCACTTTTTCCTTGTGAAGCCTTATCTTTTAGGATTCAGCTCTTCAGCCTTCCCTGAACACCCAGCCTGGGTTGCTTTTTTTCCCGTGTATTCCTATGGCAACAAGGATGTATCCTTTCCACGGAGTTTATCATATTATAAAATTATCTGTGTATTTATTTCTCTTACTTAATGTTTCAAGGACAAAGACAACATGCCTTCTTCATCTCTATATCCCAGAATATTATGCCTGGCACACAGTAGATGCTCAATAATTATGTGCTTCTCTGGGTCTATAGAAGCATAATAATTAGTATCATCTATTGTTAACATCTTTTCTCCAAGGTATTCACAGATTTGACTCTTGTCCCAGCCCACAGAGTTATTTGGTCCTCTTAATCCTCATATGCAAAATACCTCCCTAAGAATGTACATTTTCACTCCTAAGTCTAAGTCCCTGTCCAATCCTGATGAGTTGAACTGTGCCTGGCCCAGTATAAGCTGGGAAGGTTTTTTTAGCATAAAGCTAGATTCCATCTTCACATGGATTTTGATAGGAAAGTATAAAGGCTGTTTAAAATCTATAAAATGTGTTCTGCACATAGAAAACATTATTATTAATGTGAGTGTACCATCTAGACACTAGACTCTAGAATCTCTTTCACCATATGTGTTCTGGGTCACCTCATACCCTTGGGGGTCAATTGATTTTTGAATTAGCCAATGTGCAAACCCTTAGAGCAGCCACTATCACATAATAGGTGCTGAAAAGATGTGTGTTTTTTTCTTTTTATACCACTCCTTTCTGAACCTCAGTTTTCTCATAGGTCTCCTTGAAGTCCCCCCATGGTTATCAGTTCCTTTTTTCTTCCAACAGAGATTTCCTGGGGACCAAGGAGGTATCACTGCTACTGATGGCCATGTTCCTCCTGGCTGTGTTCTACCATGGACAGCAGGTAATCTAACATTTCGCTCTGACTGCTCTGTTACCTGACATTTCTTGTTACCATCAAACTGGCCTCTGCTGCTCTTTGCAGCAAATAACTTTTAGCTGCCTGTGGCAAGTTGTGGTTCTTAAAGAATCAATTCCTAATAAAGACCACCTAATGAAAAACAAAGCTGGAGAAGATCTGGTAAACAATGTGGTTTTAATGACCTTTGGATACATCTCTTTCAAAATATCATCCTAGTGAAAGAGCTTTCAATTTCTGCCTAAGACAAACTGGGATCCCTCCCAATTCTGTTGCCTGGATGAAATTATTACTACTACAAAAGTTGTGTGCTATATTAGGTAAACATGTGGGTTCAGCTGAGCCTGGATTCTAATCACAGTTCTTACTCTCAGCAGTGTATGATTTTGGGCAAGTTACTTATCTCCATGAGCCTCAGTTTCCTCAACTCTAAAATAAATTAGTAATACCTAAATAGGGCTGTCTTGAGGAAGCGTTGCAGATTACTGTGTGTAGAATTTTGTGCACTGACTTGCATTGTTTATAATAAAGACTTCGTTACAGATCTGTCCTAATTAGATAAAATGCCTGCCATATGGATTATGCTTTCCATGAGCCCCTACTCTTTACCAGAATCTGGAGTGGGCACTGTGGGCAGAACTGTACAAAATCCCAGCTCTGGTCCAGTCTCCTGGAGTAGAGCTGACCCCAAATAATGCAAACATGTTATGTGTGGAACAGACTTAGCTAGGGACTTCGAGAAAGAAAATTATTCTTCATAGGAACATCTAGGCAGGGTTCTCAAAGACCAGTAGGTCTTCTCCAGGTGAACTCCAACCCATGAACGTTCGTCGCTTGGGGAGATTCTCACCCCCTGGTAGAAATCAGGCACTGCCTCCCTCACTACCCTTCTCTGGATCTTGGTCCATCTTTCTGTGGTCTGTGTGTACTTCAAAAACCATAACCAGAAAAGGAGGAAAGCACAGCAAGGAGACTGTCAGCCAGACCAGAAATAGAAGCACATTGCTGGGAAATCACCATGGAAATGGAGGTAACGAACCCTGAGAAAATAGGGATGAAACAGCCCAAAACCCCAAGAACACAGAGACACATAATTAAAGTTATTTGTAATAAAGGGGATTGTACAGTGTAGTCAAGAAAAAAATAGATAATATTAAAACTTGGCAAGTGAAGGAAATGAATAAAGAATTAATATTTATTGAGTCCCTACTATGTGCCTAGCACTTTCTCTCTATTCTCATTTAATCCTATCAACAACCTGGAATGGAAGTTATTATTACTCCTGTTTTATGGACGATGAAAGTAAGGCTATTCAGCTAGTAAGTAGGAGGACCAGAATTCAAATCCTGATCTGTCTTCAAAGCCTCCCCTTTCTACTTCACTGGGCTGATCAGAGCAGAACAAAGATGCTGTCTGCATACGAACACAGTGACCCAGGACACTGCATCTTGCAATATGCTTTGACTTGTTTTCCCATTTTGGCTAAAATTATGATGAAACACTAGGCCAAATGTCAAAGTCTAGCCATTTCTAGAATTCCTGTTTTTAGGTCTTTCCAGCTATCTGTGAGGACTGGGGTCTTGTCTTCTGCTACTTGACAGCTTTCATTTCTAGGGGAGAGTGCCTTAGTCTGACACACAAATGACAATCCATTTGAGAACTACAAAAACAGATTTAGACAAGGCCATCACCCTATAGACAAACATATGCTCACTCAATTACACAGGTTTTAAATTGACAAGTGAGAAATCCCTGGAAATAGCTGAGAGAACAAGTTCTGGGTAAGGGTCGTCATTCCATAAAAAGGAGAATGGTTCTGTCTCTTCTGTCACCTTAGGGAATTACTTTGTGCCCTGTCAGTGCCTTCCTCAAATGGTACCCTAATAACATTCAGATTTGATTTATCCTGTGCTCCATTTGTCCTGGGAAAGCAGATAACCTAATTGCATTAAGATTATAGGTAAAGTACGGGTATGTAAGTATTCAGTGAGGGTCTGAGTGACTGGGTTTAAGTGACATCTGATATTTTTCCCTTTTATTTTTAACTTTCAAAAGGCTTTGAAATTATATAACCACATCTCATCACTATAGCAGTTACAAGTACAGGCTTTGGAATTGGGCAGATAGTATTAAAACCCCAACTCTGCCACTTAGTAGCTATGTGACTTTCAACAATTTACTTAACTTTCTGATTTTCAGTTTCCTCACCTGTAAAATGGGTATGATAATAACAAGTTCTACTTCATCGGGTTGTTAGAGTGTTATATGAGAATATAATTGTAATATACTTATCCCAGTGGCTCGCACATATAAATTTTCAAAATTGATAGCTATTAATATTTTACTTTAAAAATAAGCTGATGACAAAAACAAGGCAGGTATTGTTAGCCATCTGGTCCTAAGACAAGAACAGAGATTGAAGTCCCCTGAGGTCACAAAGCCTGTAAGAAACGCCAGACTGGAGCGGGAATCCAAATGCTCAAGCTCCTAGTTCCATTCTGTTTCCTTCACATGCCACTGCCTCCCTGTGATAGGGGCGGCTTTCTGCAGGGTTGTATCACTTCAAGTGTCTTCTATCTGCAGCATCGTTTTGGGTCCTGTTAATCTCCGATCAAGCCTGCCCACTCCTGGGCTTGCTCCCTGCTTCTACTGGTTTTCCCTTGTGACTCAGAGGCCCTCTATTTTTAATAGGGGCTAAATAATGCCCACTGATGCCTGGTACGCAGAAGCGTCTGGTGGGGGCATGTGTAATTAAACATCTCCAGAGGGACGGAGGTGGTTATGTAACTGAATAATTGGAAATTTTTATCTTGCACATATGTGGAAATGACATGCCAAACACTTCCTCCTCTGAGGCAGGTGAACATTCTCAACATTGAACAGAGACAGCAAACAACTGGGTGCCTCCCACCTGGTGCCTGATTCACTGGTAGCCCTGGAGGTTTGGGCTTTGCCTGGGACTCTTCGGTTTTAGCAGAGGAAGCCACGCCTCCACAAGGAGAAAGAGAATAATGAGGTCCTGTCTCCAGTAACTTCCAGGTGTGATAATGGCAGGCACCTGAGATTGTGTGGCTCAGAAGGAAAGACTCAAGCCTTGGAACCAAATATTCTTGCTTGAGTCCTAGCAATTCCACTTCAAGAATAGGTAACCTTGAGAGACTCAACCTTCCAGGGCTGTCATTTCTTACAGTTTATTGATTGCATTCTCTAAGGCATTTAAGAAATTCCCCTGTCCTTTGTTTTTGTTTTGTTTTGTTTGTACTGTATTTCTGTCCAGAAGCTTGGTGAGATTCAGGTTTAATGATTTCTGCAAAACATTTAATTGGTTGGTTTTATAGACTACAATTAGGGGGTGCATAATGTCTCCTTATCTTTTTGTGATGTTAGCAGCTGCTTATGATAATCGCCTATATTCACTTATTTTATACAGTGATATGCTAATCCTATCAGTTCTCCATAATTTATTAGCTGGAATACGTTACTAAAGAGAACCATCTCCTCACTATTTGTTACCTGGAAGTACAATTCATAAAGCAAAGATAAATGCTGAATTTTTTCCCTATAAGTTTGTTTAAGTTTCCCCATAAGTTTTTTCCCTAGCATCATTCAGAGGTGACCATGAGGTTCTGGTTTTTAAGTGTCATTTTGAATTTACACATTTTACCATATTCTCTGTGTTTCAATTCATTGCAATTATTAGTCTTATTAAGCTAAACGTGTCACATCTTTGACTAGTGGGAGTTCATTCAAGTTGGCTTTTGCATCATTTTGACATAACCCTGGTAGTCTCTGATAGACTCCTGGTTTCCCGTATTAAAAAATCTTCCAATAAAGTCATTTACTTAAAACAAGACATAATTAAAAGTACCTAAAATTTGGGCACCTCTGAAAAGAATGGGAATTTTTTTGTAGGAACTGATATTTAGAAACCACAATCTGGACACTGGGAGTTATTACTACTAAGTTTTCATTGTTTCTAGAACTTGATTTCAGTGGGCAGAGCTAGAAAATCTATACATCATGAGTTCACAGTGTGATACTTCCACTTCATAGTGAGGACCACAAGCTTTTGACTTAACTTCATCAATCTTGTATCTGCAGCTCCTTTTTCTCTTCCCCAAAATTCCAGTTTTAATGACACCAACACAGTTACTCATTTACTTTATCTTGTGATTTACTATAATAGTCTAAGTATATTAATACAATTGTTACCACCTATAATGTGATTATTGTAAACAGTTTTGACATTCTTGTTGAGCTCTTTTTATCCTTAGGGTATTTCCCTCTGGCAGCATGTCATCAAATTATTGTGCAAAAGGACATCTGATATAGTTCCTCTCTGTGTAGGTTCATTTGTTGGTTTGTCTGCTTGGTTATTTGTTTTTACAGAGTTTTTTGATAATAGATTTAGTTTAATAAGTAAAATATTGGAATTATTCTAAAGTTATTTACTTAAAACAAGACATAATTAAAGAAATTTAAATTCTAACCCTATTTTCCCACACCATTCCCTTCCTTTGTCATTTCATAGATTAAAATATAAACCATTTTATAAAATGTAAAATGGTTTATATGTTAATGTTTTAATAAATTAATTAAGAAGGCCAGTCACAGTGGCTCATGCCTGTAATCCCAGCACTTTGGGAGGCAGAGGCAGGTGGATCACGAGGTCAGGAGATCAAGACCATCCTGGCTAACACGGTGAAACCCTGTCTCTACTAAAAATACAAAAAATTAGCTGGGCGTGGTGGCAGGCACCTGTGATCCCAGCTACTCGGGGGGCTGAGGCAGGAGAATGGGGTGAACCCGAGGGGCGGAGCTTGCAGTGAGCTGAGATAGTGCCACTGCACTCCAGCCTGGGCGACAGAGCGAGACTCTGTCTCAAAAAAAAAAAAAAAAGAAAAAAAAATTAATTAAGAAATATGTGTGTGTGCATGCATGTGGATAAAGAGATCGATCTTTCTTAGATAAATGGTAGCATACTATATACACTTTTCTCCTCTTGGAGACCAGTTCCTCAAAGTATGGAGAGATAGTCTTCATTTCTTTTTAATAGCTGCATCATGTTCAATGATATTTCTGTACTAAAGTTTACTCAGCCAACAAAATGAACATTTGGTTTGTTTCCAGCCTTTGTTATTAAAAATTCTGCTGAATGGATAACCTTTTGCATATGGTCTTTTCATACTTTTGCCATCCACTGAGACTTTAAAATTTTTTTAAAAAGAAAAGAAGCTATCTGAACTGTCTAAGCCCTTGAATTCAGGGCAGCTCACCATGTGTTTACCAGGGCAGCATACTGTTCATGTCAACAGTTAAAGACTGAAATAATGACATACGCAGAACTGCAGTAAAAACGGGCTGTGAGATCCTTTGGAAAGGACACTGTGCACCTTCTCATGAGAGGGGAGGCTAGGACAAGAGGGAACCAATGTGTATTGAGTGCCTACTATGTGCCATGTGTTTATCTATAACTTCCTATAATGCCTATTCCGCCCCTGCCTGGTCACTGATGTTCACATCAATTTCAGAGATGAGGAAACTGAGATGAAGTAACTTGTCCAGGGTTAAAGTGTGTAAATGTGGAACTAGAACTCTAAGCTATATCTGTCTAGCAACTAAATCTGTAATCCTTTCACTAATGAGTTCATTCATTTATTCTATATTACCTAGTGGTTAACAATTCAGATTCTATATTCTGATTTTTGAATCAAGTTCAAATCCTGGCTTCCACTAACTCATGTGTGATCTTAGTCAAGTTATTAATTCATGTTTGCTTTGATTTTCTTATCTGTAAAATAAGAAATGACAATAATACCTTCCTATTAGGGCTATTACATGGATTAAAGGATTTAATATATGTATATTGTTTAAAAACATTCCTGGTATATGATAAGCACCATGTAAGTGTTAGCTAGTTTTATTATGATAACTTATTTAATGAGCCATCAAATATTAAGTGCCTGCCCTGTGCCAAACCTGTTACTACGTGGTAAGTGTATTCGTATCTCCACCTGTCGTACATAACAATATGCCATAGACTGAGTGTATTTAACAACAGAAATTTATCTTCTCATGGTTCTGGAGGCTGAGAAGTCCAAGGTCAAGATCTGGAAGGGTTTGTTTTCTGATGAGGGCTCTTATTTGGCTTGCAGATGGCTGGCTACCTGCTTGCTGTATCCCAACCTGGCCTTTTTTTAGTGTGTGCATGTGGAGAGAGAAAGAGCGAGTGTTCTCATGTCTCTTCCTACAAGGGCAGTAATCTCATCCTGAGGGATACACCAGCATGACCTCATCAACCCTAATTACATCCCAAAGTTTCCATCTCTAAATGCCATCACATTGGGGGTTAGGGCTCCAATATATGAATTTGAGAGGGACACAGACATTCAGTCTGTAACAGTAAGGATGTAAAGTCGAACAGATAGAAGCACCTCTGACGATATGATATGGTTTGGCTGTGTTCCCACCCAAATCTCACCCTGAATTATAATAATCCCCATATGTCAAGGATGGGTCCAGGTGGAGATAACTGAGCCATGGGGGCAGTTTCCCCCATACTGTTCTCATGGTAGTGAATGACTTTCATGAGATCTGATGGTTTTATAAATGGGAGCTCCCCTGCACAAGCTCTCACTTGCCTGCTGCCATGTAAGAGGTTCCTTTGCTCTTCCTTCATCTTCCACCATGATTGTGAGGCCTCCTCAGCCATGTGGAACTAGAAGTCCATTAAACATCTTTCCTTTATAAATTATCCAGTCTTGGGTGTATTTTGATTAGCACCACGAGAATGGACTAATACACCATACAACACTGACAGTCTAGTAGAGGACACCAACATTATCAGGTAATCACACAAACAAGTATGAAATCACAGGGGGCAATAATGCTGTGAAAGGCAGGCGCACATCCCTGTGAAACCTAATCATTCTCTGATCACTTGGCTTCCAACAAAATGCCTCCCAAAATATTCAGATCAGGCTCTGTTTCATTTGTGAAGAGTTCCAGAGAAGCCTTTCCTGCCTCCCAGTTGTCTGTGCCTGAAGCCTACACCTCAGAAGTTTACCTCATTCTCCTCTTTCTCTCACATGTACTGCAGCTGGAGTACACAGCCCGCCTGGACTTCCTTTGGCGAGTACAGGCCAAAGAGGAGATCAATGAGATGAAGGAGCTGAGGGAACACAATGAGAACATGCTCCGGAATATCTTACCCAGCCATGTGGCCCGCCATTTCCTAGAGAAGGACCGAGACAATGAGGTGAGCCAGGGGCTGGTCTAGCCAGTGAGAAAGGGTGGTGGTGGGTGATGTGCAGTTGTTCACATTGATCCCAAACTCTGGGAGAATTTCACTGTCATCATGTGAGTGCATGAGAATGGAGAAACTCCTAACACTATGAAATTTACACATGGCCTCCCAACCTCAGGCACCTCATCTACAAGATGGATATAATAAGGTCTCCATTGAAAGACTACATTGGAATTTTAAAGTTGTATGTGCATATGCATGTGTGTGTGTATATATATGTATATATATGTATGTGTATGTACGTATGTATGTATATATACACAACAATTTCACTTCTGGTTATATACCCAAAATAATTGAAAAAAGGGTCTCAAAGACATATTTGTATATCTAGAAGCATTATTTACAATAGTCAAAAAGTTGAAGCAGCCCCAAGGGTCCACTGATGGACGAATAGATAAACAAAATGTGATATATACATAAAGTGGAATATTATTCAGGCTTTAAAAAGAAGGGAATTCTCACACATGCTACAGCAATGGATGAATTTTGAATACATTACGCTAAGTAAAATGGGCCATTCGCAAAAAATAAATACTATATTATTCCACTTATATAAGGTACCTAGAGTGGTCAAATTCATAGAGATGAAAAGTAGAATGGTGGTTGCCAAGGGCTGGAGGGAGGGGAGAATTGGAGTTATTGTTTCATGAGTGCAAAGAATTTCAGTTTTGCAAGATCACAAGAGTTCCAGAGATAGATGGTGAAGATGGTTGCACAACAATGTGACTATACTTAATGCCACTAAACTATACACTTAAAAATGGTCAAGATGGCCGGGCGCAGTGGCTCACGCCTATAATCTCAGCACTTTGGGAGGCTCAGGCGGGTGGACCATGAGGTCAGGAGTTGAAGACCAGCCTGGCCAAGATGGTGAAACCCCGTCTCTACTAAAAATTACAAAAATTAGCCAAGCGTGGGGGCAGGCGCCTGTAATCCCAGCTACTTGGGAGGCTGAGGCAGGAGTATCGTTTGAACCTGGGGGGCAGAGGTTGCAGTGAGTTGAGATTGTGCCACTGCACTCCAGCCTGGGCGACAGACTGAGAATCCATCTCAAAAAAAAAAAAAAAGATCAAGATGGTAAATTGTATATTATATGCATTTTACCACAATTAAAAATAATAAAATATATGCATGTATATATACATAAATGTATGTATGCATATATGTGTGATACATGTGTGTATATTTATATATCAATATCTATACACATATATGCACATATACATACATATGTGTGTATATATCTTCTTAGCCCATTGCCTAGCATGTAGCAAATGCTCATTAATGTTCTTTTTACTTAAAACTGTTTTTTCTTATTACATTATGAAGGCAGTCTAGAAGTCTGAAATCAAGGTGCTGGGAGTCTCATGCCCTCTCCATAGGGTCTGGGGGAGAATCTCTCCTTGGCTTTTCCAGCTTCTGTTAGGCCCAGGAGTTTCTTGGCTGTGGCCACTTGGCTCTAATTTCTCTCTCCATTTTCACACAGCCCTTCTTAAAAGGACAAGTGTACTCTCCTTTTAACATCACCAGTCATAGATTTAGGGCTCACCCTAATTGAGTATGACCTCATCTTAATTACACCTGCAAAGACCCTATTTCCAAATAGTACCATGTTGGACATGACTGTTGAGGGGAGCATGAGTGTTGGTGGCAGGAGGCACTAGGCACTATTCGGACCACTAGAAGGAGGAAGGGTTGTATGGTGAGAGCTGTGAAGGGAAACCCTAGACAGAGCCTAATGGTCAAGCTCCATGGGCGATGGTCATTTCCACATACAATGGGAGCCTTTGGAAGTTTTAAGTGTAACCTAGTCAATTGGCTACTGATAGAGAGTGGATAGGAGGATCATGCAACACAAAGCCAGGCAGGAGACTCTAAAAGGGCCCAGGCAAGACCCTGGTGATGAGGCCTAGGATGGTGGCAGTGGAGATGGAGAGAAGAAGATGAATTACAGACACCTTTAGGATATAGAATCAATAGTTCTTGATAATGGAGCAGATGTGGGAGGTGAGAAATGACAAAATCAAATGATTTGGTTCCCCCTCTAACCTTCAAGGGAAAGTAACTCAAGAGGGAACTGAAGGTGTCTTTGAAAGCCCAAAGTGGCATTATTATGTGAATGGGTTTGGTCTTACTCTGTGAGACTCCCAAGGGAAGGTCTAGAACCATGGACTGGCCCACAGGGGACATCTTTGGGTTTCGTGTTAGGAGGAGCCTTACAAGGACAGAGCCATCAGGCCATCTCATCCTCCTAACACAGTTAGATCCACAAAGCAGGGACTACATCACCCTTGGTCACCACTGTGCCTGGCTGTGGCCCCTGCTCTTAAAATGCCTGTGGATGAACTGGAGTAGTGGGCTCCCTTGCTGAGGCATTTAACTTGGGAAAGCTAACCCCTTGCTGAGGATGCTACAAAGGCAATATGGATTGTCTGAGAGGCAGGGATAATACCGCTCTTCCAGGACTAGATTTTCAGACTGAGCTAAACAGGAAATGAAAAACCCTTAGGACAAGAATTACGAACTCTAAGACCCTGAGACAAATCTGACCAATGAGCCAGTTGGCTTGGACAGTGGGTTAGTTGATTGGTTTATAGTTAATTTATGAATGGCTCTTCAGTTTACCCATCTGTACCCTGCCATTTATGTTACCTGTAGCGCCCCTAAAAGCATTGGGGTTTGTGATCCTTGCCTTAGGACCATAGAGGGCAGAGCTAGGAGAGAATGATGAGGTCCATTTTTCATCTGAGCCACTGAAGAAAAACTAGTGGAAGACAAGCCAAGGGAATGAGTAATCAGCCACTGGAATAATCAGATCTTGATGTACTCAGGTCTTTGAGAGTCTCTTGGGTGCGGAGACTCCACCCTCCTCAACAGATGGAGTTCCCTGAAACTGGGCTCAGGCCTGGTTTCCTCAAGGCTCCCTAAGGTCAGTGTCTTTGTTGCAAGAGCTTCTTGATGAAGCCATGGAAGCAGAGAGAATATCAGTGTGTATCAACCATGACCACCAGATGGAGACAATAAAACCCCACATGTAAAATCCAAAGAGAAATGAGAAAAAAAAACAGCTTTTTAATCAAGACACCGAAACAGTGAGGCACATAGGACCAGTGGAGAAGAGCAAGGACATACTGGTTCCATCCTGAAAGGAAGGAAACCAACCAGAGACGCATGCTGAGACTCCAGGTCATCAGCTGTCATTCAGGCCAAAGCAAAATAAAGGACTGCTTCAGCATTAATCGCATGTATAAGACATCTTGTCAGGATTATTTGAGATTTTATAAATATTTAAACAGTTCACACTGGACTAGGATTAAACACCAATCATGGTTACATTGCCTAGAGAATTTTCACATTAGGATAAAACATCATTTACTGAACACCTACTCCATGCCAGATACTGAAATAGGCAATTGAGAAAATTATCTTTCATTCTATTTACAACCTTGAGAGTTCCATCAGCCTCATAGTATTGATGAGGAAACTGGGGCCCTGAAAGGTGCAGGGTATGCCCTACTTTCTTTATGCAAAGCCACAAGGGGAGTCCAGTCCCTCAGATTGCTTTCTTCTGTGCCCCTCTCCCCCTTACAATGCTGCTACCCATACCACCTCTGGAGTATGGCAAGACTAGTGTGTGTGTGTGTGTGTGTGTGTGTGTGTGTGTGTGTGTAGAAAAAGAGAGAAAGACAGAGTCATACAATATGTGAAAGGGTGACAGGGAAGGGGCAGGACTGTAGTGGCCGGCAAGAACTCCCAGTTTCATTCTCTGTTACCGTAAGAGGCAAAGGCATTTTTAGTTTCTCCTCTTGCTACAGATCTGAACTGTGATACAAATTTCTGAACATCTGACTGGGGACATCTGTGAGTTTCACGGAGCCACAATAGCACCCAAAGCACCACCTTTTCCTCTTATGCCAGGTATCTCCCAGGTGTATCCCTGAGGTGGCAGTGCCTTCATGGCTGATCTTCAGCTGACCTAGAAGAGTTGTGTGATGCACAAAGCCTCCAACTGACTTGTTTGCATCAATGTGGGCCTCACACTTTAGAAAATAATTCCACAGACCGCACTCAAAGAGGAACCGAATGTACAGCCTCCAGCTGGCAAAGCCAGATAACTTCTTAGTTGTAACTTTTGTGTATGTCCCTGGCCACAGCAGCCAGGGGTATGCTGAAAGCCATCAGTGCCATCATTGCTGCAAGCTCAGACTCTCTTTTCTCTCCCTCCTTGGATTCTAACCCCTTTTGAGGTGTTCCAAATAAGGCCATGTGACCTAGTGGGAAAATCCCAACGTATTAAGCCAGAAGGACATGTATTCAAATCCCAGCTCTTCCACTTACTAGCGTGTGATTTGGAGCAAGTTAGTTAAGTTCTCTGAGCCTCAGTTTCTTCAACTGTAATATGATTCTAATTCTTACCCTCCTAGGACCAGATGTTAATCAGTCAAGGAGGTGGAGGAAAAGAATTCCAGACAGACAGGCCCAAATGGCCAAAGGCATAAAAATGAGATACTATAGGATATTTGCTGAGAAGGACTGGGGGGACTACAAGCACCCAAATATTTTAAGGGAAAGAACAGGCCAGAGCAAAGGTATCATAAGTACAAAGAGACAAGTCTTGAAGAGCATTGAAGTAGCTTGGATCTGATTCAATGTGTAATAGGAGGTAGGAACTATTATCCCCATTTTCTAGATGAAGAAACTGAGGCTCAGGGAAGGAAAGAAATTTACCCATGGTCACAAAGCTAGTGAGTAGTGAGCTCAAATCCAAACCCAGGTATGCGTAACACCAAAGCCAGTGTTCTTTCCCCTCCACCTCACTGTAAGTACATGCAGAGAAGGGAAACTGTGACAAAGGATGACTCAAACCATCCAAACACAGGCGGTGGACAGGGCCTCACACCCAGAAGCATTCTGTCCAAGGCAGTGTTACCCACACCAACATTCTGGCAGCTTCTGCTATTCTGCTGTGCTTTTGGCTTAGAATAGCACTCACTTCCTCTGGTCAGGAACATTCTTGCAGATAAAGCCAGCTGGAGGTCCGGCCTGAGTATCTCATCAATGTCAAGCAGGCTAGCTCTGAGTCCCGGGAAACCCACTGGCTCATCATGGCTTTATGAGGAGTTGTTGAAAAGACACTAGCAAGGGCAGCTGTCCCAGGTGCTGGAGAGTCCACACAGCATAAATCCCATCTCTGTCACTAACTAGCTGTGTGACCTACGCCAGGTTACCCAACTCTTTGGAGTCCATTTCCTCATCTGATTAATAGGGGAAATAATACCGACCTTGCTGAATTGGGGTCAGAGCTAAATCGGATAACAACACATTAAGTCCCCAATGCAGCCCGGTGCCAGGCAGCTTCATTATAGAAAGGCCGTGTGTAGGTGCATTCAAAACCCCAGTGCTGTGGGTTTAGTTCTGGTTCCTCCTTTCACTACCTTTATGACCAATGGCAAATGATAATAACCCTTTCTGGACCTCATTTTCCTCATGCCCCTTGTTGTGCTACAAAGGGATCATAACCATACTCTGCATCTTCATCTGATTCATTACATTTACATGCGTTATCAAGCCTAAAGCACTTACATGGTGCTTGACATATTTTAAACGCACACTGGTTGTTGGCTATTGTTTTTTATATATGTGAGTCATTGCTATTTTTTCTACTCCTTCCCAGTCACAGCCCCATCCCCTATCCCTTCATTCAACCATTCCTTCCTCAAGTATTTATTGAGGGCCAACCATGTGCCAGGTGCTATTCTAAATACCGGGGTTAAAACAGTGAAAAAACAACAAAGGCCTTGATGCTCTGAAACATGTGTTTCTGTGGGAAGACAAGACAGTGAAGCAAATAAATAAATATATAACATAGTGTCAGAGAATGATGAATTTGATGAGGATAGAAGTAGCTGAATAATGGAATAAAGTGTTGAAAGGGTATTTACAATGGTATCTTAGTTTGTTTGTGCTGTTATAACCAAATACTTGATACTGGCCAATTTTTTTTTTTTTTTTTTTTTTTTTTTTTTTTTTTTTTGAGACGGAGTCTCGCTCTGTCACCCAGGCTGGAGTGCAGTGGCGGGATCTCGGCTCACTGCAAGCTCCGCCTCCCGGGTTCACGCCATTCTCCTGCCTCAGCCTCCCAAGTAGCTGGGACTACAGGCGCCCGCCACTACGCCCGGCTAATTTTTTGTATTTTTAGTAGAGACAGGGTTTCACCGTTTTAGCCGGGATGGTCTCGATCTCCTGACCTCGTGATCCGCCCGCCTCGGCCTCCCAAAGTGCTGGGATTACAGGCATGAGCCACCGCGCCCGGCGATACTGGCCAATTTTTAAAGAACAGAAATGTCTTTCCTCCCAGGTCTGGAGAATGGAAAGTCCAAGATCAAAGTGCCAGCAGGTTTCATGTCTGGTGTGGGCCCTTGTTTCTGCTTCCACGATGGCACTTTAAACTCTGTGCCCCCACATGGTGTAAGAGCCAGAAAGAAGAAATCCACTCCCTCATACCCTTTAACAAGGGCCTTAATGCTATTCATGAGAGCTCCACCTTTATCACTTAGTCACCTCCTAAAGCCCTCACCTCTTAATACTATCCCACTGGCAGTGAAGTTTCAACATATGAATTTGGGGGACACATTCAGAAAAGAGCAAGGGTCATGGAAGCTCTCTCTAAGGAGGTGACATTTGATCAGAGACCTGAATGACATGAAAGGATGCTAATAAGGTTTGCAAGTCTCAGACATAGTTTCTCCCATGCTGAGAGGTGGCTTAACTTGGTATAAGCAACGCAGGACTTGGAGTTGCTTGAGCAGGTGAAGGACCAGACTATAGTTCCCCAGGCAGAGAGGACGTCAGTCCTCATACTGACATATGCAGGTGTGCGACGGAGCGCATGCACATGTTCAAAATCCTCTACTAAGTCCATACCTTCGACCAACCAGAGGAAGATCACAATAAACCAATAATAGCTTTTCTATATTCATCAATTCCTCCCCAGTTTACAAAGTGTTTTTATATTTTTGAAGCCCAAAATATCAAGAAACAGATGGCACACTCAAGGCTGTTGACTGGAGTGAGTTGAGTGAAGGGACTGTCTCGGAAGGTGTATGTAGGTTGTCCAGAGCTCCTCCGTGTGCCCCTCAAAATCCCTTCACCTCTTCTCTCTGCTCTTCCTGAGGGGTCACGGGTGAGAGGGCTCATCTACATGGGTTACATCTGTGACCTGCTAGGCCCTCAGGCACCCAGGTGAGGGATCATCAATGGCCGGCCCTGGGTAAGAGATGAGGGGAAGTGAGGAATGTGAGGTGAGGATGTTTATTCCCTTGCGATTGCCTGAGGCTGGCTATGTCACTTCACAGAAATTAATATCTCCTCCCAAGGCCACTGCTGTGCTGCCTCCAATGTCAAACGAGCTCACTCCTTTTGGGCTCTTCTCATCCCTTTGAGCCTAGAGGGATGACTGCTCTCCCACCACTAGCCTTGGGTTTCTGGGAGATTTCTTAGGGTTTCCCTACTTCCTGCCCTCATCTTTCTAATTAAGCCCTTTATCAGTTAACCCTTCCTGAATCATCTTGATCTGAATGTGTGCCCTCTTTTCTGCTGGGTCTCTAATTGAAGCAATAGGGATAAGGAGGAGATGAATATTCCACTGTGCTCAGCAATTGTGGGAAGCTGTGATGGCTCCCAGGCTGAAAGGGACAAGGAGAAAAAGCAGTTACTGGAACCAGCGTGAGTAGCCACTGCCAGTCATGGCACAGAGGAGCAGGCAGACAACTGGAGTGGAGCATCTCAGGGCCACCAAGGGCAAAAGCAGAGCAAGAGCTGGCACTGTCATCAACTGCTGAGGGACCTGTGGTCAGAGGAGTCACCTCACTTGCCCAGAGTCATGTGCCCACAGCTGTGGGGGTCGAGCGCTCCTCTCTTCCCACGTTCCTGCCTTCACCAGCTGAGGAGGAAATCCCTCTAACACCGTCCACCCTGTGGGGAAATGCCGGGGAGGGAGTCTCTCCCTCTCTTATGGTGCTTTACCCCACCAGACTGGGGAAAGACAGGGTCACTGGACCTCGAGACAATTGTGGGGCCCGGGTGCTAAAGACCCACAAAGACCTCAATCTGTCTTGTATCCTCATGGACCTGTTTGTGCCCAAGGTGAACCCACCTTCTCCTCACATGTGGCAAGCCACATAACACAGGTTTCCCTTTCTGCCCCACAAGAAGCTAAAGACCCACCATTCTCCAGGCTCCCTGCCAGCCACTGAATAGACAAATTAGCTCAGTCCCACTCTGTCTCACAGGAAGGAGCTAAAGGTTCCCATTTATGCCTCAGATCCAAGACACATTGTCCAATCCATCCTTATCTGAGAGTCTGTGTTGGGGGTTTGGTCTTCAACTGACTGTCAGACCCCTGTAGCCACTCCCTCCATCAGTTAGCATCTTATGGAAAGGAGGGGTGAGTCCCAGCCCACCCTATTCCCACTTCTCCAACCTCCAGCAGGATACCACAGAATCAAGATCTGAACTCAGGTCATATTTCTTCAAGCTCTTTCTTACCCCTCCACTGTGAAACGACCACCCAATCAGATGGACAAACCTAAACCAGTTTTCAGTTTCCATGTCACTTATTCCTGCTTGTCATTATTATTATTACTGCTGTTGTTGTTGCTATAATTATAGTTATTATTAGCAGTACAAATTTCAGCTCTACGTCATAACAACTATGGGGCTCGGGTAAAGTATTTAATCTCTGTATCCCCCAGTTTCCCCATAGATGAAATAAGGGTCTTACTTGTATCTGTCTCATGGGGACATGGTAAACATTAAATGAGATGATGTATGTGCAATCTTTTGCATTGTGCTTGGCACATAGTAAGTGCTCAAAAAAGTAGCTAATATTATTATCACATTTTTATTTAAGCAATCAGAATATTTCAAATGATGGAAAGACTGAGAAATAAAACTAAGGAAAAGGGCATGAGGCTGGGGGCAGTAGCTCATGCCTATAATCCCAACACTTTGGGAGGCCTAGGTGGGTAGATCGCTGGAGGCCAGGAGTTCAAGACCAGCCTGGCCAATGTGATGAAACCCCATCTCTACTAAAAATACAAAAATTAGCCTGGTATGATGGCAGGCGCCTGTAACCCCAGCTACTCAGGGGGTTGAGACATGAGAATCACTTGAACCCAGGAGGTGGAGGTTGCAGTGAGCATAGATCCTGCCACTGCACTCCAGCCTGGGCAATAGAGTGAGACTCTGTCTCAAAAAACAAAAACAAAAGAGTGTGAGAGGAGCTGGCATTCATTAGAATATTCAGGGAGACAAACAATCGTTAAGACACCCCTGGCTGCCTGCCATTTTATACCATGGAGACATTTACATCACAGGGCATAAACCAAAGTGGGAAGGGATCTGGACTGCATAATTACACAATGAATTTTAGAGGGTAGGATCTTCTCTTTTTTCTCTATTTCTAAGCAGAAAATAAAAATATAGGCATAATGGACTGAATTATGTCTCCCGAAAATTTATATGTTGAAGTCCTAACCCCAAGGATCTCAAAATGTAACTGTATTTAGAGACAGCATCTTTAAAGAGGTAATTAAGTTAAACTGAGGTCATTAGGGGGACCTAACCCAACATGACTGGTGCCCTAATAGAAAGAGGAGACTAGAACCTAAGGGAAGACCAAGTGAAGACACAGGGAAGACAGCATCTGCAACCATGGGGAAAGCCCTCTGACAACACCAACCTGCCAACACCTTGAACTTAGACTTCCAGCCTCTCCAATTGTGAGAAAACTAACATCTGTTGTTTAAGCCACAGAGTCTATGGTCCTTTATTACAACAGCCCTAGCAAACAAATACTATAGGTAATACAGTAAACAGAGACTTTCCCACCAAACCACAGCCATTAGGAGGATGCACATTTACTTAAGCAGGATCTCTGACTCCTGCTGCACAGTCAGGCTCCTTCGTGGCATCACCATATTGTTCAAAGCCAAGGAAAACAGAAATCCACCTTTGAAAGCCATTTACCTTTGCTCTGCTCCCTGACTGCTATCTGCACTCTTTCTACCCTGCCCAGCCCTACCTAGCCAGTCATCAGCTGCCTGTGCTCTTTTGGATAAGGACTAAAGAAGGCATCAGTTTAGATTAATCCATGCTTAAAGTTCAAGAGAAATTGATGATGAATCAGTGACACCATCTTTCTCTGACCTAGGGCATGCATGTGGAGGAGGCACACTCACATGTGTAGTGCAGGGAAAGGCCTTGGGAGTCCTCTGATCCTCTCTTCCACTACTAGCTGTGTGATCCAAAACAATGACTTAACTCCTCTCTGTCTCATTTCCTGTATCAGTAAAGTGGGAATAATTATCATATGACTTCATAGAATTATTGCAAGGATTAAATCACTGAATTCATATGAAAGCAATTTATAAGGTTTCATGTTTCCTACGAAGGTCAGGAAGTCATTAATCAACCAACAGTTTTGAGTATTTACCTTGGACCAGACTGTCTAGGGTGTGCATTATATAGGGGCATCTAAAAACTACTAATCGCATGATACATAATTGGAGTGCAATAAGATGAATGGCATGTGGTTTTTGCCCTCATGGAATCCACACTTGAAGGAAGAAATGGATGTTAAGACAGTAATGCAGGTGGCAAGGGCTATACTGTAGAGTTTTTGAGGTCACTGCAAAGCACCAAGTGCAGCCTCTAAACCCCCTCTGTGACTTGTGGAAGTCGTGGTCTCTAAATGGTTAGCGGAGGCAGAAAACAAGAGTTAGCCTGGTAAAGGAAGCTAACTGCAGGGAAGGAAGAACATTTCCCACCCAGGGACAGACGGTAGGAATAAAAGCATTTAAGTGTGAAATAGAACAGGGTTTGTGTCTTTGTTTGGGTTCTTCCAGAAGCAAACCTTGAGACAAGGATTTGAATGCAAGTAATTTACTCAGCGGTGGTCCCAGTAAACACAAGTAGCTTGGAAAATGAAAAGGAAGGCAACCGATAAATGATGCATCATCCGATTAGTTACCTCTGTGGGCGACTGGAGCTTAATCCGGCTGGGAAATTCAGGGAAATGGTGTGAGAGCATGCCTCAAAGTTATCAGGCCCAAGGGGCGAGGGAGCCGGGACTCTCCAGCAGTTCCCACTGGCATTGGTCAAGTGCTGCTTCTGAGGGGTGTTAATTTCCTGGCACCTCCCAAGGCTGCGTGTCACTTGGGCAGAGTGCCCTCTAGTGGCCAGACAAAAACACCATCTAGCGGAGAAGAAACACAAGGGTTGACACTTGAACACTGGGTGAGAGGATGCAGGCAGAGCACCTACAGCATCAGACACCACATGCACACAGAAGTACAAATGCTTCCGTGTTCTGGAGCACATATCCAACTGGGGAGTTGCAGACAATAAAGCTGAAGAGATAGGTGGAGGCAGGGGCATGCATATATGTCATGCTTCAGTGTGTGAGCTTTATCCTGAGGGCAATGGTGAGCCATTGGAGGGATTTAAGATAGGGAGAGGCATGGTCAATAGTGTATCTTTAATAGATCACTCTGGCTGCTGTGTGAAGGATGCCTTTGAATGGAACAAGACTGGAGTCAGGAAACCCAGTAGAAGGCTCTCATTTTAGTGATCAAGAAGGAAAATGGGAAGAGCCCGATTTTTAAAAACACACACACAGTGGTAGGAGCAAATATGTTTAGAAGACAAAAACAAGCCCAGCAGAACTTGATGATTTATTGAAGATGGATACAATGGGGAAGGAGTCAGGATGACTCTAAGGGTCTCTCATTTTGATGATTTGGCAATGCTGGTGCCACCAAGTGAATTAGAGAGCAATGCAGTAGACACAGGCTTAGTTGGAGAGAAGATGCACTCAGTTTATGGAATTTGTGATTGGAGGAGGGTGAGGGCAACCAAGCATGAGACATGGTAGCTTGAAGCCCAAGAAGGATAACTAACCTTAACACAGGAATTTAGAAACCGTCAGCACATGGGTATTGAAACGAGATGGACCAGGTAAGTGTGTAAAGTTGAGCCATTCAGTGGGCCAAGGACAGAACCATAGCAATCACCAACATTTAAGGTGTAAGAGAAGCAAAAAAAAAAAAAAAAAAAAGGCATTCTCAAAGGGGCCAGGCATGAGAAAAGCAAAGGACATCACTAAAGCATAAAAAGTCAAGAGAATCAAGATCTTGGGGTGATCAATAAAAACACCAATCTGCAGGTGTCCAGCAGGATATAAACTTACATGTGTGCATTGATTTTTCCACTTTGACTGCAGGCTAGACTGTTCTTAGTTCATTTCATTCCAGTCTGAGATGCCAGTGGGCATTAAGAGCGTGGGAATAGGCAGTGAAGGTAACTAGTTTGAGAAGTTTGGAAACAAGGAGGAAGAGAACCTAGTTGATAGCCACAAGTGTCTGCAGGATCCAGGGCACTTTGTTCTTTTTCTTAGAAGAGACTCTTAGAAGATGAGGAGGAGCAGGGAGAGGAGGCTAGGAGAAAGAAATGAGAAAGAAAAGGATCACTGAAAAAGTAAATTGCTGAAGAAGTTATAAAATGATCAGGTAGAAGTATTGACCTTCAGCAAGAGAAGGAAAGACAGACACATCATCATCTGGAGTTGAAGTGAAAGAGAAGAAAATGAATAACAGGCAAGTCTATGAGGATTGGAACAGAGGTAAGTCACCACCAAGAGCCACCACCATGTTCTCAATGAAGTAGAAAGGTAAGATCATCCACTGAGAGAAATAGAGTAGAGGGTTAAGTGGAGATCTGAAGGTTTGGACTAGCCATTGAGGAGAAAAGAAAAGGAAGCTTACCAAGAATGAATGAACTGGCAGTCAGAACTCAGGCCCCAGCTGAGGCTGGAGACCATGAATTTTCAGTCATCACATTCCATATGGTGATGATGCTGTGACTGTGGTGCAATGGACTGAATATTCATGATCCTCCAGAATTCCTATGTTGAAACCCTAACTCACAAGGTGATGGTATTAGGAGGTGGGAAATTTGGGAGGTGATTAGATCATGAAGGTAAAACCCCTACTGGATGGGATTAGTGCCCTCATTTTAAAAGGCCCCAAAGATTTGCTTTGCTTCTTCCACCACTTGAGGACACAGTGAGAAATCAACATCTCTGAACCAGAAAGTGAGTCCTCACCAGACATCATATCTGCCAGTACCTTGATCTTGGACTTCTTAGCCTCCAGAACTGTGAGAAATAAATTTCTGTTGTTTATAAGCCACTCAGTCTAAGGTATTTTGTTATAGCAGCCCACATGGACTAAAACACACTGTTGACATAACGATATCCAAGCCTCATTTTCTGTCTCTCTGTGGGTGACTGTGCACGTGTGTACCCACATGTGTGCACAGGAAGCATCACTGCAGAACCGACCTCTGATGACCATTTCTGGTGCCCTCTGTGTGTCTCTGTCCAGGAGCTGTATTCTCAATCCTATGATGCTGTTGGGGTGATGTTTGCCTCCATCCCAGGATTTGCGGACTTTTACTCTCAGACTGAAATGAATAACCAGGGAGTGGAATGCCTGCGCTTGCTCAATGAGATCATTGCTGACTTCGATGAGGTAAATCTAAGCCTGAGACATTTACAATCACAAATGGGCATCGTTGTCAAAGCGTTGTGTTATTCATTGTAGGAATTACTTATTTTTTTTTTTTGCACTTAACGGAATTCCAGCCTGCATTATAAACACAAACATGTATTATCTGATTTAATTATCACAATTATCACCTGAGTTAAATGCTATTATTTCCCTATTTGGGGGATCAGGAATATAAGGCTCAGGGAGGCTAAGTAACATAACCCAGTGTCACACAGCTGGCAGATGGCAAAGGCAGGACTTGACTAGAGGCCTCTATGAGGCCAATATTACTCAAGCACTGACACCACAGAGGCTGGACACTGAAGCAGGCATTGCTCCATCTTCTCAAAGTGTCAAAGATAAAACTGTCCATTTGCATTTGGTCAGAGAACTAATTGCAAGTACAAACATACTACAGATAGCGGTTTCTTCCTCCAGGCTCCATGAGTCTAGTGAACACATTCTGTGGGGGGAAATGCTCACGCTGCACTTCAGTTCCATTCATAAACTTGACACAAGTGGGCCTTCTACTCCCCCATTCCCCATCTTGAAGGACACCAGTGTCCATCCAGTTACTTAAGCCTGAGCTGGGAAGCAAGTGATTCACTGAGAAAATGCTACGGAATAAGCCAAATCCCTGCCTAACTCCAGAGGGAACTCAGGCACATAAATGGTACAACTGTCTCACACTGAGGCAGGGGGCCAGGCTTTTGGATACCCATATTGGTCAGTCATTATTGGTCATGGGCTGCCCTGGTAGGGGTACCTAGCCTCCCAGGCATTTCCAGCAAGGGAGTTCTCATGAGGCCAAGCAAATTCTCCAAAAGGAGGTGCAGTAATGCATTGTCAGCAGCCAGCACTCATGGCATTTTGGAGGATGGCCCCACAAAGGGGCTTGGGGCGGGAAAAAAAAACAACTACTACATCACTCTAAACAGCATCCTGTCCCTCCATCCCTACATTCAATCCAGCTTCTGAGTCCAGTGAAGTCCTTCTTTCCATTGTATATATTTATGGTGCAAAATGTGATGTTTTGATATATGTGTACATCGTGGAATGATTAAATTAAGCTAATTAACAAATCCATCACCTCACATCTTACAACGTTTTTGTGCCAGAAATATTTAAGATCTACTCTCTTGGCAATTTTCAAGTATGCAATACATTATTATTCACTATAGTCACTATGCTGTGCAATAGATCTCCAGAAAGTACTCCTCTTGTCTAACTAAAACTTTATACCCTTTAACTAATATCTCCCTCTTCCCACCCCACCCCCCAGGTTCTGAAAACCACCATTCCACTATTTGCTTCTGAGTTTGACGTTTTTAGATTCCACGTATAAGTGATGTCATATGTACTTGTTTTTCTGTGCCTGGGGTATTTCACTTAGCATCATATCCTCCAGACCCATCCATGTTGTTGCAAATGACAGGTCTTCCTTCTTTTTGTGGCTGAATAGTATTCCACTGTGTGTGTGTATATGTGTATGTGTGTGGTGTGTGCATGTGTGTGTGCATGCGTGTGTGTGTGTTTCCATTCATTTCTCAATGGAAGTTTAGGCTAATTCTGTATTTTGCCTGTTGTGAACATGCTGAGATGAACATGGGCGTGCAGACATCTCATCAACTTTCTTAATAGCTCTCACACCTGCCTTTTTCTCACCATCAATGCTGCTTTTACCTTGATTCAGACCATATTATTTCTCTCCTAGACAACTGCAGTCATGTCCTATCTGCTCTCCCTGCCTGCATCTCACCATTAGCAATCACCAAAGGCAGGAGAATTTTGTCACATCCCTTTGAAGCCTAAACACTTCAGTGGCTCCCCTTCATCAACTCTAGTAGGTCTTGCACTCACTGTCCCTGCCTCCTCTCAGCCTTACCTCTTACTGCAGGCCACCTGGCCAGCACCACCTAACTACTTACAAGCCAACAAGCCCACCTGGCTCTCACACACTGCACTTTCTGCCTGGAGGCCATGCCATCCTCGCCCTTACCCCATCCTCTCTCCCTCGACTCCATGACCAGCTGAAAAGCTAACATTCATTTAACAGTCAATTCAACGCTACTTCTACGGTTGAAGGCTTTTTTCTAACCCCCATCTCTATCCAGGTAAATGTTGTCACTCCTTTTTTAATGAAAAACTCATACTCTGAAAAACCTCCTATCATAAAGGCTGAAACCCTTCAGTACCACCCTGTTTACCACCCAATAGCCACTTAGTTCTAGGGTAGAAACCCATGTTACTAATCTCTATAGGTTTTTACAAGTGTTGCCAGAAATGCAAAGCATTTTCAATATATATCATTTAATAGTTATTTATCTCTCATACAAACCCTTAGGCTAGGAATTATTAGCCTTCATTTTAAAAATGAGCAAAGCTGAGACTAGAAACACCAAAAATGACCAGAGTCACATACCACTAAGTGGCAAAGCCAAGATTTGAACCCCAGTCTCCCATACTGCTTTGATTTGTAATCATTTGTGTTGCACTGTTTCTCACTTACCTGGCATTTCATGGTAATGATTTTGAAGTCATAAGCTCAAACATGGTCACCGTAGTTGCCCTGGGATGGGTGTGGGGGGTCAAGATGGATAAGACGTGATCACTTCTTGCCTCCCAAGGCTTCACCATCCAGTGGGAGGCAGGGTGACTATGAGTTGCCCTTACACAAGAAGTCACTGGTAAGTGTACTAGTACAGAGGGTCTTGCAAGGTGGGGAGGGGAAGGCAATTTTGTGACAATAGCACCTTTAACTCCTGTCCTCTATGCTAGGCCATAAGGTCACTAAGGTAGAGACCATATTCTTGTATCTTGTTAAGTCTCCAGGGCCCAGCTCTGTGTCTAGCACATAAGAGATGGACATGGCAGATGCTTGCTAAGTACTTGCTAAAGGAATGAATTCATTAATGGGGGGACAGAAACAAGCTGGCAGATAGTAAGGTGAAGATAGGTTAATGCAATTCAAAACATACTTCCAATTTTTTTAATTACCCTATTAAAAATATCTGACTAAAGGTTAAGACGTCAGGCTTTGTTGTATTTTAAACTTTATAGCAGGGGTGTCCAGTGTTTTGGCTTCCTTGGGCTACAATGAAAGAAGAATTGTCTTGGGCTACCTATAAAATACACTAACACTAAGGATAGCTGATGGGCTTTAAAAAAATTCGCAAAAAAAAGTCTCATAATGTTTTAAGACAGTTTACAAATTTGTGTTGGGCCACACATTCAAAGACGTCCTGGGCCACATGTGGCCAGTGGGCCGCAGGTTGGACAAGTTTGCTTTATAGCAACCCATCTTCCAAAAGTGCTCCCTCTCATATTTTAAAATTGTAGTGAATAAAGTATATTTGAATTACATTTGCATCTCAGTGAACCAAATTGTTGACACTCTAGAGTCTTGGAAAGCGGAGAAAGAGGGCAGTGCCCCTAGTGATTGAAATGGGTGTTTGCAGAGGGAAGTTGGAAAACAGGGAATTGGTCTAGGAGGCTGGGTTCTTTAGAACATGGGCATTAGACCAGGAGGAAAAGTATGAATAAGAGGAGGGGGAGGATAAGTAGATGGGGAGGAGGGGAGAGAGGAGAGGGAAGAGAGGCAGCGATGAAGAGAAGAAGGATGAAAAGAGGAGGAAAGGGGAGGAGGTGGAAGAGAAAGGGTGAGGCGGGGGGAAGGTAGGGGAGAATATAGTCAACAGGAAAAATAAAAAAGCGGCCTGAATTGCCAGCCCAAACACTCTCAGTTTTGCCTGTGTGTGGGTCCTTGGGTCACTCAGACCTGCCTTTTTTGTTTTGTTTTGTTTTGTTTTGGTCAAGAGAGGTCCTCTAGATTCTGCCTGGCTGAGTTCCAGCCAGACCCCTGCTGTTCACTTTAATACTGATGCTTCTCTTCTTGCTGATATAATTACCACAGGAACCTGAGATCATGCAAAATTCTTTCCTGGCTCAGAGAAAAGCTGAACTTTGCACAGATCACATCTCCAAGACTGTGTTTGCAATAACCCAACTCAAGGGCTCCTCATCCCACAGCCCCTGCCTCAATAAAGGGCTGAAGAGCCCTCTCACATCTGACTTCCACAAATGGGCTGATCAGGGACCACTCTATGCCCCCAGACACTTTTAGCTATAGAGTAAATAAATCTGCTGGATGGATATTAAATGAGATAATGAAGTTCCTTTCTGCCTCCAAATTATCTTCTGAGGGGGAGGCTTACCAGAGCCTGAAGCTGGCTCTTGGCCAAGTGATTCTGAAGAGAAGAGAAGGAAAAGTACCTGCTCTCCACAGGACCACATCAGATCAGTCCACCACCAGCAGAAAGCTGGGGGAAAGTAGTTACAGGGAGGCAGAGGGAGGGAGGTGAGTAATTGAAGATGTTCCAGGATTTTTAAGCTGAAACATTAGCAGCTGAAGGGCGCCAAAACACCAAATATGTTTGATTAGTGTCTGAAAGCAAAGATCAGTCATGATCCAAGGCTGAAGACCTGTGTACCCTGGGCATGACTGGCAGAATCTCTGTGACAGCAGAAGAGGGGCTTCACTTTAGTTCAAGAAACAAAAATAATAAACAAAGGCTGCCCCTGCTGTAAATCAGGCTATACATACACACAAACACACACACACACACACCAAAGCCAAGCACCTACCTGTGTTCTCCATGTTCCCAGAAGAGTTCCTCTCAAGGAGGAATTTTCCAAGTTTCTTAGCCCCTGATTAATTTTGAGATGATGCCTGAAACAAGAGAGTCTGTAGAGAACCCATCTTCTGCTCCGTCTGCCTGTCTGTCCACCCCAGGATGACATGAGACCTGGAGGATATTACAATCTTAAATGGAGGCAAAAGCTAGAGAATCAGAAATTACATCTAAATATCTGCCAAGAGTGGGAATAAGAAGACAAAGTTTAGACTTGGGAATCAGTGAGGTTTGAGTTTTAGCCTAACTCTCCCACTCAGGGTCGGCTTCGCGAGTGTGCAGCTTGTGCAGTCCCAAAAGGAACCCATGCTTGTTTTAATGTTCTGCTATTGCTCTCATGTGTGTCTTAATTTTTGAAAAAGGTGTTCCACATTTTCATTTTGCACTGGACCCTGCAAACTATGCGTGGTCCTGTCTCCCCTTTCTCACCCTGGGACCTTGGGACACATTATTTTACCGCATGGAGGCTCTGCTGATTCATCTGCAAAGTGAATACTAAGCTCAAAGTGCCACTCAGAGAAACAGATGATCGACGGAGGCAGAGCCCCTAGTTCTGTGCCCCAGTATATGCGGACATCGCCTCTTCCAGTCTACTTTTTAATCTCTTTAAAATGTTTAATTTATGCTTTGTATACTGTGGGGTTTTTATTTTTAGTAGAGACAGCGATTTTCACCACGTTGGCCAGGCTGGTCTCGAACTCCTGACCTTAGGTGATCTGCCTGCCTCAGCCTCCCACAGTGCTGGGATTACAGATGTGAGCCACCACCCCAGCCTGGAATTTTTAATCTAAAAGTTACCTGCAAGGGCATTGAATTTATGTAATTTAGCCATTTTCTCACTCTATGTCCTTAAGCAAGTTATTTAATCCCTCTATGCACCTCAGTTTTCCCATCTACAAAATGAGATACAGTAGGGTCATTGTAAGTTAAATGCAGAGATTAAAAAGCACTTAAGACTGTATTTGATGTGATGGACTGAATAGCATCTCCTCCCTAAAATTCATGTGCTGTGAGAAATGAGTTTCTGTTGTTTGTTTTTATTATGGCTGCTTGAGCAGACTAATACACTTGGCACATAACTATGATCATTAAAAGTTCATTTTATTATTATGTGTATTTGTTTCTAGTGTGGCTGTAACAAAGTACCACACATTTGGTGTCTTTAAACAACAGAGGCTGGCCGTCGTGGCTCATGCCTTAATCCCAGCACCTTGGAAGGCCGAGGCAGGCGGATCACGAGGTCAGGAGTTCGAGACCAGTCTGGCCAACATAGTGAAACCCCATCTCTAGTAAAAATACAAAAAATGAGCCAGGCGTGCTGGTGGGTGCCTATAATCCTAGCTACTCGGGAGGCTGAGGCAGGAGAATCACTTGAACCTGGGAAGTGGAGGTTGCAGTGAGCCGAGATCGCACCACTGCACTCCAGCCCAGGCAACAGTGCAAGACTCTGTCTCAAAACAAACAAACGAACAAACAAACAAATCCAGAATGCATTCTTTCACAATTCCGGAAGCAAGAAGAGTGAGATCAAGGGGTGAGCAGGGCCCTGCTCCCTCTGAAGGCTCTAGGGAAAACTCCTGCCTTGCCTCTTCCCAGCTTCTGGTGGTGGCTGGCTGACCGTGGCAGCATGATTCCAATTTCTTTCCATCCTCACATGTCTTTGTCCCTGTGTGTGTCTCTGTGCCCTCTCCTCTTCTTATTAGGACACCAGCCATAATGGATTTAAGGCTCACCCTAATCTAATATGACCTCTTCTTAGCTTTAAAAATTACTCTGCAAAAAACTTATTTCCAAAGAAGATCACATTCTGAGAGTCTGTGAGGACATGAATTTTTGAGAGGCACTATTTAACCCAGTATAGTATTCACACCCTTTTTAGAAGTGCATAGGGATAAAATGTAAGTTTGTTTAAAAGGAAGGGAGAGGTGCACTTATGATCTTCTAAACTAATATGTTCTACTTCTCATCATTCTGCAACTAATACTCTTCCACCCTGGAAATGCACTGCGAATATGAAGTCCATGTGACAGTGATTAACTGAATCTTGCTTCATTGACAAGAGTGACACTGAAAGCCAGCCTCAGAGAATTTGCTGTTTATGGGCTTATTGAACCAGTATCTAGTGAAGTCCTGCCCTGGGCGCACAAGATATAATGACAAACTAAACAGGCATAAATCCTGTTCTCATGAAGCTTATACTCTATTGTGGGTGAAGAACAATCAAAAAGAATAACAAGTAAATATGTTGTACAATAGACAGAGATACATTCGGTGGGGGAAGATAATGCAGGGAACATGGGAAGGAAGGTTTGGAGGGAGGGGTGCAATTAGAGTCACCCACTCATCGCTTACCCAGGACTTTCCTGGTGTTGGCACTAAAAGTTTTGCATCTCAAAAAATCCCCCGACCTGGGTGAACCGAGATGGTTGGACACCCATAGTGCAATTTCAGAGAGGGTTCTGAGAAAGGGCTTACTGAGAGGCCTGGAGGAGATGAGGACGTGGAACTGATCCATAGAAACAGCTTGGGGGGCATGGCGGCAGGCAAGGAAAAGCCCACGTTCTAAGCCCTGAGGAGGGTGTGTGCAGCAGGCTTTCTCTTGTTCTCTTGAGCAAGTCAGGTGATGGAACCTGACTTGTGCTGCCTTAGGGGTGAGCCAGCTGCATCAGCATGTCTTGGGTACTTTCTATTTAGACAGGGAAAGACTTGGGCCGCAGCTCCTGGCCACACAACATGCAAGAAGAAGGCTGGAGCTGGTTCCTGCCTTTAAACCAGCGTGGCAGGGTCAGTGGCTGATGGAGAGAAGGGCCAGAGTGCCAAATATTACAGGACCTCATGGACCAGAGCAAAGGCTTTGGCTTTTACTCTGAGACTGATGGGGATGGCTACGAGGGTTTCCAGCAGAGAAGGGATGTAACGTAACTTTGATTTTAACAGGGTTCCTCTCAGCTCTGTGTGAAGAACAGGGTCAAGAGTGGAAGAAGGGAGCCAATTAAGAGGCTTATTTCAATAAAAGAAAATGGATGAGGGTGGCTAGGACCAAGGAGGTGATGAGACAGGGTCAGAACCTGAATGTCTTTAAAGATAGGGCTAAGGATCTGCTGATAGATTAGATGTGGGTTATATGGGTTTTATTCTGAAGCAACTGGTAAAATGGAGACACCACTAACCAAGATGGGGGTCGATGAGGAGGAACAAGGGGCCAGCTTTGAGAATGGCAGATCTGAGACACCTGTTAGACCTATAATGAAGACATCATGTAAGCAATTCCATACTGAGTCTGAAGGTCAAGGCAGGGCATGCAGTTAGGAGTTTTCAGCAAAGAGATTGTATTTACAGCTGTAAGACATGATGATACCACAAGGAAATGAGCTAGATGGAAAAGAAAAGAGGTCTGAGGCCTGAGCCCTGAGGCTCACCTATGATATAAGATAATGGTGGAAAGAAGGAATTAACCACAGAGACTGGTGAAGCATCACCAGTGAAGTGGAAGTAAAATCTGAAGTTGGGGAAGCTAAGTAGGAACAAAGGTATAAACAGGAGTAGAGCCCCATCAGCTGGGTCCAGTGCTGCTGGTAGCCCAAGAGAAGCGAGGCTGAGGACAGCCAGCAGCATGGGACATGGAGGGCCTCCAGGACCTGGAAAGGAGCAGTTTCAGTGGCATGGCAGGACCAGGCTTAGGAAAAAATGGGGAGGAGGAAAATGGAAGCAATCAGTCTAGACAACTCTTTTCAGAAGTTGTACAGCAAAAAAAGGAGACAAGTAGAAAGGAAAGTGATGTCAAGAAAGACTGCTGTAGGATAAGAAATTTCACAGCAGGCTGTATGCTGATGGGAAAAATCTAGCAGAGAGGGTGAGATGGATGGAGTCAGGGACAAAGGAGAATGCTGGAGCAGCATGCCTACATGACAAGGGATGGACCTGTAAACACCTGTGGGGCTCGGCCCTCACTAGGAGCACTGAGAGTTCCTCCCCACACCTGGAGAGAGGCACATGTGTGCACACAGGTGCAGGTAAGTGGAGTGAGCTGTAGAAGCAGGTGTGCACTACTATAATCTCCTGCCAAAGGTTCACTCCAGACATGAGGTTAAAGCTGTGCCCTGTGCAGCCTTGGAGGTGAGCCAGCCGCATCACCAAGTCTCAGGTACTTTCTTCTTGTAATAGGAAAATACCTATGCCACAGCCCCTGGGCATACAACATGTAAGAGGAAGGCTAGAGCTAGTCCTTTGCCTTTAAATCAGTATGTCGTAAGCAATTTCTTAAACCAGAGGTCAGCACAGTTTTCCTGTCTTCTCCAGGCACTTCTCCAGCCCACTCCGCTTACCGGCACCTGCCCCTGTGTGCACATATGTGCCTTTTCTCCAGGAATGGGGAGGAACTCTCAGGGCTCCTGGTGAGGGCCGAGGCCCACAGGCATGCATAGGTCCCATCCCTTGTCACCTAGGCATGCTGCTCCAGCATTCTCCCCTTTTCCCTGACTCCACCCATCACCCTCTCTGCTAGATCTTTCCCATTGGCATACAGCCTGCTGTAAAATTTCTTTTTGATTGTTTCACCCACAATAGAGTATAAGCTTCATGAGAGAGAGCAGGATTTATGTCTGTTTATTTTTGACTTTGAAGCCAAAAAGTAAGTAGTGTAAAAGCAGAGGAGACCCAACCCAGCTGTGCTGAACCACACAGAACCATGTTCTAGCCGTTGGCCCATGCTGTTCCCAAGAATTTGGGAAAGGGCATGAACGTGTAAACTGAGTACTACAGATCTGGAAACTACATCATCAAGAGATTACTCTGGGGAAATTCAAAGGAGATTTGGGAAATAGGAGAGATGTAAGAACCACTTCTGAGTACCGTCACTTGAAGGGCTGGCCCATGGAGAAGAGTTCGGCTCTTTCTATATTGCCCCAGAGCTGCCATCTCAGCCCAAAGGTATAATGGATCGACGGAGGAAGGATCTCTCATTCAGAGGCTTCCCAACAGTGGCCTGAGCTGAGGTCCCCAGGGAGTGAATCCCTACCAGCCAGCATAGATGGGGGTAAAATGGATGACCTGGAACTAAATCCTGTTCATCTGTGACCTGTCTGTGCCCCACCACCACCAAAAATGTGAGGCTTGATTCTTTGAAAAGCCTCAACTGCAAACTCCAGGTTAAAGTCTCAGCAGAGTAGATATTTAGAAAGTTGAGGAGGGTGGCAAGGCTTCCTGTGTAATCAGAGGTGGAGACATGCTGTGTTTCATTAGGCACGGAGCGAACTTTGACATGCAGGTCACAAAAATAGAACAGGCTACTTTATAATGGGATTGTGTACTATCATAGCCCCTACCATACATGAACACTTATAGATATTAAAAACAAGGAGATAGGAGGCTTTGACGTTTCACCCTCCTAAATCATTTCAAACTGGGGAATTCAAAGCCAACGCATCCCATGGGTCTCTCTAATAATCATATCTGAGAATGGGAATTGAAATGTGCCATGGCTTATTCAGTGCTTAGGTAGAAGACACCACAGAACCGTATAGTTTAAGTTCAAATCTGGAAGAGAAGTTCAAATCCACATTAACTCCAGCCCTCAAAGCAGCATGCACTTGTCCATGATGTGTGGGGATGTGCAACTCAGGACACGGCAAGCCCATCAAAGGCAAAGACTTTGTATCCCTACCTCAGTGCCTGGAATATAATATTCAATAACTACCTACTGGATGAATAAATGAATGAATGACTTGACTATCCCCCAGGCAGCTCATCCTCTTCCTTTAAAGTGGTGCTTCTCTGACTCACGCATGCACTAGAACTACCTGGAAAGCCTGTTAAAACACAGGTTGCCAAGCCCCATCCCGAGAGTTTCTGAGTCAGTAGGACTGAAGGGGCCGCAATTTTGCAACTCAACCAAGTTCCCAGGTGATGCTTATGGGACCACACTTTGAAAATCACTGCTTTAAGGCAAGGTAGCAGGAAAGGCAGGCGTGACTTTGGAGTCAAGCAATCAAGATTCAAATTCTGTTCTGACTCTTCTTAGCTGGGTGGCCTTTAGCAATTCCGTCAGCCCCTCTGTGCCTCAAATTCCTCCTATATAAAATGGGGACAAAATATTGACTGCACAGGGTTGCAAGGTATATTATGGATATCGGGTGAAGTTTTCTTAAACTGCACTGAGGTGAGAAGCCATCCAAATATCACCTAGTGTTTCCAAGGAATATTAACAATTATCAGTGCATCCCAGACCATTAGACTTGGGGTACAAGGAAACATGCAATGTTGTACCCACTCTCCAAAATTATACTGTCCACTTGGTATGGCAAACACCAATCATTCAATATAAAGTGACGATGACAGACGAGGGCTGTTGGTGCAGAGAGAGGCACCCACGAAGCTTCCTCAGAGGAGAGGCCAGGCACAGGGATACATGCTTCAACTTGTCTAGGGAGCCCACAGACATTGAGATTAGCCAGCCCATTAGAGTTTAGGGAATGTCTTTACTCTTAATAGCATATATTTGGTTTTATGTAATTATTTTAACAGGTTTGTTGTCTTATAGTTGATTCAAAAACCTGCATATAAAATATACAATTTGATAAGTTTTGATATGTTTAGACACCTATGAAACATCACCACAATTAAGATCCTGAACATATCCATCATTCCCAACAGTTTATTCATACCTTCATAATTCTTTCTTCCTGCTCCTCCCCGTCCCCTCATTCCAGTGCAACTATTGATCTGCTTTCTATTACAATAGGTTACTCTGCATTTTCCAGAATTTTATATAAATGAAATAATCATGATAGGTACTCTTTAATATCTGGCTTCTTTCACTTAGTGTAATTTGTTTGAGATTTATCATATTCTTGTGTGTTTCAAGAGTTCATTATTTTTGTTCTGGAGTAGTTTCCAATTTGGTGCAAATAAATTTGCAAATTTTTTTAATTTCTTAAAGTTTTATTTTAATTGACAAATATAATTATACATATTATAGAGTACAATGTGATGTTTTGATACATGTATATAATATGTAATGATCAAAACAGAATAAGTAGCATATTCATTACCTCGAATATTTATCATTTATTTGTGATAAGAAAATTTAAAATCCTTCCTTCTAGCTGTTTTTAAATATACAGTATATTATTATTAATTATAGTCACTCTACTGTGCAATAGAACAGATCTTATTCCTCCTATCTAACTGTAAGTTTGTACCCATTGTCAAGCATCTCCCCAGTCCCTCTTCACCCCCATCCCCAGTCCCCACCATTGACTCTCTACTTCTATGAGTTCAACTTTTGTAGATTCCACATATGTGTGAGATTATATGACATTTGTCTTTCTGTGCCTGGCTTATTTCACTTACCATAATGCCCTTCAGATTCATCCATGTTTTCTAAAATGACAGGATTTCCTTCTTTTATGGCTGAATAGTATTCCGTTGTGTATATATAACACATTTTTTGAATTTACTCATCCATTGATGGAAACTTAGCAATCCCACTACTGGGTGTATACCCAAAGGAAATGAAATCAATATGCCAAAGGAATGTCTGCACTCCCGTGTTCACTGCAGCATCATTCACAATTGCCAGGATATGAAATCAACTTAAGTGTTCAATGACAAATGAAGGGAAATATTGTATGTGAGTTTATAGCTTGTCAATCTTTGGAGCTTAGAAATTCTTGGTGCATAACACCAAGCCAATATGAAATAAATGCATGTGATAGACAAGCATGTGATATAATCCAAAACTATTCTTGACTTTCTTGACACCCCTTCTCTGCCGCCTGACTGCCCCGAACACAAACGCACACACACATGCACACATGTGGACACACATATAAACACCACACACATATGTACATATATGTGCATGACTACACACAAATGCACACATGTGGATGCACATGCACATAAACAACACACATGTGTGTGTGCACCCACACACAGGCACACATACATGTGGACACAGGCATGAAAACAACACACACATGCACACATGCAAATGCATACTCACACAAATGCATGCATGTGGACACATACATGGACATACATGTGCACATAAACATCACACATGCACACATGTACTGTACACATGTAGACATACACACATCACTACACATGTACTGTACACATGTAGACATACACACATCACTACAAATGTGCCCACATGTGTGTCCACACACATATGTATGCAGGTGGACACACATGCACATAAACACCATACACACATATATGCACATATACACCCACACCCACACGCAATATGCACACATAGTTGCACACAGGCACACACACACAAATCTACATCTGGGACTAGCAAATGTTAGAAGCTAATTTGCAGGAACGCCACACAGCACCAATCTTGTTGATTCTATCACCACCAATATAATCTTTCAAAATATCCATATATCTGACTCCATCCCTAACCCAAGCCATTGTCATTGCCTGCCTGGATCTTGCAGTAGGTCTCCCCTCATGTTTCCCTCCCCTCATGACAATAAGAATGAACTTTCCAAAATCCAAACCTGACTTGGTCTCTTTCTGCCTACACCCTTTCAGTGCTTGTCACTACTCTTAGCATAGAGACCCATTGTCTTCAATATCATCTGTGTGTCCTCCAGGGCCTTGTGTGTTCTGGCCCCCACTACCTCTCTCAGCTCTTTTCCTTCAACTTATGGCCTGGCTTACCACACTGTGGCCAAACTGACCTCGTCTTCACTCTTTGGACCTCCTGTACATTCTCCCCAACTTCCAGACCTCATCTATGCTGGCCCCTATTTCTGGATGCTCCCCTTCCCATGCCCCTAGCTTCCCCAACACACACAAACTCATACACTCACTGCTAGAAAAACCCCTCCTCACCCTTTAGAACTGAAGCTAGAAATCACTTGCTGAGGGATCCCTTCCTAGATCCTTCAGATTAGATCAAAATGGCCTGATCTCCTCATCCCTCTACCCTGTATATTTCCAACATAAATTCTATTAAAATTGAACTAGGGCATGTTCTGTGTATTTATTTTTAACATCTGACCTCCCTACTTGGGTTGGTAGAGCTCATGTATCTTGTTCATCCAACATATAAGAACTCAATGAATAGTTACTGTATTAATTTCCTACTGCTGCTGTAACCAATGGCTACAAATTTAGTGGCTTGAAACAACAGAAATCTATAACCTTACTGTTTGGAGGTCAGAAATCCAAAATGAAACTTACAGGGCTGTGCTCCTTCCAGAGGCTCTGCAAAGTCCTTTTTGTCATGTAACCTGACATATGCACAGGTTCCAGGAATTAAGACACAGGCATCTTTGGGGCCTGGGTTCAGGAAGCATTATTCTGCCTACCACCATTGCTAAATAAGACACCAAGGTTTCCCTCTCTTAGCATTAAAACCGAAACCACAGGTAAAGGTAAAGGAAATGTCCCAGGATAGCACCCATTCCTTCATTTAATCATTCACTCATTCATTCTTCTCTACAGTCTGTCTAGGTGCTGAGTAGTAAACACAACAGTGGAAAATATATGCTCCAGGAATATTACATTCCCTAGAGGAAGAGGACAATAAATAAGCAATATCAGGGATAAGTGCTAAGGAGAGAAGGTAAAACAGGGAAGGAAGATAAGAATATGTATGTGGGAATGGGATGCTGCGTTCAATTTTAAATAAGGTGGTCAAGAAGACTGCACTGCAAAGATGAGATTTGAGGAAAGACCTGTAGGAGGTGAGGGAGTAAGCCATACACTTGTCCCAGGGAAGAGTAGCCCAGCAAGAGAACAACAGGTGCAGAAGTCCTGAGGCCAAAGCAGGCTGAGCTTGTTCTCAGGTCAGTGTGGCAAGGGGCAAAGGGGATCAGTGCAGCTGGAGCAGAGTGAGAGAGGGAGACGATAAGAGAGCGGACAGGTCTTGGCAAGCCTTGCAAGTCACAGTGAAGACTGGTTTTGACCTTGAGTAAAACAGAAAGCCATAGGAGGTTTGGCACAGAGCAGGGACAGGATCTGATTTACATGTGAAGGGGCAGACCTACTCCTTAAAGAGTACCAATTTACACCCATCTCCACTCCTGACCCTTAGCAAGTGCTCATTAAATATATGTGACTGGCTGAAAGCATGATTCTCAGAGAGAAAAGCAGATAACTAGAGGATATTGAACCATCAGAGGTAGCTCATTGTGAGCCAGGGGCCTGTTTTCAGGAGCCCAGGCTGCTGGAAGAATAAACACCAGGGCTAACACCATTGCCTGGCTCTCTTTCAGTTGCTTGGTGAAGACCGATTTCAAGACATTGAAAAGATTAAGACCATTGGCAGCACCTACATGGCCGTGTCAGGCCTGTCACCTGAAAAACAGGTAAAGGACTCTTTGGACTCAGCCACAATGCATGGTGGGGTCTTGCTGTTGTCATGTCACCGACGGTGGTGAAGCCTCTGTCACCAAGATCCTTGGGGAAAGATGGGGAGAAAATCTAATGGACTGGATTATAATAGTTACGTGATGTGGATTTGCCCCCAAGGTAGGTAGAGTCTACCAGATGAAGCCACGCTGCTTTTTTGAGAAACTTCTAGGCTTTGTTCTGAACCTCATTGTTCCCTTGAACAAAATCAAGAGCCCAGAAATAGCCTATTGTGATTTAGTTGTGGATCTTACTAAACCCCTAATACTAGCCTCTTTTTTCCTATTTTGGTTTTGTCTTTCAAAAGTCTTACATCATAATAATAACAGTTGCTGCTTTTTGGAGTGTTGACTGTGTTCCAGGCACTGGTGTTAAATGGCAACACTGTCTACCTTCCAGGGTTAATGGATGAATTATCTCAGATAATGTCATGCTCCCCAAGCAAAGCCTTGCATCTAGTAAAGTCCTCAATTAGTGTTAAAAGAATATGAGTCCAAGATACTTGGGGAAATGGAATTCTCATCAATTTCTTCCAATCCTTCGTATGCTTTTTTCCAACTAAAAACAATAAAATACTTCAAGAGTGACTATCTGGGATGAAACTCATGCTGGTTATTATTTGGTACGTGTGCAGCAGGGATCAGAAAACTACAGCTCACAGGTCAAATCTGGCCCACCATCTGTTTTTATAAATAAAACTTTATTGGAAAACAGCCATGCCCATTCATTTATATTTTGCCTATTGCTCCTTTCAAGCTAAAATGGCAATGTTGAGTGTCACAACAAAGACCATATGGTCGACAAACCTTAAAATATTGGCTATCTAGCCTTTATTGAAACTGTTTGCTAACCTCTGTTCTACAGGGGCACAAAGTTCTCTCATATAAAAAATCTCATTCAATACCTACGAGGTAGGAAGGGCAAGTATGCTTATCCCCATTTTATAGATTTGGAAACTGAGGTTCAGAGAGGCCCAGAGGCTTATGCAGCACTTCCCTTAGGAGTTTTGTAAGCAAATGTATCCCTTAAACACACACTGTGAGCAATTCAAAGGAAATAGACACAGTTCTTAGACTGGAAAACTACACATACATAAGAGCACATATACACACACATACCCATACCCACACATATACCCATACCCACACACATACCCATACCCACATACACTCACGGCCACCCACACGCCCACACACCCCCAACACACACACACATACACACATACACTCATTCACACACATGCCAGTGAACATACACTACGGAATTGATGCTACATCAACCTGAACAGACAGGTGTAGATGTGGAAGAAGGAATACAATGACCCACATATACTACACTCTTGCAAGCAAATCTTATGTCTTCCCATGTTCTGAGATACCAGTGACTTGAGTGTAGAGGGGCTCACCCACATGATTATTTCCTTAAAGGGATGTGCAGGTAGGGTTGGGTTAGGACGTAAAGCCCCTGCTGCAGAAATGTTAATGTTCCCCCACATTCCGCATTAAATGATTTCTTCTCCTCATGTTTGCTTCAGCAATGTGAAGACAAGTGGGGACATTTGTGTGCTCTGGCTGACTTCTCACTCGCCCTGACAGAAAGCATACAGGAGATCAACAAGCATTCATTCAACAATTTTGAACTCCGGATTGGTGAGTAGCAGCTGCAGGTGGGGCCTGATAGAGCCAGCTGACCTTGCTCCAACAGACCCTCCCCTGCCTTGGGCATCAATCCAGGAAAGCTTTTTCCTGCAAAATGCAATAGATCTAGCATGACCCTGCCAAGGATAGGGACAAGGTCAGCTCAGGCCTTTCTTAGTTTCCTCTCAGTCAAGATGCTGGAAACAAGAGTAGGATACTGGCTTGTGTGCAGAAATACAAAGCAGCCAGCCTTTGGCAAATGCTAGACTATTGTGAACCCCTCTTCCAACTTGCCTGCCCATGCAAGGTCGTGCATAGAGATGTAGCTGACTAATCAGTCATTTAATTCTGACTCCTGGGTAGCTCAATGCTGGTGGTCAATGTATTGCTCTCAAGGTCTTCAGGATAATTCCTTCAGACAAAAGCAGGATTCTACTCCTGAGGATGGCAGATACTATACTTCCAGGGACAGGCTTTACTCAGCCACAAAGCTCGCCATTTCTTTGGGCTTAAAGACATCACCGCACAAAGCAACAACGTAACATTAATCACTGCAATCAATAATAATCCTTTATATTTGCCATTCCTTCCACATCTCTACTGAGCCTCAGTGACCTCCTAAAATGCAGTCTGAATATCCCTGGTCTAGTCCACATTCTCATTTTGTAGATGAGTAAATGCGGGCCTATGAAAAGGGAGTAACTAGCCTAAGATCACACAGTCACACCAGCAGCAGCTCCAGCATTTCCTAACTCTGAGACAATGACATTCTGGCTGCCAGAGTGCAGTTTAAAATAACTTTTGCTACGGTCCTCACACTGTAGACATCTTCTGGCTGATATGCCATTTTACTTTATCTGCTTCTCCCTTAGCAGCTTTCAAGAAAAACAGGTCAAGAAATACCAATATCTGACTTGTCAGATCTAAGGAATGCCATATGTCTTTGCTCTTTGCATTAAAGGGCTTATATTTTATGTTTTTGATCTATGGATGGGATGTTCAGCGCTTGTTCCCACATCTTCCATCAATCTTATCAATGTCATTTCTGAAATTGTTGACTACACAATTGAACCAGGAATAAAAAGGGAACTGTAATGCTGAACAGAGATATTCTAAGTAAATTCTGAAGATGTTGCCAAATCAGGGTCAACCCTTGCCATGACATATTACACTCGTAGTATAGTTTCACTGATCTCAGAGGTTGGAAAATTAACTTCCCAACTGAATTAAGCATCTCAATTTGTGTTTTGGGTCTGCTGTAACCAGCTGTATGACTTTGGGTGAATCATTTAAACCTTCTGTGTCTCCGTTTCCTCCTATGTAAGCTGGGTGTTAAATTATTACCTCCTCTGCCTCTCTACCTCACAATAATAATATGAGAATCAAATGGGATATTGGCTGTCAAAGTTCTCTGCAAATTTTAAAGAGCTAACTATCATTGTGATTCCCATGTACTCCATAGAGTGAGATTTTCAAATTTCCAGTCACTTATATCAGTGGGTATACGTGTCTTGCTTTTGCCTCGGCCTAGAATAATCTTACCGAGATATCTGCATGGCTATTCCCACCATATTCTCTGCTCAACAAGGTCTTTGCTAACCTCCTTACTCCGAGATATACTCTCTTCCATCTTTCTCCATTATTTTACCCTCATTGATTTTTCTTTGTAGCCCTAATCATTCATTAATATTATATTACATTTGTAAAATTATTTTCTATCTCTCCCCAGTAGAAGGTAAATTCCATGGGGACCAGGGCTGTATTTCTTTCCTTTCCCACCACATCCCCAATGCCTAGGACTGTACCTGGCTCATAGCAAGTGCCTAGTCAATGTTTGTAGAATGAAATAATTGTCTTTTAGAAAGAGACATACATGCCCACTAACAGGTTTAGTGAAATGCTACCATTTCTAGAATTCTATGCTTCCTAGTGGAGGAGGCACTGAAACTGTCTTTAAAAGTATTTACCAGATAAACTGTGAAAGTGTGGGGAAGTAATAGCACAAGCAGGGGGAAAGTCAGGACAAAGGCACAAAGGTGGGTACTGGCTGGAAGGTTAGGAAAACTCCAGCAGTTCAGTGTGAATATAATGCAGCAGTAAGGAAGAGAGTGGGATAAATGAGGCTGGAAAATCAGGCAAAAGCCATATCAGAGAGGTTATTGATTGTGAGTCTAAGGATCATTGGCTTTATCCTGTAAGTGAAAGGAGCCCTGGAAGATATTTAAGTGGGTTGTAACTTGATCAGATATGCAACTTGATCAGAACGAGCCCTCCCGCTCCTGCAGCAGTGTGGAGGATGAGCTCAAGGGAACAAGGGAGGAGACAGGGAGGACAGTTAGAAAGCCATCGCCATGGACCAAGGGAATGATGCTGAGGACCTGGGCTAAAACAGAGAGGGAAAAGGCCTGTGCAGGCTCTCAGAGCACTGTGTCAGCAGAAGCAGGAGATCCTAGGGTCCTGACTTCTGGTCCATGCTCTGATCATCTCACAGACTAAGACAAGTCAGTGCTCATATGACAATAATAATTATATTCAATTGAACACTCACTGGTTGCCAGGCACCATGCCACAGTGGCTTTACTTGTATTATCTCATTAAATCTGCCTTTAATTATTTCCATTCTACTGATGAGAAAAGTGAGGTCCAAATAGGTTAATTAACTGACCCAGGTGATACATCTAATAAGTGACTGGGGGCAGGATCTGGACCCTCCCGTTCATCCACAGAGACCCCACACATAGTGATCACTGTCCCAGGGAGGGGTCCAAACACCCCATTGTCCCCCTTCTCCCTCTGACTTCTTGCTCCTTTGCTTCACCCCCCAGGCATCAGCCACGGCTCAGTGGTAGCTGGCGTTATCGGCGCTAAGAAACCACAGTATGACATTTGGGGCAAAACTGTGAACCTGGCAAGCCGAATGGACAGCACGGGGGTTAGTGGCCGGATCCAAGTCCCAGAGGAGACCTATCTCATCCTGAAGGACCAGGGCTTTGCCTTTGATTACCGAGGGGAGATCTATGTGAAGGGTATCAGTGAACAGGAAGGAAAAATCAAAACGTACTTTCTTCTGGGAAGAGTCCAACCCAACCCATTCATCTTGCCCCCAAGAAGACTGCCTGGGCAGTACTCCCTGGCCGCGGTTGTCCTGGGACTTGTCCAGTCCCTCAATAGGCAAAGGCAGAAGCAGCTACTCAATGAGAACAACAACACAGGAATCATCAAGGGTCATTACAACCGGCGGACTTTGTTGTCACCCAGCGGCACAGAGCCTGGAGCCCAGGCTGAAGGCACCGACAAATCTGATTTGCCATAAAAGCATTTTCTTTCTGTTTTTTTTTTTTGTATTTCTTTTATATATAAAATAAATATACTAATAAAAAGGTTTAATTTTTTTTAGAACAAGGATGGTTTCGTTGGTCTTTGAATGTACCAGATCAAGGACACAATTTGAGATTCTCTTCAAATGTTCCCTTCACAAATATTTATTGGTCACCTCTTGTGTACAAGGTTTATTGGGAGGCAAAGATAAATGAGATCTAGTTTCTGACTTTGAGAGTTTGAGAGACTTACAACTAGGTGGAAGAGTGGGACATGTGAAGTGAACAGAAACTCCATACAGTCAGATACTCACCACCATCTGCTATTTTTGAGCACTTGCCATGTGCCAGGCCAAGCGCCAAATTTTTTACATAATGACCTCCTGTAATCCTCACAGCACTTGACCAGTACGTTCATCAGTATTTGCTGAGCAACTACAATGTGGATATGGCTGTCCTATCCTCCAGGGAAATCCTAGCAAAAGTGTTTCCCTTATAGAGCTAACATTCTGGTTGGGGAATAATATATAATATTCTTATTAACCAATACATAAATAATCTGCTTTCAGATTGAGGTAGAGGCAACAAAGAAAATTAAGTTGGCCACTTGGGATAATAATCTGCTTTCAGATAGAGGTAGAGGCAACAAAGAAAATTAAGTTGGCCACTTGGGATAAAGAATGGGAGGACAGGGATGCTGATTTAACTGAGTCACCAGGGAAGGCTTTTTTGAAGATGTGATGTCAATGATTGGCCCTAAATAATAGAAAGAGGTGACCCATAAGACCTGAGAGAAAAGTTTCACAAGAAAAAGTAACAGCAAGTGCGAAAGCCCAGAGGGGTATCAAGTCCGGCACATTGGAGGAACAATGAGAAAGGCAATGGGTAAGTGAGCTACTGTGGGCAAGCACACTGTTTCCTGGAAGACACCTACGTGCTTATGACCACAAGATTGCCAGGAAAATTTCATACAGGTGAGAAAGCCCAGAAAAATTAAAGGATTTGGCCAAGGTCATGTAGTTAGTTGTAGAACTAGCTTCATAACTATATTGTTCAATAAAAGCCAACTGCTATAACAAATAACTCCCAATCTTAGTGGCTAAAACACAATAAAAGATGTACTTCTTGCTTATGTTCTATTGGATATGTGTCAAGGGGTCTCCTGTGCAATTTTTGGGAAGCCTAACCTCCTTCTGCATTGGAGTTCTCTTCTTGGCCCTCTCTATCCAGCCATCTGAGGAGAAAAAAGGGAAAGAAACAAGAATCACTTAGAAGGTCTCAGCTACCAGGCATACATCATCTTTCTGTCCCACCTCACTGCAGGGGAAGTTAGGGAATGGATGATTCCTGTGTTCCCTTACCAAAAGGAAAAGTGAAATGTAACTGCCTATGCCACAGGCACCTGAGTCTTTCTGAGCCCAGAGTCCATGTTTATAAACACTAAGCTATTCTGATAAGCGCTATGTTGGAGGTACAAGGTTTAAGTAATTGAATGAGAATTATAAAATCCCAACCATTCTCTAAACACTTGACTCTGAACACCATCCCATTTAAAAGAAACTTAGCCCCAGGTAACAAATCCACAGTAGATATACCCTCAAAAAAACATCTACCTGAGGCATCTCAAGTGGGACCCTAATGTTAGAAGTGAAGCTGTCTTCTCTTGAGGCACAAAGCAGAGAGGGAATTGATTCAGGTAAACCTTGAACTTTGAACCACATTTGGGATGCTGTTTGCTCTAGGAAACGATATACACATCAAAGAAGTATGCCCCCTCCAAATTCATGCAAGGCCCCAAAGGAATGTGAAGATGACAAGTGAAAAGCCTCAGCATACTGTAAATCCCTCTACCAATGCCAGAGGCTGTTACAATCTTCATAGACTCAGAGAATCCGAGGTCAGGAAAGCCCCATGGGTTGTTCAGTCCAACAGACTGAGGACATTTAAACAAAGTAAAGCTTCATGCCTGCTGAGACTTGGAACCACCAGATGCAGGTGGGGAGCTGAGCTCAGGTAGGTCGAGGCTTGGCAAACAAAGCTAGCAAAAAGGCTGGCCTCCAAAAGGTAGTTAGGCTGTGAAGGCACGGTATCTGAAAAACAGAAAACTTGATGTAGATCATCAAGCTCTGGTCTACCCCAGAGCATAAGGCCCATCTCAAAACCACAGCCAGTATCAACAGAGACTCCAGTAGGCAGACAAGCCATGGTGAGCTGGATCTACCCCCAAGAAGAGAGGCTAGTAGGGAAAGACTTCGTTTCTAAACCCTGAGCTAGGACTCAGGACAAAGTCCCTGGACTAGAAGAACTTGGCCCTAGGCAAGATAACTGGGCAGAAACTAAGGTAAGAACCATCAGGCATGTGGATGCCACCAATTTGGGGGTGACAGTGGGGTTACCACTGTAAAGCTTCACCCAGAACCTGTTCCTGACTCAATGATGTCAACCCTCAAGATACAACATATGGAGGAGGTGGACACTCCATCCTGGGTCTGGGAGGTGTGACTTCATTCAGGACTCCAGGAAATAGAGGAGCAAGGGGACATGATGATGCTGAGAATTCTCATCAGATTGCCAAGGAGCCCATCAAGTGGGCATCTGGCCTCTACTCCAATTCACCCAGCACCAAAACGTTGAGTCCCTTCCCTCTAGATCAGCACATTCATTGGAACCAGCAGATGTGGTCTTTCCATACTAAGGCAAAAGGACAAGAGACAGAACCATAAACTGGCTTATGGTTGAATAGCTAAGAAAACAACCCTCTTCTTGGGCCTTGCATGAGTCCGGAGGGGGACATGAAGGCACACGATCTTCCTGAATTAGAAGTATGTTTCTGTTTGCCTACATTTTTGGTCCATTCAGCTCACTTAGTAAAAGAACCTGAAATGTCAAGTGATTTCTGGGAAACCTGGCATAGTATTTTAGACAGGGATATCAATCTTACCTTTTCCTGCTCTGAACTATGCCTGTGAGATGTGGGGTTTGATTTTAGAAATGTCAAGGATAAACACATGCCAAGGGAATGGTGCCCGAAATGCTGAAATACAAGGAGAAATTCAATAAGGTTTAGTTGAGGCTTTCTCAATAACTCTGTATTTTTGACTTACTCTTCTGGAAGCTGATCCAGGTGGGTGCCCCCACCATTCATCAGCCTGTGTAGGAAAAGCACAGTCTCCCGTGAGACAAGCACAGCCTTGCCTAGAGATTGGGCAAGGTATCTTTAGCTTTCATTCAAGGACTGGGTTTGAGGAGCTGCTGCCTCACAATCTGCCATCACATAAAGCCAGGTGGGTCACCTGGAGCTCAGAAATGCCCCCACACCAGTTTCACCAATTCCTTCCTTCTTTAGGAACCATGGGAGTGTAGCTGCTTTCCACTGGAAGTTACAACTATGTTGTCATCTCCATTTTACAAATGAGGAAACTGAGGCACAAAGAGCTTGAGCAACTCACCCAAGGTCTAGCAACTGGAAAACAGGGATTCAAAGCCAGGTGGTCTAGCTCAAGAGTCCTGTCCTTAAACACCACTGTTGAAGCTTGTAAGGGGGTGAATAATGTTCATTAAATGAAAGTTGGATGTCTGAGTAGACTCCCCACTTGCATGCTGCAGGCTGTGTGAATGGGTAAGCTGTGAAAAACTCTGGAATGACAGCCATTCAGACAGCCTGGGGCCACTTGTCCTGATCCCAAACAGCTTCATCCTCTTCCCCCAATGGGTTAAACAGCGATTTTTATTTTCTTTCTGTCCTGTGAGATGAAAAAGGTCAGAAAGTACTGGGCTAACTACTCAGAGGCAGTTTCTTGAGGTGCACAGGCTTTGGTTTGAATGCTATATTTATCACTTACCAGCTGTTTGATGCTGGGCATGCAGCAGGACCTCTGTGTGCCCCAGACTCTTTACCTACCACCTGGGCATCAGAAAGGAAGTTGTTGTGATTTAGAATCCCGAAGTTGTAAGACTTGAAAAGTGTGGGAAACGTATCATATACAGAAATATCTCATTTTATTTCACTTCACTTTATGTATTTCACAGATATTGCATTTTATTACAAATTGAAGGTTTGTGGCAACCCTGCCTCAAGCAAGTCTGTCACAATCATTTTTCCAATGCATGTGCTCGCTTTGTGTCTGTGTCACATTTTGGAGATCCTTGCAATATTTCAAACTTTTTCATTATTATTATATGTGTTATGGTTATCTGTGGCCAGTGATCTTTAATGTCACTATGTATTCTTTTTGGGGTGCCACAAACTGCACCCACATAAGATGGCAAATTTAATCAATAAATGTCACGTGTCCTCTGGCTGTTCCACTACCAACCATTCCCCAATCTTGCTGCTTCTCCTTGGGCCTCCCTATTTCCTGAGACACAACAATATTGAAATTAGAACAATTAATAACCCTACCATGGCCTCTAAGAGTTCAAGAACCTGTATTAATCCATTTTCATACTGCTGATAAAGACATACCCAAGACTGGGCAATTTGCAAAATAAAGAGGTTTAATGGACTTAGAGTTCCACATGGCTGGGGAGGCCTCACAATCCTGGTGGTAGGCAAGGAGGAGCAAGTTACATCTCACCTGGATGGCAGCAGGCAAAAAGGGAGCTTCTTGAAGGAAACTCCCATTTTTAAAACCATCAGATCTCATGAGACTCATTCACTATCAAGAGAACAGCACAGGAAAGACCCACTCCCATAATTCAATCACCTCCCACTGAGTTCCTCCCATGATGTGGGAATTATGGGAGTTACAATTCAAGATGAGATTTGGGTGAGGACACACCCAAACTATATCATTCCACACCTAACCCTTCCCAAGTCTCATGTCCTCACATTTCAAAACCAATCATACCTTCCCAACAGTCCCCCAAAGTCTTAACTCATTTCAGCATTAACTCAAAAGTCCACCACCCAGTGTTTCATTTGAGACAAGGCAAGTCTGTTCCACCTATGAGCCTGTAAAATCAAAATCAAGTTAGTTAGTTCTTAGATACAATGGGGGCATAGGCATTGGGTAAATACAGCCATTCCAAATGAGAGAAATTGGCCAAAACAAAAAGGCTACAGGCCTCATGCGAGTCCAACATCCAACAGAGAAGTCAAATTTTAAAGCTTCAAAATGATCTCCTTTGACTCCATGTCTCACATCCAGGTCACACTGATGTAAGAGGTGGGTTCCCATGGTGTTGGGCAACTCTCCCCCTGTGGCTCTGCAAGGTACAGCCTGGAGGCTGGTGTTGAGTGTCTGTGGCTTTTCTAGGCACATAGTGCAAACCGTCAGTGGATCTACTATTCTGGTGTCTGGAGGATGGTGGTCCTCTTCTCACAGCTCCACTAGGTGGTGCCCCAGTAGGGACTCTGTGTGGGGCTCCAACCCCACATTTCACTTCCACACTGCCCTAGCAGAGGTTCTCCGTGAGATCCCCACTCCTGCAGCAAACTTCTGCCTGAACATCCACGCATTTCCATACATCCTCTGAAATTTAGGTGGAGTTTCCCAAACCACAATTCTTGACTTCTGTGCACCCTCAGACTCAACACCACATGGAAGCTGCCAAGGCTTAAGGCTTGCACCATCTGAAGCCATGATCTGAGCTGTATCTTGGCTCAATTTAGTCATGGCTGGAGTGGCTGGGATGCAGGGCACCAAGTCCCCAGACTGCATACAGCATGGGAACCCTGGGCCTGGCCCACGAAACTATTTTTTCCTCCTAGGCCTCTGGGCCTGTGATGGAGGGAGCTGCTGTGAAGACCTCTGCAATGCCCTGAAGACATTTTCCCCATTGTCTTGGGGATTAATATTTGGATCCTCATTACATATACAAATTTCTGCAGGTGGCTTGAATTTCTCCTCAGAAAATGGGCTTTTCTTTTCTATCACATTGTCAGGCTGCAAATTTTCTGAATTTGTATGCTCTGTTTCCCTTATAAAATTGAATGTCTTTAACAGCACCCAAGTCACCTCTTGAATGCTTTGCTGCTTAGAAATTTTCTTCCACCAAATACCCTAAATCAGCTCTCTCAAGTTCAAAGTTCCACAAATCTCTAGGACAGGGGCAAATTGCTGCCACTCTCTTTGCTAAAACACAAGAATCACCTTTGCTCCAGTTCCCAAGAAGTTCGTCATCTCCATGTAAGACCACATCACCATGGACCTTATTGTTCATATTACTATCAGCATTTTTATCAAAGCCATTCAATGAGTGTCTAGGAAGCTCCAACAAGTGTCTAGAACTTCAACAAGTGTCTAGGAAGTTCCTGTCTTCTTCTGAGCCCTCTAAACTCTTCCAACCTCTGCCTGTTACCCAGTTCCAAAGTCACTTCCATGTTTTTGGGCACCTTTTCAGCAGCATTGTACTCTACTGGCAACTATTTAGTGTATTAGTCCATTTTCATGCTGCTGATAAAGAAATACCTGAGACAGGGCAATTTACAAAAGAAAGAGGTTTTAAGGAGTCAAATCTTATATGGATGGTGGCAGGCAAAGGGAGAGCTTGGGCAGGGAACCTCCCATTTTTAAAACCATCAGATCTCATGAGACTCATTCACTATCATGAGAACAGCGCAGGAAAGACCCACCCCTATGACTCAATAACCTCCTACCAGGTTCCTCCCACAACATGTGGGAATTATGGAAGTTGCAATTCAAGATGAGATTTAGGTGGAAACACAGTCAAACCATATCAGAGCCTCACATCTCTCCCTTTAAATCAAAAGCTAGAAATAATTAAGCTTAGTGAGGATGACACATCTAAAGCCAAGACAAGCTGAAAATCTAGCCCTCTTGCACCAAACAGCCAAGTCATGAGTGCAAATGAAACATTATTGAAGGAAATTAAAAGTGCTCCTCCAGTGAACACAGGAATGATAAAAAATAAATAAGTGAAAGAGCCCTATTGCTGATATAGAGAAATCTTTAGTGGTCTAGATAGAAAATCAAACCAGCTACAATATTTCTTTAAGCAAAAACCTAATCCAGAGCAAGACCCTAACTCTCTGTAATTCTCTGAGGGATGAGAGGGATGAGAAAGCTGCAGAAGAATGTTTGAAGCTAGCAGAAATCGGTTCCTGAGGTTTAAGGAAAGAAGCCATCTCCATAACAGAAAAATGCAAGATGAAGCAGCAAATCCTGATATAGAAGCGGCAGCAAGTTATCCAGAAAATCTAGGTAAAATCACTGATAAAGGCGACTACAATAAATAGCAGATTTTCAGTGTAGAAGAAACAGCCTTATTTTGGAAGTAGATAACAACTAGGACTTTCATAGTGACAGAGAAGTGAATGCCTGGCTTTAAAGCTTCAAGGTACCATCTGAATCTCTTGTTAGGAACTAATGCAACTAGTGACTTGAATTTAAAGCCAGTACTTATTTACCATTGTGAAAATCCTAGGGCCCTTAAGAATTATGCTAAATCATTCTGCCTGTCTTCTATAAATGGAACATCAAAGCCTGGATGACAGCACATCTGTTTACAGCATGACTTGCTGAATATTTTAAGACCACTGTTGAGACCTATTGCTCAGAAAACAAGATTCCTTTCAAAATATTACTGTTCATTGAACAATGCACCTGGTCACCCAAGAACTCTAATGAAGATGTGCAAGGAGATTAATGTTATTTTAGTGCCTTCTTATACAACATATATTCTGCAACCCATGGATCAGGGAGTAATTTCTACTTTCAAGTATTATCATTTAGGAAATATATTTCATAAGGCTATAGCCACCATAGATAGTGATTCCTCCAATGAATCTGGGCAAAATAACTTGAAAATATTCTGGAAATGATTTACCCTTCAAGAAGCCATTAAGCATTTTGCTACATGAATCATGAATGCTACATTCATGATTCATGAAAGAAGGTCTAAATATCAATATTAACAGGAGTTTGGGAGAAGCCGAATCCAAATCTCACGGATGATTCTGAGGGGTTCAAGACGTTAGTGGAGGCCAAAACTTCAGATGTGATGAAAATAGCAAGAGAACTAGAACTAGAAGTGGAGCCTGAAGATGTGACTGAGTTGCTGCAATCTCATGATAAAACTTCAACAGATGAGAAGCTGCTTCTTATGGATGATTAAAGAAAGTGGTTTCTGGAAATGGAATCTATTCCTGGTGAAGATGCTGTGAAGATTGTTGAAATGACAGCAAAGGATTTAGCATAAATAAGAAACTGCCATAGCCACCCCAACTGTCAGCAATCATGATCTTGATCAGTCAGCAGCCGTCAACATCAAGGCAAGACCCTCCACCAGCAAAACGATTACAGCTCACTGAAGGCTCAGGTGACTGTTAGCAATTTTTGAGCAATAAAGTTGGGGTTTTTTTTTCTTGAGATGGAGTCTCACTCTGTCACCCAGGCTGGAGTGCAATGGCACGATCTTAGCTCACTGCAACCACCACCTCTGAGGTTCAAGCGATTCTCCTGCCTCAGCCTCCCGAGTAGCTGGGACTAGAGGCATGCGTCATCATACTCAGCTAATTTTTTTGTATTTCTAGTAGAGATGGGGTTTTGCCATGTTGGCCAGGCTGGTCTCAAACTCCTGACCTCAGGTGATCCACGTGCCTCGGCCTTCCAAAGTGCTGAGATTACAGGCATGAGCTACTGTGCCTGGACACAATAAAGTATTTTTAATTAGGGTTGGTACATTGTTTTTTAGACAAAATGCTACTGCAAACTTTATAGACTATGGTATAGTATAAACATAACTTTTACATGCACTGGGAAACCAAAAAATGTGCATGATTCACTTTATTGTAATATCTGCTTTACTGCATTGATCTGGAACCAAACCCACATTATTTCCAAGATACCCCTGTACAAGGAAACATCTCCAGGGGCCTGAGGCAGTGTGCAATAATTAAGCCTGTTAATGTTGTAAACAAATAACGATTTACACCAAGTAGCATAACTAACGTTTCTAAATAGGACTCGTGTTTTGCTCCCAAATTAGCCACAAAACATACTTTAGCTTTTAGAGCTCTTTGAATTTTGAACTTGTGGATACAAGATTGTCAGCCCACAGCACTTCATTAGACTGCCCTAAAGATAACAGACAGTAATACATTTCAAGCGCTTTAGCTTGGCCTTGCGCCACACTCAAATACTGCTTATTGTGGCTGGTGTTGTGTTTTGTTTTGCTTTTGAGACTGGGTCTCATTCTGTGGCCCAGGCTGGAATGCAGGGGCAAGATCACCACTCACTGCAGCGTCAGCCTTCCCAGGCTCAGGTGATTCTCCCATCTCAGCCCCCTGAGTAGCCGAGACTATAGGCCCGTGCCACCATGCCCAGCTAATATTTGTATTTTTGTAAAGACAGGGTTTTGCCATGTTGCTCAGGCTGGTCTCAAACTCCTGGGCTCAAGCAATTTGCCCACCTCAGCCTCCCAAAGTGCTGGGATTACAGATATGAGCCACTGTGCCCAGCCTTGTTGCTGTTATTAAGCACACAGTGATTTTATTGAAATAGTGAACATCTGCAATTTTTCTGAGTCTTTTTTACTTGTCTGTATTTGCAAAATATTCTTTAATAAGTATGTGTTACTTTAATAATGAAAAAAGTGACAGTTAAGCAAAAGTAAAACATGGGTTCACTTTAAAAACTGCGAAGGATTTCACTTGACCCTTGCTGATTGAACCCTGAGTCAGAGGTCTGGACCACTCCTAGAACGGAGTGGACATCTTTCAGAGGAGCCCTGCCCAACAGACAGCCCTGTATGGCGCTCCCCTTTAGGTAGAGAGATAATTTTCCCAGGGCCACCACTGCTGACCCAGATTTCAGGGCCATACCCTGCCCTTTTGGATGCAGTAAGAGAAGGAGTGTTTAAATTCATTTCCTTCCCTGACATTTTTATTCCAGACCCACAGACTTTTCTGACACTCTGGTGCCTGTGACAATCAGCATTTCCGAACGAGAATGTTGCTCTCAGATTAGCTGTGGGCTCCAAACAACTGAACCCAATATTTTATTGATGGGTTACGAGAGTCAGGGTGCCCTGCAGAATAACACCATGAGCCTATTGGAATTATTAATTGCCTGTCAGCCACACACTTCCAGCCACCCTCCTGCCTTCTCCCTCCCCAGAAAAATAACATCTCCGTTCATTGGGTGAGCATCCAAAGCATTGCAAGTATACTCCGTGCACCTGTCTTTACCTTTTATAAAACAGACAGTGTGACTCAAACACAATTTGTTTCCGTTTGGACATAATGATTTCGAACACAGTCTTTTCATAATACATTGACCCTATCATGACATTATCATAATAATGAGAACTAACATTTTTAGAATGCATTGCAGTTTGCAGAGTCCATTTCCAAATATGATTTCAATTGATCTTCATAACAGCTCTTAGGCAGATTATTATCCCAATTTGCCAGGAAATGAGGGGTCATAAAAATTAATAAAAATAAATTATAAAACTCTATCCAAAGGAGTGTTAAAGCTGAAAAGGGCTTAAAGATCATACACGGTCCAAAGTCTTGATTTTATGTAGGAAGGAACTAAGGCCCAAAGAGGGAGAAATAATTTGGCCAAGATTCAACAGACAGACATAGAATTAGGGCTGGGATGCAGAGTATCTGATTCCTTGTCCTATTTTGACTCCACCACGGGTGTTCTGACCTCTTTTTATTGGCTTACTGTAAGTCAGTCAGCCCTGTGACTGGGAGCTTACTTAAGTCTTCCCTAACCCATGGACTTGAATGAGATCGATTCAAATCTCAGTGGAAACTGACCCCCAGACCCCTGAGGCAGACCCCTCACACTTCTGTTTCCCATCACTGTTCCACACTGCTAAAACCCAATACAAAGCTCAGCCTTTTCTTAATTTGCATACACACATGCACACACATACACTCACACTCACACATATGTGCTTACACTTATGCTCTCACACATAAATACATACACACTCATATATACACACACACTCACATACTCATACACTCTCACATGCTCATGCACACTCACTCTACACACACGTACTCACACACTCATACACAAATACACACACATACACTCATACTCTCTCACACTCCCAACCTTTATGTACATTCTCTCACACACACGCACGCATTCTCTTACATTCACACTCCCTCATACACACAGCTTACACACACACCTCACACATGCACAAAGCACAAAGTGTTCATGCATGCAGTAGGCTTTCCCCTGTATTTCAAGAGAGGAGACAGAAGAGTGGTTAATGTCAACGTAACAAAATAACTTCAAGTTAAATGTTAGGGCCCTCCCTTCATAAAGTGTCACTCAACAACCCTTCCCCATCTATCTTCAGGGTCCCCAGCCCACCTTCAGTATCTTACAGTCTCCACCTCCTCCCTTCTCTGCTCCCTCTCACCTTTCTCCCCTACTCCTGCTTTTCGACAGCAAAATCAAATTCCTCTCATTTTCTCATGCAAGCAGCTTAAACTTCCCTGCATCCATTCAACAAACAATTACTGGGCATTACCCCACTCCACAGATACTTCCTGCATACTAGGGCTGTGTTATTTTTGTAAGCCTAGTTAGAAATGATCTGGATGAAATTTAAGCAAAGACTCGAAGGAAGTAAGGAAGTGAGCCATCAGACGTCTTATAGAAGAGTCTTCCAGGCAGGGCAGACAGCAGTTGCAAAGGCCCTGTGGTGTGGTGGGACCACGCAGGGCCTGTGGCTGGGTGGAGCTGGAGAAAGTGAGCACAGGGCAAGGGGAGGTCAGAGAGGTGGCCAGGACCCAGCCCTGATAGGTAACTTTTGGTCTGTTTGTTTTCTTGAGCTCCAGCCAACATCTTATCTTCAACTCCAAGATACTTAACAAAGTATTTTCCCAAACAAAGAGTTTCCTTCAAGGGAGAATGCTGATCCCAGCTACAAGTATGATAAAATTTTCAACTCATTACACTACATCCTATACTCCCTTCATTGTCTGAAGAACTGAAAACCCACAAACCATTGCATTAGGGATGTGTCTTTCTTCTTGCATGGAGGATTTTTGGAAACATCTCAGAAAAGCAATCCATTCTAAACCCTCACCACACTCCTTAAGGGCCTCACCCTGCCTATTCCTCTGTGAAAGTCTTCAAGGCCTGCTTCAAAGGTTTAGCAGCACTGCAGCCCCCAACACACACACACACGCATGCACTCACATGTGCTCACACACATATATGTGCCCTTTGGGCATCTGCTATTCAAAAGGATGATTTGGGCACACTCATGTTTTCTCTATAACCAAGAAAGTGACCCTGGCTCCCAATCCAAAGAAATATTTCAGCAAGAGAAGAAAAAGAGAGGTACATTATTCCTTGGAAAACTTATTCTGTTGGTTGTCTTAATTCCTTCCCTCCTAGATCCATTTTTAAAACCAACAATTGCTGCAAATGGCAGTAGCCAACCTCAGCCTTTCCTAACAACTGTAGTGCCACCATAGCTGCCTACTCTTCCAGGGGGTGGAGATTGTTAGCAACTGGAGGGGAAGTTGTGTGTCACGCCTGGAGTCACCAGTGAACAACTGACCAACTGTCCTTTTGAGTGACAGCTTACTCTTCTGCAAAAGTGACCAAACATAAAAAAGCTATTGAAGTAGCCCAACTTATGGATCTTTGGGACGCCTTCCCTTGGTCACCAGCCTCTGAGGAAGTGTCCACTACTGGTAGCACTCTGAGGCTGAAGGACAGGTAGCCTCCAGTGAGTGTGCCAACATAGCAAGGAAGACCCTGACTGTTCTCAGACGATATCACAATCTGCAATTTGCATCCCCTGACACTACCAAGTTTCCACTGAAATAAGCATGTTCTTGCTTAAAAGTAATGAATCTCCTTTTATTTGGGTAACCTGTACTTGGGATTGTTACATCGTTTTTAAGCAAAGAAATGAGAGGTGTGGGGACCAGCAAATACTGGGATTTGAAACAATCCCTTCAGCAGCCAGGCTGTAAACATTCCACTATCTCACCTCATGGCACCTTCTAACTGTTGGCTGTCCCCCCAGGAGGACACTGGCTCCTGCCTTGCAGTTCTGTTATTAAGGGGTTTCCTCTGAATGAGATGGGCAACCACTCAAGGGTTTTGGGCAAAGGAACCACATGTCTGGACTTATACTTTTGCAGCAACCATCTGATATGGTTTGGCTGTATCCCCGCCCAAATTTCATGTTGAATTGTAGCTCCCATAATCCTGGTGGGAGGTAATTGAATCATGAGGGCAGTTTCCCCCAGGCTCTTCTCATGAGAGTGAATAAGTCTCATGAGATCTCATGATTTTATAAAGGGCATTTCCCCTGCTCACACTATCTTCCCATGCAAGATGTGCCTTTGCTCCTCCTTTGCCTTCCACCATGATTTTGAGGCCTCCCCAGCCATGTGGAACTGTGAGTCATTAAACCTCTTTTTCTTTATAAATTACCCAGTCTCAGGGTATCTCTTCATAGCAGTATGAAAATGGACTAATACACCATCTGTCTGCCATGTTGTGGTACAGCAATATGGCAAGAATGGAAGCAGGAGATGAGTTAAGAGGCTGGTGCGATAACCTGGAGAATGTGCTTGGGCCAGACTGGTTGACATGGGGGTGGCAAAAAGTGGTCAGACTCAGGATATACCTGGATATATAAACACTGAGTTCACAATATTTGAAGATAGATTGAATGCAAGAGATGGAAGACAAGAAGCCGGGGGGATTTACTGAGATCCTGAAGACAACAGGAGGAGCAGGCTTGGGACAGGATGATCAGTTTGCTTTTGGACAAGCAAGTTTGAGAGGCCTAATGTACATCTGGATGTGTGAGTCTAGAGTCCAGGGGAAGATCCAAGCTGGAGATACATGCAGTCACACACTGGACCTTTCTGGAGTGTCTGAGCCAACCAGCCCCTCCCTCCTCCATATAAGGTTCATCTCCCTGCTGATAATGCCCATCACACCCTGCTGGTGTTGATTACACCTCTTTGGCTTAGTCAGACATCTCATTGTGGTTCCCTGACTCCTCCTGCATCCTCACCTGCTTTGTCCCTCCACACGCCCCATGCTCAATCATACTTCTTCCCATGATGTCAGCCACCACCTCTGCAGATGATTCTCAAACCTAAGTGTTAAGTGAGGACCGCTTACCTGAACTAGGAGATCAAATGTCTAACTGATGCCAAGGCAACCCCCAGAGATGTCCTATGAGCACTCAAGTCCAATCCTCTGTAGAGAAGCTCATCCTCTCTTCCTTAGCATACTACTAAATATTGCCCCAGCCAGGCTGAGTACAACTCCTTAAATCCTAGCTCAGCTGAGGCACATCTTGCTGGTTCTCCAACCACTTTTTTGTCTTTTCCTTTTCCCTGCTCTCCTGACCCCTTACCACCACAATTACACACCACGCACACACACAGAATTATTCCTCATTAAGATCCTGCACTGAACATGCTGGTTTGCCTTCCCATAATACCTATTTGACTTTAGACCTACCTGCCTGGAATCCAACAAGACCATATCATCTAGTGTGTGGGTTTTGGAGTCAGGTGAACTGGACTAGAATCCAGTTACTAGTTATGTAACCTTGTGCAATTTACCTAACCTTTCTTTGTATCTATTTCTTCATCTCTATGAATAATGTGATAATGGTAGTATCTGCTTCATAGAGTTGTGACAAATAAGAATAGATAACTAGACAGACAGATAGATTAGACAGATAGATAGATAGACGGACAGACAGATAGATGGATAGATAGACAGATAGATACTTATATAGAGAGACAGACACAGAGATATAGACATAGATATAGTGTTTAACCAGCACCTGGCACAAAGTAACTTCTCTGTCCCAAATCCCTAAAGCAGGCAATATCCCCACAAAGACTCTCTTTTCTCTACCCAGCTTTATCCAGCAGAAGACTTCTTTTCCCTAAACAAAATTGGGGATGGTGTTAGAAGTTGCTGGGGACCTAAAATAGCCATCACCACCCTCATCCCATCTTTCCCCCATGTGTTAGAAAGAAACTAATAGAGAAGTAAGACACAAGGGACAGACAGAGAGTAGGATTTTAGCTTCCTTACGGAGGAAAGCTGGAAAGCACGGTTTGGTTCATCAGCCAAAAGGCATCCCAGGAGGTCCCCCTGACTTGAACTTACTCCCTGCTAAGGCAAATCTCCGCTGTCAGAGAGTGCCCTGCCCGGTGCTTAGCCCATAATGAAGACAGACATGGAGAGTAAAGAGGGGCCTGCTGTTGGGGCCGACAGACCTGAAGCAGGTGGGACAGGAGCACTGTTCCCAGTACGCGCAGTCCTTTCTCCAAATCTCACCCCAGTGGAAAGTGCACACCGGGATGACCAAACCAATCTGATTGCTTTAGAGCCCACCAGGAGGGGACAGCCTCCCTGTGACAATACCTCCACCTCCGACCTCCTCCCGGTGTTTCTCCTCCTCCTCAGCTCATCCCACCCCTGCGCTCCTCCACCTGCAATGTTCTCATTATTTCTACAGGGGCCTTCCTTGCCCTACTTTCCCCAGCATCACGGCAAAACCCCTTATGGCTTCTTTCTGTCCGTGGAGCCCATCATGGATGTGCTAAGCACAGTTGTCACAAACCTGGGTCTGTGTGAAGTGGGATCGCAGGGATAGAAACCCATCCAGTGCCGCACTCTAGGCAAACCTAAGGCAAGGCCAGGCAGCTGACTTAACGCTTACTCTACTGCCATCTCCTGGAAGGAAAGGGTATTTCTTCTCTTATAATAAAGGCAAGATCCTTGCATTTGACCATTTCAATCTCTTTGGGTAAAAATGGACCAACTCCTCCATAAAGTAGGGATGGGAAATGCTTTCTTTGTATCAACAAAGGCTCCCTTTGTTAGGGAAAACAAAAAACACTCCCAACTTGTGGTGGAGCCTGCTTATTGCTCCCTGGTTCCCATTCTTTCCACTTTAAAGGTGGCAAAGGTGTTAAGAATGGAGGCTACATTCCTGGCCTCCAGCAGCTGGCTGTAGAGCCATGTGACTGAGTCCTGATTGATGCAAGGTAATAAAAGCGTCAAGTTTCACCTTCTAGGAACTCACCTTCCTCCTCCCCCTCCATCCTGCACCCTGGAATGTCTTGGACCATGTATTATCTGTTGCTATGTAACAAATCACCTCAAAGCTGAATGGCTTAAAAGAGAGAACATTCATCATCTTACCATTTCCATGAGTCAGGAATTCAGAAGAGGCTAAGCTCGGTGGTTCTGACTCAGGAACTCTCACAGGGTGCATCAAGACATCAACCCCAGCTACAGTAACCTCAGGATTGCCTGGGGCTGGAGGATCTGCTTCCACAATGGCTCACTCACATAGGAGATCTGTTTCCTCCTAGCTTTGGCAGAGACTTTTTAGTTCCCTGCCACATGGGCCTCCTCATAGGGCTGCTTGAGCGCTCTCACAATATGGCAGCTGGCTTCTCCCAGAGCTCGTGATTGAAGGAAGAAATAACATTGTCTTTTTAGAACTTGGTTACACATCATCACTTTCCACCACACCCTATTCTTTAGAAACAAGTTGCTAAGTCCAGCTCACATTCGAGGAGAGGAGAATTAGGCTCCATTTTTTTTTGGAGGAAACCACAGACCATATTTTTATACTGCCATAGACCCTGATATTGAGGCTATCTCGTAGAGCAGGATACCTGTCTGTGGCCTGTTAGGAACCAGGCTGCACACCAGAAGGTGAGTTGGCAGTGAGAGAGCAAAGCTTCATCTGTATTTACAGCCACTCCCCATTGTTTACACTACTGCCTGAGCTGCCTCCTGTCAGATCAGAGGCAGCATTAGATTCTCATAGGAGTATGAACCTTATTGTGAATTGCGCATGCGAAATATCTAGGTTACGTGCTCCTAATGAGAATCTAATGCCTGATGATCTGTCACTGTCTCCCATCACCCCCAGATGGGACTGTCTAGTTGCAGGAAAACAAACTCGGGGCTCCCACCAATTCTACATTATGGTGAGTCGTATAATTATTTCATTATTTATTACAATGTAATAATGATAGAAATAATACACTTGAATCATCCCAAAACCATCCCCCCACCTGGTGCATGGAAAAATTATCTTCCATAAAACCAGTTCCTGGTGCCAAAAATGTAGGGGACCACTGCACAGAGTACCCTGCCAGCCTTGGGCTATCTACAGACTCTTTCTAAAACGCACAGAAATATAACACTATCTTGTTTACACCTCCAGTGTTTGGGGTTCTCTGTCATTTGCAGCAAAGTTTAATGCAAACTAACAAATGAAACTTAAGTCAACCAAAGCAGCAAAAAGCAAGTCTTGTGGCCAGGAATTCTTTCATTTATCTTTCTCCCTCAACCCCACATCCACAGCCAACTATTTCTCTAATCTCAACTTCTCTTAATCTCACATCCCATTGCAGCCAAATCAATATATTGACTCACCTCTTCTCCTCACTGTGTCCTCACTGGCTCATCTCAATTCACCCTTTATTTCCTCCCTTGCTGTCTACACAGCAGCCACAGCTATCATAACATGTAACAAGCCATGTTTCCCCCCTGCTACGACTCACTACTTCCTTCTCGTAAGAGTTGGAATTAAAATTCTGAATCAAAAGGTTGCAAGCAGATTCACAATTCTCCAAATTTCTCTTTTTTAACTAATAAATCACGGCTGTATATATTTGGGAGGGTACATGTGATACTTACATACATACAGTGTGTGATGATCAAATCACAGTAAATGAGATATCCATCACCTTAAACATTTACATCACGATTCTCCAAATCTCGTGAATAACAGTAACCTCAATAATATTCTACTTTCTCAAAACACAACTGAGAAGAGCCTGCTTGCTGCATCCTGACTCTTGCAAAACTGCCACAGCTCTGCTTCCCGTTTTGGCGAGTACCACGCTGTACTAGTGTTACTATAACATTGCCTGTCTTCCCTGTCTTGCTCTTCATCACTCTCCAGTGCCTAGCCCAAGCCTAGCAGTGAGCAAACAATGAATAAACATTTGTCAAATCATTAAACAAATGATTAAATGGAGCAGTGAATCACCAGTCCCGAGATTCTTTGTTTGGAAGGAAAGAGGAGGCAGAGATTTTTTTTAATTGAGTAAGCATTCAGCATTTAAAACACTGGAAAATTTTAAAATCTAGATCTCTGGCTCCTCTGAAAAAGTTGGATAATTCCATTTGCAATAACATGGCTGAACTTGTAGGACATTACGTGAAGTAAAACAAGCCAGGCACAAGAAAAACAAATATTGCATGATCTCATTTATACGTGGAATCTTTACAAATCAAACTCAAAGAGTCAAAGAGTAGTGGTGACCAGGAGCTGGGGGTGGGGATGGAGGAGATGTTAATTAAAGGATACAAAATGTTATTTAGAAAGGGGGAATAAGTTCAAGAGATCTATTATACAACATAGTGACTATAGTTAATAACAATGTATTGCGTACTTGAAAAATAGTAGATTTTAAGTATTCTCATCACACATAATAAGTAGGTGAGGTAATGCACATGTTAGCTCAAGTTAGTCATTCTATAAGGTATACATATTTCAAAATATGTTGTACACCACAAATATCTATAATTTCTATATGTCAAATAAAATAAAATAATTGGACAATTCGTTTACATAGAGTCTATCATCTGCCTGGCAGCAGTTGGCCAGAGCAGAAGGGGAAGGGGCTCCCCTCTTGAAGGAGGGATGAGCCTAGCCATGAGCTGGTGTCCCCTCCCAGCCAGTCTTGCTCACTGAAATTAAACCTGTGGCACATGTTGCGTCTGAGCTTTCACACCCTAACATAGAACATCCATTGTGGGGACTATGTGACCAAAAGGGATTCTAACTGATTATGAAGTCCTGGGCCTCCCATAGAAAGATACAGACCAAGCCTATGGCAAATAGAAGCCAAGATCTGACACATGAACTGCTGAGGCCACAGCCATTGCCACACTGCATGGGCCGGGGGGCATGGGATAAGGAGGAGGTTTAGCACAAGGAACTAGGAGTCGAGCTGGCTGGTTGGAATCTAAACTCTGCCACTTCCTCGCTGAGTGACCTGGGATGAGTGATGGGTGACTCCCAGTCTCCATTCCTTCCTTTGTTGAGTGGAAGTGATAATCCCACTTACTGCAGAAACTTGGGAAGATTTAGTAAGAGAAGTTGTGCAAAAGCATTCAACTGTGTTGCTGGCACAGGAAAAAGGCTTGATAAATAGGAGCTAATATTATCATCCCTCTTCTCTTCTGAGGGAAGAACACTTCCCTACACATAACTAGACCTTCTAGGCTCAGGCTTAAGAAACTTCCAACAGAACCCAGCACCTGAAGGAAGGTACATGTGGAAGGAAAGGCAGACCTCTAGCAGAGTCTGCTAATTAATCTCTGCACATATATATGGAGAGAAGAAGAGATTATTCACATTAATCAGCAGATTAATACATGTATAATATGCATATATATGCATAAAGATTATCAAGCAGCAGTTAGAGATGAACTACATCAACTCTGAGATGCATCCCAAACAGTTCTGACCTTTCGCATCCAATGATCTTTGCAACAATAATTGAATGTACTATGGGCACTTATTCAACCTGAAGTCTGCCAAGGTTTCTGGCAGCTAAGTAGCTTCAGACAGTTGTGATATTATGGAGATGCCTCCAGCATGCTCTCTGCATCTCGTAATAACAGTAAAGAGGTACACAAATACAACACACTTCCTTACACAACCACACACTTCCTTCCTCAGTAATGTGTGCCTCTTTATCCAGTAATGTGTGCCTCTTCTCAAACATCAGCATCTGTCCTGAACAAAGGAACTGCCTTGGGACATTGTCAAATGAAAGAAGGCACCAATTCCTCTGAACAGCCTGGCCACCGTGTCTTTGTTTACTCGCTTCTTCCTTCACCTGTGCGTCAGATATTTCTGAAACACAGAGATGGAGAGGAATGAGTTAATATTTAACACGTCTGCACTTTGCCAAACACTGTGGTGGGTCCTTTGTGTAAATATCTCATGATTCCTAAAGAACAGATGTGGGGAGAATATTACCTGCATATTACAGAGGAGGACATAAAAGCTCGGAATGTTTGCCCCGCCAGAAAGAAATAAAGCCAGAAATTGAATCTAGAAGGTACTCTTAGGGGCTCATATAATCTTTGCAGAGCTGAGAAAGAAAAGGTCAGGGAAGTTGTTCCTGGAGGCTGGGAAGTACCTCCGGATACCTCAGCCTGATGTCCCAGTGAACATGGTTCTTGAGACTCACCTGGCAGCCTCTGTGAATCTCACACCTGTCTACATGAGGGGCATAAGAAATCATAAAAGTATTAATTTGGGGAACTGATAAATATCCATTAAATCATCACAATTTATGTTGTTCTGCCACGGCTTCAGCAGGTCTCTCTGTTCGGGGTCCCTGACTTCCCGCAACAGGTTCCAACAAGTTTCAGCCAGCTTTGCTGTTTTGCAAGCAGGGGGGATTTCAACAACCTGTCTCCTTATCTGCCATTTTGTAAAACAAGCTCAATAATTCCTCTAAGTCACCACTTGCTTTAACCCTGTCAAGCACAGTTTCATTTATTTCTCCACTGAAGGCTGAAAACCATTAGATCAAAAACCTGATAATGCCAAACTCAGCTTTTCACACATTCGTTTTTAAAATAGTGCACACAAGCAGATTTTTAGCCATTTAGGGCCTGCCTGCTTTTTATACTCCATGAAACTATACCCAGCATCTGCTGACCCCTGGTGAGATGGAGCCTATAAGATGGTGCTTATAGGACCCCAAGCCACTGCTGCCCTTCAAAGCTCTCTGGCCAACAGATCCTTCCTTGTGCTGTGGAGGGACACCACCTAGAGACACCAAATCTCCTCTCTGATCTATCTCCCTGCCCCCACAACAAGGCTTGTGCATGCCACAGCTCATGGTCATGTTTTTCCTTAATCAGATCTAAAATTCCTTGAACCTCCTACACCTGGGAAAACTGTCACTCAGGGGTCCCTGGGGAAGGGGCTCTGGGAAATGCAGTTCCTGGCTTCTCTGTGACTCAGAGGAGACCCTAGAAGTGACAGTAGACCCAAGTTGATAACCAGCAAGCAGCGTGCCCAGTGTCCCCTTCCAGCCCACCACACATGCTGCGTCTCAGCACCACTGGTTCTCTCCCCACGTTTAGTTGGGTTGCCATGTGTTCATCCATCAGTTCTGGTTGCATCTCGTTGATTGCAAGGTGGCGGAGCAGGAACTCCCACACTTCTCCCAGCCAGATTCCAAAACAACTGAACCCCTCGACAGCACCAAGGAGCTACAGGTCTGACCTGCTGATCTTGAGTGCCCCAAGCAGCAAAGTCCCTGATGCCAGTGGTGGAGCCAGGAGTCACAGCTTCTACTGCGTCTGTTGAAGTCACTTTGGGAACTGTAGATCCACTGCTGAGCTGTCACATTAGAGGAGGAGAATCTCCAGCATCATTGGTTGCAGTCTCCATCCTTTCATAAGAAGCCAAGTCTTTCACCAAGGTAAAGAAAGAACACTGCTTTCCTCCTATTGTCAGACTGAGTCAAGGGCTGTCCCATGGAGAAGGTGCCTAGACTTCAGAGCGTCTTGTCCTGGTTGTGGCAGACACTGTTTTCTGATCAACATCAATTGCCATCTCTCATCTTTGCCCAAGTTTATGCAGGACAGCCACATGCCCAGTCCTGGGTGATAAATCATGATTAAGTCAAGCTTTGGCAAACTACATACAGTTCACAGGCCAAATCCATCCCAGTCTTTGCATGGCCCATGGACAAAAAATAGTTTTTATATTTTTAAATAATTACATTTTAAATGATCATTTAAGAATCTACATAATAACTTTAATTTTGCTTTTTAGTGCACACAAAGCCCAAAATATTTACTCTCTAGCCTTTTAAGAAAAAGCTTGCTGCCAGGCGTGGTGGCTCACACCTGTATTCTCAGCACTTTGGGAGGCCAAGGCGGGCAGATCACCTGAGGTCAGGAGTTTGAGACCAGCCTGACCAACATGGAGAAACCCCATCTCTACTAAAATACAAAAAAATTAGCCAGGTGTGGTGGCACATGCCTGTAATCCCAGCTACTTGGGAGGCTGAGGCAGGAAAACTGCTTGAACCCAGGAGGCTGAGGTTGCGGTGAGCCGAGATCGTGTCATTGCACTCCAACCTGGGCAACAAGAACAAAACTCCATCTCACAAAAAAAAAAAGAAAAAGAAAAAGTTTGCTAACTTCTGTGTTAAGCCATTCATGATAAACCTGCTCCCCATGTTACCTGGCTTTCCATGCAGTTTTGACCACTGAGAGTCAAGGGGAAATTTGTTTTCAGAACTTCTGGGAAAGATTCTTCTTTCCTGATAGAAGCAGTAGATGTGGGCAGCACCAACCTACTCTGCCTCTTTCTGCCACAAATATGGATGCAATAGCTGGAGCTGCAGCAGCCATTATATAATGATATGGTACAACCAGGAGAATTACATAGACATAAGCCATGACATCACTGAGCCACTGAATCAAAGTGAATAACTGCTCTGCATAACATGTTATAAATAAGTGATAAAGAGCCGTTTGTTTGAGCCGCCAGACTTTTCTGATACTTGTAGGTGAATGCATCTTAAGTGATATGCACATAAATGAATAGTTGTCTCCAGGAAGTAACCACAGCATAAAAACAACTGGGTTTAGATAGAAATAAGAACCAGCCAGAATTATGGAGCTCACGATCAGAATTATCTTTAGGTCATGATGCTAAGTTGGTTAAGTGAAGCTTACTCTTTGCTATCTCTTTCTTTATAATACATTCCCTCTCAGGGAACCTCTTGGCTCCTCCAACCACTCCTTTGTCAGACATCCCCTGAGGTTTCCAGGTGGTTTTCTCAACACTTTTTCTTTTTCTCAATAGAGTCCCAGAGTCCCACTGTTGCTTCTCCAGGAGCTTTCTTCCACCTCTAAAGACTATTTGTTACAAACAGATAATCAAGAAGAGTGTCCCAGCTCAATTTAAGGCCAACAGCATCCAGAACTCATATATGAACTGATGCACTGGAGAAAAGTGATTGGAGCCCAAATAACTAACTGACGGCATGTTGGATTTCCCCATCAGATATGAACTCCTTGAGATTGGGGCTATGTCTTATACTTGTTTTTAACTCCATGGCTAATGCAATGACTGGCCATTGTATGTCCTCAAAATCATTTGTTGAATGAATAAACTAATAAATGAACCAATGAACAAACTCAGGAAGGAAGATGTCAGTGAGCAGAAGCCAGGTCCACCTGCTCAGAAGATACAGCCCAAACTTCCTGAAAAGTCCTTCCAGACCCAGCCCCTGTACCCTCTTCTGCCTTCCTTCGAATCTTCCCCTCCCTTCATGCTCCAGGAAGACAAAATCACTTTATGTCCTCCAGCATGCCCTGACCACTCCTGTTTCCCTACTTTGCCTCCTTTACCTGGGCTGCTCCCTTCTTCTCCTTTTCTGACTGATTCAGGGTTTGGGACTCACATTGGAAGATACCCTCTCCTCTGGGCTCTCTCCTTGTCCACCTCCCTACACTTGGTTAACCATTCTTATGTGTGCTCCCAGGCACAATGCTACAGTACGCATTAAAGTTTATTGAACTATTGACTTCCCCCGACTTGGCTGTTAGGGCCAAGGACCTAGGAGTTCTCTAATCTCATCCTTCCCATCTCCTCTTCCTCCCCAAGGAGAACCTGAGAAAGCTCTGTCTACGCGCGCGCACACACACACACACACACACACACACACACACACAGAGAGAGAGAGAGAGAGAGAGAGAGAAAGGGAGGGAGGGAAGAAGGGAGGGAGGGAAGGAGGGAGGGAGGGAGGGAGGAAGGAAGGAAGGAAGGAAGGAAGGAGGGAAGGGAGGGAAAAAAAGAAAGAAAGAAAGAGAAAGAGAATGAAAGAAAGAAAGAAAGAGAAAGAAAGAAGAAAGGAAGAAAGAAAGAAAAAGAAAGAAAGAGAAAGAAAGAGAGAAAGAGAGAGAGAAAAAATCATTCCAACTCTGGTTAAAATGGTAAGAAAGATAATTGCAATAACAGTATTACAATAGGGGAGAGAGAGATCACACTCAACTACAGAAAGGACAAGTGGGGGGTTATAGCCCAGAAGCAGGGTGAGGGTCAGTGGATGGGAAATTACTAAGAGGAACATCAATGTTAGCGGGGCCAAAAACTTATACATCAAATATGGGGGGTGAAGGACTTGATCAGATATCAAGGCAGGAAGAGATGACTTAGCAGCATTCTTCTAAAAGTGGGCTGTGCAGGCCCAACAAGGACAGGATGGATACAGAAGGCCAAAGTCAAAGCCTAGTTGAGAAGATGGTGCAAAGGAGCTTAACTAAAATTTGGCCAAGAAAACAGTCTCTGTCAACACACACACACAAAGAAATAGCAGAAGCAGAATCAAAGTGCCACTTTCCTAGCAGCTGGACCAGCAGATGGTGGCACTCATGGATTGATGGTGGACAGATGATGGTCCCCTAGTAAAAGTCAAGTTACAAAAACAGCTGCAACCTAAGCAGGGCCACCTACTTCTCCATCCAGTGGAAACCTTGGAACCAGTATAGTAGACAGAGTGACAAGAAGAAATATATGGCCAGGTCTCCAGTTGGAAGGGGATGGGGGGAGTCCTGATTCAGTTTACTAACTCTGCCACATATGGAGGAATAGAAAGTGTAAGAAAAGAACAAAGAATGGGCTTCTGCATTGTGGTATGGTGACCCTGCCCCCAGCAAATTATTGCCCAGTGATGTCCTGAACTCTGACTTATACAGCAGCCCCTCTTTCCTTATGGAGAGAGAAAGCACTGGAAGAGGACAGGGAGGAGGGACAGAAGTGTGTGATACTGTTACCATCCAATGGGTTCTAGATAGAGTCAATTTACCAAAACAGGGGAATTGAAATAGAGAGTTTACTTCCCACAGAGCCAAGCAGCCTGCACAGAAGACAGAGTTTTATTATTACTCAAATCAGCCTCCCTGAAAATTCAGACACTAGGATTTTTCTTATTTTATTTCAGTTCCAAGGTACATGTGCAGGATGTGCAGGTTTGCTACATAGGTAAATGTGTGCCATGGTAGTTTGCTGCACCTATCAACCAATCACCTAGGTATTAGCCCACCATGCGTTAGCTGTTTTTCCTGATGGTCTCCCTCCCCTCACCTCCTACCCTCCAACAGAACCCAGTGTGTGCTGTTCCCCTCTCTGTGTCCACGTGTTCTCATTGTTCAGCCCCCACCTATAAGTGAGAACATATGGTATTTGGTTTTCTGTTCCTGCATTAGTTTGCTGAAGATAATGGCTTCCAGCTCCATCCATGTCCCTGCAAAGGAAATGATTTTCCTTTTTAATATTGCATAGTATTCCACAGTGTATATGTACCACAGTTTCTTTATCCTGTCTATCATTGATGGGCATTTGGGCTGATTTCATGTCTTTGCTACTGTGAATGACACTAGGATTTTTCAAGGATAATTTGGTGGGCAAGGGAATGGGTGCTGCTGATTGGTTGGGGATGCAATCATAGGGGTGTGGAAAATGGTCCTAAGAAAATGTGCTGAGTCTCTTTCTGGATGGGACCATAGGGCCAGTTAGTGGGTCCAGGTGGAGCCATCGGTCATCAGAAATGCAAAAACCTGAAAAGGCTTTTCAAAAGGCCAATCTTAGATTCTATAATAGTGATGTTATCTGTAGAGTAATTGGGGAAGTTGCAAATCTTGTGACCTTGTAATCATTTATGTCTACACCTTAACAGAATTCAGGCTCCTCTCATCCTCCTAACCTGATGGTCTTTCATTAGCTTTACACAGGTGGTTTAGTTTTGCAGGAGGGCCATTACCATTTAAATTTATAAACTAAATTTCTCCCAAAGTTAGCTTGGCTTACCCTCAGGAATGTCTAAGGGCTGTTTGGAGGTTAAAAGCAAGTGGGGATTGGTTAGATCAGCTCTCTTTCACTGTCATAATTTTCTCAGTGTTATAACTTTTGCAAAAGTGTTTTCAATGACACCCACTCCAGTCTCCAACAGTCAAGAACAAATAGATCCTCAAAGTCTTCCATGGAAGATCCCTGGGTAAGGGGGTGGGGTGGCTATGAAGAGGTCATGGACAGCCACATGCCACCTTGGGGACTCAGAAGCCCCCAGTCCATGTCCTCTCTCTCAGACCTGAGAGCCAGGAACCCCTTTAGATAAAGTCTTGGATTTCCAGAATGGGCCCTGGCCACAGCCGAGAGTCACTGGGGCTGTTATACCCTTTGTTTTGCTCAGGGTGTTGATTTTCTCAGTTGCTTAAAGATCCCACTGCCCAATTTAGCTCAAGCCTCAGTCTCAGGTTACAGCCTTCCTCCTGCTCATTAGATTCATTCTTGGCTGTCATCATTTTAATTTCTTTTCTCCATTTTTTGGTGTGAGGCCTGGACAGAGGAGCTGCCCAGAGTGGCAGGGGGGCCACTTGGCAAGTCTCCAAAGCCTGCAGAGGGAATGCCATTAGCTTCCAATCCACAGTGCAGGAAGGGAAGCTGAGCTCCTATAGGGTTTAGGAGAGCAAAGGCTCAGCAGAAAACAGGAAAGTCTGGGGTTAGGCTCTTGCTTTTCTGAAGCAGAGGGAGGCTGGGAGCTGGCACTGGCGAGACTGTTCTGAAGAACACAAAAGAAGACAAGGACAGGGAGGAGACGGAGGCTATTTCAAGCATGCATACAACTACCAATCACAGAAAGTGCAGGGATCCTCATGAAACTCCTGCAAGACAAGATGATTTGAATCATCTTTGCAGGCTAAAATATCAGACAACAGGATTGAGACAAGGTGAAAGATTCACCAGAAATCAGAATTCTTCTGTTTATCTCCTTTGTGTTAGGTCACATCTGCCTTCAGAGAGACAGTAGAGTTCCAAGTTCAAAGGCTGCCTCCACTTGTGCTAAGCTGCAATGCCCTGGATAGGTGTTTAATCTCTTTGAGTCTTGGTTTCTCATCTACGCAGAAAGGGACTAACAAGAGTACCCTCATAAGGTTGTTATGTCAATTCAATGTAACCCTGTGCACAAAGCCACTACTAGCCAGGCCCAGCCCACGTAGCTCCCAAGACAGGATAACAACAGATGTGTTCAGAAATAAGGCTTTGGTGTAGGTTGTGGGAATGGTTCTCCCAGCATTCTGCCATCGGTGGAGAAAGAGCACCAGACAGAAAGGGAAAGGCAAGCCTTGTCCCAGCTCTGTCCTTCACCGACGAGTGCCTTAGCGTCTCTGTGCCTCACCTCCCAAATTCTATGATCACCTTGGGTGCCAGATACTCTGCAAGATCAAGGGACAGGGTACCAAACAAGGCAGGTGTGGTCTTGCCCTCCCTCAGCTTACAGACCCTTGGAGAGTGGGACAATTAACACATAAATTCCTAAATAATGTGTGATCCATACAATGTAAAATTCTATATATCATGAGTGAGAATGATAGCTAGGAAGTGGGCACAATTTGTGCAACACTCATCAGTTCTTGTCTGAACACATGCCTATATGCCAGACCTTGTTCCACATTGGAGGTCCATTGGGAACTGAAAGCAGCCCTGTCCCAAACATCCTAGTGATTGGAAGGCCACAAACACTCAAAACTAACTTACAAAATAAAGAAAGAAAATCACTTCTGATAATGGTAAGCACTTTGAAGAAGCATGAGAGAATGTGGGGGCTACCTTAAGTGGGAAAGTCATCCCTGGGGAGGTTATATTTTGAGCTCAAACCTGAAGGAACAAGCCATGATAACCACACCAGTCTCAAAATGAGGTGGTAGACAAGGATTCCTGATCAACTGCTGTACGAATCCGAGGTGGTGCTGTTATATGTTCCAAATGCTGGCATCTGGCCCACACCCCACCCTGACTCCTTGTCCCCACCCCCAGGGCCCCAGTGATCTGAGACTGGGGCACTGGGCATAGGGATAGGTGGGTGTTTACACAGCTTGATATGGTTTGGCTCTGTGTCCCCACTCAAATCTCATCTTGAATTGTAATCTCCACATGTCACGGAAGGGACATGGTGGGAGGTGACTGGATCATAAGGGCAGTTTCCCCCATGCTGTTATCGTGATAGTAAGTGAGTTCTTATGAGATCTGATGGTTTTATAAGGGTCTTCCCCCTTTGTTCTCTTTCTCTTTCCTGCTGCCTTGTGAAGAATGTACTTGCTTCTCCTTCCCCATCCTCCACAATTGTAAGTTTCCTGAGGCCTCCCCAGCCATGTGAAACTGTGAGTCAATTAAACCTCTTTCCTTTATAAATTATCCAGTCTCAGGTATTTCTTTACAGCAGTATGAGAACAGGCTAATACAGGAAATTGGTACTGGAAGTAGGCATTGCTATAAAGATAACCTAAAAATGTGGAAGCAAATTTGGAATTGGGTAATGGGCAGAGGTCAGAACAGTTTGGAGGTCTCAGAAGAAGACAGGAAGATGTGGGAAAATCTGGAACTTCTTAGAGACTTGTTGAATAGTTTTGACCAAAATGCTGACAGTGACATGGACAATGAAGTCCAGGCTGAGGTGGTCTTAGGTGGAGATGAAGAACTTATTGGGAATTGGAGCAAAGGTCACTCTTGCTATGCTTTAGCAAAGAGACTGGCAGCATTGTGTCCCTGCTGTAGAGAACTGTGAAATTTTGAACTTGAGAGAGTTGATTTAGGGTATCTGGCAGAAGAAATTTCTAAGCAGCAAAGTGTTGAAGAGGTGGCTTGGATGCTCTTAACAGTGTACAGCAATATGTGCTCGCAAAGAGATAGCTTGAAATTGGAACTTATGTTTAAAAGGGAAGCAGAGCATAAAGGTTTGGAAAATGTGCAGCTTGACCATGTGGTAGAAAAAAAACTCATTTTCTGTGGAGGAATTCAAGCTGGTGGCAGAAATTTGCATAAGCAACAAGGAGCCAAATGTTAATAGCCAAGTCAATGGGGAAAATGTCTCCAGGGCATGTCAGAGCCCTTCAGAGCAGCCCCTCCCATCACAGGCCCAGAGGCCTAGGTTTCATGGGCCATGCCCAGGTCCCCATTGCTCTGTGAAGCTTTGGGACTTGTTGCCCTGCATCCCAGTCACTCCAGTTCCAGCCATGGCTAAAAGGAGCCAAGGTACAGCCCAGACCACTGCTATCCACAGCCCAGTACTACATAGAAGCTTTGGCAGCTTGCATGTGGTGTTGGGCCTGTGGGTAGACAGAAGACAACAGTTGAGTTTTGGGAACTTCTGCTCAGATTTCAGAGGATGTATGGAAACACCTGAATGTCTAGGCAGAAGTCTGCTGCCGGGGCAGAGCCCTCATGGAGAACCTCTGTTAGGGCAGTGTGAAAGGGAAATGTGGGGTTGGAAGCCCCACACAGTTTCCCCACTGGGGCACTGCCTAGTGGAGCTGTGAGATGAGGTCTACCATCCTCCAGACCCCCGAAAGGTAGATCCACTGAAAGCTTGCACCATGCACTTAGAAAAGCCACAGGCACTCAATGCCAGGCTATACCCTGCAGACCCACAGGGGTGGAGCTTCCCAAGGCTGTGGGAGCCCACCCTTTGCATCAGCATGCCCTGGATGTGAGACACGGAGTCAAAGGAGATCATTTCAAAGCTTTAAGATTTAATGACTGCCCCACTGGGTTTCAGACTTGCATGGGGCCTGTGGCCCCTTCGTTTTGATCAACTTCTTCCATTTAGAACAGGAACATTCACCCAGTCCCTGTACCTCAATTGTATCTTGGCAGTAACTAACTTGTTTTTTATTTTACAGGCTCATAGGTGGAAGGAACTTGTCTTGTCTCAAAAGTTTTTGACTTTTAACTGAAAAGTCCAAGTCTAAAATGAGACTTTGGTGTTAATGCTAGAATGAGTTAAGACTTTGGGGGATAGCTGGGAAGGAATGATTGGTTTTGAAGTGTGAAAAGGACATGAGATTTGGGAGGGGCCAGAGGCAGAATGATATGGTTTGGATCTGTGTCCACACCCAAATCTTATCTCGAATTGTAATCCCCATGTGTGGAGGGGAGGAATTTGGTGAGAGGTGATTGGATCATGGGGGTGGTTTCCGCCATGCTGTTCTTTTGATAGTGAGTGAGTTCTCATGAGATCTGATGGTTTGATAAGGGGCTTGACAGTTCCCCTCTAATGCTTTCTCCTGCTGCCATGTAAGACACCCCTTGCTTCCCCCTCAACTTCCGCCTCAATTGTAAGTTTCCTGAGTCCTCCCCAGCTATGTGGAACTGTGAGTCAATTAAACCTCTTTTCTTCATAAATTACCCAGTTTCAGGTAGTGTCTTTATAGCAGTGTGAAAACGGATTAATACACAGCTCTACTAGATGGAGGCCCAAAAGGCACCTCCTGCACATGCTGCCCCTTCTCACCCAAGCAGCACCAGGCCTCTATAAAAAGGATTCATAACTAGGCTCCGCACAGGCCCACAGTTCTGAAGCTCAAGGAGCAGTGACAGCTCTGCTTCCTAATGCAGGGACAAGCAATCAGGAAATCTGCAGAGGCCTTCAGCACGGCAACAGCCTTGTCCAGGGGACACGCTTTCCTTTGCTGCCATCTTCTGGTCAGACTGGGGAACAGAAGCCTGAAGTGAGAGGTTCTTCTTCTCCAAGGAAGCTTAACTAACACCAGAACGACTTGGAGCTGTTCTAGGTGCTGGTGCTGGTGCTGGAGACAAAGCAGAGGACTAAACAGGCAAAAGTCCCTGCCCTCCTGGAGTTTATATTCCAGCTGGCTGTCTCAGATGCAGCTACATGAAGGCTGAGTCATTCCTGTTTGACGGAGGAAATGATGAGGTATAAAGAGGTAAAATATTGGCCCAGACCACACAGCTTGCAAGTGAAAAAGCAGAATTTGAAGAAAGTTTCCTTTGCGTAACACCCTCTTGCCTCCCTGTAAGCCTGTCAAGAGGATAGGAGGTTGGCTCCGAGTAGGTGTGATGGAGGCAAGTGGCAAAGCCTGAGAGAGTGACAATGTGCTGAAGGAAAGAGCCCTAGGCCAGGACTCTGGAGACCTGACTTCGGGTCTTGGCCCTAGCACTTTCTAGCTGTGTGACCTTAAACAAAACAGTAAGTGTCTCTGGTCATCTGCAAAATGGGCATAATGAGACCTATGTTACCTATGGTTTCTTCATCCCACCACCAACTTATATTAATACCTGTCATGTGTGGGTGGCCATCTACTAGAAGTTGGGGTCACAAGGCTGGTAAAGTCTTTATCCCCCTCTAGTCCTCTCTCCCGTGTTGAGACACAGCCTTCAGGCTTCCAGCACTCTACAGTTCCCCTCTTTCCTGCTCTTTACAGCTGTGGTCACTTTGGTCCCCCAAGTTTCTCCCATCTGGCTGCCTCCTCCTGTCCTCACATCTGTACTTGAAGTGGTCCCCATGGTCAGTCAATGTAACAACACTACCCTTCTCCCTCTCTTGCCCCAGCCAGAAGTTGTGAAATGGCAACACCAGCAAAACTATTCTAACTGAAACCTCCTATTTCCAAATGCCCCAGACCTTCTAATTACCTACGGGCTCTATCTGATATGTGGCCTCCTTTCTCTGTCCCTATTGCCATGGCACTCTTAAGCTGCTGACTTCTGTTTCATTTCTTCCCCAGATTTGCTTCTAGCAGAAGCTGTCTACCTTCTGTGTCTCCACTGCCTTACCATTGGACTCTCCAGGCTGACTTCTGTCCTCACCTCATCTGTGATGGTTAATACTGAGTGTCAACTTGATTGGACTGAAAGTATTGATCCTGGGTGTGTCTGTGAGAGTGTTGCCAAAAGAGATTAACATTTGAGTCAGTGGGCTGGGGAAGGCAGATCCACCCTTAATCTGGTGGGCACAATCTAACCAGCTGCCAGGGAATATAAAGCAGGAAGAAAAATGTGAAAAGGAGAGAGTGGCCTAGCCTCTCAGCCTACATCTTTCTCCCATGCTGGGTGCCTCCTGCCCTCGAACATCGGACTCCAAGTTCTTCACTTTGGGAACTCAGACTGGCTCTCCTTGCTCCTCAGCCTGCAGACAGCCTATTGTGGGACTTTGTGGTTGTGTAAGTCAATACTTAATAAACTCCCCTTTATATATATATATATGTGTGTGTGTGTGTGTGTGTACATATATATATACACACACATATATACACACACTTAACAAACTCCCATATATGTATAAGTCTGGGTTTCAGACTTGCATTATATATGATTAAGTACTAATATATATATACTAATATATATATACTAATATACATATATCCTATATACTAATAGGATACATATATCCTATATTTTATATATATATATATATATAAGTTCTGTCCCTCTAGAGAACCCTGACTAATACATCCTCCTAAGTACAAAGTCCTATTGCCACTGTTGTTGCACTTGACATAGCCCAGCATGGCCTGCATCTGTCTTGATGGATTCTCCTCCCTTGTCTCCTGGCCCATCACACTCTCCTACCTCTGAACACTCTGTCCTGGATCACTAGCTACAGGAAGAGTCCCATTACATGGGCTCTGCTGAGAAATGCAATCCCATTCCTGTTGTTTAAGTTGTTCCCTGCCTGCCACCCTACTCCCAACCCCACTCCTTGGTCATGTGGTCTAAGATCCTTCCAGATGCCACAGCATTTACTGGGCACTGACTACACTCTAGGAATTGGTCTAAGCCCTCTTCTTGAATTATCTTATTTATTCCTCCCAACAATCCTATTAGGTGGATGATATTTTCCCAGTATGACAGATAAAACTGAGGAGTTTAGCCAATGTCACAAAGCTAATAAGCAGGACAATCCATCTCCAAAGCTTCCCTCTTACCTATGAAATATATCCTCTGAAATTCACTGACAGAGAACCCATGAGAACTTTGGTCCCCCAAAGGATCATCCCTGAGGGGTGTCAATGTCACTTGATTATAGGCTCTTTGTGGGGTAGGGGTTTAAATGAGATTTTCTGTAGGGTCCAGCCCTACGGGCTTAGCAGGTGTTCTCCCCATGTGCAGTGATGAGAGACTGTAAGAAATAAAGACACAAGACAAAGAGATAAAGAGAAAACAGCTGGGCCCGGGGGACCACTACCACCAAGATGAGGGGACCGGTAGTGGCCCAGAATGGCTGGGCGCGCTGACATTTATTGCAAACAATACAAGGGGGACAAGGTAAGGAGGGTGAGTCATCCAAGTGATTGATAAGGTCAAGCAAGTCATGTGATCATGGGACAGGTGGCCCTTCCCTTCTAGGTAGCCAAAGCAGAGAGGGAAGGCAGCATACGTCAGCATTTTCTTCTATGCACTTGTAAGAAAGATCAAAGACTTTAAGACTTTCACTATTTCTTCTACCGCTATCTACTACGAACTTCAAAGAGTAACCAGAAGTATGGGAGGAACATGAAAGTGGACAAGGAAAGTGACCATTGAAGCACAACACCACAGGGAGGGCTTTAGGCCTCCAGATGACTGTGGGCAGGCCTGGATAATATCCAGCCTCCCACAAGAAGCTGGTGGAGCAGAGTGTTCCCTGACTCCTCCAAGGAAAGGAGATTCCCTTTCACGGTCTGCTAAGTAATGGGTGCCTTCCCAGGCACTGGCATTACTGCTTGACCAAGGAGCCCTCAAGTGGCCCTTATGCAGGCATGACAGAGGGCTCACCTCTTGCCTTCTAGGTCACTTCTCACAATATCCCTTCAGCACCTGACCCTATACCTGCCGGTTATTTGTTATATTAGTAATACAACAAAGAGTAATATTAAAAGCTAATGATTAATGTTTATATTAATGATTGATAATGTCCATGATCATCTCTGTATCTAATTTGTATTATGACTATCCTTATTCTAACTATTTTCTTTATCATACTGAACATTTCGTGCCTTCAGTCTCTTGCCTCAGCACCTAGGTAATCCTTCGCCCACATTTTCAGTGCCATCAGAGCAGTTTCCCTTCATAAAATCTATAACAATTCTGAATAATACATTCCTTTGTAACATCATTCTTAATGGGTTCCCCTTCTAAACTGGATTGGCTCTCAATAAATACTTGGGAACAAAAGAGTTAGAAAGAGAAAGAGGGAGAGAGGGAGGGAGGGAGGGAGGAAGAGAAGAAAAAGAAGACAGAATCTGACCTGTGGATCATGCAGCTAAGGGGTGGTCAAGCCATGTAGCCAAGGGGTGGTCAAGGCCATGCAGCTAGGAAGAGGTCAAGGCCATGTAGCCAGGAAGAGGTCAAGACCACGCAGCTAGGGACTAGTGAAGCTTAGAATATGACCCCTGAATTTCTAACTGCAGAACCCATATTACCACCTAAACCCACCACTCCTTGCTCAACATCTGCAAGGCCAAAGAACTTATGCCATTTAAAATGATCAAAGGGGAAAAATAGAAGGGAAAAACAAAAACAACTAGGCATACCATTCTTTAATCAATATCACATTTCTTCTTAGTCTGTGTATTCATTATTAAACGTGTATTAAACATTAATATCCCCTGAATCCTTCCTCTTCCTCTTCCTGCCTCCCTCTACAACAGTAGTTTTTGACAAGAAGGGGTGTCAAGGGATAGAAACACTGGACATTTGGCAGTGTCTACACACATTTTGGTTGTCACAGTTGGGTGGGGTTTGCTTAGCAGAATCCAGGCATAGAGGCCAGGATGCTGCTAAACATCCTACAGTACACAAAAGAGGCCCGACAACACAGTACTATCAATGGTGCCATGGTGGAAAGACCCTGCTCTCCACACCCTCCTGGGCCATCACATCCTCTCCCACAGGTCCAAATGCCACCTGTAGGCTGACACACCTAAATCTGTATCCACATGCCAAGGTTTCTCCTAAGCTTCAAACCACTTACTGGACATCAAATCTGTCTCTGTCCGACACATCATTCAAAGTCATCCTTATCTGCACCTCGTGTGATCCCAACCACACACCCGTTTGCTCCTACTCATATCATATTCCAACCATTCTAAGACTCACATTTTAACATCTCTGAAATTGGGATGCATTGTACAATCAAGGTCAGGTTTAATTGGCAGCAGTTTTCTTTCTTTGTGGCCCATAAAATAATGGTGCCTATTCCTTGTTAGTTTACCAAGTTGGTGGCTCTTCACTGGCAAAGTGCAGGTGCTCAGGCCCTGCCTTGTGTTGCATGGACCCCTTTTTCAGAAAATCTGTGGATATTCAAGACCAGATCCAAGCTTGGGAAGTAAAGGGAGTAGCTCCAGGAAAGAAGGCCATAGATCCCTACCCTGCTCCTCAGGTGTACAGGTTTTCAAACATAAGCACTTCTTCTCTTGCACAACTCCATGAACACACACAAAAACATTGAATCATTTGCTTTAAACAGGTGAATATCATGGTATGTATATCTCAATAAAGTTATGAAAAAGGAAATGCTCCTTAATTTCTGTTATGCCTGTAGTCAACTTTTAAACCCCTGAATGGCTTTTTTAAATCATTTTTTCCAGTTTTCTACTTGTTTTTGACCAAAAGGATCCATCTACCACCTCAGACCACCATAACTGGAAAGCCTCAAAGAACTTTGAAGGAGATAAACAGATTGTAGGTTATTTGCAGTTTCTTCTGTTGACTGTGTGTTTGTGTGTGCACACATGCATGTGTGTGTGTGTGTGTTTGCTTCTACCAGCAATTAACAATCAGTTTATTCCACAGCATCGACCAAGTCTTGTCATGTCTATGTAGAGTCCAGAGCTTGTGAGTAGAGACAAGATTGTGACAGATAATTCTAAGGTAATAGCTGGTGTTGACTTTTGGAAGCTTGACGTCCATCAAAATGTTACTGTTGAGCACACATAAAAGGGGGCCCACGAATGGAATGGGGGACAACTGTGCAGAGCACTCTGCTTAAGGGTCTTCTGTGTCCAGAGATTCTGAGTTTGCACTTCTCTCCCCTTTGTTCTACCCAGTGATGCCTTGAAAGCTCCCCAATTTCCTGTGTCTTTTATTTTGGGGGGTTTTTTGTTTTCTGTTTTTTGGGTTTTTGTTGCTGCTGTTGTTGTTTTGAGACAGGGTCTCACTCTGGTTGCTCAAGTTGGAGTGCAGTGGCATGATCTTAGCTCACTGCAGCCCTGACCTCCTGAGCTCAGGTGATTCTCCCACCTCAGCCTCCCGAGTAGCTGGGCCTATAGGCACATGCCACCACGTCTGGCTAATTTTTTGTATTTTTTATAGAGATGGGGTTTCACCATGTTGCCCAGGCTAGTCTCGAACTTGTGAGCTCAAGCCATCTGCCCACCTCAGCCTCCAAAAGTGCTGGGATTACAGGAATGAGCCGCCACCCCTGGCTGGCCTATGTTTCTTTGTATATCATTGGTATTATGTGAGCACACCCAAGACTCATGCATTCATTCATTTAACAAATATATACCCTGTGCTAAGTTTTGAGAATACAGAGAAGGGGAAAAAAATTCCCCAAACTTAAACATTAGCAAAAAAGGCAAGTAATTATAACAAATTGGGGTGCCTTCCACGGTGAAAGAAGTGCAAGCTATTTCCTTTAAACGAACAAAACAAGTTAAGCTTCTCCATGCTTGGGCTACCATTAGCTATTTAGAGCTGAGTCATTTTTCCATGTTTGCCTTGCAACATCTATAAGATCTTGGCGTTCTACCACATCTTTTGATGCTGGATATTTTGAAGACATTGCATGGCTCTGAGCAGTACCGGGTCACTGGGAAATCAGGGACATGTTGGCCGAGCTTTTAAGTTTTGACAATGTAGGTATCAAGCTCCTTGGAAATCACCAAACTGGATCCCTGGGGAAAAATACCTCTAAACCGAAGAATGGATTATGCTGACTCATTTCTCTGGTCTCTCCTGCTAAGGTCTCAATTATCTATAAGAAGATGGGTTGCTTTCACAATATTGGCAGGGAGGGGAGGGGAAGAATTTGCTCCAATGAGACAGTCAAATAATTTATATCCCAACTCCATTATTTATCATCTGGGGGACCTTGGGGAGTTATTCACTTCTCTATGCCTCAGTTTCTTATCTGTCAATGAGATCATCACAGTGCTTACATCATAAGGCTATCATACAGGCCAAAAGAGTACAATTTATATATAGCTGGCCCAAAATTAGTACTCCAAAGATATCAACTATGGATATTAATAATATTATCTTGGTTCTTGTCAAGGAATATTAACTATCTTAGTTCATTTAGACTGCTATAAAATGCCATAAACTGGATGACTTATAAACAACAGAAACTTATTCCTCAGTTCTAGAGGCTGGGAAGTTCAAGATCAAGGTGCTGGAAGATTTGGTGTCTGGTGTGGGCCTGCTTTCTGGTTCACAGAGAAGACGACACTTTCTCACTGTGTCCTCACATGGTGAAAAAGGCAAGACAGCTCTCTGGGGTCTCTTTTATAACAGCATTAATCCCATTCAGGAGAAATCTTAATTAGCACATGCCAACAGACCATCATTCTGAGATGGTCCCATGGCTTGTGGCCCAAAAATGAAGCTTCAATGTATCGGCCATGAAGTAGTATGGAATTATGAAAAGACCAGGGATGTGACAAGCTGGGTGGAAGCTGTGCACCCACCTCTTTCTTGCAGTTAGTCTCTGCTAGTCTTTGTTCTATTATTCCTCTAGGATAATAGGAATAGTAGCTAGGTCTTATATTTCAGAGGTTTGTTTCATTGATGCAGCAAAAAGTATGTAACAAAATGAGACCAGAATCCTATTTTGAATCCTGGTTCTTTCGCTAAGTCATCATTTAACCTTTTGGACCTCAATTTCTTTAACTGTAAAATTAGGAGTGCCAGCCAAGCTGCTCTCTTCTAACCCTAACCTCCCTTACTCCTATAGGATGGAATTAAAACAATGGTCCAGCAAAAGTGCTGATCTGGCAACAACAACAAAAACTAGCTCGAGGTAAAGAAAAGGAAGAAAATGAAGAACAGGATGCTATTGCAATAACAGGAGACAAATTATTTATTTTTGCAACTCTCAAGTGCAGAATGCTTTCATCATAACTGACAAAGCATTGATCTAGTTTTACTTATTCTTAGACATGATCAATTGTCTTTAATCTATGAGATCAATAAGAGCTAAAAGTCAGTTCAACAAGTGCAAAGACAGAAACTCTGGGTAAACCCCCTCAAGCCACCGACTTAGTCTCTTGGTCAGAATCCTTTTCTTTTTCAAGTTATTTAAAGCAATGCTCCAATCATGTTCAAAGCTAAACAAAGAAAGCAGTCTGGAAATTTTTTATTGATAGATTTATATATTTTCCAAATAGTTTGGACTCTGAATAAGAATGTGTGGCTCTTGAAGAATTTAATTTTATAACCACAAATCCCCTTCATAAAATTTTATATTTATATCATTCTCCGTTTTAATCAATCACATCAAGACTCCAGCCCAGCACTTCTGGACTGAAGAAAGAAAAACAGGTCTCTACTTGGGGTTGCCCTTCATGCAGGACTACTCTTTCCTATGTTGAAAATATTTGGAACAATTTTTAACCATTGACTCCACCATTAAGCTATCTATTGTTGTCTGTTTGAAGATCTTAAGAGAAAAATGTAGTAACAGCCACCCCACAGGGAAGACAGATTCAATCAATTCTACAAGACAGATTCAATCAATTCTACCTACTTCTCATCAGAGTACTATTTTGACAGTTGCCTGTAATGGAGAAATTATTAGTGAGGCTAGCATTTACTAAGTGCTTAGCACTTGACAAGTACAATACTAATGCTTGTGGTGGAATCCCACCTTATTTGATTTAGAAACATTCAATTATTGGACCATGTCAAAGATAATAAAAGAGAAATTCCACCACTTCACCCCTGTCAATAAGCAGAGACCTCCACAGAGGCCTATTCCAATCTACTGTTCCCTCTTGGCATCCTGGTTTCCCCATCTCTTAATAGTCTGAGCTTCTGGCCCCACTGAATGTGGATACATGAGTTTCCTAATAGGCATCTTTGTACAACATGGCCACAGAATGGAAGTTGAAGGCTTTACTTGATAATCAACTAAAGAAACGTGGTGTTCCAAAGCTGGAGGGAAAAAACAAAGATTCTATTCAACTTATTGAGGACAGTATTAGCAGGCATTCCCAATCTCTAGTCACCAATGTGGGACCTTCTCAGGGAGTTTTCAAGGGCAATTTTACAACATGCAAGAAATACTCCTGCTACCTTCATTTTCAGTGCAGTGTCTCTGCTACAGATAACGAAGACCAATGGATATCAGGCTATCCACATTCACGCCAATCATCTGAGCTGCTCACTTTCCCGTGGGGAGATAGAGAGGGGAACTTGAAGGGCTCCACAAATACACTGCCTTTGGGGCAGTAGAACTGAAATTACCTGATGGGAACATGAGGATGTGCTTCCTCCCATAATAGCATTATTTCACATAAAACCTAGTTGTGATAAAGTAATTGATTTACTTTGTCAGTGAACAGCATCAGCTTAAAATCCAAGAGGATGAATAAGATTGCCTTGAAGAAATATGATATACTATGTATTTCTAAGAAATGTTATCTATTCTTCTATTAGAATCTTCTATACCGTCTATTCAATTTCAGCTGCCAAGGTCTATGTGGACTCAATTCGAGTCTAGAAATACTTAACGGTGATGCTGTTCTATACCAAGAGCTGAGCTACATATTTTCTTATCTGAATCAAGTCTTGGATGCAATCATAACAGAACAAAATTGGAAGGGACTATAAAATACACATGATAAGCAATTTAAATTGTGACACAAGATTTGTGATATGGATAATCAAAAACTAAAGAGATCAGTATGAATTAGATTTTCTCAAAAAAATGAGCGAAGAAGCTGACTCGAGACGGCTATTTAACACGCAGAGTCAGCCAGCATTTACAGCACTGAGCTGAACACATGTCCTTCTCTATCTACTGGTTGTAAGGGACACCAGGTGGCAATAGGTGTAAGCTGAAGGGTAGGCCAGTACAACAGTGGCAGCTGACATGGAATCTGGGCCACATGCTGTGTGACTTACTTCTGCTCTCTGGACCTGCTGAAGCCTAACCTCACTTCCATTTCATGATGGAAGTCCTCAGCCTGCCTGACCTTATGACTTGGTGGTCTAACAGAACTCAGTTCACAGTGGGCAGCTGTGGCTACAGAATCACTTGATGTCCCATGATCAGATAATGCTTTTCAAATAGTGTGCGGTTCTCTACCATAGATAACATAACCTTGCTCCAAAGGCCTGCATTGTGAGTGTTCTATTGTGGTTTACCATAAACTCTATGCAGCATCTTTTCTCATGACAGATACTTCACATGCCATAGTGGTTATATGACCTGAGCAGCTGAGCCGCTTGTACTGCAACCTGGAGTTAGGGTGGTCCTTCAAAGTCGTCACAAAGTGAAAAGAGAGAACCCCATCTTGGTAATATCCTTATCATTGGATGTGGGCTGCCCTAGGCTATACCTGTCAGAGTGTAAACTCAGATGAATCTACAGTCAGTCCCCAAAGGACACTGGCCAGAGTTTTCAGTAACCCACACAACCACTGGAGGTATCTAGCAGTGGAAATCTAGGCAATGCAGCAGCATTCACTATACACATTGTTACTAAAAATCAGGATTCATGGGTAGTTCCCATTTTTTTGCTTGATTTAATCTTTTACTGATGTAAACATATATCAAAACATCATATTGTACCCCATAAATATACACCATTTTTTAATAATATCAACTTTTCTTTTAGATTAAGGGGTTCATGTGCAGGTTCATGACATGAGTATATTGTGTGACACTGAGGTTTGAGGTACAAATGATGCCTGTACCCAGGTAGTAAGCATAGTACCCAATGGGTAGTTTTTCAACTCACTCCCCTTCTTCCCTCCCCTCTCTTGTAGTCCCCAGTGTCTATTGTTCCCATCTCTATGTCCACGTGTATTCAATATTTAGTTCCCACTTATAAGTGAAAACATAAAGTATTTCGTTTTCTGTTCTTGAGTTAATTTACTTAGGATAATAGCCTTCAGCTCCACCCATGTTGCTGCAAAGAACAGGGTATCATTCATTTTTATGGCTATATAGTATTCCATGGTGTATATATACCACATTTTCTTTATCCAATCCAGTGTTGATGGACACGTAGGTTAATTCCGTGTCTTTTCTATTGTGAATAGCATGGTGATGAACATGAGTGCATGTACCTTTTTGATAGAATAAATTATTTTCCTTTGGGTATATACCCAATAGTGGGATTTCTGGGTCAAATGATAGTACTGTTTTAAGTTCTTTGAGAAATCTCCAAACTGCTTTCCATGGTGACTGAACTAGTTTCCATTGCTACCAACAATATACGTCTTTGCAGCCGGGCGCAGTCGTTCATGCTATAACCCTAGCACTTTGGGAGGCCGAGACAGGTGGATTGCTTGAGGCCAGGAGTTCAAAAACAGCCTGTGTAACATGGTGAAACCCCATCTCTACTAAAAATACAAAAAAAAAAAAATTTTTGGAGGCTGAGGTTGCAGTGAGCAGAGATCCTGCTGCTGCACTCCAGCCTGGGCAACAAGAGCAAAACGCGGTCTCAAAAAAAAAAAAAAAAAAAAATCTTTGCTTTTCTCCACAGCCTTGCCAGCAAATGTTATTTTTTGACTTTTTAACAATCGCCATTCTAACTGATGTGAGATTTATCTCATTGTGGTTTTGATTTGCTTTTCTGTGATGATTAATGATGCTGAGCATTTTTTCATATCTGTGTTGGCTGCCAGGAAGTCTTTTTTTTAGAAGTGTCTGTTCATGTCCTTTACTCATTTTAAAATTGGATTATTTGTTTTTTGCTTGTTGATTTGTTAAGTTCCATATAGATTCTGGATATTAGACCTTAGTCAGGTGCATAGGTTCCAAATATTTTCTCCCATTCTATAAGCTGTCTGTTTACTCTGTTGGTAACTTCTTTTGCTGCACAAAAGCTTTTTCATTTAATTAGGTCTCACTTGTCAATTTTTTCTTTTGTTGCAATTGCTTTTGGGAACTTAGCCATAAATTCTTTGCCAAAGTTAATGTTGAGAAGGGTATTTCCTAGGTTTCCTTCAGAATTTTTATAGTTTGAGATCTCACATTTAAATTATTAATTTTTTTTTTTTTTTTTTTTGAGACATGGTCTCACTCTGTCACACAGGCTGGAGTGCGGTGGCGTGATCTTAGTTCATTGCAATCTTCGCCTCCCAGGCTCAGCGATCCTCACACCTCAGCCCCCCACGTAGCTGGGACTATAGGCATGTACCACCATGCCCAGCTGAATTATTAATTGACCTTGAGTTAATTTTTATGATTGAGAGACAGGAGTCTAGTTTTGTTCTTATGCATATGGATAGCCAATTATCCCAACACTATTTATTGAATAGGGAGTCCTTTCTCCATTGCTTATTTTTGTCAACTTTGTTGAAGATCAGATGGTTGTAGGTATGTGGCTTTATTTCTGGGCTGTCTATTCTGTTCTGTTGATCTATGTGTCTGTTTTTGTACCAGTACTGTGCTGTTTTGGTTAATCTAGCCTTATAGTATATTTGGAAGTCAGGTAATGTGATGCCTCTGGCTTTGTCCTTTTAGCTTAGGATTGCTTTGGCTATTTAGACTCCTTTTTGGTTCCATATGAATTTTACAATCATTTTTTTCTAATTCTGTGAAAAATTATGTTGGTGTTTTGATAGAGATAGCATTGAATCTGTGAATTGTTTTGGGCAGTATGGCCATTTTGATGACATTGATTTGTCCAATCCAAGAGTAAGGAATATTTTTCCATTTATTTGTGTCACCTCTGAATTCTCTCAGCCATTTTTGCAGTTCTCCTTGCAGAGATCTTTCACCTCCTTGGGTAGAATTATTTAGGTATTTCAGTTTTTGTTGCTGTTATAAATGGAATTATGTTCTTGATTTGGCTCTCAGCTAGAATGTTATTGGTGTATAGAAATATTACTGATTTTTGCCCATTGATTTCGTATCCTGAAACTTTACTGAAGTTATTTATCAGTGCCAGGAGCCTTTTGACAGAGTCTTTAGGTATTCTAGGTCTAAAATTATAACACCAGAGAAGACAGTTTGACTTTTTTCCCCCCTATTTGGATGCCTTTTATTTCTTTCTCTTGCCTGATTGCTCTGGCTAGGATTTCCAGTGCTATATTGAATAGCAGTGGTGAGAGTGGACATCCTTGTCTTGTTCCAGTTCTCAAGGGAAATTGTTCCAGCTTCTGCCCATTTAGTATGATGTTGGCTGTGGGTTTGTCATAGATGGCTTTTATTATTTTGAGGTAAGGTCCTTTGATGTCTAGTCTCTTGAGGGATTTTATCGTGAAGAGATGCTGGATTTTATCAAAGGCTTTATCTGCATCTATTGAGATGATCATATGGTTTTCTGTTTTTATTCTGTTTATATGGTGAATCACATTTATTGACTTGTGTATGCTGAATCAACCTTGCATCCCAGGAGTAAAGCCTACTTGGTCATTGTGAATTAATTTTTTGGCGCGTTGCTATAGTCAGTTTGCTAGTATTTTGTTGAGGGTTTTTGTGTCTATGTTCATCAGGGATATTGGCATGTAGTTTTCTTTTTTCATTGTGTTTCTGCCAGATTATGGTGTCAGGATGATGCTTGTTTTGTAGAATGAGTTAGGGAGAAATCCCTCCTCATAGTTTTTTGGGATAATTTCAGTAGGATTGGTATCAGGTCTTCTTTGTATATCTCATGGAATGGTTGTGAATCCATTCGGTCCAGGGCCGGGTTTGGTTGGTAGAGTTTCATTACTAATTCAATTTCAGAACTTGTTATTGGTCTGTTCATGTTTTCACTTTCTTCCTGGTTCAATCTTAGGAGGTTGTGTGTTTCCAGGAATTTATCCATTTCCTCTAGATTTTCTACTTCGTGTGCATAGAGGTTTTCATAATAGTCTGGGGATCTTCTGTATTTCTATGGAATCAGTTGTAAAGTCATCTTTTTCATTTCTGATTGTGCTCTTCTGTTTTGTTTTTTTGTTTCTTTACCTATCCCTAGCGGTCTATCAGTCTTGTTTATTCTTTCAAAAAAAACTTGGTTTTATTGCTCTTTCGTTGAGGCTTTTGGATCTCAATTTCATTACTTTCTCTTTTGATTTTAGTTATTCCTTTTCTTCTGCTAGCTTTGGGGTCAGGCTGTTCTTTTTTTCTAGTTCCTCTAGGAACCATGTTAGATTATTAATTTAAGATGTTTCTAACTTCTTGATGAAGATATTTAGTGCTATAAATTTTCTCTTAACACTGCTTTAGCTGCATTCCAAAATGTTTGGTAAGTTATGTCTCCATTTGCATTAATTTCAAAGAATTTGTTGATTTCTGTTTTAATTTTTTCACTCATGAGTTATTCAGAAGAAGGTTGTTAAAATTTCTATGTTTTTGTGTAGTTTTGAGAGACCTCCTTGCTATTGACTTCTATTTTTATTGCACTATGATTGAAAGTGCTCTTGGTATCATTTTTATTTTTTTGAATTCATTAAAACTTGCTTTTGGCTGAGCACATGGTCAATCTTAGAATATCTTCCATGTGTGCATGAGAAGAATGTATAGTTCATGATTGTTGGGTAGAGTATTCTGTGGATACCTATTAGGTCCAATTGGTCAAGTGTTATGTATAAGTCCAGAATTTCTTTGTTAATTTTCTTCCTCAATCATCTGTCTAATGTTGTCAGTTAGGTGTTGACATCCCCCAGTATTATTGTGTGGCTGTCTAAGTCTTTTCATAGGTCTAGAAGTACTTGTTTTATGGATGCAGGTGCACCAATGTTGGGTGTATATATACTTAAGATAGTTAAGTCTTCTTATTGAATTGAACCCTTTATCACTATGTAGTGCCCTTCTTTGTCCTTCTTGATTGTTATTGGTTTAAAGCCTGTTTTATCTGGTATTAGAATAGCCATCTCTGTTCTTTTTTTGTTTTGCATTTGCATGGTAGATCTTTCTCTATCCCTTTATTTTGAGCCTGTGGATGTCATTACATGTGAGACATATCTCTTGAAGATAGTAGACTATTAGGTCTTGTATTTTTATCCAGCTTGCCACTCTATGCCTTTTAAGTGGGGTGTTCAGACCATTTATATTCAGGGTTAATATTGGTATGTGAGATTTTGATCCTGTCATCATGTTGTTAGCTGTTTGTTTTGTAGACTTGAATAATTGCTTTATATTGTCTGTGGGCTATGTGCTTGGGTGTGTTTTTGTGGTAGCAAGTTTCAATCTTTTGTTTCCATGTTCAGCACTTCTTTAAGTATATCTTATAAGGCTGGTCTGGTGGTAACAAATTCCCCTAGTTCTTGTCTGAGAAGGATTGTATTTCTCTTTTGCTTATGAAGCTTAGTTTGGCATGATATGGTATTCTTGGTTTTAGTTTCTTTTCTACTAAAAATAGGCCTCCAATATCTTCTGTCTTGTAAGGTTTCTCTTGAAAGGTCTTCTGCTAGCCTGATGGGGTTTTCTTCGTAAGTGACCTGACTTTTCTCTCTAGCTGCCTTCAGGCAGTGGTCTACATGTTCAGAGAAACTTCTCTAGTATTGAACTATAGAAATGATCCCTGGATGTGTAGTGTTTCATGGGTACTTCTTATAGATATCAGGGTTAATCCCTCCATCCTTTGTTCTAGCAACCCTTTGTTCAGACATCTATTTCAGCATTCATCCTCTAGTATCCATTTCTCTTTCTTTTCAGTTAGATTGTCAACTCTTCTAGAACAAGGATTATATTTATTTAATGGTTGCACATTGTCCAGCATATAAAGAGGAATCAAGTTTTCTAAGTGGATAAATAAATGAACAAATAAATAATCCATACAACTATGTTGTTCATATATGCTTGAAATAGATAATATCTCTATTATGCGTGTCAGCCAGTGAGTGATATGACTCAACACTTTTAGATTCCTCTAGTTTTATGTCTAGGAAATTGGAGCAGTTCTATAACATAAAAGCCTTTTTTTCTGAAGCCTAATCATCACCTACCTATGTTTAAACTACTTTAAAATAAATACTTTTCCGTTTCTTTTTTCTTTATTTATTTTTTCAACAAATATCAATTGAGAGAACCAGGCCACGTTCTATTATTCCCCATTTTACAGATGAGGAAATCAAAGAACAGCGTGGTTATGTAACAGCTTGCCCCAAGATTGAGTACACAGCTAGTAACTAACAGTACTGGGATTTTACAGTACTGGGATTTGAACTAGGATTTGGCTCTAGAGTCTCTGTTGCTAGGCAATAACAAGACAAACAGGATTTCTTCTAAGTTGGACCTTATAGTCTAGTGGGATAGAGAGGTATTATATCTTTTAATGAATAAAACAAGTATCTATTGAGATCATTGATAATTATTTAGTAGAAAAACTACTGGTAAGTGATATTTAAAGTAATAAGAGGTTCTACTTTTAAAACAGTGATCAAGGAAAATCTCTTTAGAGAAAGGATTTACACTGAGACATAAAGGACAGGGAGCTAGTTATGAGATGGAACATTGCAGATGCAGGAATAAGATTATCTTGTTGCAGGAGCTAAAAAGACACCATGGTGCCTGGAGCTTGGTAAACAAAGAAGAGACAAGCAAATGATAATACATTTAAAGATACAGGTATAAGCAGACAATGCCGTGAAGTCTTAAGCAATGAATGTGATTTTACCCACTGTAACGGGAACTTGCTTTTGCTGAGGTAAGCGATGACATGTGATTTTAAGAGAATCACTCTGGCTCCACAATCCATGTGGAGAATGGATTGAAGAGGAGGGAAGTGAAAGCAGGAGACCAGTCAGAAGGTTACTGCAATTGTCCAGGTGAGAGTGAAAGTTATCCCTGGAACTTACACCCATTCATCTGATGCTGCCCTCTTTTCATATTAGAGTATGCCAAACACCTATAAATCAGGCAAGGACTCAGGTATTTTTTAATAGAAAGCTACCAGCACTCAAAAGAAAAGTCTCGTAACCTTTCTGACTTAGCTACTTTCTTTAACATCAAAACTTCTTGTTCTTTTTAATGCCTTGAATAGTGACTAATAAAATGAACAATTCCTCCACCCCAAAACACCCTAAATTAAGAACTTAACATTCCATTTATAGTGTCCTGTACCTGGAATAATTAACACCAGATGCAGAATAATGGCAGTGATTAGTAATTTTCCCCCATGAGAGCCATTTTTAGGAAGGATACAGATAGCAATTTACTCCACCACCTCCAATCCACCCCCTCCCAGCTGTTTCCTCAAGCTGGGTGCCCACTCACCTGACTGACAGCACTTCTCATGCGGATGGAGCATCTTGGTGAGGAAAGAGATTAAAACCAAAAACATCCAATATGTAGAATTGTAGTTAAACTAAGAATAGCAAGAATCACATAAGGGCTATCATTTGTTGAAAGTCAGGTACTATATTAAGAACTTAATACACTTTTCCAAAGAACTGACATGTCTCACCAATTTATAACCAATTTATTATCCAGGATCATACTGGAATCTTATCAGGTTCCCCCAGCTCAGCAAAATGCTATAAGCCACATATAGGAAAAACAGTATGCAAATGAATTGCTGTTTACAACAGTCTAGTCTTTAACCTATTCAAATAGGCTGTCGTCTTAACTAATCATACATTTTCCAACCCTGAGTTTGAATCTCTGGATTTTCTCCTCTACTTGTCCATCCCAACTTGCTATTTAAATGATTTTCTCAGCTCCCCATCAGCCTGCACTAATTTCCGGACTTTGATACACATCTATGCCCCGAAGACTAACCTCCTCATAAGTGCTTCTCATAAAGACTTTCATGCTAGTGTGGGTGTGTGAAACCTGCCTCTATGTTGCACTGTCCTTCCCAGATCGGTACCCAGGGTCTAGAGAAGACCACAGAGGCATGAAAATGCTTTCAGTAAATTAAAAACTTTAATTTCTGTTTTTAGAGATAGAGTCTTACTCTTTCACCCAGGCTGAAGTGCAGTGGCATGACCACTGCTTACTGCAGCCTCAACCTCCCCAGGCTCAGGTGATCCTCCCACCTCAGCCTCTCAAGGAACTTCGACTGCAGGGCATGCCATCACACCTGGCTGATTTTTGTATTTTTTGTAGAGATGGGGTTTCACCATGTTACCCAGACTCTTTTCCTACTCCTGCACTCAAGCAATCCACCCACCTCAGCCTCCCAAACTGTTGGTATTACAGGAGTGAGCCACCACGCCTGACCAATTTTAATTTAATAGCATTGAATAACCTTAATTCTTTCAATTATCTAACTTTCCTCTTGCTCCATGTTTCATTGTTTAAAGAAAACTTTAGACGAATTAAATTTGACAGGCCAGGCACAGTAGCTCACACTTGTAATCCCAGTGCTTTGGAAGGCCAAGGCTGGTGGATTGCTTGAAGCCAGGAGTTTGAGATTATAGTGGGTTATGATCATGCTGCTGCACTCCAGCCTGGGCAATAGAATGAGATCCTGTCTCACAAAAAAAAAAAAGAAAAGAAAAGAAAAGAAAAGAAAAGAAAAGAAAAGAAAAAAATTAACAAGTTTAATTGAACAAAGAAAGATTCAATAATTGGGCAGCCCTCAGAACCAGAAAAGGTTCAGAGAGCTCCATTCAGTAATGTGGCTGCATTTATGGACAGGAAATGTAAGTGAGGTACAGAAATAGCTGATTGGTTGCAGCTCAGCATTTGCCTTATTTGAACACAGTGGCTGCTTGTGATTGACTGAAGCATGGCTGTTGTGACTGGCTGAGACTCAGCTGATGTTACAAAAGTATACTCCTAAGTTAGGCTTTTAGTTTATGTACTAAGTTAGGCTTCAGTAGGGACTCAATGTACATGGGCATCCTTAGGCCAAATTTAGTTTAATTTAACAACTTGTACTTGGTCAGCCTCAACCTTGCACATGTGCATGAGTCATTGTTGTCAACTGCAAAAGTAGTTGCCACAATTCTTCACTACTCTCTGTATCTATGCACTTTTTAACGTCACTTTACAGCTCTCTTTCACCATGCATTTTATCTGAGCTGGCCTTGTAACTTGCTTAGGCCAACAACATTTAGTGAAAGCAGTGTGCTGCCAGTTCTAATTCTAGGCCCCAAGAGCCCTTGCACACCTTCACCCTCCCTCTTGGAAACCTGTGACTGCTCTGCAACCAAACCCAAGCTGGCCAGCTATAGAATGGAGACCACATGGAGAACAGAGGAGCCAACCCCCAGAAGGCGAGTTGCCTACTAACCTTAGCTAATTACAGACATGAGGAAGCCCTGCTGAAACTAGAACTATCAAACTGCAGCACAGACCCACAGGCAATAGTCATTTCTGGCTATTTTAAGTCACAACATTTGAGGGACTTTGTTATGCAGCAGCACATAACTGATACAGTCCAAACACCATTTGAGAAAATTGTTCAAGTCACCATTTTCATCTGCTTGGCCATCAAGCTCAGTTCTTACTGGTTCTGAACATGTCTATGGCTTCTACCTTGGTAGTGATTTAGCCCCTCTAAGATTAAAATAATCAAACTCTGGAGTTAACTACCCAATAGACTCTGTTTTGACATATAACGTACAAGTCATTCCTATTAAAAATTAAAATCAAAATCTCCTAATTATGGATCTCTGTGGCAGACACACACTAAGGTGACCCTCAACAAATCATGTCTTTCTATAATGCCCTTTCCTTGAGGAGAGGTGGAACCTGTGACTTGCTTCTGGCCAATAAAATACGGCAAAAGTGATGGAATAGTCACACCTGTGGCTATATTAGGTTATATAAGCCTTCATCTTAGCAGAGGCTCCCCTCTGGCCTTGAAGAAGTGGGCTTCCATGTTGGGGGAGGACCATGTGGCCAAAAACCCTAGTGGCTTCCAGGACCTGAAATTAGCTCCAGGCTGACAGCCAATCAAAGGCAGGGACCTCAGTCCTACAAACACAAGTAACTATATTCTGCCAACAGTTACATGACATTGTAAGAGAACCCCAAGCTCTAGAAAGGAATTCAGTCCAGCCGACATCTGAATGCAGCCTTGAGAGATTCTGACCAGAGGACCAGGCTAAACTATACCAGGACTCCCGATCCACAGAAACTGTGAGATAATAAATATGGGCTGTTTTAAGCCACTAAATGTGAGGTAATTTGTTGCACAGCAATAGAAAACTAATACAACCACTCTCTCATCACTATCCTAAATCCTTTCTCATCTTTTCAAAGTCAACGTCCTAGGAAAAGTCATGGATGCTTGGTTAACTCACATCCTCACCCATTCTTTGCTCCTCAACCCATCTCAATCTACCTTCTTTCCCCAACTTCCCATTGCTGTGGTTTGTGTCAAAGTACCTAATGACCTCCTCACTCAAAGGTTTTATTTTAATATCTTCACCTTACATCTTTATAAATATTTTCCACTCTTCTTGATCCTCTTTTCTACATTGCTTTAAGAACACAGCTTCTTCATGGTTGCCCTCTTCTTTCCTTCTTGGTTTCTCTTGCAGCCTTTTCCTCTTTGGTCTGCCTCTTATATGGTGGCGTTGCTCAGGGTTCTGCCTTTAACCCTCTATGCTTCTCATTTCCCTGGGTGATTTCACTAATAAGAAAGGTTTTGGAGATTCCAGCAGCTCCCAATTCTTTGTCTTCATCCCAGGCCTCTTTGCTCCCCAGACTTGAGGGCATTTCTACTGGACTGTCCCACAGATGTGTTAAATTCAACAGGACCAAACCTGAGTTCATGATCTCACGCTTACAAACTCCAAAACATGTTCCATTCCTGTGTCCCCTCATTAAATATTACCTCCATCCAATTGATATCCCGGGCCAATCAGTTATTTTAAGTTACCCTCCACCATTACCCTCCCCAGCTAGTTGCCCACGAAGCTGCATCCAGGGCTTCTACATCCCACACTAAAATCTATCCCTCTTCTTCATTCTCATTGCTATTGCTCAGGTTCAGACACTAGTTGTTTCTTGCCTGGATTATTAAAACACTTTCCGTTTGATGAACTCATGATTCTTTTCCCACCGTCCCACACATTTCTAACAAAAGTCTTCCTAAAATGAAAATCTGATTACGTTCATTACTTGTTTAAATTCCACTGAATGCCTGACTCCCAGTGGTGTCAAGGTAAAGTCCACATTTCATGTCATGGCCCACCAGGTTTCTAGCCTCCTTTTTCTGGCATCTTTTCTTTCTCTCCTCCACATGCACCCAACATCTCTCCCATACCATCATGCTCTGAAACATTCAATTGCTCCCCACTTCTCTACATACTACTTCCTTAAGACTCAGCTCGAACTTCATCTATTCCGGAAGCCTTCTTCTATCACCATCGCCACCTTCCTTGTCTTCTTCCCTGTTTCCAAGCTGAGTTAGGCACCTCCAAACCCCATGTGTTTTCCTGGTCCTTTGCAGGCATCGCACAGGGCTGTGAGCTTCCCCCACCACACTGTGCCCTCTTCAAATACCCAGACCAGCTGGTGTTTCAAGAACCCACTACAGTGACTAGCACAGAGTAAGCATCAATAAATGCAAAATTGGATGAATGAAAAATTATAAGTAGGAATGAATGAGTGAATAAATATATGAATGAATGAGAAATAGGTGGAGCAGCTTGGGGATGCTTTAACTGAGAAAAATATTCATAGAGAACAGGCATGCTGGCTCTAATTCTAATGGACAGCCACACAAAGGAAGGGTAGGAATTTCTCCGGGAACAGTCCCAGAATAGCGGTTGCCAGTGGTAAAAATTGTAGGGAAGTGAATTTTATTCTGGCCCAAGTTTGAACTCCCTCCTCAAACAAAATCAGCTTCCACCACAGTTCTCATTATGTCATTTAAAGATAACTCCACCCTTCCAGTGGCTTAAGTCAGAGATACTGAAGGTATCCCTGACCCTTCTCCTTCTCTCACACCCCACTTTCAATCACTCAGCAAATTGTGGTGGTGCCACCTTCCAAATACTAAATCAGAATTCTGCTTTTTTGCTATTTCCACTACTACCACTTTTGTCCAAGTCATATCATCTCTCACCTGGATTGTTGCAATAGCTTCCTGACTAATCACACTCCTCCCACTCTTACCTTCTGTATTATAATCTTTAAAGGGACCTAGAGGGATCCTGTGAAAAAGTAAATCAAATCATATCATGCCTCTGCCCAAAACCCTCCCATAGCTTTCCACTTCAATCAGAGTAAAAGTGATATACTTATGACAGCCTAAAGCTAGTACACAGCCTGCCCCACCTTACTCTGACTCATCTCTTCCTCATCCCCTTGTTCACTCTGCCCTAGCTACATCAGCTCTGCTATTTCTTGAACATAACAGGCTCAGGACCTTTGCATGGCCTGTGTCAGATTCATGGCTCATTTCTTTGCCCCCTTCAAATCTTTGCTAAAATACGATCTTCTCAAGGAGACCTACTCTGAAACCCCTTTTAATATTATACTCTCATTTTCCTTACATTGCATTTATCACACTCCAACATGTAATTCTTATGTACTTACTGTTTCTTACATGGTCCCTCTGCTAGAATATAAACCATAAGGGCATTAATTTTGTTCCTTTTTGCTCGTCAACTTATCTCTCGTGCTTAAAGCAATGCCTGGTGCAAAGAAGGGAAGCAATAAATGAGCAATCGAATGAGTCAGTGAATGAAACAACAAAATTTTAAAATCTTTTAAATCTTTAGCATCTAACAATAGAATGAGCTGCTTTTACAAGCAAGGAGCTCTTCATCACTGTAGGGATCCAAAGAGCTGGCAATTTCCCAGCCACCTTCCTTCTTGGAATGAAGGTCTGAACTGAGGGTACCTCATGTTCCTTCCACCCCTGGGATTCTAAGATTCTTGATTCCTGTCTTTCCTAGAAAGCACAGCTGCTGTGCTCTCAAGGCCAGCAAACAAAGGAGATCTCCCCCAGTCGATGTCTCCACTGGCCTTGGCTTTGGCACTGGGTCAGTTTCTGTTTCTGATGAGTCACTGTGGCTGGGAGAATGTGGAGCGAAGTGTCAAGGGCAAGCCTTCAGCAGAGTTTTTCAACGTGGTAGTTTTTAATCATGATCCATTTTCTACTTCCAACGTGCTACAAGTAAGTCCAAGCAGAGAAAAGAGAATCCTCTGGTGGTTTAATGGTTTGCTCAAAGTCCTAGAGCTAGCATCAAGGTAGAGAGTGAGCTTCCTGATGCTCAGCCCTGCAACACACTCATGGGACTTTTCAAATTATCCTCGGGCTTATTTCTGAAATTAGATTGTGAATGTTGGGAAGAGGCCCTGGAGAGGAAGCATTGGCTGCATTTCCATAGCCCTGCCCTTGGAGGGAGCACTCTACTTCCACCAGGTCTTTAGACACAGATCTCAAAAGCACAAATGCATTAATAATGTAATAGTAAATGGTAACTCTCTTAGTCCACTTGGGCTGCTATAACAAAATACCTAAACTAGATAATTTTTAAAAAACAGAAATGAACCTGAAATCATAAAATTTCTAGAAGATAACATTGGAAAAACTCCTTTAGAAATTGATTGAGGCAAAGAGTTCATGACCAAGGACACAAAAGCAAATGCAACAAAAACAAAGATAAATAGATGGGACTTAATTAAAATAAAAAGCTTTTGCATAGCAAAAGAAATAACCAGCAGAATAAACCAACAATCCACAGAGTGGCAGAAAGTATTTGCAAACTATGCATCCAACAAAGGACTAATATCCAGAATCTACAATGAACTCAAAAAAATCAGCAAGAAAAATAATAATAATAATGCCATCAAAAAGTGGGCTAAGGACACGAATAGACAATTCTCAAGATATACAAATGGACAACAAATATATGAAAAAATGCTCAACATCACTAATTGTCAGGGAAATGCAAATCAAAACCACAATGCAATACCACCTTACTCCTGCAAGAATGGCCATAATTTAAAAATGAAAAAATGATAGATCTTGACGTGGCTGTGTTGAAAAGGGAACACTTTTATGCTGCTGGTGGGAATGTAAACTAGTACAACCACTATGGAAAACAGTACAGTGATTCCTTAAAGAACTAAAAATAGAACTACCATCTGATCCAGCAATTCCACTACTGGGTATCTACCCAGAGGAAAGATTTCATTATGTGAAAAAGACACTTGCACATGCATGTTTATAGCAGCACAGTTTGCAATTGCAAAAATATGGAAACAGACTAAATGCCCACCAACCAGCAAGTGCCTAATGAAAATGTGGAAATTGAACAAGCTGCTCCTGAATTACTCCAGGTAAATAACAAAATTAAGGCAGAAATAAATAAGTTATTTGAAACCAATGAGAACAAAGAGACAACGTACCAGAATCTCTGGGATGCAGCTAAAGCAGTGTTAAGAGGGAAATTTATAGCACCAAATGCCCACGTCAGAAAGCTGGAAAGATCTCAAATCAACACCCTAACATCACAATTAAAATAACTAGAGAAGCAAGAGCAAACAAATCCAAAAGCTAGCAGAATACAAGAAATAACTAAGATCAGAGCAGAACTGAGAAATAGAGACACAAAAAACCCTTCAAGAAAATCAATGAATCCAGGAGCTGTTGTTTTTTTTTTTTTTTTTTTGGAAAAAATTAACAAAATAAATAGACCACTAGCCAGACTAATAAAAAAATAGAGAAGAATCAAATAGACATAATGAAAAATGATAAAGGGGATATCACCACTGACCCCAGAGAAAGACAAGTTACCATGAGAGAATACTATAAACATCTCTGTGCAAATAAACTAGAAAATCTAGAAGAAATGGATAAATTCCTGGACACATACACCCTCCCAAGACTAAACTAGGAAGACGTCAAATCCCTGAATAGACTAATATCAAGTTCAGAAATTAAGGCAGTAATTAATAGCCTACAAACTAAAAGAAGCCCAGGACCAGATAGATTCACAGCTGAATTCTACCAGAGGTACAAAGAGGAGCTGGTACCATTCCTTCTAAAACTATTCCAAACAATAGAAAAGGAGAGACTTCTCCCTAACTCATATTATGAGGACAGTGTCATCCTGATACCAAAACCTGGCAGAGACACAACAAAAAAAAGAAAACTTCAGGCCAATATCCCTGATGAACATCATTGCAAAAATCCTCAGTAAAATACTGACAAACCAAATCCAGCAGCACATCAAAAAGCTTATCCGCCACAATCGAGTTGGCTTCACCCCTGGGATGCAAGGCTGGTTCAACATATGCAAATCAGTAAATGTAATCCATCACATAAACAGAACCAGTGACAAAAACCACATGATTATCTCAATAGATGCAGAAAAGGCCTTCGATAAAATTCAACATCCCTTCATGTTAAAAACTCTCAATAAACTAGGTATTGATGGAACATATCTCAAAATAATAAGAGTTGTTTATGACAAACCCATAGCCAATATCATACTGAATGGGCAAAAGCTGGAAGCATTCCCTTTGAAAACCAGCAGAAGACAAGGATACCCACTCTCACCACTCCTATTCAACATAGTATTGGAAGTTCTGGCCAGGGCAATCAGGCAAGAGAAAGAAATAAAAGATATTCAAATAGGAAAAGAGGAAGTAAAATTGTCTCCGTTTGCAGATGACATGATTATATATTTAGAAAACCCCATCATCTCAGCCCCAAAACTCCTTAAGCTGATAAGCAATTTCAGCAAAGTCTCAGGATACAAAATCAATGTGCAAAAATCACAAGCATTCCTATACACCAACAATAGACAAGCAGAGAGCCAAATCATGAATGAACTCCCATTCACAATTGCTACAAAGAGAATAAAATACCTAGGAATATAGCTTATAAGGGACATGAGGGACCTCTTCAAGGATAACTACAAACCACTGCTCAAGGAAATAAGAAAGGATACAAACAAATGGAAAAACATTCCATGCTCATGGATAGGAAGAATCAATATTGTGAAAATGGCCATACTGCACAAAGCAATTTATAGATTCAATGCTATTCCCATCAAACTGCCATTGACATTCTTCACAGAATTAGAAAAAACTACTTTAAATTTCATATGGAACCAGAAAAGAGCCCATATAGCCAAGACAATCCTAAGCAAAAAGAACAAAGCTGGAGGTATCAGGCTACCTGACTTCAAACTATATTACAAGGCTATATTAACCAAAACAGCATGGTGCTGGTATCAAAACAGACATAAAGACCAATGGAACAGAACAGAGACCTTAGAAATAACACCACACATCTACAACCATCTGATCTTCGACAAACCTGACGAAAACAAGCAATGGGGAAAGGATTTCCTATTTAATAAATGGTGCTGGGAAAACTGGCTAGCCATATGCAGAAAACTGAAACTGGACCCCTTCCTTACACCTTATACAAAAATTAACTCAAGATGGATTAAAGACTTAAATGTAAAACCCAAAACTACAAAAACCGTAAAAGAAAACCTAGGCGACACTGTTCAGGATATAGGCATGGGCAAAGACTTCATGACTGAAACACCAAAAGCAACTGCAACAAAAGCCAAAATTGGCAAATGGGATCTAACTGAACTAAAGAGCTTCTGCACAGCAAAAGAAACTAGCATCTGAGTCAACTAGACAACCTACAGAATGGGAGAAAATTTTTGCAATCTATCCATCTGACCAAGGTCTAATATCCAGAATCTACAAAAAAACTTAAACAAATTTACAAGAATAAAACAACACCATCAAAAAGTAGGCAAAGGATATCAACAAACACTTCTCAAAAGAAGACATTTATGTGGCCAAGAAACATATGAGAAAAAGCTCATCATCACCAGTCTTTAGAGAAATGCAAATCAAAACCACAATGAGAGTCAGAGTGGTGATTATTAAAAGTCGAGAAATGATAGATGCTAGTGAGGCCACGGAGAAATAGGAACGGTTTTACACCGTTGATGGGAATGTAAATTAGTTCAACCACTGTGGAAGACAAGTGGTGATTCCTCAAGGATCTAGAATGAGAAATACCATTTGACCCAGTAATCCCATTACTGGGTATATACCCAAAGGAATATAAATTTTTACTATAAAGACACATGCACACATATGTTTATTGCAGAACTATTTGCAATAGCAAAGACATGGACCCAACCCAAATGCCCATCAATGATACATTGGATAAAGAAAATGTGGTACATATATACTATGGAATACTATGCAGCCATAAAAAAGAATGAGATCATGTCTTTTGCAGGGACATGGATGAATCTGGAAGCCATCATCCTCAGCAAACTAACACAGGAACAGAAAACAAAACACCGCATGTTCTCCCTCATAAGTGGGAGTTGAACAATAAGAACACATGGATACAGGGAGGGGAACAACACACATCGGGTGCTGTCAGGAGTTGCAGGGAAGGGGAGGGAGAGCATTAGGACAAATACCTAATCCTTGTGGGGTTTAAAAGCTAGACGATGGGTTGATAGGTGCAGCAAACCACCATGACACACGTGTACCTATGTAACAAACCTGTACGTTCTGCACGTTATCCCAGAACTTAAAGTAAAATGAATTTTTAAAAAAAGAAACCTTTAGGCCGGCACGGTGGCTCATGCCTGTAATCCCAGCACTTTGGGAGGCTGAGGCGGGCAGATCACGAGGTCAGGTGATCGAGACCATCCTGGCTAACACGGTGAAACCCCGTCTCTACTAAAAATACAAAAAATTAGCCAGGCGTCTCGTGGCGGGCGCCTGTACTACTCAGCTACTCAGGAGGCTGAAGCAGGAGAATGGCATGAACCCAGGAGGCGGAGCTTGCAGTGAGCCGAGATCAGGCCACTGCACTCCAGCCTGGGTGACAAAGGGAGACTTTGCCTCAAAAAAAAAAAAAAAAAAAAAAAAAGAAAGAAAGAAAGAAAGAAAGAAAGAAAGAAAGAAAGAAAGAAAGAAAGAAAGAAACCTTTAGCCAAAACTGCCCAGCTCCCTTCCTCTGTACTTCTAATCATCAGAAACTGTTTGAAATAATAAATACTTGTTGTTTTAAATTGCTAAATTTGATATCATTTGTTACACAGCAATAGATTGTTCCTGACATTGGTACAGACATTGGAGCCTGGAAATGGAAGGATGCCATAACAAAAACTTTAAAATGTGGGAGTGGCTTTGGAAATGGGCAGTGCATAGAAACTGGAAAGAATTTGAAGGGAGCATTAGTGAACATTTGAAGATCCTCGAAGAAACTAAGAAGCACGATGATCTTTGAGAAGGTTATGAGTGAAGACTTAAAGGAAAGAAAACTTTATTGGAAACTGATGGTAAAGGGATTCTTGTCATTTGGTGACAGAAAGTTTAGTAACACTATTGCCTGAGTAATGTGGAAAGAGAAAAACAAGTCTAATAAAGTGCCCTAAAGAAGGAGAAAAAAAAAGAAAATGTGATATATATATATGTACACCACAGAATACTATTCAGCCATGGAAATGAATGAAATAATGGCATTTGCAGCAACCTGGATGGAATTGGAAACCATTATTCTAAGTGAAGGAACTCAGGAGTGAAAAACTGAACATCATCATATGTTCTCACTCATAAGTGAGAGCTAAGCTATGAGGACACAAAGGCATAAGATGATACAATAGATTCTGGGGGCTCAAGGAAAAGCGTGGGAGGGGGTGAGGGATAAACATTGGGTTCAGTGTACACTGTTCAAGTGATGGGTGGACCAGAATCTCAGAAATCACCACTAAGGAATTTATCCATGTAACCAAACACCACCTGCTGCCCAAAAACTATTAAAACAACAATAATAATAAAGAAATGTATTGCTCACAGTTCTGAAGCAATACTGGGAAGAAGGCTGGGAAATCTAAGATCAAGACACCAGCAGATTCCGTGTCTGATGAGGGCTCATTTCTCACGGGTGGTGTCTTCTACATGTCCTCATGTGGCAGAAGGGACAAACAAGCCCCCTCAGGCCTCTTTCATAAGGGCACGAATCCCATTCATAAGGACATAGCCCTCATGACCTAATCACCTCCCAAAGACCCCAGTCTTTAATACTATTTATTACATTGGTGATTACGTTTCAAGATATGAATTTTGGGAGGACACAAACATTCAGACCATAGCCATCATCCTATGGTATGGTCCCTATTGTTAATGGAGGGCACCCTTTCAAGGGGTAGAGCACCCCACACTGCCATGTTCGTTTACACGGTTTATAATTCCATCTCAGCACATGTCACATACTATGGTAAGAACCATGTTTCCTCAGTTCCAAGATGTACATATTTGTTTACAATGAAATCATTCTGAAATTGAGACGTGTCTTAAAAGCACTGTGTACATTTAATACAGTGTTTCTTTTATCCTTATAAGCTGTGAGTAAATTAACAATGCATCTTAAATTCAGTAGTATCTTAGAATCGAGGAGATCCAAGTGTGCTATTTTTTATTTGTCCTTCACCACTAAACTGAAACCTTCTTAAGAACAGAGACTGAAATACATTCATCTGGCATTTCCAGTTTGCAGCACAGGGTAGGCTCAAGAGATGTGAAATGAGCAAATAAATGAACAAATGAACAGAAATGTCTATTAAACAGAAAAAGGGAAATACATTTTACAATGTCCCAGTGCACATATCCCTTATAACTATCTCTCTGTGTTCAATTTTACACTTCCCTACACATCCCTCTGATCAGTGGTTCAGTCTCTGGAGGCGACATTTGTCCCAGTGAGAAGTGTTCTATGAATACTTGCTGTCCTAGTTCTCACGTCACGAAATGTCACGGAGGAAATTGTTATTAATTTGGCACGTTGGTTCATCCATCAGGCTCTTGGCAGTCTGGGCGGTGTGGAGCAGGCCCTGCAAGTGGTTCTACCTGCTTGAACTGATAGAGTCAAGTTCCAGCATCTATTAAGGAGCCACTCTGATCCTGGATAGCCAACTATAACTTCTGCCATGTCCTCCCCTAACCACCCGGGCACATACAATTAAAAATCAAAGGGCCTCATCTAATTCCTCTAATAGACATCTCTGGACTTGAAAGAAGTTCAGGAAAAGAAGAAAAAAAAGTGCTGCAAAAGTAAATCTCTGGACCTCCCTCCCATCTGCAAAATGAACTGCATCCATTCAGATAAGTGAACCCAACATTAATCCAACGTTTCTGAGCATGACTGTGCCAGGTGCTATGACAGGGAAGGTCAACTGTAAAAGACTGGCTTACAGAGCAATAAAACAGGAGGGAGTTCAAAGCCATCAAGACTCAGGTACTTACATTTATGCAACATCTTTGTGTTCATTGCCTGACAATAACACTAATTAGTAAAGAGATCTATTGAGATTACAATTGCACTTGGCTCAAAAATCAAAACAATTCAACAAGGTATCGGTTGAGAACTCTTACTACAATACAATTTCCATTTGCTCCAGTCCCTCCTATCCCTACAGGTAACCACTGCCACTGGTGTCTTGGGAATCCTCACGATATCCAAGTGGATATGCAGAACATACATCATTATTGATTTTTAGATGAAGGAGAGGAGGCCACAGGAAGTTAAAGCACTTGCCCAATGTCACACCACTGGTAAGTAGCAGAACTTGAAATCAAACTCAAATCCTGTGCCTGAAAACTCATCTGTCTTAGTCAATGCAGGCTGCTATAACAAAGTGCCATACACTGGGTGGCTTATAAACAACAGAAATTTATGTCTCTCGGTGCTGGAGGCTGGAAGTCTGAGATCAGGGTGCCAGAATGGTTGGGTTCTTGTAAAAGCCCATTTTTCGGTGGCAGACTTCTAACTTCTCATTGTATCCTCACATGACAGAAGAAAAGCTAGCTAGCTCTCAGACCTCTTCTTTTTTAAAATTATTTTATTTTTCCATAGGTTATTGGGGTACAGGTGGCATTTGGTTACATGACTAAGTTCTTTAATAGTGATTTGTGATATTTTGGTGCACCCATCACCCGAGCAGTATACACTGCACCTTATTTGTGGTCTTTTATCCCTCGCCCCATTCCCACTCTTCCCCCCACGTCCCCAAACTCCATTGTATCATTCTTATGCCTTTATGTCCTCATAGCTTAACTCCCACATATTATGTCCTCATAGCTTAACTCCCACATATTAGTGAGAACATACGATGTTTGGTTTTCCATTCGTGAGTTACTTCACTTAGAATAATAGTCTCCAATCTCATCTAGGTCGCTCCAAATGCCGTTAATTCATTCCTTTTTATGGCTGAGTAGCATTCCATCATATATATATATATGACATATATATATATGTCACACCACTATATATATATGTGTGATATATATGTGATATATATTATATATACACATTATATATTATATATATTTGTAATATATATAAATATTATATTTATATTATATTATATATACATATTATATATTTTATATATATATATTATATATATCACAGTTTCTTTATCCACTCGTTGATTGATGGGCATTTGGGTTGGTTCCATGATTTTACAATTGTGAATTGTGCTGCTGTAAACATGTGTGTGCAAGCTTCCTTTTCGTACAATGACCTCTTTTCCTCTGGGTAGATGCCCACTAGTGGGATTGCTGGATCAAATGGTACTTCTACTTTTGGTTTTTTAAGGAATCTCCACACTGCTTTCCATAGTGGCTATACTCATTTAAATTACCACCAGCAGTGTAGAAGTCTTCCCTGATCACTGCATCCATGCCAACATCTACTGTTTTTTGATTTTTTGATTATGGCCATTCTTGCAGAAGTAAGGTGGTATCTCATTGTGGTTTTGATTTGCCCTTCCCTGATCATTAGTGATGTTGAGCATTTTCCCATGTTTGTTGGCCATTTGTATATCTTCTTTTGAGAATTGTCTACTCATGTCCTTAGCCTACTTTTTGATGGGATTTTTTTGTTTTGTTTTGTTTTCTTACTGACTTGAGTTCATTGCAGATTCTGGATATCAATCCTTTGTCTGATGTATAAATTGTGAAGATTCTCTCCCATTCTGTGGGTTGTCTGTTTACTCTGCTGACTGTTCCTTTTGCCATGCAAACGCTCTTTAGTTTAATTGAGTCCCAACTCTTTATCTTTATTGCATTTGCTCTTGGATTCTTGGTCATGAAATCCTTGCCTAAGCCAATGTCTAGAAGGGTTTTTCCAATGTTATCTTCCAGAATTTTTGTAGCTTCAGGTCTTAGATTTCAGTCTTTAATCCATCTTGAGTTGATTTTTGTATGAGGTGAGAGATGAGGATCTAGTTTCATTCTCCTACATGTGGCTAGCCAATTATACCAGCATCATTTGTTAAAGAGGGTGTCCTTTTCCCACTTTACGTTTTTCGTTTGCTTTGTTGAAGATCAGTTGGCTCTAAGTATTTGGGTTTATTTCTGGATTCTCTATTCTGTTCCATTGGTCAGATCTCTTCTTATAAAGACACTAATCCTATTCATGAGAGCTGCGCCTTCATGACCTAATTACCTCCAAAGGACCCACCTCCCAACACTGTCACACTGGGATTAAGATTTCAACATTAATTTTGGGGAGACACAAACATTCAGTTCATTGCACTATCCCTTCACAGAGCCCATCCCAGTCCCCCTAGCAGGGGGTGATAGATACTAGTTAACAGAACTGAAGGAAGGCTATAGCCCAAAAGAATACTCTACTAATGGTGATATATTTTTTAAGGAGCAAAGCAGATATCTATGTACAAGAGACCTCCTCAACCTTCCTTTAATCAAGGACAAAAGTTGCTCCTTCCGAGGGACTCCCCAGGGCCAACCCGGCTTCATCTCTAGGTCTTTTTATGCCCTGAGTCTGGCCTCTGCATAGATGTCAAAAACCTTGAGGTTCACTAGAAAAAAAAAAAAAAAAAAAAAAGAGACAACCTCTCAAAAAGGAAAGAGTGGAGAAAATCCAGAAATCCAGAGAGTGAGCCAAGGCTTGCAGGCTCAGTCAGAAATCCAGAACCGGGACTCAGCAGGCCCAGGGGCCAGCCCCACCAGCTCAGAGAATACTAGTGCTGGAAGCCAGTCTAGGGTAAGTTTAAGTGCCTGGTTTTAAACATGACACCCAGAGAGGTTACATGACTTGTCCGTATAGCTCCAGCATTGTCTTAGTCTGTTTGGGCTGCTATAACAAAAGACCTCAGACTAAGTAATTGAGGACTAAGTATAGACATTTATTTCTCATAGTTTTGAAGGCTCAGAAGTCCAAGACCAAGGCACCTGCAGATTCAGTGTCTGGTGAAGGTTCGCTGTCTGCTACACAGATACCACCTCTTTTTTGTGCCCTCACATTGCAGAAGGGGAGTACAACTCCCTAGAACCACTTTTCTAAGGTAACTAATCCCATTCATGAGGTTTCCATCTCCATGACTTAATCATGTCCCAGAGGCCCTGACTCTTCATACTATCACATCAGTGATTAAGTTTCAACATATAAATTCTGGGGGAAACACATTCAGTCCATAACAAGCAGGTAAGTGGCAAGCTGGAATTGGACTCTAAGTCTGAGGGATCTTAGTGTATTTCTACTATAACCAAGAAAAGATCCTAGGATGGCCTTCTGGGTATATTCCAAAGAAATTATCCAAAGTATGGTATACACATGCCAGAGGTATAGGAAATGATTTTAAAGGGTATACAGATGAATGTTCATGTGTATTTGTTTCAATATGTTTTCTTTATAAAAGTATATTTCTGGTTTCATAAATATTATCTCTTCAAATGAGGCTAAAATAGGTAATTGGTTTGTATAAAAGTGAACCTAATTAAAGAAATAAGCAGGAATCCTACTTTCGCCTATCATAAAATAGCTTGTATCAGACTAATGCTCCCAAAAAGAACAGCTATAAAATCTGGATATATACAAAAGGAAAGCAGCTGTTGAAAGTATCTGAGAGCAATCAAGTACAGCAATTGAGACTAAAGAGGCCAAAATCCCCAGAGAAGGGGAATGCCTAGAAGTTAGCCTTGTGTTTGGTGCTATTTTCTTCCTTTATGGCACTTGCCAGTTCACAGCACAGGGCAAAGAGGTCCAAAAGAAAGAAGGAGCCTGAAACTTGTGAAAGTCTCCCGGACCTAGAAATGAACAATTTAAGTTCAGGGCTAACAAAAAAGCCAGGGTGTCAGAGACCAATGTCTCAGAAGAAAAGGAACTCCAGAGAAAATTAGCATGAAATTTCCCTTTGAGAAATTTTCTGACATTCCAGGCTGTGTATACACACCAAGGAGAAGGCAGCTAATAACAGGCTTAAAATCTGTAAAGATATTCTGCAGCACAGGACTAGGGAAGCAAACAGTGGAGTCCAAGCTCCATCAAAGAAGATCCCTGCTGCACACCCCAGGCTTCCAAATGAAATCCATTCTGCCTGCCACAAGAACACTGAATCTTATCTGGAGAAAGACCACTTCACCCAAAGCCTATCCATTTTTTTTTAATTTTTAGAGATGGGGTCTCACTATGTTGCCCAGGCTGGACTCAAACTCCTGGGCTCAAGCAATCCTCCCACCTCAGCCTTCTGAGTAGCTGGAATTAGAGGCACATGTCACCATGCCTGGCATTTTTTTATACACAATATCTAACATTCAATCAAAAATTTATGGGCATGCCAGGACATGAAAAATAAATAAAAATCAAGAGAAAAAGAGAAGAAAAAAAATGACACAAGTAGACCTTCAGGTTATCCATATGTTGGGGTTATTAAACATAGACTTCACTATCTGCAAGCTTAAAATAATCTACTTAAGGAAATAGATGAAAAGGTGGCAAATATTATCAGAAAAAAATGAAGCCTATTTTTAAAAGTATCAAATAGGAATTCTAGTAATAAAAACAGTTAAATAAAATTGATAATAAAATATATAGTTTTAATAGCAGGTTAGGAACAGCTACCGTGATGATTAGTACTATGGAGCCACTAGAAAATAATCAAATTAAAGCGCATTAAAAAAAAATTTAAGGTAGAAAATACAGGAAACAGTATGAGACATATAAGACATACTGAAAACATCTAATATATGTGTAATTAAAATCTCAAAATGAGAAGAGAGAGAATATAGGCAAAACAAGTATTTGAGAATACACTGACTGAGAAGTTTTCAAAACTATTAGAAGATATCAAGCCAAAGATTAAAGAAATTCTGTAACGCACACATGGTTTAAATATAAAGAAAGCAACATTAAAGTACATCACAGTAAAACTGCTAAAAATCAAAGATAAAGTAAAAGTCCTAAAAGCAACCAGATTTTTAAAAAGATATTTTACCTTCAAAGGAATAGCAATAAGCTCGATCGCCGGTTTTCCAAGAGAAATTACAGAAGCAAGTCAACAGCGTGATACCTCTAACGTACTGAAATAAAATAACTGCCAAATGAGATCTCCATACCCAACTAAAATCAAACATCCTTCAAAAATGAAATCAAATGGCCAAATGACGATCATGCCAGAAATAGAAGGTTGGTTTCATATTAGAAATTATATTGACATAATCCATCAAGTTAATAGATCAAAGGAAAAATGTGATTATCACCACATATGCTTGAAAAGCATCAAAATTCAACATGTAGTCCCTATTTAATCATTCAAGAAAATAGGAATTGCTGAATATTTTCTTAGCAGCATATTTCTTAGTGGGGAAATACTGCAGGCTTTTCCTCTAAGATCAAAACAAGAAAAGTATGTTTACCATCTCCTCTACTACTCAACATTGTAATGCACATATTAGCCAATGCAATTAGACAAAGCAAATCAACTAAATGCATGAGAATTGATAACGAATAAGTAAAGCTGTCTCTATTTTCAGTGATATGAATAAATGATAAAATTAACTCAAATAAATAAAATATAACGTAACATATTATAAAAGAAGTCATCTACAGAAAGTAATAATTTTATATACACAAATAATAGTCAATTATGATGTAAAATGGTAGAAAAAACACTACTCCTTGTTACAATAACAACAAAGAAAAATAAATAATTGAGAATAACCTTGATAAGGAATGTGCAACATCTATATTGCATTAAAACACTCCTGATGAAAACAGTTTGGCAATTTCTTTAAAAATTAAAATATTTATCTACCCCTTGGTCATCTAGATATTAATCCAAAATAAATGAAAGCATATGTCCATATAAAGCCATGTACACAAATTTTCATATCAGCTTTATTTGCAATAATTAAAAAATTGAAACAACCCAAAGGTACACCAAGAGATGAGTGAATGCTTTATGACATTGAGCTTGACAGTGATTTC